>NC_000015.10:99427481-100065908 GCF_000001405.40 Homo sapiens | reverse complement strand
TCACATACACCCCCCAGCCTGTTGAGGGGTGGGGGAAAAGGGGAGGGAGAGCATTAGGACAAATACCTAATGCATGCAGGGCTTAAAACCGAGGTGATGGGTTGACGGGTGCAGCAAACCACCATGGCACATGTATACATATGTAACAAACCTGCACATTCAGCACATGTATCCCAGAACTTAAAGTAAAATTTAAACAAGAGAATGTCCCTAACCTGATAGATTAATGATACCTATCCTGTTCTCACAGTAACAATCTTTTTCGGTGGGAAAACTTCGGAAGCACTCCTATGACATCATGAATTACACGAGTATGCCGCAATAGCATTTTGCATACAATGTGGTTTTGTAAATTGCAACCAGAATAGTGAAAGAAGAAACTAAAGGCATAAAGACTAGAAAGGAAGAAACAGAACTGTCATATTAGCAGATGTAGAGTTAGCTACATAGAAACTCAGCCAAAATATAGAAATTATTATAGTTTAAAAATGTAGCTGGCTACAGAACACCTCATATAGCCTATAGATCAATATACTTTTTGCTTGATCCTTTTATAATTTTTGAATTTTGTACCTTATACATACATTACCTAGCAAAACTAATTATTTTGAAGTTGTCACTGATCTTTTAAAAGTACATATAATATTCTTTTCACATAAAATGATATATGTATGTTTATATGCATTAAGAGGTGTTGAAAAGGCTGGTCACCAAAATATTACTTTCTTGGGGTAATTTTCTCATTGTGATGTGGTATAGGTCAATTCTGGTTTTCTGCTGTATGTTGTTTGAACTTTTGTATACTATTTTTATTATAAAAATAAATCCATTTTATTGTGAGAAAATGAATGAATAAATAAACCCCTCAAAATAGGTATTTCCATGATTTCCACATAGTTGAACCTAGAAATCTCTAATTTTTTACAGCTCCGCTCATGATTCTGGTGATCACATTGGGAACAACAGGGCTAGGATTTGTAATCTAAGTTGAGATCCTCATCTGAATCGCAGAAACAAACGCCTAATACGCTTGTCTAAATCCCAAATAAAAATCAAACCAAAATTATTACCAGCCTACGTTTCAGAATCTCACCGTCATGTTAGGCTCACTTACTGGCAATCACCCTATTAACCAGGCATTAGCCAGTTGCCAGCTTCTGCCCTGGCAGCTTCCGTCATGTTTTCCCTGAGTCTTCACTTCCTACCTGCCGTCCTGGCCCCCTACTCTGCTTAAAAACATGCAAGGAAATGGACAAAACTATACAAGTGAAATGGCCAAAGGTGGTGGAAGCAAGAAACGGTGCACCGTGTGTTAAGGCAATACTGTAGTTTCGTCATAGGGTAAATTGCTTGGTTTCTGCTGTCATCCCACGGATGTTCAGGGAAAGTTCAAAATACAACAAAGAGCAAAAGGCCCTCCAGCAGATGAATGAGACCAGGGCCACTATTCACTGATGCACCAGGGAGGTGCCATTCTCGCAGAATACCAGGCTATATTCTTTTGCTATGGTTTCCGTAACAAAGTGCCGCAAACTAGGTGGCATAAGCACCAGAAACTTACTGTCTTTTGGTTCTGGAGTTGAGAAATCTGAGATCAAGGTGTCAGCAGGGTTGGTTCCTTCTGCAGGTCACGAGGGAGGATCTGTTCCATGCTTCTTGCCTAACTTCTGGTGGTTTGCTGGCAGTCTGTGGCGTTCCTTGGCTGCTTTGTAGAAGCATCACTTCATCTCTGCCTTCATGTTCTCGCGACATTCTCCCTATGTGCATGTCTGTTTCCAAACTTCCCCTTTTTATAAGGACATCAGTCATTTTGGATTAGGCCTACCTACTCCAGGATGACCTCATCTTAATATGTCTGCAGTGGTCACATGCTGATGTTCTGGTTGAAGGGGGGGCCCAGTTAGAACTTCAACATACGAATTTGGAGGAGGGGGACACCACTCAACCTGAAACACGTGCAAATCCTGCTCTCTGGAAATGGGGCCACTGGGAGGTCCTGGCCTTAGGAGAGCCTCCTTCTTCTGCGCCAGCCCTCCATTTCTGAAGCCACTGTGGGGGGCTTGGTAGCTAGATTTTGGCCGGGGGATGCTGCACGGCCTCTGGTGCAGGGTGGAGGTGTGGTTTACTTCTGTGTCGTTTGTTGCTACAGGTTATATCGAAGCTGCCGTCATTCCTGCTGGAGCTCGGAGGATCCGTGTGGTGGAGGATAAACCTGCCCACAGCTTTCTGGGTAAAACACAAATGACTTGACTCACCATTTATGTGTTGAGAATCGATTTTGATGATCAGTCTGGTAAATTGGTTCAGTGTCATTCCTCCCGGGTTATGGCTGGTTTCACGCCTGTGTTGTAATGACATGAGCACCCAGAGGGGACCACACAGTGCTGTCATATTTGACTAACATGCAGCCACCCCCATGGTGGATTAGGGGCGGGAACAGGAAGGAAAATGATGGAAGACAAGCTTGGGACAGGAAGGAGGATCATAGAAGAGTGAAGGAAGTTGTGAGGAATTGGGGCAGGTTACCAGTCCCCCAAAGTAACCCCAGGAGAGCTGAGAGCAGCTTGAGTCTGAGCAGTGCAGGCCATTGGCCAACTTGCAGGAAGCCCCATTGGGCTGCCAGTGGCTCTGGGGATGACTTCTTAGCTGGAAAAAGAACAACAATCTTAAGTCTAATGGAAACCCAGAAGGATACCAATTTCACTAAGGTCTGTGTATCCCAAATTCCTAGTGGCCAGCTCCATTGACTTCAAGCACAAACACCTGCATCTTTCCGTAGACTTGGGTTCTATTCTGGACTAGTTTTCCTAACTATGCAGGAGCAAAGCCATTCTGATAAATCCCTTCCTAGCCAGAGAAGACCTTCTGAGGGTATCCTTGGCCCAATTCCCAGACGACCCCAGCAAAGGTCAGCCCAGGACTTGAGCCCCAAGGTGGTTGGAGTTCTCAGTTGGACACAGAAGTGGAGACAGCAGGGTGCCCAGAGGGTGCCTCTGCTCCTACCTTCCTGGCTTGGAACATGCTGTGGCCCCTGCCCTTCTGCCAGCTTTAATCCCATGTTCCTGTCTTGGGTTAAACTTAAACTCAAGGTGGCTGATCTTCCTCAGGCACCCCTCTTCTGAGCTGTTTTCATGTCATCATCTCTCAGCCTGTGTTGCAAAGTGCTGATTGAGACTGAAGAAAGAAAAAGTAAGACATGATTTGTCTAGTTTCAAAAATGATTTTAGCTAAATCGAAGTTACCCATGAAACCCTTTTATTTCCATTTTTATCACTGATTTTTTAAAATGACATCTTTGTCTACATTCCTGCCTTTATAGACTATGCAAAAGTCGGAGTCTTTCTTTGAAATGGTCTCTGCTTGAGAGACTCAAAGTCTAATGAGACAGACACAAAACAAATCTCTAATAGGCAAGTTTACAATGAAGACCACAGTCCTGTTGAAGAGTTAGGAAATGCTTTGACGCTAAGATGCTCCTCGCACACCTGCCTTGGGGAAGGCAGGCATGCCCATTTCCAAGCACCCACGTGGGGTATCACTGGCACCACACTCTGTGGATCCCCCCCTGTCCCAAGCTGCCCTGCCACCTCCTCCTAGCTTGGTCACCTGCCATCCACCCTGCCTCCTTGAGGCTGTGACGGCCGCTCGTGCTTCTGCTGCCAGGGTAAGACCTTGACATCCCTGGAGTTGACATCCATGTGCATTTTCATCAGCCCCATGGTTTTTCACCTCCCCTGCATGGACAGTGTCCCTGCCTCGCCTGGCACTCTCCTCCTCAGCTGTCCCAGCTGTCACTCTGCAAATAGAACAACACTTAAAAATGCATTCTAAAACAAGGCCTCTTGCTGCTTTTGGCAGCTTCAAAGTGACAGCCTCTTTTTACTAAATTCGCAAAGAGCCCACTCCCTCTCCTGCCCATCAAAGGACATTGGGTCAACCTCACCAGCATTTGCATTGGAAGCCCCACCAGCTGGTATCATGCCAAAAAGTTACCCTTCCCCTTCCCAACCCATGCATTTGAATGTACTGGAGGCCCTCCGTGGGATGCTGATGTTACCTTTCATCCTAATTCAAAATTCGCAGTCTGGGTATTCCAAGAGGTACTCAGTTTGGAGGTCGAAGTAGTGGTTCTTCCATCAAGCCCAGAAGGTGTCCCTGCGAGTAAGTCCCTTGGCTTCCGACCCCGGCTTCTGAGATTTCCCAGCATGGCTGCTCCGCCTGGCTCAGCCCTGAGTGTCTGGCGATAGGAGTGTCTTCCTAATCTCCACTTTTGCATGGTAATTTTAGAATGACAGAGGATGTTAGAATCCTTTGGATCACTCCTCAACTTCCCATTCCTGTGGCACAAATGGACCTTTCACTCACATTCACTTTAAGGCCAACAGGTGCTAACTAGCAGGTGCCACCCAGGAGAACCAGCTCTTGTGATCGTCCCTCAGCTCCTGAAGCCTGAGGGCCATGTATACAAAAAAAGAACAATAGCATCCGCGATAGTGGCTCCCAGTCACGGAGCTCGGCTGTGCCTTGGAGAGCCGATCCCTAATCTCCCTAAATGGGCTGCAAGGTCTTGCTCTGCTTCCTTCTTAGAGGGGCAAGCTGAAGCTTCAGGGGGCTTGGTGTCTCATCCAGGGTCTCCACCTCCTCTGATTTCGCTGCCGTTCATGGAGCCTCTCAGAATTACTCTGTCCAATCATGGCCAGAGACTGCCGGATGGAGACTTTTCATTGGAGAACACAAGTTAAACCTGCCTGTTGTTGCCACTACGTTGTATGCACTTCGGAACAAACCTGCATCCCACGGAGATTGGTTTAACGTCTTGGGGTGACTGCTCAGCTCTCCAGAAGCAGTGGGCCTCCGTGGGAGGTTGGAGCCGGCTTCCTGCCTTATCTTACCCAGAAGGCATAATCCCAGGACTCCAGGGCCTGGCTGATGGATTCGGGCAAGCCTGAAGGTGGTCCACACTCATTATGTTTCTAAAGTTAGTTCAAAAAGGCCTTGTCTCCACTCGGGGCTGGGTGCTTTGGAAGTCAACCCAGTGTAACTTTGAATTACTTTGAATTACTCTCACATTTGCTGGGAGCAATTCCTGAAGAATTTCACCCCACCTACCTTCAGCCCACGCTGGCTGGCTTTCTGCTCAAAACCACCTGGAACAGGAAATGCCTGGGCAGTTTGTATCCATAGCTAAGAACAGAGCTGGCAGAACTCCGAGTGGAAATAAAAGGAGCTGACTTGCTGCCAGGTTTAGAAGTAGGTTGACTGTGGGTCAGGTCTTCCAGTGAAGCTAGGACGGAGAGAGACTAAAAGAACCCCACTCGGGCTTCTGTGCAGCTCCATGCCAGAGAGGGGCATGTGGACAGGGTCAGAGCTCGCATCTGCCTCCAGCCAGCTCTGAAAAGGAGCAGTGCCCTTCCCTCAGGAATGCCCCCACCTCGCTCCCTGGAATGGCTCATGGTCTTTCCCACAGTGCCTGGAAGACCAGGATGGTGTGTAAGTGTCCACAGAGAGGAAGAAGGGCCAGAGACCGAAATGGACGTTCTGCATGTAACCTCACACTCCAGCTCATTGCAAAGGTTTTGTTCTGCCCTGGTGGCAAAGGAAAGTGTACCCACCCGTGTGGTGCCCCACAGAAGTCTAACTGTTGAGAGCTTCTGAGCAAAACCCACAAAAGTGAGCATAGTTATGTTTTGGGTAGTGATTTAAGACTTCCAATCTCTGGCCCAGGCGAAATGAGCAAGGGAAAATCTCCCCAGCAAACCAGAGCTTCAGAATTCACAGATAAAATCAAATCACTGGGGGAGTCCCCTGTTCTTCACTCTGTTAATTGCCCATAAAATCAAAGCATTCGTAATCATTTTAATTGCCCCATGGAGTGCTTTCTGGGTCCAACAATATCCTGATTTCAAGTGCACACTAATTAATCTCAAAATACTTAGAGACAAAGGGGGCTTGGAGATACTCACTGATGCCCAAGGTTTGAGGGGACAGGAACTTGTAGAGCCCAAAATGTATTTAATTTGGAAGGTTGTCTTTCAGGAAAAAAAATACATTATGCATAGGGCTGTGGAAAGGACTCCTCCAGAGGTGCCTGGAGCTGCAGCCTCATGGGCCTCATAGGCCTTTGCAGACCCCACTCTGCAGCTAACGCAAGGCAGGAGAGCAACCCAAGCTGCCACAGAAGGGGCCAGGAGGTGACCTGCATTGTCTCTCTGGATTTGACATGGCCCCATGAAGTCATTGTTCTTGGGACTCCACAATGAACCTATTTATTCACTGTTAAAAATGATCTTGACGTCCCAAAGGAATCTCTGAGGCTGACATCTCTTTTGAGGGATGTCAGGCGCGAACTTCTGATTTTAGCAGGAAGTTATGATTTTTCAGATGGACCACGGCAAATTGCAAATTTGGAATCTTGCTAAGTGACACCAAAGTGAAAAGGTTGGAAGTAACCCCTATGCCTCCTGGCTCTGCTGACCTCCTGCTAATAACTCTGCCTGTGTTTTCCTCTCCCCGGGAGATACACAAATGCGTGGCTAGGAGCACGCTGTCCCGAGGAGAGGCGTGCAGGCTCTGAGCTGGAAAGCTGCATTTGCAGTGCGCCAGAACTTGCAGCCACTGCGGCGATGGCCACAGGCAGTGCGTGGGCATGCCAAGTGTATTCTTTCTGGGGCTGTGAGAGCTGACCCCAAACCCACGCCTGGCCTCAAACAAGTTGTGATTGTGCAGGAGTTCTCCAACTCATCGGCTCCAGACCAGGACCTCCAAAGCAAAGACAAGCATCTTCAGAATTCGTTGGAGTGCCCCCACAGCTGTGTGTGGCTTGTGAGAGCCAATTAGAGGCATCTCTTCCCCACTCCTTGTTCACTGATGCCAGGTGGATAGCAAAATCTGTCATGGTGAGGGTATTTACACTTTGGGAAGCAAATACGCCATGACTCTAGGCTATTTTCCCCAGAGAACCGGCTGCCGCTAGCACTCTGTTGTCCAGTATGTTCCTTCCCATCAGCAGTTGAGCTTGCCTGGGTTTGTCCGTCAGCCGCAGCCTCTTTCGCTTTCCTATCCCACAATTCCTTGACCATACCCAGTGACTCCTCCGTGGCCTCCAGTAGCCCTCTTCCTGACACCTCTCCCACCCATTCCGCTACAGACAAGCAAGACCCCGCTCCGGTGATCAGAGGATGGCAGGCTCCAGGGCCCTAGTGGCTCTATCTCCACCTCGTGCTGTAGTTGCTGCTGCTGCTGCCGCCCAGTGTCGGGCCTCCGATGGCAGAAGCAGGGCTTCCCCAGGCCAGCCGCCACCTCTGTGCAGCGTTTCTGAGGATGGTCTTATAACCGTCTCCAGGTGTGCCCTCCTGCCCTTTTTTGGGCCTTTTCACTCTTGACTTCCCAGATGTTTTACTTTTGGCATGGAAGTGGGGTAGTTTGTAGGTTGTCATTCAGAGTCACTTTAAAACATCTTTAAAAAAAGGGCCCGAGGAATACATAAACAAGGCCAGTGGAGAAAGAGTCACCTCCTCAGGAGTGTTAGAGCTGGGATAGGAGGGTTAGAGCCGGGATAGGGGTGTTAGAGCCGGGATAGGGGTGTTAGAGCCGGGATAGGGGTGTTAGAGCCGGGATAGGAGGGTTAGAGCCGGGATAGGGGTGTCAGAGCCGGGATAGGAGGGTCAGAGCTGGGATAGGAGTGTTGGAGCCGGAATAGGGGTGTTGGAGCTGGGATAGGGGTGTTAGAGCCGGGATAGGAGGGTTAGAGCTGGGATAGAGGTGTTAGTGCTGGGATATGGGCAGAGGCCCTGGAGGGAGTTTGAGGCAGGGGTGGAGTGTGCCAGGCCTTCTGCCTCTCAGGGGTACTCAGCTGGGTGGTAAACATCTGGGGCCTATTTATAGGAAGCTGTAATAGTAATTTTCTTTCCTCGCCTGTTCTGCCCTCATCGTGATTAGCTTTTTTTTAACCCAACCTCCAAAAAGCATGTGTGAATGCCAAACCCAGCTCTCAGTTGCTGAGCACCAGCTTCAGGCACTGCTGGATCCAGGGGCTTAAAATGATGTCACAGGAGAAACGGTTTCTCTCCGCACTGGCACTCCTGCCTGTCCTCTCTGTGGACATCTTCCTGTGGGCTGGTAGATCCAGGCTCACATCCAGTCTCTGGGAAACCCTGTGGGAAGAAAGCTGCCTTTTCCTAAGGTGAACAAAAGTCCCCCTGTTTGGGGTTGGGTGATGGGCCTGTGCCTGGAACTGTGGGGTTCAATCCCACGTGACGGGAGGGAAAACATGTTCCCAGGAGAAACCCTGGGTACCATTGCTTAAAGGGAGAAACAGATGCCGTGTCATGGGCACAGTGGGTGTTCACAGAAGCAACAAACCAGGGACGAGCCTGGGGCCCCAGCTCAGGGCAGCCCGTGTTGGAGTCTGTCACTGGCAGGGTGTGGATATGGGACTCAGCCGGTCCGTGCTGGTGGCCCAGCAAGGAGGAGAGCAGCTGCCTGGCTTCCCTCTGGTCTTTGTGAGAGAAATGGGTTCTACGGAGCAGGCCCTGGTGTGGCTGTGGTCAGCACACAGCTTCAAAGAAATCATTTGCTCATCTCTGTCTCCTTTGTACAGGGCACCTCAGCATGCCTGGGTGTCCTCTATCCTCACAGTGAGCCCCTTCCTTCTTCCCACCCTCTGAGGCCACTCTCCCTCTCTTGCCTCCTTTTCCCAGCCAAACCTCTGAAAAGTGGAAAAAACTTTACCTTCCACTTGCTTCTCCATATGGGGTGCTGTGCCTTCCTCCCTCCATCACCCCGCCCAGAACTGATCTTAGCAGTCCTGGCCTCTGAGGATCAGGAATGACCGTCCTGCCTCACACACTGCAGGCAGCCACACACCACTGAGCCACACACTGCGGGTGGCGTTGTCTCCTCTCCCTGTCTTACACGCTCAGCTGAAAGCGGGCTTATCCCAGGAAGCCTTCCCCATCTGCCCCGTCCCACAACATTCCCAGGCCCCGGAGGCACCTTACCATAAAGCTTGTGAAATTGTGTTGTGTTCATCTTTTCTCTCTCTCCCTTCCAAACTGTGAGCTCCCTGGGAGCAAGAGCTGTGTCTGTCTTTAGCCAGCAGTGAGGAGGCCCTCAAAATAGGCTGAGGGAATGGCAGGGTACATCTGCTGTTCCCCCAACTTATGCTTTCTGAGGTGTTTCTTCAAGCAGAAGTCCCCAGACCCCAGGTTGCGGACCAGCAGTAGTCCATGGTCTGTTAGGAACCAGGCTGCACAGCAGCAGGTGAGTGCCCTGCGAGCGAGCATGACCGCCTGAGCTGCGCCTCCTGTCAGATCAGAAGTGGGACATTAGATTCTCATAGGAGCGCAAACCCTATTGTGAATGGCACGTGCAAGGGATCTGGGTTGTGCATGCCTTATGAGAATCTAATGGCTGATGATCTGAGGTGGAAAGTTTCATCCCAAAACCATCCCCCGCCACCCCACTTCCCCCAACCCCCTGGTCTGTGGAAAAATTGCCTTCCACGAAACCAGTCCCTAGTCCCAAAAAGCAGTCCTGGGGACTGCTGTCTTAAAGGACTCTGGCCCCTTGGTTTTTTCTATCTGCTCCTTCCCACCAGCCCACACTGGATCCTAAAACCAAATAGACACATGCATATGCAAGAGACAATTTTCTAAACCTGCAGAAAGCTTGAAAGAATGATGAACGTCCATGCACCCTTTGCCTATATTTGCCTATAGTTAATATAACCAAGTATGTATTTGCATTATTAGCTCACTAGAAGCATTGGAAATCCGTGAAATCAGTCACTGTTGTAAGGGTATATAGAATATGAAACCCTGTAACAGAGCGTAGAATTTGTCCTTTTTGAAAACAGGCCTTACCTTTGCACATTTCAGCATTAGTCATAAAATCTAGACTGATGCTAAAGAAATGGGAATTGAAAGTTGTCAGAGTGATAAGTGCAGTAGGGTTGGTCTGTTGGATTCAGGTCTCCACTCTACAACTGAATAGCTTTGTGATTTTGGGCAAGGTACTTCTCTCTGCCCCCATTGCCTCACCCATGAAGTGATGACAATAATTCAGAGGGTTGTTGAGAAGATTAAATGGGTCAGAGTATATGAAAGAGCCAACCTAGAGAATATGCACCTTAAATGGCAGTTTGCAGATGGTGGCAGAAGAAGAGAAAAAGGAGAGGAAACTGTGGGTGTCCCAACATTCTCACCTCCTTTTCATAGCCAGGACAGTTCAGTTGTGGGTTGGATTTCTTGAAGGGAAACAGATTCGGCTCCAAGTGGCAGGGCTTTCTCTTTCCTAAGCTGTCCCTGGAGTCCTATAATCCTCAGCCTCTCATAGCCACCCTGGATACGAGACCCCACTGGAAGCCACTCTGCTGGAAAGTTCCTAGAAGCGAGGAACCTGTTTCTCTTGGCAGTCCCTCTAACACGAGAAGCCCTGAGCCTGCGTCTGTGTGTTTGCCGGGAGCGAGCAGTGGGACCATAATGTCCTGGAGACAAGAACTGAGGCCAGTGACTACCCAGCGACCCTCTGTTGCTTGTGGCCTGCTCCAGCCTGGGGCTGATGAATTCAGCAGTAACCAAAACCCCTTTTGGGTTTCAACTCTCATTTTCCAAAATCAGTATTAAATGTGGGCATTTTATTTCTGGCCTCAGTAAGCAGAGAACAGTCAATGCAGTAGAATCTGATTTCATTGATATGGACTGAGTAGGGTCCCAATGAGATATATGTAGATCAGTTTGGGGTGTCCTTGGGGCTCCAGTTGTGTGTACAGGGAGTGTGGGCATAGGACTGAGGGTGCCCTGGAGTTCCCATTTTGGGAAATGACAGACTTACTGTCACCTCTTGTCATCTGCCGACTTCTCCTAAAATGCCAGAATAGGTTTTAGTTGTTGGGATTTTTTTTTCCCTAAATAACAGCAGCAACAAAATAGGATGTCACTGCAGAGTGCTGTCCTCATGAGAACCACATGATCTTCACCCCGAAGTGGGAAGACACAAGAAAAATCCTGGTGAGCGACTCAGAAAATAGTAAATACATGGCTTGTGTGGAAAACCAAGTTTCTGCTTATGGCCCGTCAGCAGCATGTTGATTCTCAGCCCCTCCTGGCACAGGCTGTCCCTGGTAGAGATGTGGGTGAGCAAACGTGAGAACCTGAAGCCCACAGAGCTAGGGTGTGAGAGTGCCTCTCCCCTGCTACGCTCAGCCCCCAACCACTGCTCGTCCACAGCTGCCAAGTGTGACCACCACATCTGTGGGTGGCTAGGGTTTCCAAACCTTCATACTTAACAGAGTAATGGTTATTGATTGAAGGGACGTCCACTTTAGTAATGGGGGGATATCAGATCCTTAAGAGGTGCTGGAGATGGGCTCTTCTCCTTCTGGAACCCCAGGTAGGTAATAGGAAAGGGAACTGATGAGTTTTGCTAAAGCAGCAAAACCTGGTTTGTAGCCTGGGACACATTAAAATGGAATGAATTCATCAGGCAGAAAACCATCTGCTGGATAAGTTTAGTGAAATGATATCAGACCATGGTCTTCTCCATTCCCTGCCCCTCCACCCCTAACCCCAGCTATCTGAGTTGGTTTTGAGACAGAAGCCCAGGCTGAAAGGTGCCCATCAATCCCACAGCTCTCCCTGGGGATCCTAGGGGTCTGCATCTCCGTGCTCCCTGCGATCCAGGCTTTTGTTCTCAGTATACAGAGCACTCGCCTTCTCTCGCTTCAGGCCTCCCTCCTTCCCCCTGTGGAAGGGAGACCTCTGCCCCACTCAGGGGCTGTAGATTCCGTTTAAAGACAGGCTGGATCCCCCTACCCCCAGCCCCTTGATTCTTTGGTCTTCAACTTGCTTTCTAGCTCTCAAAGACTCGGGTAAGGGGTCCATCAACAGTGACTGGAAGATAGAGCTCCCCGGAGAGTTCCAGATTGCAGGCACAACTGTTCGCTATGTGAGAAGGGGGCTGTGGGAGAAGATCTCTGCCAAGGGACCAACCAAACTACCGCTGCACTTGATGGTAACTTGCTGGGCTTCCACACTTGTCTTAGGGGGTGTGGCTCCGAGAGGTCTACTAGGTTACTTTCCAGTTTACTTCTGCCTGGGACCTCGGGGGCAGGAAATGCATCTGGCTTCCAGGGGTTTATGCCGTCCCCTGCTGCTCAGTCCTCTCCCCTCTCTGGGTCCTTTCTTTTCCAGTCCCTTGCACAACTTGCTTCAGAATTCTCTCATTGCTTCCCCTGGCTCTTCCCTGGCCGAGCTCCTATCTTTTTCAAAAGGAGCTGCCTCAAAGAAGGAAATGCTTAGCCACGTGGATGGCAGCCAGGGAGACTTGGCCTCATTAAGCAGACAGCCCCACTCCAAGTCTGTTTTTGCATCGGTTGGTGAGATGCATAGATCTGCCTGCACAGAGTGTATATCATTACCTTTCGGAAATGAACTATGACTCCAGGTCCGAACTGGAATCCCTCAGGTTTCACAGACCCAGCTTGCAACGAGCATTTGGGAATCAGGGAGGGGGATCAGATGATGTGGGTATTCTACTCCCCAGGTGACCTCCAGAAACCTGTGAGCCATTGGGCCAGGCCAGGGCGCCGTCTTACCTGTTGTCTCAGGGAGGCCTCCATGCAAGCCACTGAAACATCAGTGATGCCTCCTTTTAAACATGTCAGAGATCTCCAGGGAATGGAGCGCCCTGCTTCCGTCTCAAGATCCAGGAGTTCTCATGGCTAACTTCTGATGGCTCATCATTATCGATTCCGGGTCTCCTTCCAAAAAACAGGATTTGTGGCAGCTTGTGCCCCTGTAATCAAAACACGCTTTGTCCACAGTGCCTGCCAGAGTCTCTCCGTGGAAGTTCTTCTTCCCCGTTAATTTGTGATCTCTGGCAGCCTGTAAGTGTTCCAGGTTAGTTGACACCCAAAAGATTTTCTAGCCATTGCCCAGGGAATCTCCTGAGGAGGCTGGCTCTGCCGGGGAGCGCTGGCCCCCAGGGTGGGCGTTGCCCCGTAGTGGTGTTAACCCCGTTAAAATTTCTGGGGAGACAAAGGTAAGGCAGTTTTCATGTGCAACCAAACCATGTAGAAATCTGCCAGCGCACCTCTCAGCCCGCTAAGTCCACTGCAAATACGTTCCTGCAAGTAGGTTTCTGGGACCCAAGAATGTGTACCTAAGTCATTTATCTGGGATAAGATTGTTCCCTAGTCACAGTCAGAACAAATCCTCCTATTCTGAGTTAAAAGCAGTTATTCAGAGGGACTAAGAGAGGAGGCAAAACATAAAACCTGTACTGAAACTTCACCTGTTAGCATGAGAATTTGCTTTCTCTAGCAAACACCAATGTGAATGTATTTCCCTTTTCACCAAAAGCCTTTGTAAACTGAGCAAGTGGTTAGCCCGTTAAAGTGAAGTCCCCAGCCTGGATTCATTCAGACCAGGATGAACAAAACTCGGAGAAAGCAACTACTACCGTAACTGAAGTTTCAGCCCTCGCTTAATATTGATGGCTTTTCTTTCAAAATGTGATTGTCACTTCAAGATTTTAAAACTGAAAATGAGAGGTGCCCCTTTGCCTCTATATAGAAAGCCATGGTCCCCAAACTGGGGTGTACACATTGTTTGCAGAATCAGTATCACCAGTGAGCTGCATTTTGCCCTTGAGCTTGCCTTACTCCTGACTCTGGACCAACTGACACAGCAGTGATTGATGATGGGGAGTGAAGGAAGATGTTCATTTCCAAAGAAATAGAGTCACCCCAATTGCTCTGATGCCTTTCTAGGTAAAAGTTTATCTGTGTCTTTCCTGTCTGCAAGGGCAGCTTTGTGGGTGAGCATGCAGGAATGTGGACTGTTCTCTGCGTGACGCAGCTCTCCATCAAAAGTGCAGTGAGAGGTTTCAGAGTCACTTATCCTAAAGCTCCTAGTCTAAGCTGGTCTCTCTCTTGGGTAGGAAAGAACAGAACTCCCTCACGATGGTTTGCATTCACCCCACTCCTCAGTTGAGTCCCTGAGGAATCCAGGGCTGAGATAAAGGAGCACCCTCAGTGGAACCTGTTTTCAGCCCCAGAAAAGAGCTGGTTACCCCTCATAAAGAAACAGCCGCAGTGTGCCTGTGTGTGCAGATTCGGCATTCCCACGGGCCTTCCTTCCTTTTCAAAATGGCCTTTTGTTTTGCGGCTGATCCAGGTGTTGTTATTTCACGACCAAGATTATGGAATTCATTATGAATACACTGTTCCTGTAAACCGCACTGCGGAAAATCAAAGCGAACCAGAAAAACCGCAGGACTCTTTGTTCATCTGGACCCACAGCGGCTGGGAAGGGTGCAGTGTGCAGTGCGGCGGAGGTGAGTGGCCGTGGTCCATGACCTGTTGGGTGTGGGGTTTTGCTGAAGGAAGGAGAAAGGCATCTGTGGCCAGCACGCAGAGTGTGAGACATCTGCAACCTGTAGCTCCATGGGAATTTAACCATATCCCACCGAAAATCTCTCTGCAGAATACTTGGACAGAGTCTTCCCAACTCCCACACTAGGGTCATGCCCATACCTCTGCTTTGCCTGGGGCCCAGGGCCCCACAGCTCTGACCTATGGGTGAAGCGGGGTTTGGCTGATGTATGATTACATCTCGGGTGTGACAGGTGGACCCTGGGAATAAACAGAATAGACCTTCAACTGCTGCTGCTTGCTGGAGGGGCACCAGAGCATGTCTCTGCCCGCTCCCAAATTCCCTTCCCTCTTGGCCACAGTCACCTCACTCCAGGATACAATGGAAAGAAAAAGTCCTGCAAGTCGGGTGAAACGTTCTGAGCATGAGTCCTGACTGCACAACTTCCTGCTTGACCTCAGCAAATGACTTCCTCTCTCTACCCCATGTTTCTTCACTTCTGAAATAGGATGGTTGTCTCTCATGCACACTGCAGGGTCCACAGGGTGAGCCAAAGAGCCTGTCGTACAGCAAGAATCAATATGACCAAAAGGCATTGTGTTTATTGTTGTGTCATTGAGAGGGGGCAATAGGAAGCCATTCTGAACTCTGAGCCAGCAGTTTCTTAGTACAGTGCTGTTTGTCACCCTAGCAGGGCACATAGAAGGGTCATGGGAGATGGAACACAGGGTGGGTGGATTTTAGTGGACAAAGAGTTGGGACAGAAGGTTGACCTGGACTCTGGTAGGCCAACCCAGAGAGTTGGATAATGGAGTGGAACCCCGGGCATAGCCCCCGCCATCCCTAGTCCTGAGCACCTATTGACTGCTTGGATAACTTTTGTTAGATGTCCAATATGTAAAGCATTGCTTACCATTTAAGGGATTCATCCCATTTTTCATGGGTAGGAGTTATAGACACACAGGAGTTTCTTCCTGGGCATCTTGGCCAACCACCCTCACTGTCTGTGCTTAGCCTATTCCTGCAACAGCCCTGCGGCAGTTGGCATAGCCTCCGGATACCACCATCAGCCCTGCATCCTCCACTCTGCACCTCTCCCCGGGGGGCCTTCTCCCCCTCAGCCCTTAGCTGCCGCTTGTGCCGATGGCCTTTCAACCTCCAAATCCAGCTGACACATCTACCTCTGATTCCAGCCAGGTTTTCCTCTTGGGCAGCTTGTTACAAACTAAGCATAGCCCACATGGAATAGTCAGGCTCTCCTGGGGTCAGGGGCAGGCTGTTCTGTTGCTGTTGGCTTGGTGGCAATCCTTTTATGACACTGATGACTTCCAGCTTCCTAACACAGTGGTCAGACCTGCCACCAAAGCTGAAAGCAGTTCCGTGCTTTCTGTACTCATGCGAGGCTGCCATGTGGGGCAGCAGCAACTGGCAGTGGAGTTCAGGTCTCCATGATTTCGAGTCATCCCTACATGACAAATTGCCCAGGACACAGACCCAGCAGGGAGCCCAGGATCCAAATAGTTGTGCTTGACTCCCTATTAATCTTTTATTGTCACTCTTCCCAAATAATAATAATGACAGCAATAGAGCTAAGATGAAGTGTTAGCCACCTGCCAGGTTCTGTTCTATGGACACCATATATATTTGTTTATTTTAATCATCACTGAGGCACCCTGAGGCACAGGGAAGTTAAGCAAACCAGGCTGCTTGAGGAAACTGAGACACAGAAGTATGGTGGCCAACTGTTGACACTATGGCCACTGTGATGCTATTTGTGATACAGCCAAGACTTGAACCCAGACAGCCTGGCTCCAAGGGCCACCCTCCTAACTCCCAGTCACTCAGCCTGCCTGACAAAGGCATGGCCGTGCAGTATTTAGGGTGACAAAGGCATGGCCGTGCAGTGTTTAGGGTGCTCTGGGAACACCTATAAGAAGGGCTACATCTATTTGGGATAATGAATTAGCAAAGCTTCCCAAGAGCAGGTGGGGGCTCAGCCATAAGTACCAGCTGGCTGGCTAGACAAGTCAGAATGGCTCTGGAATGCCTGTCTAGAGGATGCAGGTCTGTGTGTCTTCCAGACCAGACTCCTCATCTCCCACTTCTCCCCAGCAAGCAGGAATTCTGTAATAGGTAGCCAGACTCTGCTGAGGGCTGATGTGCAGGTCTTTAATTGAGATCAGATCTCCATAGACTTTAAACATCAAACAAGCAGATAAAAAGATGAGCAATCTTTGGAAATCAAAGGCCCAAATCAACGAACCCCAAGCTGTCCAAGGACACCGCTGATCTGAGGTGTTGCTGCTTTCTTATCTTGTTCTAGAATCTTCCAGGGCCCCACTCTGCCTTCTGTGTCTTGTACTCTCCTCCCTACGATTATAGTTCTTCCTCTCTAAAAACCCACATGACATTTACAGCAGTCACTTTAAATGACCAAGTGACCATCAGCAGCACCCAAACATGCTTTCATGGGCATGCAAGCCCAGCCTTTCCACGTGGGTGCAGCCACAGTCTCTCAGCTCCCTGTGGTTTGGTTTCCAGGGGAGCGCAGAACCATCGTCTCGTGTACACGGATTGTCAACAAGACCACAACTCTGGTGAACGACAGTGACTGCCCTCAAGCAAGCCGCCCAGAGCCCCAGGTCCGAAGGTGCAACTTGCACCCCTGCCAGTCACGGTAAGAAGCTGGGTTCTGTAGCTTGGACCCACCAGAGTCTGGGGCGGCAGCACCATCAGTGGTGGGGAGTGATATGCAGTTAATGCCACAGTACTGCTCTATGCTGTGTTCCGTTATTGTTGATGAGAGATTTCCGCTTGCTCAAATTACCAAATTTCCAGCTACTAAGCCAGGACTCTGATGGAAATACAACCTTCACTGGAAGGCATTGTGTAGGAGACCATTAGTAACATCTCATGGCAAAAAAAAAAAAAAAAAAAAAAAAAATGGCCATCACCACACACTTTTAACCATTGGCTTCCCCAAATTACTTTGTCTTGGTGGAGAAGGAAACAAATATTGGAGTCTGAGTGCCCAGGAGAAAGGTGCACACAGGCTAATGTTGTGGGTGACCTGTTTCAGTGGCTGAAATTCATGCCAGTGAGTGTGGATCTTGGTGTTTATTCTTCGGGATCCATCAGAACTTCTGTCCCAGCCCCAGCTTTCATGGCCGTGTTACCCTTGTGGACTCTCTTGGGTTGTCAGGAGATGAATTGTGTGAAATGCGTTCATCAGCTAAGCCTCCTCTTTTTGAGTCATTTTAGCGGGACTTTAATAATGAATCCATTACGTTGTGGCATGTCACCCTTTGGCCTTCCGTCCTGCTGTGAATTGAGGTGAATGGTTTTTGCTTTGTGGTTCTGTGTATCATTTGAGGCATATTGACCTTTTCTAACTAGGCTAGGTGTTTAGTATTTCCATTTTCTAGGTTTCTTAACTCAATTTGTGCCGCTTGCCTAGTACAAGAGCTTCACAACATATTTGGCTTTTGCACCGACCCCCTTTGTTTTGTCAAACTCTTAAAATGTGTTTGAGTGAGAAAGAGAGGAGACAGGAAGGAAAAAAAGAAGGTGAGGCTTGCTGTGATGATTTTCTGTGCTCCTTGCCAAATTAAGAATGAAATTCCACCCTAATGCTGAAGGCCTGGAGGAAGAGCTCACTGCAGGAAATCTGCTTGAGCACCTCGGTATGAGCAGCTGTACCACGAACCTATCGATCAGTCCATCAGGTCATATTCAGGGGCCACAGAATGGAGGATTTGCCACTGTAAAGACTCAGCAGTCTAACAGGCTACAGCCTCTTCTCTGGAAACTAAAGATGGCCTGGCCCTGGTGAAGTGATTAGAAAATAGGGTAAGAGACGATGGAGGAGGAGAGGTCAGCATGAGCTCAAGGGCATGATTGAGCAAAAAGGTCTTAGGGCTCCATTCGAGAAGCATGTTTTTATTGGGGAACCTGCCCCCAATAGTCACATAGGTTCTTTTCTATTTTCCCTAAGCGTCGGCTGGCTTGAGAAATAAAGGGACAGAGTACAAAAGAGAGAAATTTTAAAGCTGGGCATCCGGGGGAGACATCACATGTCAGCAGGTTCCGTGATGCCCCCAAGCCGTAAAACCAGCAAGTTTTTATTAGGGATTTTCAAAAGGGGAGGGAGTGTGTGAATAGGGTGTGGGTCACAGAGATCACGTACTTCACAAGGTAATAAGATATCACAAGGCAAATGGAGGCAGGGCGAGATCACAGGACCACAGGACCGGGGCGAAAAATTGCTAATGAAGTTTCGGGCACCATTGTCATTGATAACGTCTTATCAGGAGATAGGGTTTGAGAGCAACCAGTCTGACCAAAATTTATTAGGCGGGAATTTCCTCATCCTAATAAGCCTGGGAGCGCTATGGGAGACTGGGGCTCATTTCATGCCTACTGTCTCAACCATAGAAGACGGCCACACCCAGGGGGGCCATTTTAGAGGCCTACCCTCAGGGGCTCATTCTCTTTCTCAGGGATGTTCCTTGCTGAGAAAAAGAATTCAGTGATATTTCCTCCCGTTTGCTTTAGAAAGAAAAGAAATATGGCTCTGTTCTGCCTGGCTCACCGGCAGTCAGAGTTTAAGGTTATCTCTCTTGTTCCCTGAATGTTGCTGTTATCCTGTTCTTTTTTCAAGGTGCCCAGATTTCATATTGTTCAAACACACATGCTCTACAAACAATTTGTGCAGTTAACGCAATCATCACAGGGTCCTGAGGCGATATACAGCCTCCTCAGCTTACAAATTGACAGGATTAAGAGATTAAAGTAAAGACAGGCATAGGAAATCACAAGGGTATTGATTGGGGAAGTGATAAGTGTCCATGAAATCTTCACAATTTATGTTTAGAGATTACAGTAAAGACAGGCATAAGAAATTATAAAAGTATTTATTTGGGGAACTAATAAATGTCCATGAAATCTTCACAATCCACGTTCTTCTGCCATGGCTTCAGCCGGTCCCTCCGTTCGGGGTTCCTGACTTCCCACAACATGTTTTAAAATTAGTTCTGTTTTCAAGCTATTTTATACCCAAGTCTTTTTAAAATTATGCACAGAAACCAGTAAAATGAAACAGATGAAATGAGAACTGCTACCACTGAATTGAGACACACACACGATGTGGCAGAGTGGGCCAGTCTACTCCGCCTTTTCCACCTCTCACAGTACGCCCTGGCTTCTCTGTGGAACTCCAGGGATAAGATTTTAAAATAAAGGATTCTGCTTCCTGTAACGATAGAGTAGCTTATATTGGACCAGCCCTCCTACAGATAACAATTAAGAACTCTGGAGACAGTATAAAAAGCAATTGTTTAAAAGCTAGAAAGCAGCCTAGGTGAGGGGGCACACACCTGTAATCCCAGCACTTTGGGAGGCAAAGGCGGGCAGATCACTTAAGGTCAGGAGTACGAGATCAGCCTGGCCAACATAGTGAAACCCTGTCTGTACTAAAAATACAAAAATTAGCTGGGTGTGGTGGCAGATGCCTGTAGTCTCAGCTACTCAGGAGGCTGAGGCAGGAGAATTGCTTGAACCTGGGAGGTGGAGGTTGCAGTGAGCTGAGATCACACCACTGCACTCCAGCCTTGGTGACAGAGTGAGACTCCATCTCAAAAATTAATTAATTAATTAAATCTAGAAAGCAGTTAGAAACTGAAGAGAAATAGAGAAATGGAGGAATAGAATGGCATGGAATTGAATTACCCATGTTGACAGCTCTTCAACCAAAGGAAGGCCCTAGTTGCATTGAGACTAGCTAAAACTCTGATAGTTACCCGCCATCTTTTACTGGTTAAGCCATCAGAGGAGAATATTCAGGGAAACCCATAGCAGCTGGAAACTGAGAAGGAAAAACTCCAGAAAGGAGGGAGCCACAGAGAGTGACTCCCAAATTCTGCATATATCTCAAGAATCTCTGGGAATTCTTAGAGACTAGGGCCAAATCTAAGAATAAGACAGGCCGGCCAGACTCCACATAGCACAGCTAAAGCTAGAAGACCTGAACTGAGACTGTAGCTGCTGCCCACCACAAGAGAGACAGTGCCTGGAGTTTTATTCCAGCCAAATTAGCTGCCTACTAAAACAAAAATTCAATATTCTTCTAAAATGAAACTCTAGAGCTGCATAGTTCAATATGGTGGTCACTAGCCACTCCAAATTGAAATCTGCTATAAATATAAAATATACATGAGGTTTCAAAGATTTAGTATGAAAAGAGATTATAAGTCTCAATTATTTTATAAAATATTTAAGATTATAAAATATCTTAATTTTTAACGTGATTACTTTGATTATAATCGTCCCAAATGATTATATTTGGGATGCATTAGGACAAACAAAATATATTACTAAAATTAAATTTGAGGTTATTTTAATGTGGCTTCTAAAAAAATCCAAATTAACAGGCTGGGCATGGTGGCTCATACCTGTAATCCCACCACTTTGGGAGGCCAAGGCAGGCAGATCACTGAGGTCAAGATTTCAAGACCAGCCTGGCCAACATGATGAAACCCCATCTCTACTAAAAATACAAAAATTAGCCAGGCATGGTGGCGTGCACCTGTAGTCCCAACTACTCAGGAGGCTGAGGCAGAAGAATTGCTTGAACCTGGGATACAGAGGTTGCAGTGAGCTGAGATCACGCCACTGTACTCCAGCCTGGGTGATTAAGCCAGACTCCGTCTCAAAAAAAAAAAAAAAAAATCCAAATTATATATCCAGTTCTCATCTTCTTTCTGTTGAGCAGTGCTGCTGTTGATTAGTGTATCATTCACAGTGTTCCAGGTACAATCCAAAATTACTAGTCATATAGGGAAACAGATCCATACTCAAAAGAGAAGGCCATTAATGGAGACTGACTGGAAGATGACATGTATGTTGGAATTAGAAGAAAAGAATGTTAAAGCAGCTATTGTAACTATGCTCAGAAACGTAAGAAAAGCTATGCTCATGGTCATGGAACATATAGGAGATCTTAGAAGCAACAAAGATATACTCTACAAAAACACAGTTTTAGGACTAAAAAATAAATACAATATCTGAAATTTTAAAAATTCACTCCATGGGTCTAACAACAGAGTAAGATGATGAAAGATTACTGAACTTGAAGATAGAGGATTAGACATTATTCAGTCTAGAAAATGGGAAGGAAAAAATTGTTGACAATGAGCAAGACTCAGTTACCTGTGGGATAGTATCAAGCATTCTAGCATAAGGGTAATTGGAGTCACAGAAGGAGAGGAGAGAGAAAATGGAGCAGAAAATAATCATTTAAGAAACAGTGATCAAAAATTTCCCAGGTTTGTGAAAGACAGATGAGAGGTAATCAGATCACATCTTCATGTTTCAACTAGATTCCAGATTAATTCAAAGTGCCATAACAGAGCCCTCTGATCATTGCAACAAGTGGGCAAGTATATCAAGTTCGTGATTTTGCCTCCCATGTATCTTCTAAGAGAGAACCATGCTGCACTGCAAAACTGAAACCAGAAGATCATGTAGGAAAACACCTACAAAACAAAGTGACATAAACAAACATGAGTGCAGACTCTATTAATGAGTGCCACAGAGCTGTGCTAAGCCTACGATAGATAACATCAAGTGTGTGTATTGCTACAGAAAGTTCAGAGTCATTCTGGCTTGATGGACCACAGTCCTGCCGTGTTGCCACGTTTGAGCCAAGTTCAAGCCAAATACACTTCAGACTAAAAGCAATTTCAGAAGCAAGTTCTTAGTATCTCCGTAGAACAGGGGTCAGCAAACTTCATCTGTATAGGTCTAGAGAATAAATATTTTTGCCTTCGCAGGCCACATGTGGTCTCTGGCATATTTTTTTCTGTATTTTGAGTCATAATCCTTTAAAACATGTAAAATTTGTTATTCGCCCTTGGGTTGTCCAAAAATAACCCCGCAGGCCAGACATAGCCCACACGTAAGAGTTTGCTGGCCTGTGTTTTGGATTATTGCTTACTCCCGTTTTGCCCACTGAGATATTGGCACCACGCTCTCAGCATGAGCCAGAGCTCTGCAGGTATTAGCTCAGGGAATGTATTTTCTTATTATACAAAGGAGGACGTGTTAGAATTCTGAATTTCTTTTTATTGTGTAACTTGATAAATATTCGATTTCTGCCTCCCCACCACTTCTCTTTCCCACTTCCTTACACTCCCTTCCTGACTGTAAAATCATGTGAATCAGACTTAAAGAATGAGTGGAATTACTTAGAGCAGAGAAGAAAATGAAATTGAAAAACAGGAGAAAATAGCACCTAAGATCTGCCTTAGAGACTGTAGACAGCAAGTGCCTGGCTCCCTGCCCCAGGCTGGTTTTGTTTGCTCATTTGTTGATTTGTTTATTCTGAACCATCTGACCTTGTACTTTTTCTTAAACTGGATATGCGAGTGCCATGACTCATCAAAGAGGATTTATTGTTTGGCTAAAGAAATGTATGATCTGATAATAGATTTTGAAGCTCTTGCAATTCCTAACAAGATAGATCCGTGCGTACATACATACACATACATATATACATACACACATGTAAATGTATCTACATGCACCATATACATATATATATGTATTATGTACAGTAGTTCCCACTTATTTGCAGTTTCACTTTCTGTGGTTTCAGTTACCCGTGGTCAACCATTGCCCAAAAATATTAAAAGGAAAATTTCTGAAACAGTTCATCAGTTTTAAGTTGCTTGCTGTTCTGAGTAGTGTCATGAAATCTCACACCATCCCGCTCTGTCCTGCCCAGGACGTGAATCATCCCCTTGTCCAGGGGATCCACAGTGTCTCTGCTCCCTGCTGGTTGTCACTCAGTAGCCATCTCAGTTAGATCAACTGTAGGGTGTCGTAGTTCTTGCGTTTTACTTAATATTGGTCTCAAAGCACAAGAGTGGTGATGATGGCAACTCAGATGTACTAAAAAGAAGCTATAAAATGCATCCTGTAAGTGAAAAGGTAAACGTCTTCAACTTAATAAGGAAAGAAAAACAAATGTATGCTGAGGTTGCTCAGATCTACAGTAAATGAATCTTCTACCCATGAAATTGTGAAGAAAAAGAAGAAAGAAATCTGTGCATAGTATATACAGGGTTCAGTACTAGCCTTATTTTCAAGCATCCACTGGGGGTCTTAGAACATATCTGCCACAGATAAGGGAGGACTTCTGTACAGCTATTATACACACACAAATATTTGGACAACAAAATTTGAATTATTGCATGGCACGATCTAGTTGTCATGAGTCTTTCATAAGAACCTATGGTTACATGGATTCATGCTAGTAAGTGAAGAAAAGTAGAAAACCTGACCTTAGGAAATGAGTGCCAGAAAATCGGGGAGATTGGACACACAAGTAAAAACTGCACCTGGGCAACAGGGTAAGGTGGAGATGTGGAGGGTCTGGATTACAAATGGCTGTTTCAGATGGGGTGGCATGAGTGGAGGACAGAGCCTGGAACCTGGAAGAAGCGCCCAAGAATCCCATGGTGTGAACTTTATTAAAGAAGCCAGAATGCAACCCACTGTTGAACCTGGCAAGGTGAAAGAGCCTTTCTATGTTATTGTTACTCTTTGACCTTTAAAGTGGCAGAGATGTTTGTCTTTTTCCTTTATACTTTCCTTTATTTCTCCTGATCTCCCTTTAATTTTCTTCAACCCTTTTTCCATTGAGTTCCTGACAGTTTCCTTTGCCTTCCCAACTGCACACCATTAGCACCACTTTATTCTAATCCTAGCTCTGTGGATACTTCTCCCAAACCCTGCTGTAACCATATGGAATCTGGAGTCTGACACGCATGGCAGATGGCGTCTCCCCAGCATCTCACACACCAACACAAAAACATTGACAAACCTGACCCTGACATTGGCAGGCATGGCAGAAATCACAGATCAGCCCAGCTGTTATGGCCATGGCCAGCAGCCTTCACCTTGCTAACCACAGTCTGCAGGGAAGAGGCCTCCCCATCATTCAGCATCCAAAGAGCAGTACTGTGTGACGAGACCCTTGAGACCCAGCCTCAGGTGGTCCTGGAGCAAGGAGGCAGGGGCTGCCAATGAAGTGGACACGTCCCGGAGCACAGACCTTGTGCTTTACCAGATTTAACATTTTTGCAGTCTTTAAGAGCTTATTAGCCACTTGAAAAAGGCCATTCCAAGTTATTAGATATTTCCCTATGGTATTTATGATTTGAACTTCTTCCCAGGCAGTACATGCTGTACTGTACATTGAATTAGAGTGATTCAGAAAAGAACATTCAACATCTTACTGGCAATTGAATTGAATAGTCATTTGCAAGGAAGCGTATTTGGTTTTTAAATGTGTTCTCCTTCCTCAATTATCTTAATCAGGCTGGCCTTATTTGGGGTTAAAATGGAATGGAATCCCTTTTTATTAAAGCATATTTTGTGTGTGTGCACGCGTGCATGTATGAGAGACAGAGAGAGAGACCATGACTTAAGAATGAAGCCTGGAATACGTGGATCTTTAGCTATTGCCACAATCTGAAAAGATATGGTTTTTTAATCAATTTCTTGCTAGTCTGAAACATAAACATTTTCTTTCCTGTCTTTTTCTAAAATAAAATAGGTAAATCTAATTGTGACTAATACCTGTGGTGTATTACATGCCTTGTTGATGGTATGTGAGTGGGGAGGAGAAATTTAGATTGCCAAGATGCTGGAACTTTTTCTGACACAAATTTCAGGATGTCACCTGTCTTTAAATTAAATGTTAAGTTTTAAAGCCTTACCTTATTTATCTAAATTAAGAAACATTCAAGATGGAGGACAAGAAAGCATTTTCAGAGGTTTTTTTTTTTTTTTGGTCATTTGACCATCCCTTCGTTTGATCATTACAGAGGATGAGAGAATGCCCTGGTACCAGGTTCACAGGTGACAGGATTTCTCCTGTTGGGAAATGCTTTGCATGTAGGCTCTGCAACCCATCAAAAGAGATCCTTCTCTCTTCCTGATTTTTCTGAGTAATAAAATATGAAAACCATCAAGCACTTGATGTTTCCATTTGACTTTTTATGTCACAGTTACAAGAAAGGACAAGTAAAGGGAAAAGGTGAGATTTAGTCTGAGGAATACTGAAAGAACAACAACAGCCGCTGCCCCAAAAAAGATTACAAAGCGATCTCTCAGAAATGAAGGGAAGCTGTGTATTCTCCAGGTTCTGGAAGAAACATCAGCCCACAGAAGAAATGGCTGTGCAGTAAGGGCAACAGTGGAAGGGTTCCTAGCTTGTGGAATTGCTGAGGGTTTCAGAAATGAGCTTGGATATGTTGGTGGCTGCGTCTCAAAACGGCCCTTTCCCCTTGGGGTCTAATGAAGGTCATTCTTGGCGGACTCCTCTGCTGGCTGACTCTTACAGCAATGAACAGTCCACAGATAAGAATGATTCTTTTCTCCTTCTGAGTGTATACTTATATACAAATACATTGAAAGTAAAAAGATGGAAAAAGTTATATCATGCAGACAGAAAGCAGGAGTGCTATACTAATACCAGACAAAAAGATTTTTTTAAAAAAACTACTAGAATACAGACATTTTATGATGATAAAAGGGCAATCCATCAGGAAGATACAACAATTATAAACATATGAGACCCTAAAATACATGGAGCAAAACTGACAGAAATGAAGGAATAAATACCTAACAGTAATAACTGGAGACTTCAATACCTCACTTTCAGTAGTGGATTTTAAAAACAAGGTGTATCAACAAGGAAATAGAAGACTTAACAGTATAAACCAACCAAACCCAATAGATATCTATAAAACACTCCACCTAACAACAGCAGAATTTGCACATGGAACACTATTCAGAATAGATCATACACTAGGCCAGTAAATAAATCTAACAAGCACAAAACAATAGAAATAATACTAGGTATGTTTTCTGGCCACCGTGGAATGACATTAGAAATCAGTAAGAGAAAGAAGTTTAAGAAACTCATAAGTACATGGAAATTAAACAGTACCCTTCCTAAACAACCAGTGGGTCAAATAGAAATCACAAGGGAAACTAAATCATATTTTGAGATGAATCGAGGTGAAGGCACAATATAACAGAACTTAGGGAATGTGGCTAAAGCAGGCCTTAAGGGGAAATTTATGGCTGTAAACACTTATACTGAAAAAGAAGAAAGATTTCAAATCAGTAAACTAACCTTCCATGTAATGATACTGGAAAGAGGAGCAACAGAACCTAAAGCAAGCAGAATGAAAGAAATAGTAACATTCATGCAGAAATAAATGAAATAAAGGGTAGAAAATAGTACAGCAGAATAATAAACCAAAAGTTAACTATAGGAAGAAATCAACAACATGGACAAGTCTTTAGCTAGATTGGCCAAGAATAAAAGAAGACGTAAATTACTAAATTAAAGAACGAAAGCAGGAATGTGACTACTGACCTTACAGAAATAAAAAGGATTGGGAATGAACACTATGAACAGCCGTATGCCCTAAGTTAGATAACTTACAGAAAGTGGACAAAGTCCTACACATAAGCAGGCTACTGAAACCGAATAAAGAGCATCTGCCAAGAACCCACAGCCAACACCATACTTAAAGTGAAAGACGGAATGCTTTTCTCCAAAGATCAGGAGCAAGACACAGTATCTGCTCTTACTATTTCTATCCAACATTTTATTAAAGATTCCAGCCTAGGCATTTACCCAAGTAAATGAAATAAAATGCATCCATGTTTGAATAGAAGAAGTAAAACTGTCTGTATTTACAAATGACATGATCTTGTATACAGATAATACTAAGGAATCTCTAAAAACTATTAGAACTAATAAACAAGGTCTGGATGTTTACAGATGTAAGATCAATAAGGAAAAATCAATTGTATTTCTGTATAGTATCAATTAAGTGAAATTAAGAAAAAAATCCACCTATAATAACATCAAAAAGAATAAAATACTTTGGAATAAATTTAATAAAAGAATTTTAAAACATATTCTGAAAACTACAAAAATATCTCAAATAGACATTCATTTTCATGAATGAGAAGACTTGTTAAGATAACAATACTCTACAAATTGATCTATAGATTTAGTGCAATCTCTATCAAAATTTAAGCCATCTTTCTTCCACAAATGGGGACATGTCGCTAAAATTCATATGGAATTGCAAAGGGCCTCAAATCATCAAAACAATCTTAGAAAAGAATAACAAAGTTGGAGTCCTCATGCTTCCCAATTTCAAAGCTTACTGTAAACTATAGTGATCCAGACAGTGTGGCCCTGGCATAAGGATAGACATAAAGAACAATGGCGTATAACTGACAGTCCAGAAATAAATCTTCACAGTTACTGTCAACTGCTTTTCCACCAGGGTGCCAACAGCAATCAGTGGAGAAAGAATAGTCTTTTCAAACAAATGGTGCTGTGACAACTAGCTATCCACATGCAAGAGAATGCAGTTGGAGGTGGGGCGCATTGGCTCACACCTGTACTCCCAGCACTTTAGAGGATTGCTTGAGTCCAGGAGTTCAAGACCAGCCTGGGCAACATGGTGAAACCCTTTCTCTACAAAAAAAAAATACAAAATTAGCCTGGTATGGTAGTGTGTGTCTGTAGTCCCAGCTACTTGGGTGGTGGGGGGCAGGCTGAAATGGGAGGTCGAGGCTGCAGTGAATCTAGATTGAGATTGCACCACTGCACTCCAGCCTGGGTGACAGAGTGAGACCTTGTCTCAAAAAAAGATAAAGGACAATCAAAGAATGGGAAAAATATTTTCAAATTATATATCTGATAAGGAACTTATATGAAGAACATCTAGGCCAAGCATGGTGGCTTATGCCTGTAATCCCAGCACTTTGGGAGGCCGAGGCAGACGGATCTCCTGAGCTCAGGAGTTCAAGACCAACCTGGGCAACATGGTGAAACCCCATCTCTACTAAAATACAAAAAATTACTTGGGTGTGGTGGTGCATGTCTGTAGTCTCAGCTACTCAGGGGACAGGCATGAGAATGGCTTGAGCCCCAGAGGCGAAGGTTGCAGTGAGCCGAAATTGCGCCACTGCACTCCAGCTTGGGCTACAGAGTGAGACTCTGTCTCAAAAAGAAGAAAAAAAAAAAAAAAGGAATACCTAAAGAGCTACTACAGCTCAATAATAAGATGACACAGAACCTAATTGAAAACTGAACAAAAGATCTGAACAGACATTCCTCTAAAGAAGGTATATTCAGCATCCTTAGCAGGGAAATGCCAATCAAACCATATGATCACACTCACTAGTGTGGCTGTGATCGAAAAGACAGATGATAACAAATGTTGATGAGGATGTCGAGAAGTCAGGACTTTCATACTCTGGGATGGGAATACTAAATGACACAACCGCTTTTTAAAAAAAATCTGGTAGTTCCTCAAAAAGTTCTGCTTGAGTTATTATTCAAATCAGCAATTCCAGTACTATGTATATACCCAAGAATGATGAAAACATGTCCACACAAGAGCTTGTACACAAATGTTCATAGTATTATAATGGCTAACAGGTAGAAACATGGCACATGTTCATTCACTGAAGAATAGACAAAATGCAGTAGATTCAGGCAGCGCAATATTATTCAGCCATAAAAAGGAATGAAGTTCTGGCACAGAGAAACCCTGAAAACATGCTAGGTGGAAAAAGCCAGACACAAAAGGTCACATGTGAAATTCCATCGAGATGCAATGTCTAGATGAGACAAAATCGGTAGAGATGGAAGGTAGATGGGTGGGTGCCTAGTGCTAATGAGGAGGGAGAGGGATGGAAGTGAGGGTTGATAACTAAAGGGTTACAGGATTTCTTTTGTTGTAATAAAAAGATCCTAGATTGTAGTGAAAACCATTGAATTGTGCGCTTCAGATGGTTGCATTGTGGTATATGAGTTATGTCTCAAAGCTATTAAAAAATGAACTCACAAAAAAGTGCGCACTTACGGTTGCAGGCTCTCGAGCTAAGGAGAGGCCTCCCGCAGGCTCCCGTGAGTGCAGAGGCTGACACACCAGCCCAGAGCTCACGATATCTCGGGACTTGGGGCAGTGGGGACAGTCAGGAGCCTGTGCTAGAAAGGTCCTAATTGTCACTTCTCAAGCAGGAATCAGTGGACCTTGTTTAGTGGCTGCCTTTATCATGCTGGGCTGCTTCTCTCACCCCTTCCTCTGTCCTTTCCCATTACGCAGTGCCGGCTTCTCCCAGCGCCTCTGTCCTAAGACAGAGAATTTGCCCAGTGTGGTCCGTTGCCCTTCGGCAGGCCCTTTCACAGTGCACCTTCCCCTTGCTGCCTCTCTGCACCCTCCTTGCCTTTCCCCTGGAGGGGCTTTCCTGCAAGTCATGCACCCACCATGGCTGCCATTCCCAAAGACTCTGACAAAGAAGCCCTACTGCTTCTCCCTGGGCCAGCCATCATCTTTGCAGCCTCATAGAAAAGCCATCCCGAGCATCACATTGGAGACACCCTCCCATAGGCTGGTTGGGTTTGGAACTGAGAGTCAAGGATTTTCTTTCCCCATGTTCTCTGTGCTTCTCACTTGCAAGGGAGCCTGGACGGGACCCCCTATGTCTCTGAGCAGTAGCTTGTACACTCATAACATGCAGAGAATAACAGTATTCTCTGCATGTTATTTCAGCAATAACTTGGTGAGTCGTCTCTTCATTTTCTAGGTTATTTCTTTTTCATATTTATACTACTTACTCCCAGGTTCTTGCAGGATTTGACATTGCTTAATATCGGCCTGAGCCCACCTACCTTAGTACTGGACAAGATGAAAAAGGGTGTTGTAAACTGTACAGGGAGGCCAGTCTCTGGGGGTCCCTCTGGAACCACGCAGACCCGCCTGTCCTCCTGGTGGCCCCAAGCTAGCCCCGAGACTCGGCACACCTGAGGATCAATGCTTAGATTTGCTCACCCCAGTCAGTGAAATCCTACCCTGAAAAAAGTGCCATCCTCCTTTTCTCCTCATCCCCTGCACCTCTGCCTCAAACCCCAAAACAGAAACATAAGGATAAGAATGAGCAAACATTACACACTGGTGAGACAGTGAAAATAAGAACGTAACCAAAGTCGTGGCCAGGATCCCTTCACACACAGACAGGGTAAGTCTTTCCTCGATAATATATGTACTCTGGAAATACTCCAGAATTAAAATTAATGTTTTAAAAATAACTGAGCACATCCCTTATGATCACGTTTTACATCTGTTCCTTTCTAAGAAACCATTTGAGACCTTCTAGAAAGACCTCACATAGGCTGGATTCATAAACATTCAGGACTGCCTGTCAGAGCTAATATGGTGAAACCTGGGTCATTTCTAACCATCTAGAGCATTGCTGGGGAACTGCATGCCTGGCCTCTGTTCAAAGGTATTGCTCTTTTGAAAGCTGAGCACCCTGAGTACCTGAGGGTTGCCTTTTTACAAATGTTCCAAGTGCTTGAGTTTTCCCCATGGAGTATGACATTAATCTTAGGTCCCCGGGGTGATGGGGCATTTGCTGGGAGACAGGCAGGTTCTCCTTTTCCAAGGAAGGTGGCCTTCCAGCTCTGTGTGCCTGCATGTTTATGCTAAGGGGATTATTAAGGAAAGAATAGAATGAAACATTTATCAGTAAGCTAAGGGCATTGCACTGGGAAGGAAGAGGCTGAACCTGTTTTAACTTTTTCTTATGTGGGAATGAGTTTATCAGGTCCTTTTCCAAGAGAGGTTTTAATGCTGGAGGAATAAGGAGAACAAGTAGGTGTCGGGCACACGAGGGAGCAGGATGGAGATATCTGAAGCCACCAGTGGCCCTTTCTCCAGTTCTGTTTGGGACATTTTCCGAGAGGGACTTAGTGGCTTAAATGTCAAAGGAAAGAGTTTGCAAGTGGACTGTCTGGGACTGCTTGTCGGCCAAGGTCACAAACACCAGTTCTGATAGAAACAATGGTGTACACGCGGGGTCCTTCTTCCCAAGCCCAGCAGTGGCATCCCCTTTCTGCAGGGGCTCACTGTGCTCTTCAGGTGAGGCCAGGCATCCAGCCTGGTAGTGGCAGGTGCTTCCCAGGCTGCAGACTGCATGCTCTGCAGCCTCCTTGTTGGCCGGCCAGGCCTCTGCACTGTGTACACAGTGACCACGGTCACAGCACTGCCTCCCACAGCACGGCCTGTGCCAAGATTAGAGGGAAAGGGGATTCCGTGGGCATGTCAGGTAGGGAAGTGCTGGCTCAGACAGCCCCACAGGTCTGAATCCTCCATGGTCTCTTGCCAGCAGACGCACTGTTGGTGTGCCACTGTGTGCTGTGAACCACTTTGAGAATCCCAGCCTTGTGCTTCTTCCCAGGAGAATTGTAATCCTGGAGTCTACCTTTCCTGGAGCTTCTGCAGAAAGAGGTGCTCTCAGCAGCAAGGTCAAGGCACTGTGGGCTCACAAGGGCTTGGAGGACCCTATACCTTCACTAGAAAAGTAAACACAGCCAACCTCTTTCTTCCATTGGATAGAGCTAGTGTATAGTGGAAGGTAAGGAGACCATCCAATAAGCTGATGGCATCACTGCCAATCAAACTGCTGTCCCCACCAGTCTCCCAATCTGCTCTGAAGCCATGGCTGTGGTGTGGAAATGGAAGGAGGTGATCGTGGCACCACTGGCTTCTAGAGCACAATTGGGCCTTGCTGGGCCACAGAAACCAGATCTGAACTTGCCCCAAAAAGATAAGAGAATATAGAAAGAATGTGGAGTAGCTCCCAAAATTGAAGAGACACCGAAAAGTTGGTCTGGGAGAGAAGATCCCCGAATTGGCTGGAGCAGCTCCTGTATCCACTCCAAAGGTCACTCTGCTCAGAACCCAGGTTCCTGCAAAGTCTTATCAGTCTTTCTCAGCTCATGTGCTCTCCTGTTGGCCAACAAACGGGAGCATGGTAAAGAAAACCGAGGTGTTCTCACCTCTCACCAGAAGAAGGAAGATGACGTGAGACAGGCAGAAACTATTAAGTCCTATAGACAGGCTAAGGTCATGATCTAACCAAGACTGAGAAATGAAGACTGTCCAACCCATTCTGCTCTCAGCTAGAATGAGAGCAGGCAAGTCTGTTAGCAAGAGGGCTACTGTACTGGAAAATCCCTGTGTACTGGGAAAAGCCAGCCCAACTGGAATGTTACTCTTGGATGGGAACTTTCAACATCAGCAGCTGTGTGATTCTCAAAGCATGAGAGTTTTTTTTCCAAACCCTTCATGACTGGGTGTGGTACAACCTGTTACCAAATCCAGACTTATCCTGGTTATTTTAACCTCAAGATTGTACCAACAGAATCTTCAGTCCCCAGAGTGTAATTTGATCAGGTGTGATGGCTTGGGAAAAAAATAAAAATGGGTGCAGTGGACTCATCAGCTGCTGGTTCAACCCTGTTCACTGGGCCTTCTGCTTCCCGTTGAGAGCTTAGTTTGGACCCATAAATTCCAGAGAACCATTTTTTTTCTCTCAAAACAATACTTGAAAATGATTATTGTAAAAGTAGAGAATTTTAAAACTCAGAAATTGTATTCTTGCTAAGACGTAAAGTACAGAAGCAGCAGAAAGGCAAAGCTCTTTGGGAATGGGCCAGTTCACTGTTGCTCATCAGCAGTAAGGAGAGAAAGGAGGAAGTGGCTGCTGGCTGTCTCGTGGGTTAGGTAGCCCCACAGTCCCTCTGGAAAGTCGACGTATTCACCTCATTTTACAGATGAAGACTTCGAGACGCTTAGTCATTAAGTAGCTTTCCCAGCTCATTCTGGTAACAGAATGCAAAACAATGTTTTCCTCCTTTAAATCTTACATACTTTCTGCTTTCTCGTTCTCATTTTAAAAACAGTACAGCCTGCTTCTGCCATGGCATTAAAAAGAACCCTTTTGACCAAGGCAGCTCTAAATTGATATCCAAAAGCGGGGCAAGAGAGTCATCAGACAGTACTGTAGTGGCATTTAACTCCGAGTGCTATCAAGGGGAAGCTGGAGTGGTTCCTTTCCCTGGAAGTGAAACTCGCAGCCCAAAGGCCCAAAGCTCTGGGATTAAACACTAGAGCAATTTTTCAGAATGCTGTAGTTAGTTGGTTTTCTGGCTTGTTGTTAGTGTTATCTGCACCCATACTAGAAAAGAAATGAAAATTCAGGACATATCTAACATAAGGGGTTCAATATGAAGGTGGTTTCCCAGGAGACCTGGGGAGATTTGGGGTTGAGGCAGTGAGAGGTGCTGACGGGTGCCTTCCTGGACCTCTGAGACAAGCACACTTTCTACCCATGCCTAGCTGACCTTGAGCTTGGAGGGGCTGGGAGGGACTCTCAGTCAGACCCCAAGTAACCAGTGATGCAAGTTGGCAGGCAATGGAGGAGAGGTGCGTCTGTGTCCCAGGCCTGAGATTTTCTGGATAAGGAACTAAACCTTTGATACCCGTTCAGGAATCAAACCCACAGCTTCTGAAACCTCCATGCTGTCCTCTATGGGTAAGTAATGCATCTACCTGTACCAAGTGCCGCGTATAGACAGGACACCTCCGTCATTCCTGTATGGTCTGTGTGACTCTGTTTCTTTAGTCTTCCCTTTCTTTTTCTTGTTCCTCTTCCCCGTAAGGGCAAGGACCTTATCAGTGCTCAATTCACTCAGCAAATATTTGTCAGGAACTTATTTGTAGAACCAAGCTGCCACACGGTGAGTACTCTACAAATATGGAAATCACTGGGTGTGCAGCTTAGTCTCCAGTGCCCAGCAGCGCCTAGAGCTTAGTAGGTCTTAGTAAGTCATTTGAACAGATAAATGGATTGTTTGATACTGGTGGAGGGAATGTGCCTCAGTCATCCCAGAATTGCTCATCTCTATGGTTAGCGGCATTATGTCGAAAATGAGATTTCATTCCGGTGGCATGAGCATTTACCCATTAGGGGACAGATGTCTGGTCTGGACAGATGCTCCGTTGATGAAGGGGTGGAAATCAGAGGCTGGTTTAGGACCCTGGTGTATGTTGGATTGTCTTCTAGTTAAATCATTCACCCTCTCTAGGTAGAGCCTGTGGTCGACTTTACCCATGCTGTGTCCTACCCATAGCCCACCTTGACTTCTTCCTCTAGTCCTACTCATTCCACTCTCAGCAGCAGTTTCTGCAGACATATTTTAAATCTTTCCTTTACCTGCTCATGCTTTACAGCAGCCTTTATTGAAATGGATTTGTTTAAAGTTGGAAGCAATAGCAAGATCATCATCTACTTATCATGTAGAGGCAGGAAGACATGCAATTTGTTAGGTTCGGTAGCTAGCCAGAAAAAGAATGAAATGCTCCATCCATTTCACCCAGGGGCAGCTTCACATGGTGGGCATTGAGAGACTGACCTCAGGTCCCCACCTCACCCCTAGCTGCATGCAAACCCACGGGCAAGTTACATGATCTTGCCATCTGTAAACATGGGAAATGAGAACATCTGTCATAGAAGTCTTGAGGAGATGAAGTGAAGTAATGCCTATAAATTCCTTCACCCCGAGTCAGCACTCCGTGAACGCCAGCCAAAACTATCATCACTGCTCAACTACAAAACTATATCGATGATGAACATCAGCCAGCTGTTGGACCCCAACATTTTGTGGGTTATCCATTATTTCGTAAGACACTCCTCACACATACACATGTGAGCGTGCACACACACATTTTTAATACAGTTATAACTACATAATCTAAACCCATGCTGGTATTTTCCAGATAGTAAAAGATTGCGGGCAGGTCCCAGAGTATACTAACATTCCCCTTCTTGTCAGAACAAGATCATATAATTTATACGTATTTCAGAGTAAATTGCAACAGCAGAAAAGTCTTGAGTGGTTCATTTCTAACCTCTTGAATGCTTCTGAGCTCTCTACTTGTGAACTTTAGATAGTATCATCAGCAGGATGGGGGTAAGACTAGGGAAGGAAAAAGGATCATGGGAGGGTCTCAGCATCATTCAAACCCGAAGATTGGATTTCAGGCTCAGCGCGTGACTAGAGATTTCACAGATGTGCCATGCCCAGGTGGCTCATTACAGACCACTGGAGCCCTGGTAGGGGGAGCGTGAGGAGGTTGCATTTGTGGGTGGATGTGAAAGGCTGGTTCCTGCCAGCACTTCTGTCTGCTAACCTGTATTTGGGTTTAAATACCACTGAAGGAAGGAGCCTGATGAAATTGAAGTACATAATTTCCAAAAGGAATTCCTTACGACATTAAGGGCAGAAATTAGCACTGAGGAGGTAATGAACGTGCCCTGGCCCACACCGTGCACATGGCTCAGTCGTGTTTTCCTTCCACGACTCTTAATCCGCTTCCTGGGAAGAGGATGTTCCCTGGCCAGGGGGAGAGAGCTTTACCCTGAATCATGAGAACAGGGAGGGAAAAACATTTCAGCTGCACCTGCCCAGTGAGTTGTCAGGGAGGACAAAGGGTGATCTGGGGGCCAGCACCTCTCAGAGAGCTGATCCGAAGCAAGGCTCAGGCCTCGGGTGATTATTTTCCCAATATGTCTAGTGGCTCTACTGTGCTGAAATCCCCAGGAGACTGGGTAACTGACAGAGTGCTGGGCCCCACTCCCAGAGCTTCTGATTCAGTACATCCAGAGTGAGACCTGGAAACTTACATTTCTAGCTAGGGCTCTGATAGCACTCATGATGCTGGTCCAGGGACTGCATTGAGAACCACCAGCATATAGTAACGAAGGTCCCTTGACATTTTAACTCAGAAAGCATGGTGGAAATCACCAGATTTGGTGAATTGGGTCCCATGACTTGAATCTAACAGCAGATGCAAAAATCCTTCAGTAGAGATAGAGTATGGGGCTTATCTAGGAGGGAAAGGTAGTCGGTTACCTCATCTCCTGAAGACTTCAGGGCCCAGAGCCCAGGCCACTGAGGGGAGAGAGCCACAAAGCAGAGACCTAACCAAGTGGAGACTGAAGGCAGGACTTTGCAGGAGGCTCCAGGCGTTGCATGGCAGCAGCTCTGGTGACTGGAGCTGGGGATGGAAATGAGGCAGCCGGATGCCCTAATTGACAGACAAAGCACTCCCCATTTCTCCTCTCTCTGGCATAAATGGATGAATGAAAGGACTCATCACCCTGACTTTATTTCTTACAAAGCAGGAAGGTTTGTGACAACCTGGGAAGCAACGGCCATTTTGTTTTGCAGTTTGCCACAGTCAGGAAAGGAAACCGAGCAGGGTTAAATTTAGATCCCTATGTTTTGAGAAGATATTAATAGAATAAGTAAAGGTCAGAGTAGAGGTAGTTTTGTTCCCACAGCTACAGAAAGTCAATACAGCTCAGCACCAAGCGGAAATCTGGGAAGATTCCATTCTGACTCCATAATCACAACTGACCCAACAAGACATAAGATGGGAGACATACTCAGGACTAGGGGTTCACCCTGGTGGCTCAGGGTGAACCAGATGGAAAGACCCAAGTGCACTGAGGCATGCAGCAATGGGAGGGAGGAAACAGTTTGGAGCCTTAGCAGGCAGCTCGGGCCAGACAGCGAGATGTCCGCAAACAGCCTTGCTAAGAAAGGTTTGACAAAGATAACTTTTTGTGGTTGTTTTAAGTTAGCCCTTGAAATAAGGAAAACTGAGAAGGAGATGCCTGTTAAGGCTAAAAGTGACAAAAGGCAAAGTGCAGGTTCACTGCTGCTTTTCAAAAAGGAGAAGGAGGGTAAAGGTAGAAGGCAAAGGTAGAAGAAAGCAGGCAAAGAGCATGGCAGCTCAAGAAAACTAAGGAGGGAACCCTGAGAAGCAGAAGCAGTAGAGTGAGGACTCCAGCAGCCAGGTTCCCATCTCAGCCCCGCTGCTGCCAGCAGGGGACCTGCAGCAGGCCACTCAACCTGTCTGTACGACAGGGGACTGAGAGAGTTCCTACCTCAGAGGGCTGTCATGAGAATGATGCGAGCTAAGAGAAATAAATGGCTCAGGACAGTTCCTGGCACACAGTAAGAGCTAAATTTGTCATTTTTATGATCACTGTTATGATTTTCTAGAAGTGTCCAAAACCCCATTCCAGGACAAAATCCAATCCAAGATGCTACAGAACTTTACAGCTGTCATCTCTGAGGCTCTGCTGACTGGTTCTGAGAAATCACAGCAGACAAGAGCAGAGCCAGTGGTCTGAGGGCTGGGTCTCAATTTCCCAAACAGATAAATGGCCGGGTCCGAAGAATGCCGTTTCAGAGTGCTGTCAACCCCTGGCACAACTAGAGGATGAGGGATGATTTAGGCAGATGGTTTGCATGCATTTTTGAAAAGAAGGCTGCATGAGTGCCCCAAATGTGCGAGGGTTTAATGAGAACATTCTGCGCCTGTCTGACAGTGTTATTGGGGTGGTGGGTCAGGTCAGCAGAGCACTTAGTAAGCTTCCCATGATATTATTATGGATGAAGCAGGGACACAGATGGCAGCTGATGGCTCATCACCCAGGCACTACAGTTCCTAGAGGGTCTGTCTGTGGCTCTGCCTGTACAGCTTGTCAGCAGCCTCCTGTCATGTGACTTCTCTGGGTAGGGCTCCCCAGTGGGGACTGCCATGGGGTCAGGAGACTCCACAGAAATGTGTGGCTATCAAGTGGTAGGACTCGTCTCAGAACGGGGCACTCATTCTACTCCCCAGCCCACTCCTTCTGACTCATGAGACTCAGACTCCCAGTTCTCAGGGTCTGCATGATGTCCTCACAGATCAGACCAAGATTTTATAACTAGCTAAACTATCCTTCGAGTATCAAAGCTTTAGAAAAACAATTTTAAGTAGACAAGAGCTGAGGACGCTGTATCCATGAGCCCTTCTTGAGGAATTTACCGGAGCAGGAATCAGCAAACTTTTCCAGTGAAAGACAGATATTAAATATTTTAGGCTTTACAAGCTGTATAGTCTCTGTCTTAACTACTCAATTCTATTGTAGCACAAAAGCAGCTACAAACAATGTATAGACAAATAGACAGGGCTGTATTCTAATAAAACTGTATTCACCAAGACAAGTATCAGGGAGGATTTGGCCCTCAGGCCATAGTTTGTCAATCCCACTACTATCATAGGATGCCCTTCATCTAACCAAGAGATGACTAGGGTCAGCGGTAAAAGGGCTGATGGTGAGCATCTTAGGATGTTTAATTGTGGAGCTAAGACTAACACAAAGTTAGATACAGGAATGAAAAATAATATGTAAATGTTATATGCTCTGACAAAATGAAAAGAATGCAACTAAAAGCAATAGAAAAAAGAGTAGAATAAAAGAATAAAAAGAAAGAAAAAACAGAAAGCAGGAAAATCAAATAATAACATTTGTCGTTGTTTAGAGAGTGGGTGGAAGTCAAGAGATATCATTAAAAACTGATAAACCAGGTAGTAAAAGATTAGGAAAGAGAGACAAAGTGCGTTTTACAAAGGTATGAGTACTTCTGCACCTCCCGACTGTTGTTCACCCTGTTCTCCCTGCCCATAATGCCTTCACCTGTATTCTCCACTTGTACACATTAAAACACAATGTGATACCACTGACACACCCACTAGACTGATTGAAATAGAAAAGACAGATGATAGTATGTTTTGGCAAGGACGTGGAGCCATTGGCAATCTCTGTCATTGCTGGTGTGAGTGTAAATTGGCATAACCACTTTGGAAATCTATTTGTCTAAACATACAAATTCTCATGACCCAGAAATTCTACTCCTAGATTGTTTCAAGGTGGGCAGAGCTATGCAGACATTCCCCAAAGTCTGAGGAAGCTGAGAGGCCAAAGAGGCTGACAAATCCAATTTCTTAGAAAGAAACATTTAATAGGGACTTAAAAACAGAAGCCATGCCTGTGCCTCGGGCAGCAGCAAGACAAGATGGTGGATCCCCATGCCATTGTCCCCCAGACCCAGGTCAAGGAATGGTTCAGATGCAATTTGTAGGACAACTGAAGTGTGATAGCATAAGGTTGTTTGACCTAAGAGCACAATTTATGGTATGTGCCTGCTTTTACACAAGCAACAGTAGATAAATTGGAAATCTCGGAGGCCTTCCTGGAACTACAGTTAGTCAGTTAAGCCAACATGGCGGATAAGCATTCAAGATGGAGTTGCTTTAGCCTCCCATTTAAGATGCAGTTGCTTTAGCTTCCACATAGGTGTATGCCAGCAAGTTGTACAAGACATGTACAAGAATGTTCAGCACAGTGCTAGTCATAAGAGGCCAAAACCTGAAACAACCCAAATGCACATCCACAGTACAATGGATGGATTGTGGTCTAGTCATACAATGAAATACGACACAATGATGAAAATAAACTATTGTTCTACAAAACTTGGATCAGTCTCACAAATAAAGAAGCTAGACACAAAAGACAAGAGTGCCTGCTCTGTGAGTTCATTTATATAAAGTTGAAGGACACGCCAAACAAACCTGTGATGGTAGGAGTCAGAATTGTTGGGGGAGGCTCATAACTGAGTATGAGGAGGCCTTCTGAGGTTCTGGTAATGTTCCTTTTCTTGATCTGAGTTGTAGTTACAAGCCTTGCTTTGTGAAAATTTCATCAAGCTGTATACTTATAATTTATATACTTTTATGTATTTATGTGATACTTGAATAAAACTATCAAAAATGGTTGGAGTAAAACAAAAACAAAAACCTATAGATACCAAAAAATAAATAAACAGTAAAGAAATAACATCTAAAAAACACAGAAAACACAATAAAATATACACAGTAATTATAATTAAATACTACTACAAAGTTGAGATCAAGTGTATTGGAATTGGCCTAGCTTACTGGTTAAAAGAAAAAAATTTTCTTTTTCTGAAAGAAAAGGCGTGGTGGCTCACGCCTGTAATCCCAGCACTTTGGGAGGCCGAGGCTGGCAGATCACCTGAGGTCAGGAGTTCGAGACCAGCCTGGCCAATGTGGTGAAACCCTGTCTCTACTAAAAATACAAAAAAATTAGCTGGGCGTGGTGGCGAGTGCCTATAATCCCAGCTACTGGGGAGGCTGAGGCAGGAGAATTGCTTGAACCCTGGGGGTGGAGGTTGCAGTGAGCCGAGATCACGCCACTTCACTCCAGCCTGGGCAAAAGAGTGAAAGTCTGTCTCAAAAAAAAAAAAAAAGAAAAGAAAAGAAGAGAAAAAGATTGTCAAATTGGCTCACAAAGACCCAACTATATGCTGTATGCAAAAAAACACACCTAAAAGAAACCGATTCAAAAAGGCTAAAAATAAAGGTATTCCAGGGAAGCAAAAACAGTAAGAGAGCAGAGGTAGCAATCCTAACTTTAGACAAAATAGACTTCAAGCCAAAAAGCATTAAATGTGGCAAGGAAACTTACATTAAAAGTCTTAATTTATAATGAAAATATAACAGTTATGAATATTTATGCTTCAAATAACACAGCAGCCATTTATATAAAGTATAAACTACAGGAGATACAGAGAGAAATGTATTGGCTATAGGAGACAACATTAGCGTACCACTCTCAACCCAAGACCGATCTCCCTGACTGTGTGATCCTGAGCAGGTTACTTCACAGGAGCTCCCCGCTTATCTAATTGGGAATCAAGTGAAGACTAAAGCACACAACATCTGGCATATAGAAGGGTCCAGTTAGTGTGGTTCTTATTGTTTATTTACTTGAAGCAGGTCACATTGCAACTAGACATGTATTTGTCAAGGTCACGTGCTAAGGAAACATTGACCGGCAGGGAACATCCAAAGCAGGGGAGTGGGGTGGAGGGACTGTAGCCTGGACACTGCTGCCTCTTAAGGAACAGCTGAAGGGCTACATGCATAGGCAGAAAGAAGACACAAGGGATACATAGGAGGACTTTTGGAAACCTTGCCCCTTCACAATGTAAAGCCTTCACAAATGTAAAGCATCGTCACTAGAGAACAAGCATACCCAACAGGCTAGTGGGTCAGGCATGGCCGGGTCATAGTGTAATGAGATCCCCATCACGGAGAGATCCAAGCACTCCTCCCTGGCCCTCTGAATGATGTTGCTCAACACTTTGGATCCAGGACTTCCATTTGTACCCTGTGGAAATCATCCAAAATATGGACAAAATGGGCACCTACCCAAATGACCAGGTATGCACTGGTTCAGTAATGTATGGCTCTATCTATATGACAGAGTAATATGCAAGCATTAAAAAGTTAATCTTTAGCACTTTGGGAGGCCAAGGTGGGAGGACTGCTTGAAGCCAGGAGTTTGAGACCAGCCAGGGCAACAAAATGAGACAACATCTCTACAAAAAAAATTTTTTAAATTAGCCAGTTACAGTGACATGTGCTTGTAGTCCCAGCTATTCGGGAGGCCGACGCAGGAGAATTGCTTGAGCCCAGGAGTTCGAGGCTGTACTGAGCTGAATTGTACCACTGCCCTCCAGCCTGGGTGACAGAGCAAGACCCCATCTCAACAACAACAACAAAAAAAAATCAACCTTTAGAAAAGATTTTTGATTGCATAGGAATTGCTTCGCTATCAATAGCGATGCACAGTATACAAAGATTTGTGGTATGACATCAACATCAAAGGAAGATGTTTAGGAAGAAAGACTAGGATCATGTGTGTCCTTTGGTTCTCTCGCTATTTTTTGTACTTTCCAGATTTTCTACAATGTGCATGAATTAAATTTATAAGTTCTACTAAGCAGAAAATACGGCAATAGAAGAGATAAACTAAAGTGAGTGAGAATAGCCCAAGATGCCCTGGAGATCAGCGCAAAGATCATTTTTGTAAGCTCCAGGTCACTTGTCAGTTTTCTTCATAGAGAACCATGGAATTTAATTAAATTTAGAAGACATTCATGAGGTCCTTAAGAAGCACGAGGCTCTGTGCTAGAGTCTGACTTTCAGAAGAGATAGGGAGAAGGCAAGGACTTGGACAAGGACCATCCACAGCAAGATGTGACCAGGCTTTTGTGGATGAAGAGAGGAAATCTGGACTCTGAGTGGCCCCAAATACAGTTATTTCACCAGGGAGTGGGATATTCTCTACAATTCTGTGAATAAAATTTTCTTGGCCAGGCAAAGTGGCTCACCCCTGTAATCCCACCACTTTGGGAGGCCGAGGCAGGCAGATCACCTAAGGTCAGGAGGTTCGAGACCAGCCTGACCAACGTGAAACGCCGTCTCTACTAAAAATACAAAAAAAAAAATTAGCCCTGCGTGGTGGCAGGCACCTGTAATCCCAACGACTCAGGAGGCTGAAGCAAGAGAATCACTTGAACCCAGGAGACAGAGGTTGCAGTGAGCCAAGATCACACCACTGCACTTTATCCTGGGCAACAAAAGTGAAACTCCGTCTCAAAAAAAAAAAAAATTTTTTTATTTTGTTCACCTAAAAACAAAAGTTGACAAGGGAAAACATCACACAACTTGGTTCAACAAGACTTGATGGAAGAGTCTCTTTTCTCAGGGTCTTGAAGGCAGAATGGCAGCCAGCCAGTCTCCTGTGTGCCTCTTGCTGAGAAATCCTTAAAGCCCGATTAGACAGAAACATCTTTGCAGAGCAGACCTTTAGGAAACTGTTTTTGAAAATTCAAGAAGAAGCAGTGCTCCGGTGAAAACAGATCATGTGACAAGATACTTGCTGAGCAAAAGTCTCAAAAGCATATGGATGAGTGAATGCCATCAGCTTCATACAGCCAGAAATAAAATGAATCTCCTTCCTTTCTGCTTGGAAGGCTTACGGACGTGGTTTCTGTAGCTCATTAGCTATTAAAATTATTAACAAATTATTATTTTCAGTTGAAAGTGGTTACGGTATTCATTATTCCTCCCATGCCAAGACTCTCTGTAATTTACTCAGAACATGAATTATCCAAAGCAATCCAGAGTTTCTAAATAGTTTTGGACCGGGTTCACTGCCTTTGGCTCAGCAAACCTGTCAGGGCTGGGTGGCTAAAGGTCTCCGTTACATAATTTACTGGTAACTTAATTGAGACTAATTACTGTGTCTCATTTGCCTGCCTGAAGAACATCTGCCCGGCAGCTGCTGTAACTGCGTTTGGTTGGGGTGTTTGAATCTTTTTGTGATGTGAAATAAAGGGCATGAATATTTTAATGTAGACTTATCCCACTGTCACTTTTTATAGGAAACTGCTGGTTGTTTTATTGGCCAGCAACATTAATACGAACTTTCTCTCCAGTGTGCCAGAGCCGAGGTTTAGGGTGGACTCAGCACACGCTGCCTTAGTGGGGTCCACCGCCGAGGAGGAGGTGGGGGCTGTGGCTAAGTCAGCACATGGGGTTGTGGTGCACGCAGCTCCTGGACTGCTCTGTGATATGCCTGCTGGGGGCCTGCATCCATCCAGAAGGGGACACTGGGTGATAACAGATTGACCATATAGGATCAATCGTTGGCACATCCACGTGAGAAACAAATGAGTTTCAACCCATTTCACAGATGGAAAAACTGAGCCCGGGGAAGTTTAGTAGCCAAGGTCAACAAAGACTTAGCCTGGGAGCCCGAACTAGATCTGAGCCTCTTGACTCCTAGGAGCACCCAAGCCATAGCAAGGTCAGGATAGTCTTGGCAGGAACGGTATCATTTAGGCCATTTGGAGAGCCTCAGATGAGCCAGCAGTGGAAGAGAGAACATCTAGGACCTGTGGAGGAGCAGGCGCTTGACATTGGCCAACCGAGAAATGAGGAGGGCGTGCAGGCAGAGGGACCGGTGCCAGCATGTCTGAGTGAAGGAACAGCCAACAGCCTGGGAGGGAGGAGCACATGTGGCTGGCCAGGGCCAGGGCGACAAGGCTTGTTCCCCTTACCTTCATCTACCCTGGTACTTCTTTTTCTTAGTCCAGAGTCTTATTTTTGTTTCTCTGCATATATTCCTGAAAACAGCTGCAGTCCTTGGGTGGCACTATGAAGGAGCGTGGACTGAACGAATGAGTAAATCATCAGACTGGCTGGGACCGGAATGCTGGGCTCAGGATATGGAAGGCATTAGGTACTAGGGAGCCGTCGAAAGTTTCAGACTGGAGCTGTGGCAGAGAAGCATAGGTTACTTGGAAGGGAAAAGAGATTACATGTTTGTTTTTGGGGAGGCAGTGCAGTTAGGAGACTGTTATGGCACCCTAGCGAAGGGTGGCCATGGATATGGGGAGGGGAAGGCAGATTTGAGATCCTTCGTGGTGGTTGGCTTGGTGGGACTTAGTGGTTGCTTGAACGTGGCACAGAGAGCAGTCCAAGATGACGCCCAGATCCTAACCCTGCATGTCTGGTCTTTGGAAAGGAAGTGGCCACTAGGCTTCAGTGATGGGGACTAGCAGAGTGGTCTGTGACACGCACACCCACCCAGAACCACAGGCCTGGTGGGACTCCCTGCTATCCTCTAGGCTGGTGAACACATCGGCCTGAAGCCTCCCAGGTGGAGAGTCAGGGGTCCCCTATGCCCTGTTCCCTAGTATCTGAAGGAACATGGCATAGATAAGGTCCTCAAACAGTTATTTGTAAGTGAGCCATGAGAGGGAAGAAGCCACAGACTGAACCAAGGAAAGAGCCAAGCTAGCTTAGAAAATGGGGGAGGAAGGAGATAGAGAAGTGGAGGGGAGAACAGCGAAGCTCCCAGCACTGGAGAAGCCCAGGAGGAAGCAGGAGAAAATGAGGAGGAGAGGCTGCCAGTGACAAAGCTGTCATCTGTACTAAAGATGATTATGACACGTCATGGTCTCCAAACACCCTTAGTCACTTGAGTCAGTGCATGGAGATAGACACAGCCGAACGCCAGCCACTGGGTCAGGATGGGCGCCCTGGGCCTCAGCCGTCTCCACATGGCTCTAGCCTGGATGTCTGTTGCCCCTGGGAAACCTCTTTTCAAGTTCACCATGAACATGGACTTTATAAGCCATAACTACCAGGGTCACTGCTTCTAACTTAGCAGCAGCATGTTGAGAGGCACCAGGAACTCAAAATAGACCCACGGAGGGTCACCTTGCAGCTTGTTGTCAGGGGCCTGGCTGGCTCCTGATGGCTCTGGGGGAGTCAGGGAGTGAACCTGCAGCTTGCAGTTAAAGGTAGTTGTGGGTGGGGATTCAGGCAGAGCTGTGAATTCCCTTGCTCGTAAAGCTGCATGCCAGAGCCCCAGGCAGCCAGCTCAGTCCTGTTGGAGCCCTGCCTCTGCCCCTTCGAACACAGTTGCTGAGGGAGCGCTTCCCCTGTGTCGCCCTTACAGGACAAGCGAGCTGCCTCACTCAGACTGCTGAGCACCTCCCTACCTTGCCCCAGGACATTTTCTGAGATCCTTGTCAAATTCTGAATATTTTCATGTCCAAAGTGGAGCAGCAGCGGGGGTGGAATGCTGGGGAGGTCTGCTTGTGTGTTTTCACATTGAATAATTTTGTGGGGCCGGGCAGCTGGGCCAGCAGGGCAGGGCCTCCCACTGGTGTTAATCCGTCCCCTGGGTGTTTTCTGCAGCCTACTTGGTTCAGGACTTTGGTGTTTATTTCTGATGGGTACGATTCCGGCTGCTGTCCTGGGAAAACTATGCCACGTCATTATGCTTTGGGAGTCTTTTTTTTCCAAATCTTAGGACAAGAGGCTTGGGGCTAACCTGTTAAGTTAGCATGTGTGAGTAGTAGGAATTTGGTGATCAAAACAAAGAAAGCAATGACAAGGACCCGTGTGCAGGCCAGTGGTGCAGAATCATCTCCAAGTGTGAGCTGGAGGGAGATGGGCATCTGGCTGTTGGAGCTTAGGCTCAGAACCACGGCAGCTGCTGCTTCAGGATAGGAAAGTGTAAAGTCCTAGACTAGAGGCCACAGGGCCAAATTCCACAGCAGACGTAGCTTGGCCCACACAGGCGTCTTAAGGTTTTAGGATTCATTTCCAACATTTTTAAATCAGGAGATTGCAGTAAGACTCTGGATTTTCAGCCTTACTTTTAAAAATGAACGGCGTGGCAACATTTGGCCTCAGTGGGCTGGAGCGCAGGTGTGGTCATACACCGGGTAGCACATGTTCAGTTGCCCGTGGTCTCAACCACTCACTGCAGCCAAGGTCAGTTAGTACATACCAGCCTGACTATAGCTTCTGTAAGTATTTTTCTTATAAAAATTTTCATGGTACAGAAAAGTACCGAGATTAACTAATAAACACGTCTCCACTTCCCAGTTTTAACAAATCTTTACAATCGCTGTATTCATTTCACATCCGTTAAGTCATAATATGTTACAGATACGTTGGAAGTCCTTTTTGACCCTCCCTAGTCCCGTTCTCCTCCTTTCCCCTGTTGGTATGTATGCATCTCATCCCACCCAAATTTTCAAACTTGCACTATATATGTATATATCCACAAACAGAAGAGAGTATTGTTTGTTGTGTCTTAAATAGTCTCTTAGGGTATGTACATCTGTCTTGCCCCTGGGAACTCGCCGTGTTGCTGCTGTAGCTCTTTGGCATTCGTTTTCTATATGATTTCGTCTTACACATTTATTCATTCTGCCATCGATGGACACGTAGGTGGATTGCCATTTGAGGTTTATACAATTATGGAGTGAATGTCGTTTTCTGGTTTTCTTGGGCACATGTGTAAGAAACTGTATCCCTAGAAGTGGAATAAGGCATAGGTTATACATAACTTGAGCTTTACTCCAAAGGGGTTACCTGTAGATAGCATCTCACCAGTACCGTGTGAGAACATTTCTCCCATCATGGCCAAATGTGGCTTAGTCACATATTTTTAGTGTTGTCAGTCTGATAGATGTGAAAGGGCACGTCCTCATTTGGTTTTTAAATTCCCCTGCTCTGTGGTGAGGTTGAATATTTTCAGATGTTTGGGGGATGTATTAGTCTGTTGTCACATTGCAAAGAACTACCTGAGACTGGATAATGTAAAAGAGAAGAGGCTTCATTGGCACACAATTCTGCAGGCTGTACAGGAAGCACAGCTGGAGAGGCCTCAGGAAACTTACACTCATGGCAGAAGGCAAAAGAGAAGTAGGCACTTCCTACCTGGCTGGAGCAGGAGGAAGAGAGAGAAGTGGGAGGTGGTTCACACTTCTAAGCAACCAGATCTCCTGAGAACTTACTCAGTATCATGAGAACAGCAAAGGGGAAATCCTCCCTATGATCCAATCACCTCCCACCAGGCCCCTCCTCCAACACGAGGAATTACAATTTAGCATGAGGTTTGGGTGAGGGCCCAGAGCCAACCCATATCGGGAGATATTTATATTTCTTCTTAAGTGATTTTTTTCTTTTATTGTTTGCCCATTATCTGATTAGGCAATTTGTCTTCTCTTAGTTGATTTGTATGTTCAGCTTTACAAAAGAAAAGAATGCTGACACAGGCTACGACACAGATGCACATTGAGGACATTACGCTAAGTGAAAACCCGTCACAGAAGGACAATACTGTATGATTCCGCTTATATAAGGCATCTAGAGTAGTGAATTCACAGAAACAGAAAGTAGCATGGTGGTTGCCAGGAGCTAGGGAGAGCAGGAAATAGGGAGTTATTGTTTAGTGGGCACCGAGTTTCAGTGTAGGAAGATGAAAAGCTTTAGAGATGGATGGGGTTGGTGTCTATACAATAATTTAAATATACTTAATGTCACTGAACTGTACAGCTTACAAATGGATTTGATGGTAAATTTCATTATGTATATTTTACCACGACAAAAAAACACACATAATGAAATACCACTTCACACCTACTAGCATGACTATAATCAAAAAAGACATAATAGGAAGTCTGTGTGATGATGGTGATAATCTAGAACCTGCAAGAACAAGCCAGCAACCCCAAGAGGACTCACAGACCCACTGAAGGAAGCAGACTGCTCCTGCAGGACCCAGGAGACACTCCAAATACTGTGAGTGCCCAAACTGTGGAAGTGGGAAAGGGAGAGCATCCTCTCCCAAACATACACCCCCACTGGAGAAAATGAAGGTCTGTTTTCGGGGGAAGTTTCCATCCTTACCTGGAGCTGAGTTAGTTTACAGAGTCGAGTGAAATACAGAAGTAGAGGAAGCAGCGGGAAAGGCCCTGGGAGCTCCCTGGGTCCCCAAGCAGGCCATTCCTGCCTGGCACCACAGGGATCCATCGGGAGGGAGGCCAGAGGAGAGGCTGAACACCACAGGGAGAAGGAAGTCTCCAGCTGAACTATGTAATAATTTGAACCGGGCAAGAAGCCTCCTGGCCAGAACTTGGGGGGAGGGCACAAATCCAGTGTGCAGATTCCACAGGTGGGGGCAGAAACAAGCCCTTTTCTTTCACAGCTGGGAGGCAGATAGCCTGGGGCAAGTTCTCAAGCCTAGCTTGCCCACTGCCTGGAAACAGACTCGGGGCTGTTGAGGGGGCACGTTGCGAGTGAGACCAGCCCTTTGGATTGCGTGGGAGCTGGGTGAGGCCTGTGACTGCCGGCTTTCCCCCACTTCCCTGACAACCTGCATGACTCAGCAGAGGCAGCCATAACCCTCCTAGGTACACAACTCCATTGACCTGGGAACCTCAACCCCATCCCCCATAGCAGCCACAGCAAGACCAGCCCAAGGAGAGTCTGAGCTCAGACGCGTCCACCCCTGCCCACACTTGAATGGGCCTTCCCTATCCACCCTGGTAACTGAAGACAAATGGCATATAATCTTGAGGGTTCTAGGGCCCCACCTGCCACTGATCCCTCTCCATACTACCATAGCTGGTGCTCTCTGGAAAGCATCACCTCCTGGCAGGAGGCCAACCAGCACAAAAATAGAATACTAAACCACCAAAGCTAAGAACCCTCACAGAGTCCATTTCACTCCCCTGCCACCTACACTGGAACAGGTGCTGGTATCTACAGCTGAGAGACCCAGAGATGGTTCACATCACAGGACTCTGTGCAGACAAGCCTCAATACCATCCTGGAGCCGGGTAGACTTGCTGGGTGGCTAGACCCAGAAGAGAGACAGCAATCACTTCAGTTCGGCTCACAGGAAGCCATATCCATAGGAAAAGGGGCAGAGTACTCCATCAAGGGAACACCCCATGGGACAAAAGAATCTGAACAACAGCCTTCAGCCCTAGACCTTTCCTTTGACAGAGTCTGCCCAAATGAGAAGGAACTAGAAAACCAACTCTGGTAATATGACAAAACAAGTCTCTTTAGTACCCCCAAAAAACTCACACTTGTTCACCAGCAATGGATCCAAACCAAGATGAAATCTCTGATTTACCTGAAAAAATATTCAGGAGGTTAATTATTAAGCTAATAAAGGAGGCACCAGGGAAAGGCAAAGCCCACTGCAAGGAAATCCAAAAAACGATACAAGAAGTGAAGGGAGAAATATTCAAGGAAATAGATAGCATAAAGAAAAAACAATCAAAACTTCAGGAAACATTGGACACACTTACAGAAATGCAAAATCCTCTGGAAAGTCTCAGCAATAGGATTGAACTAGTAGAAGAAAGTAATTCTCAGAGCTCGAAGACAGGTCTTTGAATTAACCCAATCCAACAAAGACAAGAATGAGAAAGTATGAACAAAGCCTCCAAGAAGTCTGGGATTATGTTAAACAACCAAACCTAAGAATAATCAGTGTTCCTGAGGAAGAAGAGAAATCTAAAAGTTTGGAAAATATATTTGAGGGAATAATGGAGGAATACTTCGCCAGCCTTGCTAGAGACCTAGACATCCAAATACAAGAAGCACAAGGAACACGTGGGAAATGCATCGCAAAAAGATCATCACTTAGGCACATTGTCATCAGGTAATCTAAAGTTAAGATGAAGGAAAGAATCTTAAGAGCTGTGAGACAGAAGCACCAGGTAACCCATAAAAGAAAACCTATCATATTAACAGCAGATTTCTCAGCAGAAAACCTACAAGCTAGAAGAGATTGGGGCCCTATCTTCAGCCTCCTCAAACAAAACAATTATCAGCCAAGTATTTTGTTTCCAGCAAAAGTAAGCATCATATATGAAGGAAAGATACAGTCTTTTTCAGACAAACAAATGCTGAGAGAATTCGCCACTACCAAGCCACCACTACAAGGACTGCTCAAAGGAGCTCTAAATCTTGAAACAAATTCCGGAAACACATCAAAACAGAACCTCTTTAAAGCATAAATCACACAGGACCTTTAAAACAAAAATACAAGTTAAAAAACAAAAAGAAAAACAAAAAAAAGCAAGGTACACAGGCAACAAATAGCATGACAAATGCAACGGTACCTCACATCCCAATAGGAACATTGAATGTAAATGGCCTAAATGCTCCACTGAAAAGATACAGAACCACAGAATGGGTAAGAACTCACCAACCAACCATCTGCTACCTTCAGGAGACTCACATAAACTAAAGTAAAGGGGTGGAAAAAGGCAATTCATGCAAATAGACAGCAAAAGTGAGCAGGGGTAGCTATTCTCGTATCAGACGAAAAAAACTTTAAAGCAGCCGCAGTTAAAAGAGACAAAGTGAGACATCATATAATGGTAAAAGGTCTTGTCCAACAGGAAAATATCACAATCCTAAACATATATGCACCTAACACTGGAGCTTCCAAATATATAAAACAATTACTAATAGACCTAAGAAATGAGATAGAGAGCAACACAATAATAGTGGGGGACTTCAGTACTCCACTGATAGCACTAGACAGTTCATCAAAACAGAAAGTCAACAAAGAAATAATAGATTTAAGCTATACCTTGGAACAAATGGACTTAAAAGATATATACAGAAGATTTCATCCAACAACTGCAGAATACACATTCTATTCAACAGCTTGTGGAACTTTCTCCAAGATAGACCGTATGGTAGGCCATAAAATGAGCCTCAATAAATTTAAGAAAATTGAAATTATATCAGGCACTCTCTCAGACCACAGTAGAATAAAACTGGAAATCAACTCCAAAAGGAACCTTCAAAATCATGCAAATACGTGGAAATTAAATAACCTGCTCCCGAATGAGCATCGGGTCAAAAAGGAAATGAAGATGGAAATTTAAAAATTCTTAGAACTGAACGACAGTAATGACACAACCTGTCAAAATCTCTGGAATACAGCAAAGGCAGTGATAAGAGGAAAGTTCTCAGCCCTAAACATCTACATCAGAAAGACTGAAAGAGCACAGACTGATATTCTAAGGTCACACCTCAAGGAACTAGAGAAACAAGAACAAGCCCAGCAAAAGAAAGGAAATAACCAAGATCAGAGCAGAACTAAATGAAATTGAATTTAAAAAAAGATAAACAAAAAGCTGGTTCTTTGAAAAGATAAATAAAATTGGTAGACCTTTAGCAAGAGTAACCAAGAAAAGAAGAGAGAAAATCCAAATAACCTCATTAAGAAATAAAATAGGAGATATTACAACTGATACCAGTGAAATGTGAAAGATTATTCAAGGCTACTGTGAACATCTTTATGTACATAAACTAGAAAACCTAGAAGAGATAGATAAATTCTTGGAAAAATACAACCCTTCTAGCTTAAATCAGGAAGAATTGCATACCCTGAACAGACCAATAACAAGCAGCGAGATTGAAATGGTAATTTAAAAGTTACCAACAAAAAAAAATCCAGGACCAGACAGATTCACAGCAGAATTCTACCAGACATTCAAAGAAGAATTGGTGCCATTCCTTGTGACACTATTCCACAAAATAGAGAAAGAAAGAACCCTCCCTCATTCATTCTATGAAGCCAGCATCACCCTAATGCCAAAACCAGGAAAGGACATAACCAAAAAAGAAAACTACAGACCGATATCCTTCATGAACATAGATTCTAAAATCCTTAACAAAATACAAGTTAACTGAATCCAGCAACATATCAAAAAGATAATCTACCATGATCAAGTGGATTTCATACCAGGGATGCAGGGATGATTTAATATACACAAGTCAATAAATGTGATACACCACATAAATAGAATTTAAAACAAAAATCACATGATCATCTCAATAGATGCAGAGAAAGCATTTGACAAAATCCCGCATCGCTTTATGATTAAAACTTTCAGCAAAACCGGCATGCGAGGGACATACCTCAATGTAGTAAAAGCCATCTATGACAAACCCACAGCCAACACAGTACTGATGGGGAAAAGTTGAAAGCTTTCTGTCTGAGAACTGGAACAAGACAAGGATGCCCACTCTCACTACTCCTCTTCAACATAGTACTGGAAGTCCTATCCAGAGCAATCAGACAAGAGAAAGAAATAAAGGGCATCCAAATTGGTAAAGAGGAAGTCAAACTGTGACTGTTGGCTGACAGTATGGTCGTTTACCTAGAAAACCCTAAAGACTCCTCCAGAAAGCTCCTAGAACTGATCAAAGAATTCAGCAAAGTTTCCAGAAACAAGATTAATGTACACAAATTGGTAGCTCTACCATATACCAAAAGCGACCAAGCAGAGAATCAAATCAAGAACTCATCCCCTTTTACAATAGCTGCAAAAAAATAAAATGCTTAGGAATATACCTAACCAAGAAGGCAAAAGACCTTTACAAGGAAAACTATAAAACACCGCTGAAAGAAATCATAGATGACACAAACAAATGGAAACACATCCCATGCTCACATATGGGTAGAATCAATATTGTGAAAATGACCATACTGCCAAAAGCAATCTACAAATTCAATGCAATTCCCATCAAAATACTGCTATCATTCTTCACAGAGTTAGAAAAAAACAATTCTAAAATTCATATGGAACCAAAAAAGAGCCTGCATAGCCAAAGCAAGACTAAGCAAAAAGAACAAATCTGGAGGCATCACACTACCTGATTTCAAACTATACTATAAGGCCGTAGTCACCAAAACAGCATGGTACTGGTATAAAAATAGGCACATAGATCAATGGAACAGAATAGAGAACCCAGAATAAACCCAAATACTTACAGCCAACTGATCTTCGACAAAGCAAACAAAAACATAAAGTGGGGAAAGGACACCCTTTTCAGCAAATGGTGCTGGGATAATTGGCTAGACACATGTAGGAGAATGAAACTGGATCTTCATCTCTCACCTAATAACAGAAATCAACTCAAGACGGATTAAGGACTTAAATCTAAGACCTGAAACTATAAAAATTCTAGAAGATAACGTTGGAAAAACCCTTCTAGAAATTGGCTTAGGCAAGGATTTCATAACCAAGAACTAAAAAGCAACCATAATAAAAACAAAGATAAATAGTTGGGACTTAATTAAACTAAAGAGCTTCTGCATGGTGAAAGGAACAGCAGAGTAAACAGACAACCCACAGAGTGGGAGAAAATCTTCACGATGTATACATTTGACAAAGGACTAATATCCAAAATCTACAATGAACTCAAAACAATAAGAATAAAAACAATTGCATCAAACAGTGGTCAAAGGACATGAATAGACAGTTCTCAAAAGAAGATATACAAAAGGCCAACAAACATATGAAAACAATGCTCAGCATCACTAATGATCAGGGAAATGCAAATCAAAACCACAATGCGATACCCCATTACTACTGCAAGAATGACCATAACCAAAAAATCAAAAAACAGTAGATGTTGACATGGATGCCGTGATCAGGGAACACTTCTACACTGCTGATGGGACTGTAAACTAGTACAGCCACTATGGAAAACAGTGTATAGGTTCCTTAAAGAACTGAAAGTAGAACTACCATTTGGCCCAGCAATCCCACCACTGGGTATGTACCCACAGGAAAAGAAGTCATTATACAAGAAAGATACTTGCATGTTTGTAGCAGCACAATTCACAATTGCAAAATCTTGGAACCTACCCAAATGCCCATCAGTCAACAAGTGGATAAAGAGACTGTGGTATATTTATATGATGGAATACTACTTGGCCATAAACAAGAACGAATTAATGGCATTTGCAGCAACCTGAGTGAGATTGGAGACTGTGCCTCAGTTTCCTCACCTATAGAATGGATCTTTATAGGATCAATGCAAGGATCAAATAAGTTGAATCATATAAAGTGCTTAGAACATTGCCTGGCACATAGGAAGCTCTGAAAAAGGCTTAGCTGGTATAATAACTAGAGAATCTATTTTAGAAATACTTTCCCTTAAACCATATTTTATAATAGCAAAGTGTTGAAAATCTTCCTGCCTGCCTTTGTTCTCTCCTTTCCTTCCTTCCTTCTTTTCCTTTCCTCATTCCTCCCTTTCTTCTTTCCTTTCCTCCTTCCTTCCCTCCCTTCTGTCCTTACTGCCTTTCCTTCTCTCCCTCCCGTCCCTCCTCCTTTCCTTCCCTCCCTCCCTCCCATCCCTCCTTTCCTTCCCTCCCCTCCCTCCTCCTTTACTTCCCTCCCTTCTTCCTTCCTTCCTTTCTGTCTCTTTCCCCAGCAAATGAGAACTAACCATCATGGCCCAAGAATTTTTTCAGGAAAACATGGAAAGACCCTGGCTGATCACCCATCTCGATTCTTGGGGTTGAACTAATTAACTGAAGCCTCAAAATCAGTGTTTTTTATACAGGATTTAAGGCTGAAAGTGGTTTCTCAGTAGTCCTCACTGTTAGCAAAAGACAACGTTGTCTGCGTCGCGGGGCCTCTCTGCACGTAGAACCGCCGGCTTCCGGAGACGCGCACATTCACAGATGGTGCCGTGCTCCTCACAGTGTGCTGTAGATTTTCATTTCCTCTTTCAAAAAGCAAATATGGGAATAATATTACTTTTCAGGGAAATGTATATGAGAACTCATAATTCTCGAGTTTTAAATGGAGAAAGGCTGCATGGAAGCCTCACGTGTGCCTGTAAAGCGTCCCTCTGGGTCCCCTGGGAGAACATTGCAGCCCAGCTAGTAAAGTCCCAGTTGTACCTCCTCACCTCACTCCTTTGCAGACATCTGTTCAATAAAAGCAGCCACAGGTCTTCAGGACTATGCATGGCACATGTTAAAGCTGTGTTTTGGTTGTTCTCGTAACAGAGTTGCTGGCTGTCATCTGCCAGGAGCTGTGAGAGGGACCCAGTCTCAGGCAGACAGGAACCTCTGACGCTGGTCTTTTTTGGGAAGGGCCTGGGAGCATGGCCTCTTGGCTGGCCAGCTCCTGCCACAGCCTCTCACCCATAGGCTCGCAGCACACGTGGAGAACAGTGTTGCAGGTGCACTGGGAAGGGCCTTGCCTCCCACAGCAAAGCAGAACAGAGTGCTTGCTTTCTCCCTGGTCCTGCACCACGGAGAGAAGGAAGGGATGTGCATGCCTGGAGCATCCCCTGTGCAGGCACCTCCTGATTTCCCCATGCCCAATATATTTACTTATCATTCAGTCCTCACACACACGCCCACTGCTCTTGCCCCTGATTTATGGGTGAGGAACCCTGTATTAGTCTGTTCTCATGCTGCTAATAAAGACATACCCGAGAGTGGGCAATTTATAAAGGAAAGAGGTTTAATGGACTCGCAGTTGCACGTGGCAGGGGAGGCCTCACAGTTATGGCAGAAGCCAAAAGAGAACAAAGGCACATCTTACATGGTGGCAGACAAGAAGGCATGTGCCGGGGAACTGCCCTTTATAAAACCATCAGATCTCAAGACTTATTCGCTATCTTGAGAACAGCACGGGAAAAAAACCACCCTCATGATTCAGTTACCTCCCACCAGGTCCCTCCCACGACACATGGGAATTATAGGAGCTACAATTCAAGATGAGATTCAGGTGAGGACACAGCCAAACCATATCAAACTCAAAGCTCAGAGCAGGTAAATCCAAAATAGGATTCAGTACTCAGAGGCCTTCAGCTGTGAGTGTTCTGTCCCTCATGTCTAAATCATGTAAATCTGTTGAAAGTTAGAAAAAAAAATTAAGATGAATGTGACCATCTCTGTTTTGGTTCGGACCGTCCACATAGACTGTCCATTCCAGAGGGCTTTGGGGGAACAGCAACTCCTCTTAACAAGACCGATGTCTGGATGGAGAGTAACGGGCACAACAGTTGTAATAAGCTGGGGTTGATCGGGCCTGTGGAGTGTCAGGCCTGGGCTGAGTGCTCGGTAGAGGTCACCTGAGTCACGCCTCCAACAAGCCTGTGACATGAGAGCAACATCTCACAAAGAAGGAAACTGAGGCTTGAGCACAGACTCCCCCAAGGTGGCACAGCTGGGGAGTCAGTGGGGTGAGGACTTGAGTCTGGGTCTGTCCAGGTCCTTCTGAGAATTTGAGAAGGTCTGACTTCAGTATGTGGGCACCTGGAACTTTCAGGGTCATGATGAGGCTAGTCAGGTGCACCCGTGCTGGAAGTAGGATTATATGAATAAAAAAAGAAAGCCCCTGAACTGAGGCACAGAGGACCCACCTACATAGGAATAGGGGAGCCCGAGGCCAGTCTTGCTGCCTCTCCAAGTTGTTTTCTCCCTCTGTAAAGGGAAACCAGCAGGTCTCATGCCTCTTCCTCTGGGAGTTACAGTGGGCATGAGAATGAGACAGCGGGTAGAAAAGGACAGGGTATGCCAGGCGCAGTGGCTCACATCTCTAATCCTAGCACTTTGGGAGGCTGAGAAGGGAGGATCGCTTGATCCCAGGAGTTCAAGACCAGGCTAGGCAATATAGTGAGACCTTGTCTCTACAGAAAATCAAAAAATTAGCCGGGCATGGTGACACACGCCTGTCGTCCCAGCTATGCAGTAGGCTGAGGTAGAAGGATCACTTGAGCCCCAAGAGGTCGAGGCTGCAGTGAGCCAAGATTGCACCACTGCACTCTACACTGAGTGACAGAGTGAGATCCAGTCTCAGAAACAAACGAACAAACAAAAACGGCACAAACTGGAGGGGTGACCACATGTGTGTTAGAGTCACAGGGCTGACCCACCAGGGGTAGGTGTGGGCCTGTTTTTTCAGGCTGGCTCAGGGCAGACAATAAATGAGAAGTGAGAACTCTGATCCATCTCGCTTTCCAGATCAGATGCCCAAGTCTCCCTGGGACAGGAAGGGACGAGATCACTCTTCAGGCTGGGCTCCTTGTCAGGATGCCATAATCCACCAGCCCAGGCTCGTCACCAGACCCCAAGGGGAGATGGCAGTCCAGCGCTGGCCAAGGCCAAGCCTTCCCCTCAGGTGTCCTCCTGGGCCCCCGGGCCCTGGCCTCCTTCCCCTTGGCTGCCCCATCTTGGATATTGCCTCTGATGAGTCACGGGCTCTACTGTTTGGCCCACGATGACTCTTCCATGAGGCACCACCTGTGGGCAGGGTCCCATTCCCATGTGTCTGCAGCAGCCTGTTCTCAGTGGCTGCTTCTACCTCTTGGTCACCCTGGGTGCTTCCCCTGGCCACAGAAATCCCCTTGTCCTCTCCTCTTCCTCACACAGTACACTAGGCCAGAGGCTCACAGGCCCCCACACACCCCCTCCGACTCCCAGGCACCTCTGGGCAGGCCTGGTTTCCAAAGTTCAGTGCCCCTCTAAGAGGGAGGGTCTGCAGAGCCCACTCAGCAAGCATCAGACCACGTTTCTTAAGAGGCATTGGGACCACCCTCTCCTTCACCCATCCATCCCTGCTTCCCCCTGAGGCCTCTTCTGGGCCAGCAGCCTTTCCCTGCTGCCAAATCCAAAGATGCCTTTCAGGCCCCAGCACTACAGGTGCAGTCCCTTCCCGGCATCCCTGACCTGGCGGTCACCCCCTCTGCATCTCTTCTGGAGGCTGTCATTCCCCCCAGGTGCTTGCACTCCCCAAGCCCCTGCCCTCCAAGCTGTCTTCTCTGTGTCTGCGCTGTCTGGATGATCCCTTCTTACCTTTGGTTTCCCCCTTGACCTCCTTTGCTCATGACTTTCCAGCCCTATGTCTCCAACCTGACCGCACCCCAAGCTGCAGACTGCACCTGCCGACCTGCCTGACACTGCACCCGGTAGCCCCTCAACCCGGCCTCTAAAGCAGCGCCACCCTTCCACCGCAGGCCAGCTCCTCCCCGGGTGCTCCTTCTCAGTGGAGGTACCACCAACATTCTTGGGCTCAGAGTCCTGAGCCTGACATTTCTTGCCTTCTTTCTCTCTTTGACCCCACATACCAAAGACGCTGTCATCTCCACCCTTTAAGAGTCTTCCAACCAGGGAGGCTGAGGCAGGAGAATCGGTTGAACCCAGGAGGCAAAGGTTGCAGTGAGTCGAGATCGTGCCATTGCACTCCAGCCTGGGTGACAACAGCGAAACTCCATCTCCGTCTCAAAAAAAAAAAAAAGTCTTCTACCAAGGCATGTTGTCCCCTTGCCACCACTGCCTTGGGGAAAGCCATCATCTTGCCCTCTGGCACATGATTCCTGAGTGTACCAAAGGCCACCTCTCTCCCACCCCAGCCTTAAGGTGTGGACCAGACATCCCAGACTTGTCAGTTGCACCACAGTCCCTCCACCTCCTGGACATTGTGAGGGCAGGCTCCCTCCGTCTGAATGCTGAGCCCCGCTTATTTGGTTGACCAGCTCCACTTTGACCTTCAGGACCCAACCCAAGCTCCAGTTCCTTCACAGCACTTGTCAGATGTTAAAGAAATTGTCTGTTTTTATGTTTCTCCCACCCCTGAGGACCACACACTTGCCTGAGGTTTGTGAAGGTGGGGAAACTGAGTCAGGTGTCCCAGCCCTTGGTTCAGGACTCAACGTGAGGTTGACACTCACGTATCTGGGAACAAAGAGGCTGAGACTGAGCGGGTTGACCGTGCCAGTGGCTGCTTCCTTTGGCCTGGCCTGCATTTTCTGGAGCTTGGGCGGTGTTTGCCACCCTTTTTATGCTGCCATGTTGTATGATTGACTTCTTGATGCCCTGCCTGGAATTGGCCTGTCTCTAACAGATGCTCAGAGAATCACATACAGGCACCTGTTTCCTTACTTTGATTAACTGAGTGAATGTGGGGAACATTCCTAGCACAGAGATTGGCACAGATTAGACACTCAGTCGATACCAGCGCCTTCTTTTGCGCCCATTCTGAGGAGGCACAAAGTTAACACTGGACCCCTGGACAAACCACTTGTTAGCCCAGATTGTGCTGGAATACAACATCTCATGCTGTTTTTTGATAATTTAAAGTTGTTGAAAATAACGACCTACCAGGGCTCTCTCTTTGGCTACCTGCGTTTGAGATTCCCTCTATATTCAACATAAAATAACTGTGTCAGAAAAGTGTGACCCTGATGATGGCATTGTTTCTTTGCAACAACTGTCACATCAGCAGACCTCACAAGGCCTTTACCTAGTTTAAATCTCAGCCAAATCAAGATGTAAATAGAAATTGAATTTTAAATAGGAGCTGAGTTTTTTCAGAATTGGGAATGCAGTGAGTGTGTGGTTGGCAGAATAACGGCCCCACAGGTGTCCACATTCTAATCCGTAGAACCTGAGAATATGTGGCCTCCTGTGTGGCCAAGAGGAGTTAAGGTTGCAGATGGTGTTAAGGTTGTGGTATGGATTGAATTGTGTCCTCTTCAAAATTCTTTTATTGAAGTCCTAACCCCCAGTATCTCAGAATGTGACCTTATTTGGAAACAGGGTCGTGGCAGATGTAATTAGGTAAAATGATATCATACTGAAGTAGGGTTGGGCCCTGATCTGATATGACAGGTATCCTTATAAGAAGAGGGTCATGTAAGGACACAGACACACAGAGGACACTGTGGGAAGATGCAGGCTGGGGCTGGGGCTGGGGCTGGGGCTGGAGTGATGCTTCTGCATGCCAGGGAACACCAAGGCTTCCCAGCCGCCACCAGAACCTAGGAGAGAGACACAGAACACGTTCTCCTTCAGGGCCCTTGGGAGGACCAGCCACACTGACACCATGGTTTTGGACTTCTGGCCTCCAAAACTGTGAGGGAATAGATTCCTGTTGTTTTAAGCCACCCAATTCGTGATACTTTTATCGACAATCCTAGCAAACTAATACAGGTTGGTAGTCAGTTGTGATGCTTTTATTAGCAGTCCTTTTATCGGCAAATTTTAAGGCCAACTGATTATCGGGTTGGTAATCAGCTGGCCTTAAAGTAGATTATTCTGGATTATCTGGGTGAGTCTGGGGTCATCACAAGGGTCCTTCCAGGTAGGAGATGAGGCAGAAGAGAAGGTCGGAGTGACACAGTGTGAGAAACACTCCCCCACCACTGCTGGTCTTGAGGATGGAGGAAGACGCCCCAAGCCAAGGAGTGGGGCAGCGTGGAGCTGGAAAAGAAGGAATGGGGCAGCATGGAGCTGGAAAAGGCAGGAGACAGATTCTTCCCTGGAGTCTCCAGGAGGAACCAGCCCTCTCAGCACCCTGGTTTTAGATTTGAGAGACTCATGCCAGACTTCTGACCTCCAGAACTGTAAGATAATAAATCTGTGTTATTTTGAGCCATTAAGTTGGGGGTAATTTGTTACAGTAGCACTAAGAATACAGGGTCTCATATGGTCACTGAGCTGCCTGAGGCATCTCATTAGGATGATTTAACTTGAAGCATATGCAGAGGAACTGAGTCAGTGCTAGGCAGGAAAGGAAGCAGAGTCGCAGGAGGATCAGGAGAAGGGGTGCCCTGAATTAGAGAAGCGTTAACTGTGACTTCCTAAAGAATTACAGTTTCAGCCAGGCGTAGTGGCTCATGCCTGTAATCCCAGCACTTTGGGAGGCCGAGGCAGGCAGATCACTTGATGCCAGGAGTTCAAGACCAGCCTGGCATACATGCCAAAACTCCATCTCTACTAAAACTTCAAAAATGAGCGGGGTGTGGTTGCTCATGTCTATAATCCCGGCACTTTGGGAGGCCAAGGCGGGCGGATCACTGGAGGTCAGCAGTTCAAGACCAGCCTGGCCAACATGGGAAAACCCCATCTCTACTAAAAATACAAAAATTAGCCAGGTATGGTGGAGCACACCTGTAATGCCAGCTACTCAGGAGGCTGAGGCACCAGAATCCCTTGAACTCGGGAGGTGGAGGCTGCAGTGCGCCGAGATTGCGCCATTGCACTCCAGCCTGGGCAACAGAGTGAGACTCCACTCAAAAAAAAAAAAAAAAAAAAAAGAATTACAGTATCATGCTTTTAAGAAGAGCAGCTACCTCAAACTTGGCTAATAAATATTGCTGTTAAAGTTTTTTGGGGCTTACTAGTGGAAAAAAATAGGGCTTACAATGTAATTGGAATATAAATTGTTTTACGGAACTACAGTTCCTTTCCCAAATTACTGGATTTAAAGTCAACGTGATTTGACTGTGGTGGTGAGTTGCACAGTGTCGTTCAAGTGTCGTAGGTGGGCTCCTGGAGCCAGGGGGGGTTGGGTGAAATGATTTCTTTATGCCACCAAAAAAAGAAGTTTTAAGGAAGTCATTTTCTGCCCATACCTCATTGAGATTTGTCAAGATCAGAAGCAAAAAGTCTAGCTGAAAAACAGCTAAAATACGCTGCGGAGTGCTTGTACACAAAGTCCACACAGCAACCCCCGTAGACGGCTCCTCCTGCACTGCAGGTGTGAACGTGTGCACCCCGGGCACAGCGCTCTGCTCTCCCCTTCGGCTGCCTGCGGCTTAAGAAACACTTCGCTTCTGCGACTTTTCTTCACTGATTTACAACTTGCTTCTAACCACCCACTGACATCATTCTTTTAATTGTGGTAAAATACACATAAAATTTACCATCTTACCATTTGTAAATGTACAGTTCAGTGGCAGTAAGTACATTCACCTTGTGCAGCCATCACCACCATCCAAACACAGAACTTTTCTATCTTCTTCAGCTGAAGGTCTGCCCCCATTAAACACTCACTCCCTATTCCCCTTCCCCTCAGCTCCTGGCAACCATCATTCTACTTTGTCTCTATAAATCTGACTGCTCCAGGGATCTCACATAAGTGGAATTGCACAGGATTTCTCCTTTGGTTATTGGCTTCTTTCTCTTGGCATGAAGCTCATCCATGTTGTAGCATGCATCAGAATCTCCTTTTTGACAACTAAATAATATTCCCTTGTATGCATATACTACACTTTATTCATCCTTTGATGGACACTTGCATCGTTTCCACCTTTTGGCTATTGTGAATAATGCTGCTGTGAACACAGGTGTGCAAACATCTTACCATACCGTTTTTTAATCTATCCACATAGCCATTCAGTGGCTATGCATCATTCTAACACTGGATGATAGAGTTTAAAACTGAGTAAAACAGGATACAGTGGCCTCGCTTACTCGCGGCCAACCCTGCTGACTGAGACTCAGCTCAGACATCACTTCCCCAACCCTGAGGCAGAGCAAGTCGCCTCCCTGGGCCCCCACAGCCCCGTGTTCACCTCCTCTGCAGCAGTGAGCCTCGTATACTGCTGATCCGGCTGGTTATGTGGCTCCTGTGGGCTGAGCCGTATTTCTGACTATACATCTAGAACCCCAGGTGGAGCTGGGAAGTAGAAGGAAGGGCGTGGAGCAAGGGCTGTGCCCTGAGCTGCCTGGTGTGGGACCCATGGTCGTGAGTGCATTTGTGCTCCTCTCTTATGGGGAGACTCGAGGTCCCCCATGGTGGGGTTGGGAGGCTGTGCTCTCGGCAGGTGGAGCTTGTTTTTGAATTCCAGGGGCCCCAGGACATGAGAGTTTATCAGTCCATCTGGCGATGCCCATTGCACCATAGGAGGGAGGCAGGGGCAGCCCCAGAGGAGGGGTGAATGGCAGAGCATCCCTGGCTGAGGAGCAGGGCGGCACCCGTGGGCTGCACCTACACCTCATGTGCTGGGGGCTGTGTAACCCTCCCCCTGTGAGGCTCTGGGCTGTGACAAGGAGGGAGATTGTAAGAACTCCGCGGGAAAGGGCTGGACAGCAGGAAGGAGGGATGCATGAGGTATGTTCCATTCTGGCACAAGAAGCAAAGGAGAGAAGAGGCAGGACAGCCAGCCGCCCCTCACTGCTCTGCAGGAATCTCCCATGTGAAAACAGTGCCCCTCCCAGGGCCATTTCTCCAAATTGCTCAAATCAAGAAATCACTTTTGTGGGAAGCCTCTTAAATCTACAAAACTTTTTGAATGACATTTTTGCTTTTTCCACGTTCCTCTTGACTCTGTTTCCCCGCAGATCTGGCTTTTTAAGTCAGCGAGGTGACGGCGGATGTAGAGACATCAGGGCAGGACTGCTGAGCCTCGCCCAGCTCTTCCCTCGTCCCCCCAGTGTGTCCTGGATGTGGCCTCTGTGTCAACCAGAGTCGCTGCTCACGTCCACTAGAGCACCTGCCGTGGTCACGTGCTGGGAATGGCCATGCACCCTGTGGCCTACGGCATGCCAAGTGGCATCCCCATGAGCAAGACAGAGGGGCCCCACTTCTCAGGCTTGGCCCTGGAAGCACAGCACAAGCAAAGGCGGGAGCAGACTCAAAGCCGTTTTCACAGCTGGGGTCAGCACAATAGCGCCAAACAGGTCTCACCCTAAAGCCTGACGTCTTTATTCACAAAGTCAACTGCAAAAGGGCAGGACAAAGGAGATCTTGTGGGAGTCAGTTCATGAGAGACAAAAAGCAGCCCAGGATGGGGAAGTTAATATGTTTAATCTGGCTGCTTAAAAATATAGAAATAGTATCAAGTTGGACAACATTGATGAAGTCAGAGTCTCTATTTTAGAAAAGAAAATCATCACATTCAAATTTCTTTTTCTTTTTTTTTTTTTTTTTTTTTTGGGTTTGGCCTTTTTTTTGAGACTGAGTCTCGCTCTGTCCCCAAGGCTGGCAGGCTGGAGTGCAGTGGTGCAATCTCGGCTCACTACAACCTCTGCCTCCCCGGTCCAGACAGTTCTCTCACCTCAGCCTCCCAAGTAGCTGGGACCACAGATGCACACCACCACGGGGGGCTATTTTTGTATTTTAGTAGAGATGGGGTTTCACCATACCGGCCAGGCTGATCTCGAACTCCTAACCTCAGGAGATCCACCCACCTTGGCCTCCCAAAATGCTGGGATTATAGGTGTGAGCCACTGTGCCCGGCCTAGACTTGATTCTGTGGAGTACTTGTAGGTTCACATCAAAATTGAGAGGAAGGTACAGAGAGATTTCTCACACACTGCCTGCTGCAGGCACGCATGGTCTCCCCGCCAGAGTGCTACATTCGTTACCGCTGAGGGACCTACCCTGACACATCACGACATCATCGTCACCCACATCTATGGTTCATCTTAGGCTTCATTCTCAGTGTTGCACATTTTGTGGGTTTGGACAGATTTATGACATGTTTCCACCGTTATAGCATCATACAAAGCAGTTTCACTGCCCTAAAAATTCTCTGTGCTCCAACCACTTTCCTTCTTTAAAAAAAAAAAAAAAAGGAAAAGAGACCAGTTTATTTTGTGATTGTGAGCAAAGAAAGAAATGACACAGCTACCAATCTCCTATTCTGTGCCTCTTCTTCCCAAGTACAGACATTGTTTTCCTTCAGGAGAGATGTGGCTGATTCTAGATTCAGGGGTAATGGGCATGCCTGGATCATGGCCTTCATCATTCTCACCCTGGGGAGAGCTTTGGGTCCTCTGAAGGCCCAGAAGTCTAGTGAACCTGGCTGATGCTCAGTAAATGTCTGCCCCGCTGAATATTTTCCATATCTCCATCCAAGAGCACCTTCTGGTGTTCTTCCCTCTATTTTCTTGACCATAGCCCCCAGCAGGCATAAGGTCTATGTCCTGGAGCCAATACTTCTACAGTGATGATTCTAGAAACCAGTCTGTTCTGAAAGCTTTCACCATTTCTCAGGAGCAATGAGAGAAATAAGCATACGTTTTTATTCATTTTAAAGATGTCTCCTTTATTTGAGACTATGTCTCTTCTGTATTTTTAGTGTTAAGGTGTATTCTGGGGAGCAGTATGGTTGGGGCCGGGCACAGTGGCTCACACCTGTAATCCCAGCACTTTGGGAGGCTGAGGCAGGTGGATCACTTAAGGTCAGGAGTTCGAGACCAGCCTGACCAACATGGTGAAACCCGTCTCTACTAAAAATACAAAAATTAGTCAGGCGTGGTGGCGCATGGCTGTAAACCCGACTACTCAGGAGGCTGAGGCAGGAAAATCGCTTGAACCTGGGAGGTGGAGGTTGCAATGAGCCGAGATCGTGCCATTGCGCTCCAGCCTGGGTGACAAGAGCGAAACTCCATCTCAAAAAATAAAGAAGATAGTGGCTGTTTTTTAGTATGTGTGTGCTTATTGTCCCTATCCATCACATTCATTCTTGCTGCTTCCAGGCCACATCTGGGCCATGTTGTCCTCTGGAAGAAAAGTCGTGACTGAGTAGAAAATGAATGGGAGGGATTGAACATCTGCCACACAAACTCTTGGCCAAAAGAAGAGAAAACTTAAAGGGGAACAAAAGAACTGTCTTCACATATTTAAGAAGGCCTCTGGGTTACTCCAAAGACCAGAACTAGGAGAAATGAACTAGGAGAAATGTGTAGAATTTAGCTCAATTCTCTTCGTGCTGAGTGTGGCCAGGTGCTGAGATGGGAGGCTCATGGCCACCCTGCAGGAGTTCTCCATCTCCTACCAAGGAGACAATGACAGCAATGATAGCTAAGAGTTACATTTACACGGGCTTCAGGTGTGCCAGACACTGTTGTAAGCAGTTTATGGACAATGTGCCACTTGTCCTCACAACTGCACCCCAAGGGAGTCACTGTGGCTCCCATCCCTGCCATGCGAGCCATGGATCCAAGAAGGGCTTCACTGGAGTTAGGCCCCAGAAGCCTGAGGATAGAGTGATGATTCTGCCAAGAGGATTGGAACTTAGCTCCAGAGGAGGTGCTCTGGGACAAGGAGGGACAACCTGGGGTGGAGGGAGGAGCCCAGGTGGCTCTGTCTTCTCAGCGCCAGAGATGCCGGCGCCACCCCAGTTGGTTCAGACCAGTGCCGTCGTCACTGGGACTGCCGTAGGAGCCTCCTCTCTGGTCTCCCTGCCGCTGCTTCTGCCCACTATAAACTGGTATCCACACCGAGCCAGTGGTCCTCTCAGAGCCGAAAGGAACATGTCACTCCTCTCTCAAAACCCTCCAGTATTCCATCTTATTTGAACAAGAGCCACCAGGGCCAGCCAGGCCCTAGGTATCTCACCCTTCTGCCCCCCAAATCCCATCCTTTCCCCTCGCTCTCCCCTTCCTCACTCCGCCTCCACCCCGCCAGCGTGCCCCTCCACCAGGGCCTTTGCACCCCTGTGACCTCTGCCTTGGAAGCCTTTTCCCACGTAGTCACGGGGCTCACTTCCTCCCAGGCTCTCCTGAGATGTCCACTTCCCAGCGAGGCCTTCCCTGCATCCTGCTGTAAGATAACACCCCCACCCACTCCCTGTTCTGCTCACGCTGCTTGACTTGTCTCTAGAGCACTTGTGACTGTGTGTTACGGTCTCTAATCTCATTTAGTATATTTGTTATAGATGCTATGGTGATATATATGGTTCAGTGGCTATATATGGTCTGCCCCCCTCAGAATGTAAGCTTCAGAGGGCAGGGACTTTGCTTCACTCACTGCTTCCTCATCAGAACCTAGAAGGTGCCTGGCACGTGGGAGGCCCTCGATAAATCTGCAGTGCCTGGATGGGCAGATGAGCCACTCAGCTGGGACCGGAAAGCGAGAGACAGCTGGCACCGTCCAGTACCCGTTCAAAGGATCCTGCCAGTGGGCAAAAGCGGTAGACATTGCTCAACAGTGGGATGGCCCGGCATGGCATGATCAGACTTGGTTTGGGGCGGGATTCAGGACTGTTTTTGACTAATGAGGAGGAACTGAGTGGCTGTCAGACCTGGCAGTGCACAGGTCAAGCTGCTTTGTCAGGTGGCGAACTCTTGGAAGCGAGGAGTTTATGAGGCAGGACAAGAAAGGGCAAAGCCAGTTGGCTCATCCAGAAAGCAAGCAGGGGAGATCCCTTAGTGTTCGCAAAAGGGCACTGGAAGCCCTTTGTGTGTCATGAGGAAGCATGATTCCCAAGCTGCTCAGCTGCTTTCCAGCGCCCTGAGGCCAACAGAGATGCCTAATGCATCGGATCATCAGGCTATCAGGCAGGGACCTGAAGTTTTATTTTTTGTTTTTATTTTTTGGGGGATACAGTCTCACTCTGTCACCCAGGCTGGAGTGCAGTGGCGCGATCTTGGCTCACTGCAACCTCCACCCCCTGGGTTCAAGCGATTCTCCTGCCTCAGCCTCCTGAGTAGCTGGGACTACAGGCGTGCACCACCACGCCTGGATAATTTTGTGTATTTTTAGTAGAGACGGGGTTTCACCATGTTGGCCAGGCTGGTCTCGATCTCCTGACCTCAAGTGATCCACCTGCCTCAGCCTCCCAAAGTGCTGGGATTACAGGCGTCAGCCACCGCCCAGCCTGAGCCGAAGTTTTAGAAGAACACTTTCAGACGCCAACCTCAACAGCCTCTGTCTTCCCATGGCCCACAACGTGCCACTCTCAGGCACCACAGCCATCTCCGGAGGGCCCAGGCTCTGGAAAGCAGGGAGGGCCTAGTTCTGGTTAATCAAGCTGGGACCGGTGTGGGCTGGGGGGTTCTTTGTCAGTGGCTGTATCAATCCCCTATTGCCGCAGCAACAAACAACTGCAACATCTCCATCACTGACAGTAGCGCAGGCGGTAGTGGTGCGGGCTGTCTGTAGGGACATTCCCTGTACTGGGACTGTTCTCCCAGCAGAGGGTAAGAAGTAAAGAGAATCAGAGCCAAACCACATAACCACATTCAGAGCTTCTGCCGGGACGCCGCCAGCATCCTCTTCACTCACACCCTGTCGAAAGAAGCAGGTCCTATGACGACAAGCAGATACGTAATTCCCTACAGGGAGGCCGTGACCAGATAATTCTGTCTGCCGTAGGGGTGTTGGTTGCAGAAAGATGTCTGTGCTGAGGAGACCATCCAACCAGAGGACCACTCAAGTCACTCCCTCTGTGCCGATACTCTGAGTTATGTCCAGGGTTGGCTGAAAAGCTTCCTGAGTCTGCCTCCCTCTCTCCCACCACAGGGCAGCAATTCCAGGATCCGGCCGGAAGGCCCTCCGGAGAGGCTGGCCTCTCACCCAGTCGTTCTCTCTCTCTTTCCTCCCGTCTGGCAGGTGGGTGGCAGGCCCGTGGAGCCCCTGCTCGGCGACCTGTGAGAAAGGCTTCCAGCACCGGGAGGTGACCTGCGTGTACCAGCTGCAGAACGGCACACACGTCGCTACGCGGCCCCTCTACTGCCCGGGCCCCCGGCCGGCGGCAGTGCAGAGCTGTGAAGGCCAGGACTGCCTGTCCATCTGGGAGGCGTCTGAGTGGTCACAGGTGGGTGCCTGGGCTTGCCACCAGGACTCAGCCACAGGGACTCCAACACGGTGCCATGGTATTGGTGACATTCTGGTGCCTCCCAGCCCTCGCTCGCCCCCAGGTCAGCTTGAAGTTGTGTTATAGCTCATGTGTTCTTAATTTCCATCTCAGATAACAGCCTGGCTGCGGAAACATAGATACCATGTCTCTGATGATGTACATGTCAACACCACAGTGAAGGACTGTTTGATCCCATTTCCTATGAAAATTCTCACATCAAGATAGGATAGACAGATACTGACCGACTTTTTAATTCTCCTTTGGGTGTATTTAACTGTGGTGTGCTCAGGCTGGGAAGGTGGTTTCAAAGGTTTGCCTTTAATCCCCCAGCAGTCTTTGTAGATTACGAGAGTCAGATGCCAGGAGGGACAGCTTTTAGTGTGCAAGTTGGAGTTACAAATCTCATGCCATAAAATGTTTTGGAAAGAAGTGGATTAAGCCTTAAGTCTTAACTTTGAAGGTTGGTCCTGGGAGTACAATTTTATCTCTGGTGATGTCATCCTTCAGGGCTTTGCATTGACTTTGTGTTAATGATTTTGACTGTTTGGCTATAAAACTACAAAAAAAAAAATAGCTGAATAAAGGGCAGGCTTCCCTCAGGTCTTCCACCAGCGTAGTCTAGAAAACTCAGAGACGCTCATCCAAGACACTCTTCAGTGTGGAAAATTTTTTAAAGTTCCCTCTATTGCCAAACAGTTGGAATTATTTTGAATAAAAAAGTATTCCGCCCATTTTTAATGAAGGAAAAGTCTGCCATTGGCTGCTCTAAAACAAAGGTTAATTTTCAAACAGATCTTGGCATGTATTTGTTTATAGATCAGGATTTTTAGTCCTACATTTTATGATATTTTAGGAAAAGAGAGTTTGAGATTTTGTTGTTTGATTTTTTTGTCTTTGTCTATGCTTACGTTTGTCAGTTTAACATTAGAGGGATTTTTTTTGGCCCCTTGCTGGAAGGGTTGAGGCAGGTGTTCAGTCCCCTCCCCTTTCCAGTACTCTAGGTGAGCCTTTGGGTTTTAATTGCCTGGCTCTTGATCGAAGTAAGACTTGTGCTTTGATCAGATCAAAACCATAAATTTTCCACTCAGTGGTAAAATCCTGTCTCTACTAAATACAAAAAATTAGCCGGGCATGGTGGCGCATGCCTGTAATCCCAGCTACTTGGGCGGTTGAGGCAGGAGAATTGCTTGAACCTGGGAGGTAGAGGTTGCAGTGAGCCGAGATTGCGCCATTGCACTTCAGCCTGGGCAACAAGAGCGAAACTCTGTCTCAAAAAAAAAAAAAAAAATCCACTCAGACTCTTTTTATGGGGGAAAACAATGCTTCCCCACCAAGTCTGACATCATCAATTATCATTACAGCCCTGAAGATCTCTACGTTTGGAAAATGTGAGACAATGGGAGCAAGATTTAAAGAAATTTCTCTGTGTCTGTATCTATGTGCATACCTAATCCTAATCCCGAACGAGCACCACACCAGTCAGCCTAACTCTGGCTTAGCCCAGGCTTGAGCAAAATGCTTCCTTCTGAACATTTAACCTGGAATCAAATCATTCCCCATGGGAAGCTCGCGAAGCTGGTACTTCTGCCGCTTCCCACGTGCTGAAGTCCCAAAGTGAGACTGTCTTCCGCTGGAAGCAGATGGGTTTCAGTTTCTTAAGGGAGAGTTTTTATTGACGTGGTCGCTTTTATCCAACCAGCTGTGTTGATTGCTCTCACTACCTACTCCCCAGCTTCTTCCCGACTTTATTAGAAGAAGGATCAAATATCCAGAAGGAAGGAAAAGGTAGTGCGTTTCTCCTGTCCTCAGCTTGCAGGCCCCGCCCCTGATGGGAAGCAAAGAGAGAGACCGAAGGGCACCCTCCTAGGCCCCTTTGGAGCTGGAGCCGTCCTCAGCAGCCTGCAGCACTGCTCAGACAAAGGCTTCAGGAGAATGGGTTGCTGGTCAGAGTTTGGTTAAGAAATAGGCTGGACATTCAGAGCTTGAAATTCAAGGGGAGGAGGTGAGCAATGCAAAATAGAGGCCAGGCAAGAGTGAACTTAGGCAGAAATGGTGCATGGGTTCCTGGTTGCAGAGGAGCAAGTTGTGTGGATGCTGGTGCCAGGGGTAGCCCACAAGTCAGACAGTGAGGACAGAGTTGCTGAAATGGTCAGGAAACCTTGCCACACAGAGAAGCAAGGGGTAGCCCTGCAGTGCAGTGCCCCGGGCCTCCTGCCCAAGCTCCTGCATGTAAAGTCCACTGCAATCAGCCTCCTACCCCTGCTCCTGCATGCAAAGCCCACCATGGACGGACCCCTGGCATCCGGGGACCCTTTAAACCAGCTCTACACTCCACACACAGCTACTCTCCCCACTCCCTGCAGGGGACATTGCAGCCAGTTCTGAAGCATGTGCATTTCCAACCAGCCTTAATTAGCCTTGAAAGAAAACCCCATGGGATCTTTAGACAAAGAGCTGAATTGAATTCGTAAGAAAGAGCTGCGAGGCGCAATGGCTCGCACCTGTAATCCCAGCACTTTGGGAGGCCAAGTCGGGTGGATCACGAGTCAGGAGATTGAGACCATCCTGGCTAACATGGTGAAACCCTGTCTCTACTAAAAATACAAAAATTAGCCAGGCATGGTGATGGGCGCCTGTAATCCCAGCTACTCAGGAGGCTGAGGCAGGAGAATCGCTTGAACCCGGGAGGCGGAGGTTGCAGTGAGCCGATATTGCACCACTGCACTCCAGCCTGGGTGACAGAGCGAGACTCCGTCTCAAAATAAAAAATAAAAAAAGAGAAAGCTAGATCATATCTTGGGATAAATGTTAATAACAAATATCAGGAATAACATTTGTCCTTTATGTACCTTTTTTCCAGTGGACACAGTGGGATTTTTTTTTTTTTTTTAAGAGATTGGGGTCTGTATGTTTCCCAGGCTGGTCTTGAACTCCTGGCCTCAAGTGATCCTCCCACCTCAGCCTCCCAAAGTGCTGGGATTATGGGTGTGAACTACTGCATTTGGCCTAGAACTTTTTAAAGTTGAGTTTGTTATAACTCAAGAAAGTCAGTGCTGTCGCCTGCCATATTTGTGGTAAACTGAGCAAGTATGAAACCGCCTTAGCAGACTGCAGCCTCCTGCACACCATCTTTCCAAGTTATATGTTTACGCCTGTGTCAGGGACAGGGCTCCCAGGGCCAACTTGTTTGTGAGTTTTGTCTTCCCGAGGCTGTGGGTCAGCTCGGCCTGGGCTTCCTTCTGCTTTGCTTTTGGAGATGGTAAGTTCTCCTGCCAGCCCGGGCACCGTCCCTCCCCAAGTTCTGTGGTGGGCGTGTCAGGAGCAGGCTCCAGACGCACTCCAGAGTGCCTGTCTGCTGTGTTGACACCCTGTCATGCCCCCTGCCTCTTCGCTCCTTCTTGCTGCTGGGAATCCTGAACTCTTGAGGGCAGGCACATCATTCATCACCCCCAGGCCCTGCCCAGGTCCCATCCCCACTGCCCCTTGCCAGGTCTCCTGCAAGTAAGTAAACTACCACAGGGGCCATGCGTCTGTCACCATTCTTGGTGTCTGCATTCAGACATTCACTGGAGCTCTCTGCAAAGGCTTTCCACCTGCCTCACGAGAAAGTCATCTGTGGCTTTTCCTTCCTTCTGCCGCCTCCTCCTCCTTCTCCCGGCTGGATCGAGGAGTTTGTCCCAGGCTGGTCCAAGCACAGCATGTGCACCTGGAGGCCAGCTGGAAAGATCTGGGGCCTGGGACTCAGCTTTAGGGCCTCACCTTGCTCCGGCTGGCCCCTGTTCCCTGCCCCACTCATGGCTCCATCACACACCTGCCCTTCGAGCTCACGTATTGCCTTGAGCTTTTGGACCCGACAAGTGGCCACTGAATTCCACTCCCCTCATGTGACCTTATGAGTACCCCAGGTTCTTCCCACTCCTGATTCCTAGGTCCCTTCCACAACACTGGCCACTCGGCTGGGGCCCCAGCTGGGACCACGTGCGTAAGACCCTGCAGACCAGGAGCTTTTTGAGGACAGAAGTGTGGGTTTTCATCTTTGTATCATCCCCACACCGCACCTGGCACATTGGAGGGAGTTAATAGCTGTTGATGGACTTGAATCGAATTGGAACTCGGTTAAATATTTGAATGGTGTCTTGCAGTGCTCTGCCAGCTGTGGTAAAGGGGTGTGGAAACGGACCGTGGCGTGCACCAACTCACAAGGGAAATGCGACGCATCCACGAGGCCGAGAGCCGAGGAGGCCTGCGAGGACTACTCAGGCTGCTACGAGTGGAAAACTGGGGACTGGTCTACGGTGAGAGCAGCCTGCTGGCATTTCTCTCCGTGCCGCAGTGCAGGGGGCTCGAGGGTCGGGAACTCAGCTCTTGTGACGGGTCCCAATTCTACGCGGCAGTCCCAGCGTAACTAGGCAAATTCATTTTCCTTCCACCCGCTGCAACTACCCAAGACCCCGTGTGCTTCCTCCCCTGCTTCTCCCACAGGCTGCACCAGCACTGCCCCTTGGGGCTCACTGGGAGAACCCCACTGCTTCACGTGCATGCAGAAGGAACCCGAAACGCAGCCCAAGGCAGGACGCGGGTGCCCTGGATGCCAGGCTTGCCATGCTGTGCGGTGTGCTGGCAGGCCCCAGCCTCCTGCCATGGGGACACTTGGGGCAAACATCACTTCCATTCACTCCCGGGACCCCTGGGCAAGGGCCTGGAGATGCAGGGACAGACAGGGCAGGGGGCCATGGGGTGGTAGCAGGGAGGAGTATCACAGAACCGCCGGGTCAGCACTCCCGAGAGCAAGGGTGAATAAAGGGCCACTGAATGTTTCTCCAGGTAAGAAAATGCTTTGTTGTTTAACTCCTCTTTTATTCATTCATCTGATATATTTGAATGATTCCTGTTTTCTGGGGACCAAGGTGAGCCCCACTGCCACCTGTAAGAACCTTCTAGTGGGTTTTCTAGACTCTTCTCACAAAATCTGTACCACTCCTCCTGTAAGCATAGACCGTGTTTGTCCTTCTGTATGGTCTTAGCAACTGAAAAACTCCTGCTTGCTTCTCCTGATAGCTCTTCCCTCAAAGATTGCCAACTGCTGACCTAGAGCCATTGGTTTTTGCTCAGCCTGCAGAATATCTTAAACATGTTGGAATTAGTGGCTAGCATTTTTTTTTTAAGTTCTGAGGTACATGTGCAGAAAGTGCAGGTTTGTTACACAGGTATACATGTGTCATGGTGGTTTGCTGCGCCCATCAACCCATCATCTAGGTTTTAAGCCCCAGATGCATTAGGTATTTGTCCTAATGTACTGCTTCCCCTAGCCCCCCACCCTACGACAGTCCCTGGTGTGTGATGTTCCCCTCCCTGTGTCCATATGTTCTCATTGCTCACCTCCCACTTATGAGTAAGAACATGCAGTGTTTGATTTTCTGTTCCTGTGTTAGTTTGCTGAGAATGATGGTTTCCAGCTTCATCCATGTCCCTGCAAAGGACATGAACTCATCCTTTTTTGTGGCTGCATAGTATTCCGTGGTATATATGTGCCACATTTTCTTTATCCAGTCTATCATTGATGGATATTTGGGTTGGTTCCAAGTCTTTGCTATTGTCAACAGTGCCGCAGTAAACGTATGTGTGCATGTGTCTTTATAGTGGAATGGTTTATAATCCTTTGGGTATATATTCAGTAAAGGGATTGCTGGGTCAAATGGTATTTCTGGTTCTAGATCCTTGAGGAATCGCCACACTGTCTTTCACAATGGTTGAACTAATTTACATTCCCCATGAACAGTGTAAAAGCATTCCTATTTTTCCACATCCTCTCCAGCATCTGTTGTTTCCTGACTTTTTAATGATCACCATTCTAACTGGCGTGAGATGGTATCTCATTGTGGTTTTGATTTGCATTTCTCTAATGACCAGTGATGATGAGCTTTTTTTCATATGTTTATTGGCTGCATAAATGTCTTCTTTTGAGAAGTGTCTGTTCATATCCTTCACCCACTTTTTGATGGGGTTGTTTGGTTTTTTCTTGTAAATTTGTTTAAGTTCTTTGTAGATTCTGGATATTAGCCTTTGGTCAGATGGATAGATTGCAAAATTTTTTCCCATTCTGTAGGTTGCCTGTTCACTCTGATGCTAGTTTCTTTTGCTGTGCAGAAGCTCTTTAGTTTAATTAGATCCCATTTGTCAGTTCTGGCTTTTGCTGCCATTGCTTTTGGTGTTTTAGTCACAAAGTCTTTGACCATGCCTATGTCCTGAGTGGTATTGCCTAGGTTTTCTTCTAGGGTTTTCATGGTTTTAGGTCTTAGGTTTAAGTCTTTAATCCATCTTGAGTTAATTTTTGTACAAGGTGTAAGGAAAGGGTCCAGTTTCAGTTTTCTACACATGGCTAGCCAGTTTTCCCAACACCGGGTATTAAATAGGGAATCCTTTCCCCATTGCTTGTTTTTGTCAGGGTTGTCAAAGATCAGATGGTTGTAGATGTGTGGCATTATTTCTGAAATTTCATTTGAAAATTTAGGTTTTGGCTTCGCTATGAAAATGTGGCAACATGGCTCAGGCAGGTAATTTTGCTTCTGCCTGTGCTTTACGGAAGGAAAAATGGGTTTTCCATTGGAAGGCAAAATTTATCAGAATCTGATCCCTGCAGAAATGCTACCACCTTCCCATCAGCCCAAGTCAGAACACAAAGTTCCCCAAACCCTTTGAGTAAAAAAAAAAAAAAAGCCAAATTTCCCAATTCCCAGTTTGCCTGGTAGTGCTAAGGTACCCTATTATTCTGGATTAACAGTGAATTTGAGAAGGACCTAAAACACCTCCTTCCTATTTACTCCCTGGTCAAAACATCTGACCAAGGCAATAGAACTGAGGCTGTCAGTCCAGTTTCCCCAAAACCAAACAGGGACGTCACACAGTTACTTGGATGTTAATAAAGCTTAGTATGGAGCTGCCAGGATGTATCTTTCACTGGCAGAGAAACTTAACTTCAGAGCTCCCACAAAAGATATGTGTGCTTTGGCTGGGCGTGGTGGCTCACACCTGTAGTCCCAGCACTTTGGGAGGCCAAGGCAGGATTGCTTGAGCCCAGAAGTTCCAGACCAGCCTGGGAAACATAGGGATACCCTGTCTCTACAAAAAAAAATCAAAAAAATAGCTGGGCGTGGTGGCACATGCCCATAGTCTTAGCTCCTTAGGAGGCTGAGGCGGGAGGATCACTTGAGCCAGGGAAGTCGAAGCTACAGTGAGCCATTATTGCACCACTGCACTCCAGCTCAGTCAAGAGAGCGAAAAGAAAGATGCACTTCGAACCATGAGAACTTGAACTCACACAATAGAGACATTAAGGGGCTGATTTACAGCTCTGACTCTCTACTTGTGTGCCTTAACCTCTCTTTATCTCTGAAATGGGAATCATAAACACTGACCCTGCCTGTTTCTCAGAGATGCTTAGAGGTTTCAAGATGCTAATATATATGTCTAAGTACTTGGACAACTAAACCCATTTCATTTCATTGCCCAAAATCCACCACCCAATGTTCACACGGTTCTGGGGCACAGTCCCCAGGGTTATAACCCATTCTGATCTGACCTCACCTTGTCTTATCAGTAGGGCTTCTGGCCTTTTATAGACAACACTGAGAAATTCTCTGTCCAAGCACATCCAGACCTAGCTTGAAAACGGTCACTGATCCTAGCCCAAAGACTGTAGGTGAGCTACCAACAGACCAGGTTCTGATCCATAAGTAACACACTGGCAGATGTTCGGGATCATCTGAAGAACTGATGATTACCTCATGCCTGCATGGTTACGGAGAGTCCAGAAGGTGTAGAAGGGGAAGCTGCCCAGCACAGTAACAGGCAGGGTAGCATTGTTTGGACACTGAGTGTTCAGATGTGAACTGGAATAAAGCTGTCATTGTCATCAGGGAATTGGAAGGGTCCTAGCGGTCACGCCCTAAATGCAGCCTGTACTATTGTTGGCGCCTGTGCCCACAGGGGTCCGGGGCAGGAGTGGAGGCAAGAAGTGGTCAGTTCTAGGCTTGGGCCACATCTGCCCATCTGGGGTCGGGGCACCTAGCACTGCTTTCCTTTTTGTGGGGTACCCCTGTGCGTCATGTCACTGGTCCCCTCCAGCCAAGGTTGTCACCCCTGCTGCACAGAAGAGGGAACAGAGGCTCAGAGCAGTTCCGTGACTCGCCCACACCCCCCGGCAGAGTCCAAGCTCCTGGACCCAGTTCAGTGCTCAGGCTACTTGGTGGAAACCAAGCAAGAAGGGATTGGGTAGGAGAGCTAAGGGGCGTCCTGTAGATGGTCTTTGGGCTCCAAGGCCTGGCTGTCCTCAGCATCACCATTCCTGTTCTGAGGACTCGCTGGACACTTTTGCTTTTGTACATACCTTGACCTTCCTGGTACAAGGAGCTGCAAAACAACCAAAACATGAATGGGAATAACATGTGGGACACTCAGCAGCCCTGCCCAAGACCTGGTGCTCATGCATCACGTGGCTCACTCAGCCCATGAGCCTTCCCTCCTCTGCTGTTTGGGGTCCCTCCCTGGCCAAGGACACTGTGCAGGTTTCCCCAGACAGGACCTTCAGCCTTCCGGGAATGCCTGTCAGGTAAGATGGAGCCTTTTGCCTGGCCGTCCTCTCTTCACCAGCCATGCTGTGAAGAACACTTCCAGGCTTTCAGAAGAGTGAGGTATTGGAGTCACTGTGCCCACTTTTGCCACAGCCCGTTTGACAAGCTGTCCCTGCAGTAAGAACAAAAGGGATTTGTGGGATGTGAGGGCCTCTGTGACATCTTGGTTGCTATATTAATCTACTTTGCATTGCTGTGAAGGAATGCCTGAGACTGGATCATTGATAAAGAGGTTTATTTGGCTCATGGTTCTGCAGACTGTATAGGAAGCACCATGCTGGCATCTGCTTCTGGGGAGGCCTCAGGAGGCTTTTACTTGCAGTAGAAGGTGGAGCTGGCATGTCATATGGTGAAAGAGGGAGAGAGAGGGCAGAGGCCCCAGACTTTTTTAAACAACCAGCTCTTGGTGAACTAACAGAGCAAGAACCCACTCATGACCGTGGGAAGGACATCAAGGCATTCCTGAGGGACTCGTGCCCGTGACCCAGACACCTCCCACCAGGCCCCACCTCCAACGTTGGGGGACACATTTCGGCATGAGATTTGGTGGGACAAACACCCAAACTGTATCAGCCACTGTCTGGAGCTGGCATCAGATGGCATCCCATTGTGTGCACCGAGCTGTTATGGAGAGGTCTTAGCAAGGGCCCCCAGCCAGAGCCTGAGCCTGAGGCTGAGCTGGGGGAAGGTTGGTTTTACCAAGCAGAGAGGGCCTGCAGGGACATTAAACTGGAGTTGGCACCATGTGTGTGTATGGTGTACCAGGAGCATGCCAGTGGGGGCTGCATAGACATGAACCAAGAGACCCCGACCCCAACTGTGGACCTCACCACCCACCCTCCTGCTGCCATCACCCAGGAGAGTTGGGGGCTGGGCACCTCCCCACCACCACCACCTGCCCCTCACTACCCTCTCCCCAGATAGAGAAACTTGCCCGTTTTCCCTCTCTGCCTTCTCTGGAGAAGTGGGAAGAATACATTTCCCTAGGGTGGTGGTGGGGACCCCATGTCCTTACTCCCTGGAGACCAGACCTCTCTAATTAGATTCCATGGGATGAGGCTTCCCGAGCGTTTTTGTCTGATTCGGACTGTTTACGTTTGCCGTATGGTTTATGTGTCATCTTTGCTGTCCAGCTTGCAGATGGTGCCATGGTTGCACCCATGGGTTCCACTGCCTTTTTAAACCAGTCACCCAGGGCTTCCTTCCTGTAACCAGCCACCAAACCTCATCATGTGCTGGCATTTGAAGGCAGCAGACAAAGTGCCCAAAAGGAAAGCAGAGAGAAGGCTGAACACTATCCGTGTATCACTGTAGTTGTGGAAGGTTGTTAATGTAACCAGTTGTCCAGTTTCGAGGTCTTGGGAGGCAAACACCGCAGCAGCAGCAGCAGCAGCAGCATGCTAAGCAGGTGTTCCGCTCACTGTGTTGCAGTAGAGGGAGCTTAAAGGGGCAATCTTCCAGCAGATGGAAGCTTCGATATCCCCATCCAAGCAGTCTCCTCTCACTTCACCCCAAGGTGCTGTTGAGAAAGATGAGACTGTTTCCAAGGAGGTGAGGAATGGGCCAGTCCAAGAGCATGCTGCAGGTGCTAGCTGGGGGAGGACGCCCAGGCATGGCTGAGCACTCCTGCCACTCAGAGCCTTGGGGAGGTGGGCAGGCCCCTAGGGAAGATGGAGCCCCTCTCTCCCTGCCCCTAGCCCTCATCCTGACCTTGGCCAGCAGCCAAACCCTAACCAGGGTCGTGTATGAGGGACACACATCACGTTCCCATCTCTGCCTAGGGCACTCCTATCACTCTGGTATGTTTGAAAAATGACCTGCAGCTGCCTTCCCACCCGGGATAGTAGCTCTTTCCAGAAAACAATGCTGATCGTTGTTTTCACCCACTGAATGCCGGGTCTATGTATTCCACTCTGGGGGTGGCGGGCCCTTAAAATTGGGGAGGAGGAAATCTCCTTTCTTTCTAGATAGCATGATTTCTGAGCATTAATCACCACTGAAATGATGGGATGTTTCCAATGAAAAACACATTCTGGAGGGATTATAATGGATGATGTTTTTAAAGAAAACCATGACTTAACAGACCAAGGGAAGAGAACAGTGTTCCCTTATACTGAAAAGAAGAAAGTGATCGTTGACCCCCTGGTGCCAGTGGAAGGGGCTGATCTGACTTGCAAGGCCTCTGAGCACCCTGACAGCCCAAGCCAGCCTTCTTTCTGTGTGTGATGTGGAGATAGCAGTGCCTCAGAGGCCTTTCGAATCAAATGATGCAATACATGTTCAAGGATCTGTGTGCTCTGAGCCCTAGGAGGAAGTCAGGGAGAATCAGTCTGAGGTCAAGTTCATGTGTATTTTGCTATGTCTGTGTGCTCCCCAGAAACCCAGCTGTTAGATGCCTTTCTGTGTTCTAGGCAAGGAGATACAGGCTTGAGTTCCATGACCTTAACAATGAACGAACCTTGTATCACGCGAGAGGGTAGTTACAGACAGTTTTCAATGTGGACACACCATCTCTGAGGCCTGCACTTGCTTTGGTGGGGCCTGAACCCCCCTGCCCCACCCTGCAAGGCCTGCCTGCCTGGCTGTGGCCCCCACTTGCTGTGGGCATGTGGCCAAGCCACTTCAGTTCAGCCGGCATTTCTGGAGTTACTGTTCTATGCCAGACCCTGTGCTGGTGGTACAAGAGTGGACAGTGACTTGGCCTAAAGGGAGACAGACAAGGAGCTGGCTATAGTGGCCCATGCTGAGTCCCACTGGGCAGGTATGAAGTCAGCACTGTGGGATCCAGACAGCCCCTGCCTGGGGAGCCACAGCTGGGGGTGGGTGCAGGTAGAGGGTAAGACTACTTTTATTGGGATCAGTGATATTGGCCCGTGACATTTGCCGTTGCTTTAGAATTTACAAAGCACGTTCCCTCAGGGTATCTCATTGGACCCTCACCCATCTGTCCCCATTTTACAGATGAGCAAGCTGAGGTTCAGAGTGGTGATATGGCTTTCTTCACAGTCATACAACTAGAAAATGGCAGAGCTGGTAATCCACCTTGGCTTCAAGTGCAAGATCATGTCAGAGGCTTAGATTCCGAATTTGAAACAAGAAGGAGCTGAGCTCTAAGATGCTCATGTGGTCGTTATTAAGTCAAGTATCTGTCTGCTCTCTCCCCAGCCCATGACGTCCATCACAATCTGCTCCCCCAAAGGCTTTGAGTCAGTCGTTTACACTTTAGTGTAAATCTCTTATCTCTCTAGGAGATCCTGCATGTTTAGCCTCCCCTTAATTGTGAAAGTAAAAGTTGAGTCCTTATTGAAGAATATTTGACCATCAAAAATCAAGTGCACAAGGCACTGGGGACCCTGGGGCCCTTTTCTGGGACACATGAAACTGTGCCATGGCAGCAGCCAGCACTCTGCATCCAGATCAAGAGAGGCAGATCCTCCATTCACCATCACTCCCAGGAATGTGAGCAGCCCGTGAAAGGCAGTGACCAAAATTCAGTGCTTTTCTGGGCAGGGGCAAAAAGGAGCGGGGACAGACACTTCTTTGGTGTGGAACACTGTGTGTGAGTCCACAGAGCCCGCCGCTGGGCCATCCGTGCTTTACAGAGAGAAGTCCGAGACCTGGGCCATGCTCACATGAGAGCAGTGAGCTTGCTGAAGAGCAGCGAGGTCCCAGGAAATTGCCAGGAGGGGTGGCCGCGGGGAAGTGAGGCGGGCCGCAGGGCCATGCCGAATGGTCCAAAGGCCAGTGCCTCCATCTCCTGGGTCCCCTGCCGTCCCTCCATTTGCTCAGTGTCCCTTGTCAAACCAGCCGCCTTTGCAGGGAGTGAGAGATCAGAGAGCGGGGAAGCCTGGTCATCCCATGCCCCGTCTCCACCACAGTCTAGGTTCTAATCACTGCCTGCATGTGGCTGGTAAGTCAGAAGACATCATCCCTAAGGAGTGCTTTTTTGTCATTGACCTCAGAGCAGGGCAGGTGGTTAAGACAACACAGGTTCACAACCCAGCCCTACTGCTGTCCCCATCTCACCTTGTGTGGGCATCATCCGCCATCAGATGAGTTTAGGGGTAGCCCTCATAGGGCTGATTGAGGAGTGAATGGCATCCAAGCATAGCATTCACCCCAGTGCTGGCACAGGGGAAATGCCCAGTAGGGGCTTTTGATCATCGTTATTTTCACAATCACCATCTGGGGCAGTCATCAGCCTCTTCTCTCATCAGAATCTCATTTCTTATATGGGCCTGTAAAGTGTTCACGTGTTCGAAGAACAGTCCCTCGAGTGTGCTTCAGTCCCCATAAATGGTGCGTTCCGTGGTTGGGTACCCACACGTGATGGCGGCATGGCGTGGGGCAGCTGTCTCACTGCAGCTTTTGCAGTGGATGGTGGGAAGCAAAGTTACCCACAGGGAACAGCTCCAGCCCCAGGAAAGAGGATGAGAGCTGCCCGCAGTCTCCTCTGCGCTTCAGTCCCCAAGAGCTCTGGAGGCGACCCGGCCCCTGCAGGCCATCGGGGGTCACCTCAGCCTCCTGGTTCCCTGGCTAGAAGGTCCCAGCCACAATATGCAGGTCAGCAGGCCGCGAATTCAGAGGAAGGAGGGACCCCTGAAGCTGAGACTGCCGGGAAGAAAGCAGGCGTCGCAGGGGGCGTGGGAGGGGGTGTCTGGGAAGCATTTCCTGTTTCCCAGCGACGGCACAGGGAGTGGGTGTTTTCACTGTTGTCTAACACTCTGCTGTTTCAGGTTTCAACCGCTTCCGAGGTTTTCCTCGCTCATGCCAAGTCTCGGGGAGAAACCTGCTCAAAATGCTTTTGAAGAGCTTTGACATTTCACCAGCCAAGCACCTTTTCAGTAGAAACTGCAGTTACTGTCAGGATTCCGTCAGTCTCTTTCTTTGCTATCCAAAACCAGCCTGAGGCAGGCTGGCCCCTCAGAGACTCACTCAGTGGGGACGGGGGTGGATTCATTGTGCTTTGAGAGTTCAGCCTTGCATGATTTCACCCCATCTTGGGCTTGTGCTCACCCCAGACCCAGTGCGGGGAGACAGTGGGGGGCAGCCCTGCCTGGGCCACTCTGCAGGAAGCAGAGCCCAGGCGTGTATAGTTGACATTCCTGGAGTGTTTTCCTCTTCCTGAGAGCTTTACAGCCTCCTCTCGCTAATTCTCAAAACATCCTGTTGGGATCTGGTGTTATTTACAGTTGTGATTTTACAGCTGGGAGAAGCTAGGGGAAGGGAATCCCGCTGTGGGGAAGGATGTCATCAGGGTAGGGGTGATGGAGACCTGGTTCCTCCCCTGTTGGGGGTGGTACGGGCAGGTGGGGGGCAGGGGCAGGCTAGCTGTGTGGCTTGGGAAGACTTACATGGACGCTCTGAAACCTCACATTCTGCCTCTCTGAAAGGTGGCGCCGCATCCCCAGCAGACACCACTTATTGAGCACCTACTGTGTTCTGAGCTCTGGCCACGGCAGCTGTCAGTGTGAGGATTAACAAGCTCGTACGTAAGCCCGGTCCCCCGTACACAGCAGACAGGCAGGTGGTGGGCCCTGCTGCGACGGTGACTGCCGTTACTGTTATTATTAAAGAAGCTAGTAACGCTTGCACAATGTCTCAGTATCACGCTGGTCTGGGGAACCTAACACCTTTTCTCTTTTTGCCGGAAACTCTACCTAAAGGAAAATCTCTTTTACACAGTAACTTCATGAAATAATTTGCACACAAAAAAAGCACATGAGTAAATCCAAATTGAACCTCTTTTTGCCCTTTGTGCATCAACAATTTTGTTCCTGTTTTTTCCAGTGACACCCCCTCCCTGCCTGGGAAGGGTGGTGGACAGATGCAGAGGCTGCCTCTCCACCGGGCAGCCAGCTCCGACGCACAGCTGTGGGCACCTGCTGGGGAGGGGGCTCCACTCACTTCAGGTTTCCCGGCAAGGAGCTTTTCAGCTAAATTTATTGCTGCCCCCATTTCTCTCAGTTACCTGCATCTTGGGAAGCCACATGAAATTGGATGTGATGAGCCCCTTGACAAAAGGACCAAACAAGACCAGATATGTTTTTTATAGATCTGTTTGCTTGGATGATTAAAGCCTGAAAAATGGCTTCACAGCAATGCTTGGGGCAAATTCGATGCTATCAGGAGACACTACAGTCTCCTCACTGTTCAATTAACGTTGAAGCCTTAGGGGAGGCCGACAGAGAAGGAATTCACCCCGTGCGCCCACCATGGCCCAGCTCAGGTTACGAGGGTGTCGTTCAACAGCAGCCCCTTCAGACCTGTCTGGAATCATGTTTGTCTTCAGGGCCAAAACAGCCTCTAATTGTGCTCCCTGAGGTCTGGCTGCCTGATCAACTCAGGGAGCCAGGCAGACAGGGCTGTGTGCACCTGCCTGTGGAGGGCCTGGTGACCGAAGGGCAGCCCAAGGAGTGCTAAGGGAGTGGGCCAGGTGACGCAGTGTGCCTTGCTGGGCTGCAGGAGCTCCCTGCCCAGCTCGCTGTGGCGCTTGGCCGTGCATTCACTGTTGAGAATAATAACAGCAGGATTTGTGGAGCTCCACTCTATCTGAGACCCCCGGCTAGGCTCCTATTCCACACTGCCTCTACTGCAGGAAACAATTCTACAAACAAGAGTTTGTTATCCTCATGCTGCAAATAAACTGAGGCTCAGAGAGGTTAAGTCATTTGCCTGAGGTCACACAGCTAGTAAGTGGGGACGTAGCATGCCAACAGGCACCCCTTCCCCCTGCCGCCTGACACCCCGCACTGCATGGCCTCTCCATCAAAACTCTGCTTTAGGAGAGTATATTACCTGTGGATTTTAGGCCAGGGCAGGCCTGGCAGCACCTCAGCTCAAATGAAAATGCAGCTGGTTAGGATGGTGGGCCACCAGCAGGTTACACCAGACTCATTGGCAGAATTCTCCAGTTTTATTTTTAATTATATAAGTAGCTCTTACTATAGAACACACTAAAAGGAAAATTAGTCCCAGAAACCATATGATGACATGGTAAATTTTTATAACGGTTTGTCTTCCAAACTGTTACATAGGTATACACACATCTATATTAAACAAAAACGGGGTGGTTTCTGTACATGCCACTTTGTAACTTGTCTTCTCACCTAACACATGGAAGCATCCTCTAGGGGGCTGGCCCAGACACAGCTCCAGGCAGTTAAGCAAACACCCCAAAATTCTCAAAAATTCTCCCAGGTGAGTCAGAGCCACTCATAGCCCACAGCTGTGTGAACAGTGCCCACTAGGACTCCAGCTAGAATTAAGCAAACCCTAATTCTGATGAGAGTAAAATGCCTACAAGGGGCAGAGCCCTTGGGACCACCTGCCCTCAGAACTGCCTCACACCTGGCCCTGCCTCATGGGGGCACTAGTGAACAGTGAGAACAGACACCTGTCCCTGTTGAAGGACTTTGGAGACACCCTTCCATGATCTCATGGAGCAGTTCTATTTATAGACTGGAAAATTAAAAGCCAGTGACCCATGCTAGGAAAGATAATGAGTAAATGGTGGAGATGGGCAGTGACCTGGTTCTTTGATTCCCGCTTCCGATTAAAGCTCCATTCAGTACAACCTCTTATTCACATAGGAGGGTGGAATTCATTCCATGAGATGGGGTCCCTGGACCACTCGCCACTCCTACCTCTGCAACTTTGAGCAAGACGTGGACCCGTGCCAACCTCAGTGGCCGGCATCAGCCCTGAGGATTGTTGTGGAACGTTCCGTGCTGCCGTGGAGGCCTACGAGGGGTCCACTGGGAAGAGCAGGCATACCATCTGCATATGCTGGAGACGTGCCACATGTCAGCCTTTTCCCCTCGGCCCCAGAGCAGGCTGCACAAGACTAAGACCTTTCAGAGGGGACACGTCTGCAAGGTCACCTCAAATGCCTGAGTTTTACGATGGTCATTGATCATTTCCAGGCAGAAACCTTGCCAATGCTGCACTTGGTTTTAATAGACGCACAGGGTGAAGCCCTTGCCCTTGTGTGATTTTCACATACATATCAGCAACACTCGCAGAAGAAACGGAAGCCCTTCCTGGCACTCCTGCAGGGCTGAGCCCCTTAACAGCAGTGATTCAGTGGGACTGACTCCCCAGCTGGCAGGGCACGGACACCTCTTCAGGAGATGCAGGGGAGTGAGGCGGGTTCCTCCATCCATCTGTGCAGTTTCCTCCCCAGAAATCCAACAGCCCCCTGCCCCATGCTCCTCTCTCCAGAAAGGAATAGGAGGCTGCCTGCCTTTCCCTCCTGGGTACATGTTTTGCAGTAGAGGCGGCACTGTGGCCAATGGCCCGAGAAAAGATCTGAAGAGAAAAGGGATGTTGGTGTTGCCTGCAGGTCGGCAGGCAGCAGGTGTATCTCTCTGTTTTTAGTTTTTACTTTTTTGAAACAGAGTCTTGCTCTATCACCCAAGCTGGAGTGCAGTGGTGCAATCTCAGCTAACTGCAACCTCTGCCTCCTGGGTTGAAGTGATTCTCCTGTCTCAGCCTCCCAAGTAGCTGGGATTACAGGTGCTCACCACCATGCCCAGCTAATTTTTATATTTTTAGTAGAGACAGCGTTTTGCCATGTGGGCCAGGCTGGTCTCGAACTTCTGGCCTCAGGTGACCTGCCCACTGCAGCCTCCCAAAATGCTGGGGTTACAGGTGTGAGCCACCGCACCCAGCCCTCTGTTCTTAAGTGGGCCTCATACGTGCCAAATAGTCACAGAAATTAACCCTGATTATATGGTAATCCCGTTTTCCCAGGAAGCAGGGTTTCTTTTGAATTACATAACACATTTAGATATAAAAGTCTCTAGTGATGTAAGTGGACTCATCAAATGCCTGCCATTAAGTAACTTATTGATGTAGTTATACATTCATATTTAAAGTTATGCATTATAAACATTCAAATTTAGAAATGTTGCTATTTTCCTTGGTATGTTATAAAATGGAGCCTTATGAAATGGATGCTTTGAGGTCAAAACAGTTGAATAGAAGCAGTTTTGTGTGGTGCAACCTGGTGATTGTAGTGTTGGTCTCATCGTCACCAGCTCCACTTTGAGTCGCCTGTCGGTTTGCCAGAGGGCACGTGGTTGTATCTGACTTCACTCAAATGCTGCCCTTTTTTCAGTCTGTCCCGCTCCCAGTGGACCACTCGCGTGGTTTTGCAGGGGATTGGCGTGACTTCGCTCTGCGTTTAGCGTTCGGCTCCGTGGCTTTGTTCCGCATTGGGAACGTTGGCTTTTCCCTTCATCTACCACATTTGTGTGGACTCTCAGTTTCTGGGTACAACTACTTACCAGATTGCTTTTGTAAGTGATTTTTTTTTTTTTTGAGATGGAGTCTTGCTCTGTTGCCCAGGCTGGAGTGCAGTGGCACGATCGCAGCTCACCACAACCTCCACCTCCTGGGTTCAAGCCATTTTCCTGCCTCAGCCTCCCGAGTAGCTAGGATTACAGGTGCACGCCACCACGCCTGGCTAATTTTTGTATTTTTAGTAGAGACAAGGTTTCACTATGTTGGCCAGGCTGGTCTCAAACTCCTCACCTCGTGATCCGCCTGCCTCAGCCTCCCAATGTGCTGGGATTACAGGCGTGAGCCACCGCACCTGGCCTCTAAAAAGAATTTTGACTGAAAGCCTTTGCTCCCTTACCTTTAGGCACACCTGTCATCTGGCTATAGACTGCAGTCAGGGCTGCGCCTGGATGTTGTTCTTGCTTAATTATACATATTTGTGTGTGCAGAGACACAACTACTCCTTAACAGGAAGAAAAGAGAGCTCTTTGCATTCTCCACAGGGACCTGAGAGGAGGTTCAGGTTAAGTCGGAGGCCCTCGGTTCTGAATGCCCACTGCAAGCACTTGGAGAGCTTTATAAACACTGAGCTCTGGGTCTTGGGACCCCCTCCACCATCGGATTGTATTGGTGTGGGATTTTTCAAAGCTCACCAGGTAGCTGCATGCAGTAGATCCCAGTGTGCAGCCAGCTTCCTCCAAGGTGCCCCCAACACCAGCAGGGCGGGAGTCGCGTTGCTGTAGCACCTGTCTTGTGTTCAAGGCGGGAACTTCCTTGTGTGACTTCATCCCTCAACCTCAGCACTCCTCAAACTTCCATGCGCCTGATGCCGACTCCTGAGGTCTGGGATGGAGCCCTGAAATCTGCATGTGTAATGCATGAATTTGAAAGGCCATGAGCTGCCTCCGAAGGGTTTATCTAAGAAAAGGAACAAGGCATGAAGTGGGGAGGCCCTAGGGTTGGCCTGGCCTCTCGGGTCAGAGCCCGGGTTCCAGTTTGAACGTGCCGGGGGCCCACTAGGGAGCTGCTTATAGTTTTCACACCTCCTTTGTGAGCTGAAAAAAGCAGTGCCCCTTTAGAGCAACATTCCCTCTGAATGTTTATCACTCTAAAGTGAAAAAAGACACACAAAACCTGAACCTGCTTGTCAGGCAAGGAAGCTGAGGAATCCACCTGGCTTGCAGAAGCCCCCCTGGGAGCAGACAGCCCTCCCAGGCACAGATGGGACACCACCGCCTCCCACGCAGCCTGTGTCTGGAGACTCCGCATGACCCCCAGGAAGGTCCTTTCTCCAGCAAGGCCAGGGTCAGGACCAAGAGTGAGGACACGGGAAGCACAGGATCTGCGGGGCACCTGCCTCCCTCACCACGTGTGGCATTCAGAGAACAAGGCTGCGCCCAAACCCTCCACGCCCTGCTCCCCTCTCTCCACCCCAGGTGCCATTCCTAGCTCCAGCTCGGCTGCTGTACCGGTTTTGCTGACTGCTCTCAGAACCCTGTAAATCAGGGGTTGTGTGGGCTCTGGTGGACACCAAAGTATACTCATGGACCTGGCTGTCTTCCTGGGAAGAGGCCAATGTAAGGGAGAAGAGACCATTCCAAGGGCTCCTGGGAGAAAGCAGGGGCCGAAAAGCTCAAGAGCAGAATCTGAGTAGAGGACTCAGATACCTGGCCAGTTCCTACCTGGGAAATGCTTTAAGGAGTGTGAAGAGACACCAGGCACGGTGGCTCACTCCTGTAATCCCAGCACTTTGGGAGGCCAAGGCGGGCAGATTGCCTGAGGTCAGGAGTTCAAGACCAGTCTGGCCAATATGATGAAGCCCTGTCTCTACTAAAAATACAAAAAAATTAGCCAGATGTGGTGGCAGGTGCCTATAATCCCAGCTACTCAGAAGGCTGAGGCAGGGGAATCACTTCAACCAGGGAGGTGGAGGTTGCACAGTGAGCCGAGATTGCGCCACTGCACTCCAGCCTGGGTGATAAAGCGAGACTCCATCTCAAAAAAAAAAAAAAAAAAAAAAAAAAAATTATATATATATATATATATATATATATATATATATATATATATATATATATGAAGAGGAGGGACGGAGAACAGAACCACGAAGTCTTAACCGGGTCCACTCCTTGGGAATTTGGGGGCCTCTGCTCAACTATGTTGACCAGGTTTTAGCAAACACGGCACCTCCTCATGCTGGGGCTGGAGATGCCAGCAGCCAGGGATGTCTAAATCAACACCGTCAGCCACATGTTAGTGCGTGACTCTGGTATGCAAGAAAGGTTGTACTTTGTTTTCTTTTACTTAATTCTAAGCCCCAATCCTCCAGGCTTGTGGGAAATTCAACCCCAGTCATTACTGGGCTCTTCTCCATGCCCAAGACTGGGCAAAGGCCCCGGAGCCTCAGGCAGCAGACAGTGCTTGGGAGACCTCTGTGGTCATCAGGCCCGGTCCTTCCTGGGGGCCACCAAGCCATGCTGCTCACCATCTCAAAAACGTCAGAGCCTGGAGCAGAGGCGAGCGGTGGAATGCAGCTAGCATGAGTTAATATTTCAGCTGTTGTCTTAACATCTTAGTCTCCCCTGGCTGCTGTCACCAAGTACCGAAGCCTGGTGGCTTAAACATTTATTCCTTACAGTTCTGGAGGTGGAGGATCAGAATCAAGGTGCTAACAAATCCAGTGCCTGGTGAAGACCCTCCCCGATTTACAGACCACGGTATCCTCTCACGGTGGAGAGCCAGCAAGCTCGGGTCTCTTTCCCTTCTCACACTATTCCCAGCATGGAGGCTCCACCCTCATGACATCTAACCCTACTCACCTCCCAAAGCCACCCACCTCCACGGCTCCAACATCTGCATTTTGCAGAGACACAAACATGTATTCCATAACATCTTGAAACAGTCTTCTATCAGGCAGCTGCTGTTTTTGCCCTGAATGATTGCAAGTGCCTGGGCATGACACACAGTGCCCAGCCCAGGGGCAGCCACATTGTGAGGCCATCGTCCCAGCCCCCTGACCTCGTGTAGGCCCCACTCAGGCTGTCCTGTCTCCGCAGTGCCACATTGTGAGGCCATCATCCCAGCCCCCTGACCTCGTGTAGGCCCCCACTCAGGCTGTCCTGTCTCCGCAGTGCCACATTGTGAGGCCATCATCCCAGTCCCTTGACCTCATGTCAGCCCCACTCAGGCTGTCCTGTCTCTGCAGTGCTCGTCGACCTGCGGGAAGGGCCTGCAGTCCCGGGTGGTGCAGTGCATGCACAAGGTCACAGGGCGCCACGGCAGCGAGTGCCCCGCCCTCTCGAAGCCTGCCCCCTACAGACAGTGCTACCAGGAGGTCTGCAACGACAGGATCAACGCCAACACCATCACCTCCCCCCGCCTTGGTGAGTGTCTTCACTGGCCCCGGTTCCCAGGGGGCTGCTGTGTCTCCTGCCCAGTAAGTCCTCCCTGACGGTGAGGTTCTTTCAGCCAGAAAGCCCCTTCTTGGGCCTCACTTGTCACATAAGGCTGACATTTGTCAGTTCTGTAGAAGAGGTTTCAGAGATGGATTCCATTCCTTGTTATGGAAGTGGTGTTTGCTTACTGCTGTCTCCAACACAGGCACCTGAGCGTCTCCCTCACCCCTTTGCCCAACACAGGAGAATGTTCCACAGACACTGTAGGTTTCCTGTGCATGAGGAATGTGAAGGGAAGTGCTTCTTTCTAGAAATGAAAGCTCCAGGGGCATCCTTCATGATGCCATGAGGATGCACACATGGGGCACACCCCAGGCTGATGCTTGAGCAGCAGACAGGCGTGGTTGGAGGGGCTGCAGACTGTGTGAGTGGTTTGGCCCTGGGTGCTCGGAACCTGGCCTCTTACCAGTTCATGCCCCAGGTCAGTGGTGATACAAGGAGAAGAAGAGCACTTAAAGATCTGGCTGGTTGTGGTGGCTCATGCCTGTAAATCCCAGCACTTTGGGAGGCCGAGATGGGTGGATCACCTGAGGTCAGGAGTTCGAGACCAGCCTGACCAACATGGTGAAACCCCTTCTCTACTAAAAATACAAAAATCAGCCGGGCGTGGTGGCGTGTGCCTGTAGTCCCCACGCCTCAGGTGACTGAGGCAGGAGAATCGCTTGAACCCAGGAGGCAGAGGTTGTAGTGAGCCGAGATCGTGCCACTGCACTCCAGCCTGGGCAACAGAGTAAGACTCCATCTCAACAAAAAACAATGATATGATGATTCCTTTTAACAGAGTTTCTGCTTTGCTAAATACAAGTCCCTGAGAAATATTTTCCTACCTGAGGCTGGAAACTCACCAAAATGAAGGGGATTTCTAGTATCTTTGTTCCGGGGGAGGCCTTTGAGCTGGCAGAAGTATAGTTGTGTCTTTTCAAGCACCGGCCTGCTTGGGAACTTCAGGACCTCCCTTGAGCAGGGCCTTCTCTCTGTACAATCAAGACCCTGAAGGATATTTGGGCCACTTGTATGTACTTGGACCTCATGCTTTTTGGGGTCCTTTGATGTCCACTGTTCCATGTTGTCCTGTTTTATAAATGCCTACAGTAATGGTACCCTTGGCCACAAAATAGTAAGTGCCACTTAGCTCGGAAGCAAGGTGGCCTGTGCCCTCTTCCCTGAAGAGGCAGCCAGACCACCACACTCTGTCATGTGGTTGGGTTTGGATGCAAAGGTGCATCCCTGTGACAGAAAGTGGCACCCCCAGTGCCCTGGCAGGAGGCATGGCCTAATCAGTGCAAAGGGTTGACGTGTGCACGAGGGTGAGGGAGCCCAGACGGTCAGACCACAAGCCCTCCCTGTGCCTGCATCAGGACATGCCTAGGCCATCCCTGACCCTGGGTATTCTCTCTCCTATCCCCTTAGCTGCTCTGACCTACAAATGCACACGAGACCAGTGGACGGTATATTGCCGGGTCATCCGAGAAAAGAACCTCTGCCAGGACATGCGGTGGTACCAGCGCTGCTGCCAGACCTGCAGGGACTTCTATGCAAACAAGATGCGCCAGCCACCGCCGAACTCGTGACACGCAGTCCCAAGGGTCGCTCAAAGCTCAGACTCAGGTCTGAAACCCACCCACCCGCAAGCCTACCAGCCTTGTGGCCACGCCCCCACCCGGCTGCCACAAGAATCCAACTACATAGAACATGAGCGTGGACTTGGCGTTTGCCATTAGTGCTTCCGTACTTAATATATTGTTAACAGCCACTGGCTGGCTTTCTACAGTGAGGAGAAAGTAGGCATGAGTCACAAAGTAACTTCAATTTCTAGGATTTCAGGTACCTCGAAGGGAAGCACCTCTGGCAGACAACCGTCAAGAGAGAGACATCATTTAGTGTTCTTGTCTTGACTCGCTTTTGACATTTGAATTTCCAGTGCTTGGTATATCATGGAGGAAACATCCCCAAAACGAGACATGCTAGAAAAGGCTTTATTCTGAAAGCCGGCGACACCATGGAGGGAGGGGCAGGTGTTGGTGAGCCTCTGCCCGTGGCTTCTCTGGGGAGGGCCGGGCTGCTTAGCACACGTTTCTCTCCATCTACCTTCTTGACCACATGAGAACCAGGACGTTGCCTCCATGCCCGTCTCTGAGAACATAGTCTCTAAATCCTAGGTGTTGCCTTGGAAGTCTCGTGCGTGGAGTGTAAATCTATATATGCCAGCGAGGACAGCAGTGCCACGCAGTTCATACCACCCGCATGGGAAGAATGTTCCAAGAGAGTCTGGGTTTGGGGAAGCATCTAATTTTCAGAGCTCTGCTGTCCACCGTGTAGGGAAACAGAAGGGCCTCTCTTCAAGGTGCTGTGACATAAGAAACGGTAATTGCGGTGATGGGGTTGCTTCCTAAGGCAAAGGTAAGCTTGGGCCAGCTTCACTGGGGCGGATGGGCACCTGCCCCGCCTTCCGGGAACATCCACTCTGGCCTGCACTTCCTAAAGCTTTGTACCTTAGAGATGCTGTACCACATCCCAGTGGCTTTCTACCGACCGTGGCCATTTATCTGAAGGTAAGACGACATTTGGGACCTCTGAGGACACAAGCCCAGGCCTAGGATCTGTAGAGCAAGGCCTGACTGCTCTATCCTGGCACGGAGCAGCCTGATGTGCCAGGACCAGGGGAGGAACGCCATCTGGCTGGCACTGCTGCACACCCGCCGAGCCTTCCTGTAGCCCCAGACTTTGTGGTACCCATTATCATCACGCCTGTCATCATTGACCCATCTTCTTGGTGGGGCAAGGATGATGCATGATGAAGGAAGGTCCTTCCCCCCTGCAGCCCCCTTACGCCTGGCAGCAGACAAGCAGAGTGGCCTCTTTGAGAGCACAGAGGATGGTAGCACCCTACCTGCAAGGAGGCCGGGCAGGGACCCTAGATGCCAGGAGGCCTGTTTTGCTCACCAACTTGGTGGGCATTTCATGGGTGCTTATGTTCTAGGACTTTACCGTAAATAACACCTCCTCCCTGATTTCAGACGGAAGGTCTCACTTGGACTTCCATGGGATCATCTCCCTGTGCTTCTTGATTTATTGGTGCTGTGTTTCTGTGTTTTGTTTTGTTACATGTCACAACCGTAGAGTTAGCTTAAATCAGAAAGAAGCCTCTCTGCCTTCTCCACCCTGTCTTACGAGCTGTGTTTTTGTTTTTACTACCCTAGAGGCAGAGAAGCGGTAGGGATGTCAGGGAATTTACTCACTTCCACTTGAATCAACGAGAAGTGTTGAGAAACTTCCGTGGGTGCTCTGTGGAAAGAACCGAGGGTGTCAGGATGGAGCGGCCCACCCTCGCCCCGCGGCCTGCGCAGACTGCTGTCCTCCCCTTCAGGCCTGGCCACCAGCAGACTCCCATGAATTCCCATTTTCACAAAGCCCTCAAAATTTTGGGGGCGCTGAGGTTCAATTTTCTTCATCCCCAAATGAACTGTTAATTCACTGAAAGACATTTAGACTTTTGCAGCCAAGGAGCAGAGCCGGGCAAGCTCACTAAGGAAGCCTTAGCTTGGTCTCCTGCATGGGCCCCGGGGCCTCCAGATATGCCCACTGTCACCCTGGCAAGGGCCCCACACCCTCAGAATGAAAAGGATTGATTGGGTTATTGTCAGATACCCCCATTAGTTCCCCTAAAGTCTGCATCTGCAGAGCTCTTTTAGCTCATCTTTTTGTTGTCGGTGTTGTTTTTTGAGACAGAGTCTCCCTCTGTTGCCCAGGCTGGAGTGCAGTGGCGCGATCTCAGCTCATTGAAAGCTCCGCCTCCCGGGTTCAGGCCATTCTTCTGCCTCACCCTCCCCAGTAGCTGGGACTACAGGCGCCCACCACCACGCCCACCTACTTTTTTGTATTTTTACTAGAGACGGGGTTTCACCATGTTAGCCAGGATGGTCTCGATCTCCTGACCTCATGATCCACCCGCCTCAGCCTTCCAAAGTGCTGGGATTACAGGAGTGAGCCACCGCGCCCGGCCTTTTAGCTTATCTTGAAATCCACCAGCCTACCTTCTGTTCATGGCACGAGCAGTGATTTCAGTGAAACCATCATAAACATTCTTGTTCCACTAGATGCTGATCACAGCAGTGATGTTTCTGTGTTAATACCCTGTACTGTCCCTCGAGTACTGTACCTTTGTGCTTGCACACGTGTCACTAACGCACGTGTTACCAGAGTCTCACGACCCTACGGTGCTATTTTTATTGGTGCAAAATTAAACCCTCTCAGCTGACCGTTGCTGGATAGGATCAGAATGCAGGAAAAGAGCCTCTATGGCAATACGATTGTCCTTTTTTCGTTTCAGAGTCAAATGTATCTATTTTCCATTCGTTAACTTGCATTACATACTGTACCCATGGAATTTTTGTTTTACTTTTTGGGGCTGGTTTTGAAAGGAAAAAAAACGGAAGACAAACATTGGACGCCATTATACATGAAAATTATATAGAAAAATTAATCATTTCATTGGAAGCAAGTTGAATATGTGTAATAAAATGTTTTTCCATAACAGTTTAAAGCTGTCTGTGAAGTAAAAGACATAAGCCAGTCCCCAAGGGCTGTCTCCTTCCCCACTGTGGTGGCCACCTGGCTTGCCAGGGACTTGGCTGCAGGGAGCCTGCTGGCCACAGCTGGAGTTGGTGTCAGAGGTCACTGGGAAATGCAGTTCGGGGGGATGGCTGCCTCTCCCTGAGCGAGTGCTAACAAATCTTTCTTTCAGTCCTGGCCTCATCCCGTTGTGGTTGCAAAACCCTGGGTGGGGACCTGAGGGTCTGACAGTTGTGCTGTGAGCCTGCGCATCTGATGTAGGGCAGCCACCTCACTGGCAGAGTGGCCCATGCTCCAAGACCCATGCTGCAGAGTGCACGCCCTGGCCACGCTGGCTGGAGAGCCATGCTGAACTCTCCAGCCGCTACCCCCACCCCCACAACCCTGCCAACAGCCCTCACAGCTTCCCTCTGCCAGCAGATGTGACGGCAAGTCCCGGCCCTGCACATCCCCCAGCACTGCAGACAGGACAGGGGTTCCACACCACCACAGTGGGAACAACCACAGCCATTTGGATCCCATCTGGGCCTGACATGGAACACACATGTCACAGCTTACAGGGATGGGGAGTCCATCTCCTCCTGGAGTCAGGAGAAACCCCTACACTCACAACCTTAGAACCCTCTATGAAGACTAAAGCAGGCCAGGTGCAGCAGCTCACACCTGTAATCCCAGAACTTTGGGAAGTTGACATGGGAGGCTTGAGGCCAAGAGTTGACCAGCCTGGGCAAAATAGTGAGACCCCTGTCTACTAAAGTTAGCCGGGTGTGGTGGCATACTCCTGTAGTCCCTCCCAGCTACTCAGGAGGCTGAGGCAAGAAGGTCACCCGAGCCCAGGAGTTGGAGGCTGCAGTGAGCTGTGATTGTGCCACTGTACTCCAGCCTGGACAACACAGCAAGACCCTATCTAAGAAAAAAAAAAAAAACTGGTGTAGCACCCAGAAATCTCACTAAAAAAATAATTTGACAGACAACACACTGCCCACAGCCCCCTGGACACTGGAAAACCTGTGGTTTGTGTAAATTCTCAAGAACCGTCGCCCACCTGCCTCCAGGAGGTGTTAGAACCCTCTTGTCCTTCCTCCGTTCTACCCTTTCTGGCGGGTTGGCTTTTAACAGCCCTGTTCATGTGGAATTTCTTCATGAGCTGCTGTGATTCCTGGATGGCCCCAGTGATTCCGGTTTGTTAGATGAAATTGACAAGCTGTCCATCAGCAAGTGTCAAGTAGGCATCTGTTGGGGACCAAGCACTTCCTAGAACCAAAGAGAATGCAAAGGAACAGAAGTCTTATTCAGGAGCCCACAGCCCCACGGGGCAGAGAAACCTGGAGACGCGCACAGCTGGGAATGAGCCCGAGGAACAGAGCTCGGAAGAGGGAAAGGTCAGGATGTCCTCTGTGGGTTTGTTGACTGACCTTCTGGACACAGATTAGAAGGGCTGGGGTTGGAAGCTTTTACTGCAGCACCCTCTCTCTGTAAAAGGTCTCAGCAAAAGCCTTTGCATTTCTGCTCCCAGGTACAAACTTGCCTGCATGTGTGTCCACCTTCTCTGCCTGACAAGGAAGCAGTGCCCAGCCTTCCTGGAAAGCCAGCCCTCCCACCATCACTGACCTCCCCCCTTCCCCAGCAGCGCTCCACACACCACCTCACCTCTGGTCATGAACTCCCCTGGCTTTTGCCCTCTGCTCTGCAGTAACACTCTTCTTGACAGGTCACCAATGACTTCATGGCATCAGGTTGCGTGGACATCCTAGTGTCCTGTTCCCCAGCTCCCAGCAGCCCTCCCCTTTGACACAGCCCCTCTGCAGCACCACACACTGCTGCCTTTCCTCGCCTCTCCCCACCATCCAGCTAGTGATGGAGTGCCCCAAGCTCAGTCCTCCACCCTTTTCTATGTACTTTCTCCCTAGGTCATATTACCTGGACTCAAGAGTTTTTACACCATGTACATTCTGTTATCTTCCAAGTGAACATTTTGGGCCCTGACAGCCATCCCGGCCCACCTCTGTACTCACGCATGACTCTCCACGTGCATATACTCAATCCCCCGGGAAGTTTGGGACTAAGATGGCGCTTCATAGTTGTCCTAAATCTGCAATTTCAGCAGAGGGTTTGGTGAGGGCAGCTCACCTCTGCTGGGGTGGCTCAAAGGTCAAGTAGAGACTGGAAGGGTCAGAAGGGCTATAGTCTTGCACCTGTGGCCGGTGATGACAGCTGTCAGTCAGAACTTCCGCTAGGACCATCAGCCGGGACACCTGCAAGGGGCCTCTCCAAGGGATGGTGGGATTTTGGTGGCAAACATCCCAAGAGTGAGCTGCACAACCTCTTGTGACAACTCAGAAGTTCCACAGCATCACTCCCACCATACCCTAAGAGCAAGGCAGGCACAAAGGCTCACCTGAGTTTAAGGGGAGGGGACAAAGAGTCCACCTCTTGCTGGGGGTGGTGTCAGGGTTCTGGAAGAACAACTGGACTGGGAAATACTGTTAGGGCCATTTTTAGGAGATTCACACACATCCCCTGTATTAGTCAGGGTTCTCCAGGGAAATGGAACCAAGAGAATAGATGAGATTTATTAAGGGAATTGGCTCACATGATGATTGGAGGCCAAGAAGTCCTGCCACCTGCTCTCTGCCAGCGGGAGACTCAGGAAAGCTGCCACTGCAATTCAGTCTCAGTCCAAAGGCCGGAGAACCTGGAGTTCTGGGGCCGGAGAAGATGGATGGTCCAGCTCCAGCAGAGTGCAGATTTACCCTTCGTCAGCCTTCCTGTTCTATTCGGGCCCTCAGCAGATTGGACAGTGCCCACCCACCTTGGTGGAGGTGGATCTTCTTTACTCAGTCTATGGATTCAGACACTCATGTCTTCCAGAAATAGCCTCACAGACACTTCCAGAAATCATGTTTTACCAGCCAACTGGGCATCCCTTTACCCAGGCAAGTTGACATATAAAATTAACCTTCATATTCACACATGCAAAATACACTCACCCCTCCCCCACCCCAGCCCTAAAGTCTCATCTCCTTTCAGCATCAGGCTCGGGACTGCATCCCCTGAATCAGGTGCCGATGTGGCTCCTCCAGCATGGTTCCCCAGGCACGGGCCCTTGAGCACTGGTTCTAAAATTCCGTGAACTAAAGAGACACATCCTCTCCCCTCCACCCAGAGGCTCAAGAGAAGATGGTGGCAACGGCATAAGACAACCACTGCAGACACTCCCTATTTTAAAAGGAGGGACAGAGAAGGCACGTGACAGGCACCATCCAGCAGCTGACGTCCAGTCTGGCACATGGTGCCAATTCCATTAGGCTCAGTCCTACTGCCAGGGAACGATTCTCCTTGGACTGCCTCCAGAAGCCAAAGAGGCTTTTGGCATATTGTGATTCATTCTTAATGATAGGGGAGGCATGATTCAATAAAGTGTCCTTCCTTTTGGAGAGCATGTTCTGACACGCCCCCAGCTACTTGGACTCCTATGAACTTCACTGATAAAATGAGCCCTTGGGCTGGGCACGGTGGCTCATGCCTGTAATCCCAGCACATTGGGAGGCCAAGGCGGGCGGATAATGAGGTCAGGAGATCAAGAGATCAAGACCATCCTGGCCAACATGGTGAAACCCCATCTCTACTAAAAATACAAAAATTAGCTGGGTGTAGTGGCATGCGCCTGTAGTCCCAGCTACTTGGGAGGCTGAGGCAGAAGAACTGCTTGAATCCGGGATGCGGAGGTTGCAGTGAGCCGAGATGGTGCCACTGCACTCCAGCCTGGGGGAGAGAACGCGACTCCGTCTCAAAAAAAAAAAAAGAGGGGGGTGCCCTCAAATTTTCATAGGGCTTTTCTCCCCCAGCCTAGAGTCCATGTGTCCTCCCACAGCCTCTAGTCTACTTACCACTCCTGTGCATCTGGTCTGATTAACATGATGTCACAGATACAGTGGATCAGTCCAAGTTCTTGGGAGAGTCTTTACAATCCAGGCCCTCTCAGGCAGTATCATAACAGAGAATTAACATCAGCCTCGGGGAGGACAAGTGGAAACTTGTGTCTGTCACACTTCTTTGGCCCCACTCCTCCTTTCTGATATGGATGGAAATGAATGCCTTCCCCAGCCACTGGCCATCATCCTTGCATCTGAATCACGTTAATTTGCTCTAGCAAAGACATCACACCTGGCACAGCAGTTTGTGTGGGGCTCATTCTTGGATACAATTGCAGTAGTCCACTGTGGTCAGAGAGGATCCACTGTGAATTTCGTAGATGCCAGACTGAGGAATTGCATGGGAATATGATGGGGACAACCACAGCAGCATCCTTTAGGTCTTTAAGAATGACATTCATAATGCTATTCTCACTGGGTTGCAACATTGCTATTGATTTACTGTCTTGCCTGGTGTCATGAGTGGTGCAAGATTAGAGATAACCAGGTCCACAAACATTTGTATCTTTCTACAATGTCAGACTTTTATTGATGCCATTTCAATCACAGAAGCCCAAAGTTCGATGGGGTTCCCAAGTATGCAGTTCTCCTTAGTACTACCCATTCACTTGGTAGTCAGAGCCATGGGCACCAGGCTCAAGCCCCTCCACGGGTCAGTCAATATTGCAAACCACGCATAATAGTATACATAGTCACTCACGCCTATAATCCCAGCACTTTGGGAGGCCAAGGCAGGTGGATCACCTGAGGTTAGGAATTCAAGACCAGCCTGGCCAACATGGTGAAACCCTGTCTCTGCTAAAAATACAAAACTTAGCCAGGCATGGTGGCAGGTGCCTGTAGTCCCAGCTACTCAGGAGGTCGAGGCAGGAGAATCGCTTGAACCTGGGAGGTGAAGGTTGCAGTGAGCCGAGATCACGCCACTGCACTCCAGCCTGGGTGCCAAAGCTAGACTCAGTCTCAATAATAATATACATAGTCACTATATAAATGTTACAGATTAAACATTCCACAGTAAACAAAGTAACATTTAACATCAAGAGAAAAAGATTGAAAGAATTAATCAACCAGGCCAGGGGAAGTAAGACAAAATGAGTCCTGGACTGGGTTGGCCAGTCCATCGGTCTTGCAAGGAAGAGCCTTTGATATAGCAGAGCCTTTGGAGGCAGATGTGAAGTTCTTATCATAAGTGACTGCAAGACCATGTCAATTAAGATGGCCAGTTGAAGCTGCTGAAGGGCTGGCTGTTCTTTTATGGTCACAGAGTCCTCTGGTGAGAACTGATAGTACTAAATAGAAGAGTATGCTTATTTGTGACCTTATCTGGTTGGATGCTGTCTTAATTTTTTTATTTGTTTCCTAAGCAAAACATCTCATCCTTGTTGGCAAAGTGCCCTATGAAATATACAATTGAGGGAGGCCGAGGCGGGTGGATCACGAGGTCAGGAGTTCGAGACCAACCTGGTCAACATAGTGAAACCCCATCTCTACTAAAGATACAAAAAAATTACCCGGGCATGGCGGCACGTGCCTGTAATCCCAGCTACTTAGGAAGCTGAGGCAGGAGAATAGCTTGAACCTGGGAGGTGGAGGTTGCAGTGAGCCGAGATCACGCCACTGCACTCCAGCCTGGGACAGAGTGAGACTCCATCTCAAGAAAAGAAAAAAGAAATATATAATGCAGTCCTTTTCTAAGATGGAGTTAGTTATGTCAAGGGTGCTATATACACCCGGGGAGAGGGAGGTAGTTTCACAGACTTCCACTTGGCCCTCCCCATTACAGTAGTTTTTTACCCTACAGGCCAAGGACCAAGTCCAGCCATTACCAGTACACATTTAGGGAGGGGGAAACCATCACTGCGAGGCTTCACGGACCCACCAGACCCACTGTGAACCAAACCTGGACCAGGCCCCATTTATTATGTGAACTCCATTCCTCGTCACTCTGAAACGGGGACCACAATGACACTCAGTAGCCGGGGTACCAGTGTCAACTTGGATCCTGTGTGCAAGTCCTCTAAATGCCTGCGTATCTTTCTCTCCAACAAGTCAATGGCTGTAGGTTCCTTTGGGGAAAGATTGGGGGCAATTAATTGATACCCTTCTCCCTGGGACCCAACCTCTCCTTCAGTCAATGGATTCTGGGCATGAAAACCGGCTCAGACTGGAAACTGAGCAAGACGCCATGTTTGACAGGATGGTTGCTCTTGTGATCGCCCTTTTTTAGTCAATGTGTAAACTGAGTAATACTATAAATGTACAATGAATTGAGTTATAGGTGGGAAGTTGGCTGCTCCTCTGTCTGGCCCTAGTAGGGCTCTATTAACTATTTCCAACCCCTGTCTGTAGGTCAGGCCCCCTGCTGCTTCTCTGACCTTGCTGCCCCTCATGATCTTACGCCCACCCTTTTTCTGACTGTGAAGGGCTTACCATGTGGCTTTATTTTGTGATCCTATTAGCCTCATGGCTATCAGGGAGCCCAGTTCTGCACAGCATCCCCTGCTGTCAGCCATGACCTACAGGGAACCGTTCTGCTGGAACTTCTCCACAATGCTGCTGCCCTTTCAGCAGGACCTCCTCACTGCTTTGGGAAATGGAGGAGTTTCCCTCAGACCCTCCTATGGAACATCGGATGGGGGCTGGGAAGGTGTTCCAGCCTTAGAAAGAATATCCTCTCTAGCAGGCCCAGCCTCTGACTCTTCTGAACCCTCTATCTCTACCTACCAAAACACTTCTTTTTTTTTTTGAGACTGAGTCTCACTCTGTCACCCAGGCTGGAGTGCAGTGGTGCAATCTCAGCTCACTGTAACCTCTATTTCCTGGGTTCAAGCGATTCTCCTGCCTCAGCCTCCTGAGAACCTGGGATTACAGGCGCCCACCACCACGCCTAGTTAATTTTTGTATTTTTAGTAGAGATGGGGTTTCGCCATGTTGGCCAGGCTGGTCTTGACCTCCTGACCTCAGGTGATCCACCTACCTCAGCCTCCCAAAGTGCTGGGATTACAGGTGTGAGCCACCATGCCCGGCCCCTACCATAACACTTCTACTGCACTTTGCGAGACCATCACTGTCCCCAAGGTTCTGTGAGCCATCTGTCTCCCAGGGTCCTTGGGAGGGAGTTAAATCCATGCAGAGAACTCCCGCTGCAAGAGGTAGAATTCCCCCTTCTACCTTCATGTCCACTGTTCCTTATCCAGCACTTCAGATCCGGTCTGGTACACTCTCCTGGCATCTGCATGTCCGTTCTTGCTAGGGCCTGCAGCTCCTTCGGGATCTAGTTCCTTTCCCCCTCCACCTGAGTTACATTGTGACTTAGGAATCTGTCTGGTGGCCAGGAGGGGAGGTGGGGGAGATCCTGATTCTAACACAGCATTTGTATTATCTTACAAGGCACAGGACTCGGTATCATCTTTAAGCAAGGGAGCAGTGATAGATAGCTTTAATAGGGAAGAGAGGGCCACTTCCGCAGGCTGGAAAGCGTCTAGAGAATGTGGGGTTTCACAGTTTTTAGGACATTTACTGAGTTATCCCCCCTTCCAATCCCAGAATCCCACTCCTTCGTAATCAGGATTCTGACCTGCATGTAGCCAACTTCCTGGGGTTGAGGATTCAGCCTTCTCTGAAGCTTCTGTAGTCATTACCATTGAAGCCTGGCCTGATCCTCAACGCTTTCTGCCCTCTTAAGACATAAGGGCCTCGTTTCACACTTCCCCTTAAATTAGTGATTAATCATCTGTAGCATTTTTATTGTCTTTCTCCAATGCATCACTAACACTGGCAACAGCCACTTCATTTCTTTGCCTTGGAATTTCTGTTTCCCTGTATCTTTCAAATGACTGAGCTATTGCGCCATCAGTGAAGGCTTAATCATTGCCCATACAGATGCCAGAGGCTTCCCTCCTGGGAGGTTGGTGAGGGGGGGGGGGGGTGCGGGGGAGCCCTTGTATCCAGCTGGCAGGTGATGGCAGCTCCAAAATCCTATTTTAGGGTCTGCTTCCTATAGGACCACTCCTGGCACCAGCTGCCTTAGTTTGGGTTCTCAAGAGCCAGTCTGAGATGGAGGCTTGTGGGGAGGTTGATTGGGAGGTACCCTCGGGAATCCTGTGATGAGGAAGAAAGGATTTGGCACAGGCAGGTACCATGGGGAGCTGTAGAGTGGAACGGTTGTCTCAAACAGAGGCAAGGTGGCAGGCCTTCGTGTATCACAGGACGAATGCCATCTTGAGGGTTCACTGTCTTCTGCTGAGAGGGTACTGGGGACAGACTCAGTTGTGAGCAGCCACCACTCCTGGCAGCTGGGGACAGCCCTCAGTCCTGAAGGGGGATCTGTGTGGCATACCACACCATACACCACATGCCTTAAACTTAGATTGTTACAAATTAAATGCCCAATTAACTGCGGCTTCCCCAAATCAGTAAATGGCACCACTAACCAACTAATGTCTGATATCAAAACATCAAAGTCACCTTTCTTTCCTCAGTTTCCCTTCCTGTCCTCAACCCAATTCAGCCACAGATACCATTGGTTCTACCTCCAAAGGATATCTCTAATCTGCCCACTTCTCCCTATCTTCACTGCCACGCGGTGGCTGTGCGCCAAGTCGCAGACATTTCACCAGGACCCCACAGTAGCTTCCTGTCATAGTCCATTAGGGCTGCTATAACAAACACCTTAGCCTGGGTAATTTATAAATAGAGACATACTGCTCCCAGTTCCAGAGACTGGAAGGTCAAGGTACCAGAAGAATCAGTGTCTGGTGAGGGCTCCCCCCTACTTGAGAGATTCTGCCTTCTCACTGAGTCCCCACATGGTGGTAGAAGGGGCGAACATGCTCTCTGGGTTCTCTTAGTAACGACTCTAGTCCCATTCATGAGAGCTCCACCCTCGTGGCCTGATCACCTCCCAGAGGCCCTACCTCCCAACACCACTGCACTGAGAATTAAGTTCGACATCTGAATTTTGGGAAGACACAAACATTCAGACTATCACACTTCCTGACCGTCTCCCTCCGACACACTCTCCACACCCTAGCCAGGGTAATATCGGAAAAACGTAAATCATAATAAAAACTTAAGTGGCATTCCCTGCTTAACATCCTCTGATAGCTTCTCACCCCTGTGGTCCTCTCAGACCCCCGTTCCCTCCTCTCCTACCCTGTCCTTCCCGCACAGGACGCCCAGCCAGTCTCCCTTCTGTCTGCGAGCCTTCTGCCCTCTTCCCCACCGGGCCTCAGCAGGTGCTGCTCCCCACGTAGGTAACGCTGCCATCTCACATCCCGCGGGTCTTTCCCCTGCTGAAATCTCTGCATCCGCCATGTTTCAGCTCCCACATGACCCCTCACACAGCTGTTCCAAGCATCCAGCTAACATGGCCTCCCAGTCACGGTTGCTGTCCTGAAGCACCGCTCGGTCCTTGTCACAACCCAGAATTATTAACGTTTTTGCTTGTGTAGTGTCACTTTCCCATCTAGAAAGCAAGCTCCCCACACACAGAACTCATGTGGCACTTTTGTATAGCTGGAGCCCTGGTGCCCAGCATGTGCACCCCCTAAGTGAATACACTTAACCTTTGTTAGTTCCCATTCTATTGCTTACATTATGTTCAGATAAGCTAAAGACTGTACCAGGACATGTTTATACTGGGTAATAAAAACATACTCTAACTTTTTTTTTTTTTTTTTTTTGAAACGGAGTCTTGCTCTGTCACCCAGGCTGGAGGGCAGTGGCACCATATTGACTCACTGCAACCTCCACCTCCCAGGTTCAAGCGATTCTCCTGCCTCAGCCTCCCAAGTAGCTGGGACTATAGGTGCATGCCACCATCCCTGGCTAATTTTTGTATTTTAAGTAGAGACAGGGTTTCACCATGTTGGCCAGGCTGGTCTCGAAACTCCTGACCTCAAGTGATCCACCTGCCTCAGCTTTCCAAAGTGCTGGGATTGCAGGTGTGAGCCACCGCACCTGGCCAAACATACTCTAGTAATTTTTTTGGCTTATACCTCAAGTGATACAGACATTTGGACAACCAGATGTACATCAATAAGGAAAAGATGCTTACCATTTTCCAAATGCTCCCCCTTGCCAACAGAGATAGGTGTGTCCAGGTGGCTGTCATGGTGATAGAAGCTGTTTTCTCGTCTTTTCATTTGATCTGTGGAATAGGAAAGTGATGACTCAGAAGGCAGAGAACATTCATGGTCTGGAGAGGATCTTTGAAAAGCCTGATGTGGCGCCACCATCTGGTGTCTCTAGAATAAAAGTTCTAACCGCGCGGTTCATGGTATCTTCGGGACAAGCCCACGCGCCGGCTGGGACCCAGCATGACATGGGGGCTCGCCCACTCTGGGATTTCCTTAACCAGGGACCACTGTCATGCCTCGTGCACTGTGAACTTGTCATCCCCGTGGCTTGGAAGCCCTCCTCAGAAAGACATCCCCTTTCAGAGCCTGAGCAGCCACAGCATTTCAGGGGACCACATAAAAAATGACCAAGAAGGCCAGACACGGTGGCTCACACCTGTAATCCTAGCACTTCAGGAGAAGGATGGAGGAAGAAGGATCGCTTGAAGCCAGGAGTTCAAGACCAGCCTGGGCAACATAACAAGACCTCGCCTCTACAAAAAAATAAACAATTAGCCAGGTGTAGTGGTATACTCCTGTAGTCCCAGCTTCTTGGGAGGCTGAGGTGGGAGGATCAATTGCTTGAGCCCAGGAGGTTGAGGCTGCAGTAAGCCATGATCACGCCACTGCCCTGCAGCTTGGATGATAGAGACCCTGTCTAGAAAATAAAAAGAGACCAAGAAATAGGAATATTTTCCTCCTAGAATTGCTCAGGAGAACACTGGGATTTCCTCTGGAAAAGACTAGACACTTATGTCTGGGGGAATCCATCCCATTGTGGCAAAAAGAAGGTAAAGGACCCAGTGAATCAGAGTTTGTTGGAAGCCTGGTGTGGTGGCTCACACCTGTAATCCCAGCACTTTGGGAGGCTGAGGCGGGCAGATCACTTGAGGCCAACACGGCAAAACCCTGTCTCTTCTAAAAATACAAAAATTAGCCAGGCGTGGTGGTATGTGCCTGTAATCCCAGCTACTCAGGAGAATCGCTTTAATCTGGGAGGTGGAGTTTGCAGTGAGCAGAGATGGTGCCACTGCACTCCAGCTTGGGTGACAGAACAAGACTCTGTCTCAAAAACACAAAAACAAAAAAAACAGAGTTCGTTGTTAAATAGAGCCCAGTAGAGCCAAAACAAAACTCCTTCCTGGCAGAGCCATCAGGATAAATGTCAGCCCTTAACAGGGGCTGCCACAGACCCCACCGTTATCCATATTTACCTACAGCCCAGCACTGCTGTGATGAGGCTCAGGGAAAATAACAGGGTCCCTGAAGTCTCCAACAAGCTCTTTCCTACCCACCCTGTCTCTGTCTCCAAAGTTTTCTCTTTCCACGCACCTGATCCTACCCTCTCACTTTTCTGCCTCTTTCTCGTGTATTTGTTCTCTCCTCCCTCCCTACATCCATCTCTCCTTCGCTCTTCCCTCCCTTTCCATTTCCTGCATTATTTCCCACCTTCTCCAATTTAAGAGGGTTATCCACTTCTGACTTGGCCCCATCATAGATGCAGAAGCTTCCACAGAGGGTCAGCTCGTAGATCCCTGGGGACTCGGGGGCTGCCCTAAGGGCTGTGTTTCTACTGAGCCTTTAGAATACCAAGTACCCTTTAAAAATTCACTTGCAAACTACCCACCCAGTATCGTTGCAGACTGTTCTTTAGAAGTTTTAGAGGTCTCTGCGTGCTCACTTCCAACTTATTTCTGTATGTGCCAGTCACACGTTCAACAATTCTTTGGCTCACAATGTATCCCCAGCAATTGGCTTTCTCGCCACTGAGGTTAGTTTTAACATGCCAGCTGATAGTTATAAAACAGCAATTCTGGAAATCCCATCCAAGGATTGCTCTGTATTAACACATCATCAAAATAGTATATTGCAAAGTCAACATACGATTGTAACTGTTGACCTATCAAATACTGAAATATTTTGAAACCTCAGTGGGAGCCAAATGCCATTTTATTAAATTGGGATACAGGAAAGGAAGAGTGTTGCAAATGTCGCAGTGGTGTTAGTTTGAGATGTTAGTGGGTTTTGCCAATATTTTCTCTAACAAAATAATAATGTAATATATCTATGTCACATTAGAATATTGTATGTTTATTCTATAGATACCTACACTCACATATATACATACACACAGTGCATACATGTGAAGTGTGGCCACAGAGTTGACGTGGGACAATCTACTGTGGTTCATATCTAATGGCCATAGAGCAATTTCAATGAGGTTCCTGCAACCTCTGGAGCAATGGCCCCATTACTCAATTAAGACAGAGGCTCCCAAAGCGGCTGCAACACCCATCTGAAAATGTTAAGTTATGGTATATAAAAATTTATATCATGACTCATATATTCAACAACCGTTTTACAATGTAAGTCAATAAACTTCTATTGAGCAGTGTGGCAGATACAGGGTAGGGGTGAAGGATGAATGCACACAGTCCCCTGTCCTCAGAGAGTCATAACAATATGTTACTGTGCCCTTCTCTTGGAAATGAGTGACTCTGCCCAAATGTGGAAAATATTTAAGTGAGTTCAAAACTAACACGGCTGTTGGCTCTGAATACAGAATAAACAAACCTCTGCCCAAAGAGAAATCAGATCCGCTGTCTTTCTGATCTAACTCAGCAAAGCCAAGTTCTCAGAGTTTGAATTCCTCCCGCATAAGCACCCTCAAATGCACTTCTTGCCTCTGACATTGCACTCATCCCAAATATCACTTCCTGATGGCATGACCTGTGCTTTCTGAGTGTGTTGATGGGTCAGACCACTGAGGAGTCCTGCGTGGCTCTCTCTGTCCAGACCAAGCTGGCTGGTCAGGATGAACGGCCATGTCTATCTATACAAGGCTGGTGGCTTATGTGAGCTAGACTTACACAGCTGTTTTAGGATGTTCAAAAAGATCAAAGAGCAGGAAATCATGAAACAAAATCAAGTAGATAGAGAAAAGAACCAACAAGAAAAAAAAATTCTAATTGACAAGCAAAGTGGTTACAGTGAAAACCTCGAAGCCCTGGGTAAATGCGAGAGACAAAGGAATCCAACACAGGGCTCGTGAATGGGAAAGTTACTTGGAAGAGGGAAGAGTTGTACCCAGAAGGCAGTGTAGAGAGGCAAAGGAACTTTTTTAAAAATTAAAGTGTAGGCAGGGCGCGTTGGCTCAAGCCTGTAATCCCAGCACTTTGGGAGGATGAGATGGGTGGATCACCTGAGGTCAGGAGTTCAAGACCAGCCTGGCCAATATGGTGAAACCCCATCTCTACTAAAAATACCAAAATTAGCCAGGCGTGGTGGCATGTGCCTGTAATCTCCGCTACTCGGGAGGCTGAGGCAGGAGAATCGCTTGAACCCAGGAGGCAGAGGTTACAGTGAGCCAAGATCACACCATTGCACTCCAGCCTGGGTGACAGAGCAAGACTCCATCTCACACACACACAAAAAAAAGTAGTTAGGCAAAGAGTTTGAGAGGTGTTGACTTCTGTCTAAACGCCACTCCAGAGATGAGAATCAAAGAAATGGAAGAGGAAATGTATTGAGATCATGGCTGGGGATGTGCAAGAATTGAAGACAAGAGTGACAATGCACAGAAGTGAATCCACACCTCATACATCATATTGAAACTACAGAGATCAAGGAGGAAGAAGAAATCTTAAAAGCAACCAGAGAAAAGACAGGCACCCTGGAAGGAATAACAGTCTGACAGCAGGTGCCAGAGGGAATGGAATAGTATCTTAAAGTGCTGAGAGCGGTCGTAGCCGTGGCTGTTTAGTTCAGCTATTAGCATTCCATGGAACAGACTGTGGGGAGCGCCACTTCCTCCTTCTCCAGAGTCTCCCACAATTGACAGCGGACATTTCTCAGAATCCCGGCTCCCGCCCGGGGACTGTGTGTCTCAATGAGTGGCTCCACCTTGCTCCGTTTTTACAAAAGTGAGAAACCTGAGAGCCAGCCCATAGACAGAACCTCCCCAAGTCCTGTCACTTTGGTTTTTTTTCCTTTTTTGTAGAGATGGGATCTCACTATGCTGGTCTCGAACTTCTGGCCTCAAGGGATCCTCCTGCCTTGGCCTCCCTAAGTGATGGGATTACAGGCGTGAGCCACCGTACCCAGCCCATGTCCTTTGTCTTAAATTCCCACATGTCCATCCCTGTGGGCACTGCTCCGGCTCAGGCCTGTTGCAGGAGCCGCCTGGCTCGCCTTGCTCCCTACCACCTCACCAATACCAAAGTCACTCTTTTCAGACCGCTAACAGGGGCTCCCTTTACTGCTTCCTACTCAAAGCTCTCCCAGCTCACCCTTCAGGCAATGTGCTCCCCCTGTTGCCCCCTGCCCATGCCTGGGATCCCCATTGTTCCAAGCCAGGGGTCTACAAACCAGGGCTCACCGGCCACACTGTTTGGATACCCCCTCTGCCCAGTCCCTGGCTGTGGGGTCATTCCCAGCTGTGCCACATGATCGCTTTCAGCAAAAGCCTGCAGGTAACTCTGGGTGCCACACTTCTGACTACTCTGAGAATCGCATCCAGTCTGCTCTACCCCTCTGTATAAGTTGATCCTTTAGAAAGGCATAGGAATTCCAGGCAAGGACAAAGCCTCTTTCCTGTGGCCTTGCGTGTTGTTCCAGTCCTTCCCGGAGCCCTTGTTCTTCCGTGCATCCCCCATACCACAGCCCACACCACCCCTCCCCACATGCCTTCCTGGTGGGCACCAGAGCTTCCCCTTCCATTCTCCACAGTCTCTTTCATGCCACACCCTGGTGGGTGCTAGGCAGGACATAGGCTGGGTCCAGGTTCCCCCTCTCAAGTGGCATGAGGCCCGTGCCCATCCACAAAGGACCCCCAGCCCCACCAGGGATGAGAATCCAGGGCTGAGGTGCAGAGCCACGTGGAGGCCAGAGAGCTGTGCTCCTGGGTGTGAGGAGATATAACCATGTCTTTTATTTTCTGTTTCCTGATGCTTTGACATCTGGGGCCTTGCCAACCCTGAAGGGATGGCCCCTCCCAGGACTATTTCCTAGAGAGAATAAAGAACTCACCCCCACAGCGTGCTCCTCAAATGTGAGCCAACCAATCCAGAGGCCACACCCCTGGCCACACCCCCATCCTTCCAGCCACCCCCACCTCCCCGCGTTGCCCCAGGGCGAGTACCAGGCAACTAGAGACAGGCCCAACACCCCAAAGCCTGCAGAAATTAATCAAACAGGCCAATCCCTGGCCTGTCTACCCTGCCTTGCCCAGTCCTTCCCATGGAACCACAGTAGAGGCTCTTGTCCATGTTTTATTCCTGCTGCCTCTGCCTCCCGCCCAGTCCTGTGCTTCCTGGCACGACCCCCCATGGCACACTCCCTTGTCTTGGGAACTGTGAGTAACAAACCATCTTTTCAAGGGCAGCTGCCTCCTGATCTGTTGGTCCTGCTGTTCCTCACATTCTCTCTTAATGTATATTTTAAAACAGAGGGTAAAGAAGAAAGTGGTCAGGACTCTTGGGAGGATTAGAGACAGGAACATGGGGCCTATTTGCCAGGACGGGTGGGTTCTAAGGGAGGGGAACAGATGGGTCATGCGTTACGTCAAGGCAGGTGGTCAGCAGCTACCTCCTGCCCTGCCACGCCCCACCTACCCACCCTCGGCCTGCCCGTGGACTGCACTTCCTCCTCAGGTTGGAAAATAAGGCAGACTCTTCCAGGCTCTCTTCTAAAGGAGAGCACACCAATAAATCAAACACCAAAGTATGCCTTCTTCTCATTTTATTCTAATGCAAGCATCCTGGAGTCTTCTGTACCTTCTATCCATGCACCCTGCCCTCCAGCCCTCTCTCTGTAAGGCTATGTAACACATGGCCTTGTCTGAACCAAAACTGCCTCCCAGAGGCTGGATGGAATGCTGGCTGCAGGGTCTGGGTCCTGAGGCAGATTGATGGGTGAACCCATCTCAAAATGAGATCCTGCTTGGCTTTGAGTCATGAAGCCCCCTGAAAGTAATCCAGGACTGTCGGCCACTCTACAGAGTGGGTGCAGCCACATTCCACACCAGGAAGACCAAAGCCAGAGAGGCTGTCACATCTCTCAGAGCCACATAGCAAAGAGTGATTCACTCTGCTTCATGCAGTCCATGGAGACTCACAGAGGAGAGGACACCTGAAGGAGAAGTGAGGATCTGGCAGGCAGAGGAGAGGAAGGGCTTTCTGGACAGAAGGGACAGGCTGTGCAAGGGGACAGAGGAGAGTGGGAAATCGGTGGCACATGAGGTGCAGCATTGTGGGGTTGATAGCAATTGAAACCGGAGGTCCAAAGACCAGCATGTTTCCAGTTTTGCCCCCCGCCTCCAGGGCCCACCACAGGGCCTCGTGCAGATGAAGGATTCAATAAAGATTTCCTGATGAATGAATGAGTTTAAGACACAGCCATGGACAGAGACGTGGGACCTTGAATGCCAGACCAACAGCATTTTGCCTTCTGCTCAGAGTGGGCCAACTGGGCTCCAGGCAGAAAAGGACACCTAATTAGACCTTCTTGCTTCTACAGAGATCATGCCAGGATAGCCAGGGGTGTTTCTGGGCTAAGCTGGATGAGCTGGTTAAGCCATGCTCTTGAAATAAATAGCTTGTACTGTTTGTCCCCCAAGGACAGAACATGCTTCGTGGAGCCTGTCTCATTATTCCTTGCAACATACATATGCAAAGCATTAGCGGGCAGATTTCCCAGCTCTGGCTTGTTTAGAGAGTGAAGATTTTTGTCAAGGTCACACAGCACATGAGGGGTGAAACTGAAAGCAGCAATGACCCTCAGCCCCTTGTCCTAACCATGTTCTTCTCTGATGCTTTTCCCCCTTGCTTCAGCCAGGGGCCAAGGCTGACCTACCAAATCATGACTCAGCTCCTATCTGCGGGTTAGGCCCAGGACAGGGTCTCCTCCTCCAGGCTGGGATGCCGGCTCCCCACAGCGGAGTGTAACTTGCTTACTACGGTGTGGCTCTGTCCTGCAGTGATTGTCACCTCTGGGGGCCAGGCAAGATTCAAGCCCCTGAGGGGAGAAGGAGATGACTCATGTATGCCTGAAAGAAAGCAGGAAGGAGGTAGAAACTGGACCCAAATGGAAGAGCCTGGCCTAGCCCCTTGGGAAGTAACCAGAAAGCTTCCTCACCCAGCAGACCTCCTTGACCTCCAGAAGGCTCCAGCATGCTTATATGATTCCCAATTCTCATTCCGGCACCAGAAAGCTGGCCTCTCCGCTCCATTCCACAGTTTTAACAAATATTGAGTGAGTTCTCATACGTGCCAGGCACTGCACTGGCCACCATGCACGTGGCAACTTCCACATCCATAATAGCATGGGCTCTGTGTTAAACACGTTAGAAGTCAAGAGATACAGTGGTAGACATGACAGACACAGCCCTGCCCTCGTGAGTTTACAGTCTGAAATCGTTGTATTTCAGAGAGTCAGGGCAATATAGTTTTGGAAAGACTACAAATCCTAGTCAGAGAGACCTGGATTCAAGACACGGGCCTAGCTTCTCACCAACTGGTTACTAAACAATGTGAAAATGGAAGTTTGGACTGACATCAATATGCAGAGATACCATGTGCCCAAGACAATACCTGACCCCAAACCATCAAACCAAAACCCCTTACCCATGGGTATGGATGTAAAAAAGCTGGGCTTTGGTGATTAAAATATTTCTTTGGAGATAGCCACTGGTGTGCCTCGTTCCAGCCCTGCCAATGAGGAGATGGTACCTCCCACCCATCTTGGGCCTAGAAAAGAAGAGGGGCTACATGGAGACCTCAAAAGGGACTTCATACCATACACGTACCCAGATGTTTAGGCAGCATAGTGGATGGGTACCTGGCTCACAGCTGAGAAATCCAGATGGAAAGAGATTGGCCCTTTGTTGGCTGGGGCTGCCAGGACAGAAAGCCACAGAAGTGGCTTAAACAAAAGAACTCTATTTCTCATAGTACTGGAGGCTGGAAGTCCCAGATCAAGATCCAGCAGGGCTTGGTTTCTGGCGAGGGTGCTCTTCCTGGCTCTCAGACAGCTGCTGTGTCCTCCCATGGCCTTTCCTCTGAGCACTCTTGGAGAAAGAGTGAAGGAGAGTTCTCGGTGTCCCTTCTCATAAGGATACTAATCCTACGGATGAGGGCCCCACCCTTATGGCCTCATTTAACCCTAATTACCTTGTTATAGGCCCTGTTTCCAAATTCAGTCACACTGGGGGTTAAGGTTCAACATATGAATGGGGGGCAGGGGGACAATTCAGTCTATAGCAGGCAACCTAGCTACTTTGATGGCAGAGGAAGGGAGGTAGCTGCACCAGAATCAGCCTGCACTTTCAGAGTGTGTCAGAGTAGAGACAGTGGGGGGCCATGTACGAGAGACAGCTGATGTGCGGTGGCTTAGGTCCTGTCCAAGGGGACTGTGTGGTGAGGAGACAATAGGAGAATACCAGCTGTGATCCACCAGCGTCCCTGGAGCTGAAGAAGGAGTACTAACCGCAAGTAGAGAAAAGCCCATCTTCTACATCAGCCTGCAGGAGAGAGATGTCAGCAGATAACAGGGTGATGGATGTGTATCTCCAGGCCACCTATGAACGTGCTCTAGGAGGCAAAGTTAGCTCTGAGCACTTGCAAGGCCCAGAGAACAATCATATTTGATAGTCACATCAGTATCTGCCAAGAAGGAACCTTCCTGGTCCCCTTTCCCCTCCACCTGCCCCCAGCCCATGGAAGACAAAGAATTCCCAGGTGGGGAAAGCTCTAACAGGCTTACTGTGGACTCTTCCCCCAGGCAATCTTCCTCCTGAAGCCAGAAGAGAAAGAATAGATTCAACTTTAAACGAAATTCAGAGTTGTATTATGCCACGAAACTGGATAGTTTTATTACTGAATCGAGACCATATTTTGCAACTTAAGTTGACTTGAGAAAGTTGACTGGGAAACTATTTTTATTACCTTGGAGAGACCAAAAAAATTCATGGACCAAAACTTTCATCCAGGGTCAGGGGAAGAACCAGCCCCAAGAATAGATTTATAGAGACAGTGAAGAGGTGGCAAGAACATGCTTCATGGGGACTCCCCCGACCTGGAATTTGTGTGTGTTCAATGCCACAGGTACACATGCTACATGGTTTGCCATCTTAAAATAGGGATAATATAACTTGCCATGGAATATTGCTCTGAACGTTAAACTACATATGTTAATGTCTGCAAGACACCTAGGACAGCACCTGGCACTCAGTAGGTCCAAAGACATGGTAGCCAGTGTGATTGTTGTTGGTGATAGTGTAGCAAGAGCATTAAGAAGTACCTAGAGGTTAGAAGTCTCTGCAACTCCGAGCTTGCTTTGTGTCTTCTCCCTCCAAAGTTGACTCTCATGTTAAGGTCAGTTTCTAGTACTATGGAATTCCAAGGAAGTTCCAAACTGCAAGGAAATCTGACCTCTCTCTCTCCCCCAAGCCCAATACAACATTTGAATTTTATGTGGAAATCTTAAACCTCTCCTTCTCATTTGGTCTCACTTGGAGCTTTGAAAATATAAGATATGCCATATATGGTTTCTCCCCAGACTCATGCCGAACACTAGTCACTGTTTTCCAGAAACCTCAGCATCTGCTCAGCTATCTAGCCCCTGGGATCACTGCGAAATTGGACTAATACCAAGGACCGGTTACCACAGTACGTCATCTACTCATGAATACTGTTAAGTGAGCTTGGTTTCAAGAAACCTTAAACCTTCAATGCATAACTCAATTCAGTCTTTTCTTGGCATTCCAGAACATGATTAATGGTGACGCCATGCCACAAATAAGTTATACATGGCTCAGAACTCTAATTCACAATTGATTAGTCCATGAACAATAGCCCTGAGTAACGTAGTGTTAATGGCCAGCCCCGGTGGTCTGTTCCTACCAGAAACCCATTACTAAGTCCACCCTGTGTTTTACAGCATCCCTACTGGAGCCCAATATCTGCTTATGGGGGCAACTGCTTTGTTTAATGGTTGCTAGCCACGTGCAATTAGCTAGAGTAGAACAGACACTTTAGAGGTTACTGCTTCAGCCTCCTAGTGAGAGGATGGGAAATATGATTTTTTAAAAAGTCAGTTTGCCTTCAAGTGGATCATATTCCCACAGACTGGGAAATAGATGCCTTCACATTGTGCTTTGGATGAGGGCAGGGAGAAAAGGCAACCTGTAACCAGTGATTTCCAAAGGCAGCAGGGGTCACTGGCTGCATGGGCAGGAAGTGAAACTCTTACAGGCCTGCCAGGTGGAATGGAAGGATGTCTGAAACTGTAGGGAAGGAAGATACATCAGACAGTGAGAGGGAATGAATGTGAAGACAGGGGGGACAGGTGGCAATGAAATGTGAATCCACATGAAGAAATAAACAGCACTGATAAAGGTAACTACATAGGTAGATATAAAAGACAGTACAACTGGAATTTTTGTAACTCCTTTTCTCCTATTTGTTTTAAAATAGGAGAAAACTATATGAAACAAGCCTCTGTCAATGGACACATAATGTATAGAAATGTAATTTATAATAAGAGCATAAAAGAAATACACTGTGACCTATATGAGAAAAAAAATCAAGAAACAATCCCACTTAATATCAAGAAACAATCCCACTTAATAATATCTATCAAAAAATAGAAATAATTAAGGAGGGCAAAGATCTATACACTGAAAACTATAAAACATTGATGAAAGAAATTGAGGAAGACTTCAATAAGTGAAAAGATATCCTGTGTTCCTGGATTGGAATAAATAATATTGTTAAAATGTTCATACTACCCAAAGTGACCTATGGATTCAATGCAACTCCCATCAAAATTCCAACGACATTTTTCACAGAAATAGGAAACAATTCTAAAACTCATATGGAACCATAAAAGACCCAAATAGCCCAAGCAGTCTTGAGCAAAAAGAACAAAGCCAGAGGCATCACACTACCTGACTTCAAAATACACTACAAAGGTATAGTAATCAAAAGAGCATGGCACTGGCCCCAAAACAGACATATAAATCAAGGAAGCAGACTAGAGAGCCCCAAAATAAATCTACACATTTGCAATTGATTTTTTCCACAATGATGGCAAAAATACATGATGAGGGGAAGGACAGTGTAAATTAAATGGTGCTGGGAAGACTGGATAGCCACATATGGAAGATTGAAATTAGATCCTTATCTCACACCATATACAAAAATAAAATGCATTAAAAACTTAAATGTAAGACCTGAAAATGTTAAACTATTAGAGGAGAACATAGGGGGAAGTTTGATGACATTGGTCTGGGCAATTATTTTTTGGATATGACCCAAAAAGCACAGGCAAAAAAAGCAAAAATACACATATGGGATTATATAAACTAAAAAGTTTCTACACAGTAAAGAAAACAACCAACCGCATAAAGAGACAATTTACAGGAGAAAATATTTGCAAACCATACATCTGATAATGGTTTAAATCAAAAATATCTGAAGAACTCAAGCAACTCAATAGCAAGAAAACAAATAACCTTATTTGTTTTTAGTGAGCAAAGGACCTGAATACACATTTCTCAAAAGGAGACATACAAATGGCCAACAGATATATGAAAAAATTTGCAACATCACTAAACGTTAGAGAAATGCAAATTAAAACCACAGTGAGATCTCACACTTGTTAGAATAGCTATTATCAAAAAGATGAAAAATAACAAGTGTTGGTAATGTGGAGAAAATGAAACCCTTGTACATAGTTGGTGGGAATGTAAATCAGTACAACCATTACAGAAAACAGTATGAAGGCTTCTTAAAAATAGAACTACCATATGACCCAACAATCCTACCACTGGATATATATACAAAGGAAATCGATATGTCAAAGAGATATCTGCACTTCCATGTGCACAGCAGCATTATTCACAAAGACCATGATAGAGAAACAACCCAAGTGTCCATCAACAGATGAATAAAGTAAATGTGGCTGTGTATACAAAATGGAATACTATTTAACCTTAAAAAGAAGGAAATTCTGTCATTTGCAAAAACATGGATGATCCTGGAAGATATGTTAAGTGAAATAAGCCAAACACAGAAAGACAAATACCACATGATCTCACACATGAAATCTAGGCCAGGTGCTGTGGCTCACGCCTGTAATCCCAGCACTTTGGGAGGCCAAGGAGGGCAGATCACTTGAAATCAGGAGTTCGAGACCAGCCTGGCCAACATGGTGAAACCCTGTCTCTACTAAAAATACAAAAATTAGCCAGGTGTGGTGGTAAGCACCTGTACTCCCGGCTATTAGGGAGGCTGAGGCAGGAGAATTGCTTAAACCTGGGAGGCAGAGATTGCAGTGAGCCAAGATCGTGCCACTGCACTCCAGCCTGGGTGACAGAGCATGACCCTGTCTCAAAAAAAAAAAAAAAAACACTAAAACAGTTGAACTCATAGAAGCAGAGAATATAATGGTGCTTGCCAGGGGCTGGGGTATGGGGTGTTGGGGAGATGTTGGTCAAAGCATGCAAAATTCAGATATACATTAGGAATAAGTTCAAGAGATCTGTTGTACAGCATGGTGACTATAGTTAACAATGTACTGTATATTCAAAAATCACTAAGAACATAGATTTTAAGTGTTTTCACCACAAAAAAATACATGAGGTAATGCATGTTAATTAGCTAAATTTAGCCATTCTACAACGTGTATATATTTCAAATCATGTTATATACCATAAATATTTATAATTTTCAACATAAAATATTAATTCATTTTTAAGAAGTCCTATTGACCAGGCACGGTGGCTCGCTCCTGCAATCCCAACACTTTGGGAGGCCGAAGTGGGTAGATCATGAGGTCAGGAGTTCAAGACCAGCCTGGCCAAAATGGTGAAACCCCATCTCTACTAAAAATACAAAAATTAGCCAGGTGTGGTAGTGGGCGCTACTTGCGAGGCTGAGGCAAAGAATTGCTTGAACCCAGGAGGCGAAGTTTGCAGTGAGCCAAGATCGTGCCACTGCACTCCAGCCTGGGTGACAGAGCAAGACTCCATCTCAAAAAAAAAAAAAAATTCCTATTACAGTAGATATCAAAGGAAAGAGATTTAAAAGAAACTACCAGAGCAATGAGAAAAAATCTATACCCCAATATCATGAAACTCTGTATCATCTATAGACACCCTGCATTTCACTATTACATGAGAGAGAAACTTTGGTGTTAAAAAAAAAAAAGAAAGAAACTTCTAACCTTACATAGCCTGGCAGAAGTTGAAGAGGTAAGGTTTGCCAAGTCATTATGATAGAGATGGGAAATAGAGGAAGAGATACTTGTGGTTGAAAGTAAAAATAAACTGAGTAAGGAAAACCTGGGCTTGAATCTCAGTCATCCCTTTTTTAAGCATTTATACCTTAGAGAAGGTACTTAACTACACTATCTGCCAATTTCATCATCTATAAAATGAGAATAAATATACCTAACTTTCAGGTTGTTTTAAGAATTACCTATAATGGGCCAGGTGTGGTGGCTTACGCCTGTAATACCAACACTTTGGGAAGCTGAGGCAGGCGGGTCACTTGAGGTCAGTTTGAGACCAGCCTGGCCAACATGGTGAAACCCTGGCTCTATTAAAAATACAAAAATTAGCCAGGCACGGTGGTGGGAGCCTGTAATCTCAGCTACTTGGGAGGCTGAGGCATGAGAATTGCTTGAACCCGGGAGGCAGAGGTTACAGTGAGCTGAGATTGTGCCACTGCACTCCAGCCTGGGCGACAGAGCAAGACAAAAAAAAAAAAAAAAAAAAAAAAAATGTATATATATATATATATATATATATATATATATATATATATAATGACTAGTTGATATAATACATTATTTTTAAAAAGAGCATGAAGATGGAGGAGGGAACAAAGCTATATAGTAACAAAGTTTTTGTATACTATTAAAATTAAGTTGATATTATTACATACTGGATTACTATAAATCAAGACGTTAATGGTAAACTCCCAGGGCAACCACTAAGAAAATAACTCAAAAATATATTGTTAAAGAAAAAACAAGGGAATTGAGATTGTACATAGAAAATATCTTTTTAACAGAAAAGGCAGTAATGATGGAATTGAAGAAGAAAAAGATATAAGACTTAATAGAAAACCAAACAGCAGAATGGCATACATAAATTCTACCCTATCAGTAATTAAATTAAATATAAATGTATTAAACTCTCTAATTAAAAGGCATAGATTGTCAGAATGGATTTAAAATAAAAACATGATCCGACTGTTATCTATGAGAGACTCACTTTAGATTCAAAGACGCATATAGGTTGAAAGAATTAATAAAAGGATAGCAAAAGATGTGCCACACAAACAGTAACCAAAGGAGAGTTGGAGTGGCTATAATTATTTCAGACAAAATTGACTTTCAGTCAAAAATTGTTACTAGAGACAAGGAAATAATTTTATAATGATAAAAGGGTCAATCCATCAAGACAATCTAACAATTACAAACTTATAAAATACAACAGTTGAACAATGTCATCAATCTACTATATTTAACAGATATTTATAGAACTCCACCCAACAATATCAGAATACACATTCTTCTCAAGTGCATAGGGAACATTATCCATATGCTAGGCCATAAAACAAGTCTCAGTAAATTAAAAGGATTCAAATCATACAAAGCATGTTCTCCAACTATAATGGAATTAGAAATCTATAATAGAGAGAAATTTGGGAAATGCACAAATATGTGAAATTAAACAACATACTCCTAAATAACCAATGAATCAAAGGAGAAAGTGTTAGGAAAATTAGAACATACTTTGAGATAAATGAAAATGAAGACACATTCCAAAACTTATTGAATGCACTTAGAACGGTGCTCAAAGAGATATTTTTAGCTACACAAGCTTTCACTTCAAAAAAAGTAAATAACCTACCCTTCAACATTAAGAAACTGGACATGAAGTACAGACTAAACTGAAAGCAAGCATAAGAAATTGAATAATAAAAATAAGCGTGGAAATAGAAAAATGAGAGAAAAAAATCAATGACCATAAAAATTATTTTAAAAAAATCAACACAAATGACAAACTATTAGCTATGTTGCCCAAAAAAGAAAAGAAGACTCAAAGTATTAAAACCAGAAATGAAGATGATATTACTACCAAACTTACAGAAATAAAAAGGATATAAGGGAATATTATGAACTGAATGCCAAAAAATTAGATAATCTAGATGAAGTTGACAAATTTTTAGAAAGGTAAAAATTGCCAAAACTACTTCAAGAAAAAATAGAAAATATGAATCGATTATGACAAGTAAAGAGATTGAGTCAGTAATCAAAACACTTTCAACACACACAGAAAAAGGCTAGGACCAAACGGCTTCACTAGTGAGTTCTACCAAACTATTTATGAGCTAACTAATCTTTGACCAAGTTACCCAAAAATAGAAAATAAGGGAACATTTTTCAACTCATTATATGAGGCCGATATTACCTTGACGCCAAAATCAGACAAAGTCATTAAAAGAAAACTATGGGTCAATATTCCTCATGAGGCTGGGCACAGTGACTCATGCCTGTAATCCCAGCACTTTGGGAGGCCAAGGCAGGAAGATTGCTTGAGGTCAAGAGTTTGAGACAAGCCTGGGCAACATAGCAAGACACCATCGCTACAAAAAAATTTTTTTAATTAGCCAGGTGTAGTGGTACATGTCTGTAGTCCTAGCTATTCTAGAGGCTGAGGTGGGAGGATCCCTTGAGCCCAGGAGTTCAAGGCTGCAGTGAGCTATGATTATGCCACTGCACTCCAGCCTGCATTACAGAATGAGACCCTGTCTCAAAAAAAAAAAAGAAAAAAAGAAAAATGTCCCTATGAGTATAGATTCAAAAGTCCTCAACAAAATAGTAGCAAACAGAATATAGCAGTATATTACAAGAATTAAACACTATGACCAAGTGGGATTTATCCTGGGAATGCAACCTTGGTTCAACATATGAAAAATCAACCAATGTAATTGCTTTAGTTTCCTATGGCTGCTGTAACAAGTTACCATAAATCTGGTGACACAAACTAGATAGCATCTTTAAAACTCTGTTTCTATCATTACATCATCTTCTCTGATTCTGATTTTCCTATATCTTTTCTATAAGTACTCTTGTGATTGCATTAGTTCCACCCAGATAATCCAAGAAAATCTCCCCACCTCAAGAACCTTAACCTAACATCTACAGGTTACTTTTACCACATAAGATAATATATTTATAGGTTCTGAAGATTAGGACTTGGGCCTCTTTGAGTTGTCATTATTCTGCATACCACATATTAATCAGATAATGTTAATTTAATAATATAAGATACCAATAGAAGTGAGAGAAACTAAATATTAACCAAAAAAAGGAGGGGGAAAAGCATAATCATCAACAGATTCAGAAAAAGTACTTGACAAAACACCACACTCTTTCATGATAAAAACACAACACACTAGGAACAGAAGCGAAGTTTTAGAGTAACATCAGCAAGATGACTGACTGAAGACCCTCGCACTCATCCACCCACAAAGACAGCCAAAACAACAAACAAACCACCACTTTTTGATGAAAATAACTAAAGGAGGGCACCAAAGTACATCAAAGGAGTAGCAGAAACCCTGTAGAGCAAAGAAACCCACTATTGCCCCACGGAGAAAGGAAGGAACACAGCTCACCTCTGCCACCCCATTTCCCAGTTGGGATCAACTAAAAACTAGGAGGGACTATTTCCTACAGAGAAAAGGTAAGAACTTCATCAGCCTCCATTATCACCTTGGACACCTGTAGTTCTCACAGGCACTAAGGCCAGCCTAGGGAGTTGCCTGGAGTTCACACAGCTGTGCTCCCCCAAGAGAAGGAGTCAACATTGTGTCCCACTCCAGTGGCCTGGCTACTGTGCTATGACATCTTGGAACCAGAATCACTGCTGGAGTGTGTCCTGCTCCAGGAGTGAGTGATCACAGCACCCTCAGCACCTTTCCATCCCTGAGGCCTTGACACCACTGGGCCATCCCTGCCTGGTGGTCTGCCATCCCTGAGAAGAGCTGCTGCTACACCCTACCCCATGCGGCCATGCTACTGTAGAACTACTTCATCTACCACTCCCAGTTGCTACTGTGCCCTGCCCCTCCAGGCCTGAGCTGAAGTGGCACACTGCATCCTGGGGAAATGCTACATTGGCTGTCTAGAGCATCCATACTCTCCAGGCCAGAACTGAAGTGGCACCCTGCATTCCAGCAAATGGTGCCCTGACTGCCCAGAGCAGCCACACTCCCCAGGCCTCAGCTGAAATGGTGCATCACCTCCGGTGTAATTAATGCCTTGGCCAAGCTAAGCAGTGGCACATCCCAGGGATGAACTGACATGGTCCCCTGTGTCCCAGGGAAATAGGGCAGTGGCTAAGCTGCGACACCCCATCCTACTGGGCAAATAACTGTAGTACCTTGCTTCTCTGGAACTGGACTCACCCCTAGAGTCTGAGCTGCTGAGACATTTCACTCACAAGGAATAGTGCCATTGTCGTACTTCTCCCTGCCTCCCCCTCCCCAACTGGCGCTGTGGACCCAAGTGAAAGCTGAACTCTGCTAATCTGAGATCCTTGTTGCAGCCTCACCTTGCCTTACCGAGCCTCCCATTTCCCACCATCCCAGGGTCCAGAGTCATGACTACATGGTGTTTCATCCCCCCTACGCCTGAGTTGCCATTGTACCCTATTGGCTCTGGTTCCTGAATTGCAGCTGTACCCCTGATGCCCAGGCTCACACCTCCAGAGCTCCCCTTCTTCTATGAAGCTAGGCCAGTGCTATTCCCTAACCCCTAGAGTCGGAGTCACAGCTACAACCCGGCCGCCTGGGTTCAAGCTGCTGGGAGTTGCCTCAGATTATAGACTCTGGCTCTGTGGGCAGTCTGCATGCAACCCTTCCTTCAGAGATTGAACCTGTACCCCAAGACCCAGGTGCCACAGTTCGTTCTCAAGACCCTGAGTCCAGGGCCCAAGCTCCACATTTGCTCTTGTCACCTGTGACCTGGAACCCCACGCTGCTGCAGCTGCTCGTGGGCTGTGTCAGAACATCAAAAGGGGTCCTCTCAGCTAGTCTTCTCATTGTGGGGAAAAGAAAAACAGGAGGACCCCAAAAGCTGTTGCCACCTGGGATCCTAACAACCTACACTGCCACTGCTGCTGCCACATATTGCTATAGCCTAGGCTACTGAGGCACCCAGTCATTGCTGATGTTGATCGTAGCTGAAGCAGCTGCATGGAGGTTATACTACTGTGTCTACTCAGATGCAGAGTAGAACCACCATATTCTTCCCAACTGGTATACTAAGACTTTCCCTGCAAAAACCACTCTGTAAAGTTTGGAAAAGGTAATCATTCCATCAGATGTGCAGACATCAATGCAGGAACACAAGAAACATGAAAAAGCCAGAAAAGGCCAGACATGGTGGCTCATGCCTGTAATCCCAACAAACACATTGAGAGGCTGAGGCAGGAGGATTACTTGAGCCCAGGAGTTTGAATATGTTCCCCATAACTTCCTATGTTACCCACTCTGGGTAACATAGGAAGACCCTATCTCTACAAAAAAAATGTAAAATAAAAAAATTACTCAGGCATGGTGGCACATGCCTGAGATCACAGCCACTCAGAAAGCTGAGGTGGGAGGATTGCTTGAGCCTGAGAGGTTAAGGCTGCAGTGAGCCATGATCATGCACTGCACTCTAGCCTGGGTGACAATGGGACACTGCCCCACTCCCCTCCTCCCCCAAAAAAAGGAAGAAGAAAAAGCCAGGAAACATGATACCACCAAAGGAACATAATAATTCTCAGGCAACTGACCTTCCCCCCTCCCCAGAAAGGGAAGTTTACAAATTGCCTAAAAAGGAATTCAAAATAGTGACCTTAAGAAAACTCAGATATAAGAGAATACAGATAGACAATTCAATGAAATTAGGAAAACAGTTCATTATCTGAATGAGAAATTCAACAAAAGAGATATCATAAAAATTTAATCAAACCTTGGAGCTAAAAAATTTAGTTAACAAAATAAAACATACAATAGAAAGCTTAAACAGCAAACTAGATCAAGGAGAAGAACGAATCTTTGAACTTGAAGATGAGTCTTTTAAAATTAGTCAGAGGAGGGAAAACAAAGAATGAAAAAGAGTGAAGACAGCTTATAGGACCTGTGGGATGCCATTAAAAGAACAAATATTTGCATTATGAAAGTTCCAGAAGGAGAAGAGACAAAGATAGAGAAAGAAAGCTTATATAATAAATTGCTGAAAACTTCATAAGCCTTGGAAGATACATGGATATTCAGATACACAAAGCTCAACTTTTCCCAAATAGATTCAACCCAAAGAAGTCCACTCTAAGACACATTATAATTAAACTATCAAAAGTCAATGACAACATTTTAAAAGCAGTAGCAGAAAAATGTCAAGTCACATAAGGGAATGCCAATTAGACCATCAGTGCATTTCTCAGCACACACCTTGTAGGGCAGGAGAGAATGGAATGACATATTCGAAGTGCTGAAAAGAAACTGCTAACTATACTGCTATACTCAGCAAAGCTGTCCTTCAGAAATAAATGAGAAATAATCTTTCCCAGACAAACAAAAGTTGAAGGAATTTATTACCACTAGACCTTCCTTACAAGAGATGTCTAAGGGAGTTCTTTAAGTGGAAATAAAAGGACACTAATAACTAACATGGAAACATATGAAAGTATAAAATTCACTGGTAAAGGTAAATATATAGTCAACTCTAGAATATTCTAATATTGTTATATATAGTTCTATAAAGTATATATAGATACAGATAGTATAAAGGTTAAAGACCAAAATAGTCAAAGAAAAAAAAGCTATATTAAGAGATACATAATATAAAATGATGTAAACTGCAACATCAGAAATATAAATGAGGGAGGGTAAAAGTCTAATGTTTTTGTATGTGACTGAAATTAAGGTGTTTTCAGTATGAAATAGTCTATAGTTTTACGTAAGCCTTATGGTAACCACAAAGAAAAAAAAAGTATAGCAGATACACAAAGTAAAGAGAAAGAAATAATAATAGTGCTACAGAAACTCATCAAATCAAAGATGAACAAGAGAGAAAGGAACAAAGGATCTACAAAACAACCAGAAAACAAAAAAGTGGCAGTAGTAAGTCCTTACCCATCAATAATTACTTTGAATGTAGTAAGTGGATTAAATTCTTTAATCAAAAGACAGAGTGGCTAAATGGATTTTTTTTTAATAATAAGGTTAAGGATATGCTGCCTACAAGAGACCCACACTAGCCTTAGGGACAAACTGACTGAAAATGAAGGGTTAAAAGATATTTCATGCAAATGATAACCAAAAGAAAGCAGTGCAGCTATAATCACAGCAGATAAAATAGACTTCAAGTCAAGAACTGCCACAAGAAAAATGCACCTACTAAAAATGCAAAAATTAGCAGGGTGTGGTGCTGCACATCTGCAATCCCAGCTACTCAGAAGGCTGAGGCAGGAGAATCACTTGAACCCAGGAGGCAGAGGTTGCAGTGAGCCAAGATCACGCCACTACACTCCAGCCTGGGTGACAGAGTGAGAGAATTCATTAAAAAAAAAAAAGAGAGAGAAGAAAGATTCCAACTAAACACTAAACATTTAGCCTAATATTATGCCCCAAGGAACTAGAGAAAGAACAGATTAAACCCAAAGTTAGCAGAAGGCAGGAAATAATAATCTGAGCAGAAATAAGCCAAATAGAGAACAGAAAAACCATAGGGAAAAATTCAATAATAAGAGTAGGCTGGGCACAGTGGCTCATGCCCATAATCCCAGCACTCTGGGAGACCTAGGAGGGTGGATCACTTGAGGTCAGGAGTTCGAGATCAGTCTGGCCAACGTGGTGAAACCCCGTCTCTACTACAAGTACAAAAATTAGCTGGGTGTAGTGGCATATGCCTGTAGTCCCAGTTACTTGGGAGCCTGAGTCAGCAGGATTGCTTGAACCCAGAAGGTGGAGGTTGCAGTAAAAAAAGATCGCACCACTGCACTCCAGCCTGGGCAACAGAGTGAGACTCCCCCTCAAAATAATAATAATAATAATAATAATAATAATAATAATAATAATAATAGGAGTTGGTTTTTTGAAAAAAAAAAAAAAAGCCCTTAGCTAGACTAAGTAAAAAGGTGAATAGACTCAAATACATAAAATAAGAAATGAAATTGGAGCTATTACAGCAGAGATTGAAGTGGTAATTTAAAATCTCCCAACAAAGAAAAGCCCAGGACCAAATGGCTTTACAGATGAATTCTACCAAACTTTCAAAGAATTAATATCAACGCTTCCTTAACACTTCCAAAAAATAGAACTGGGAGAAATACTCCCTAACACATTGTATAAGACCAACATCACCTTGATACCTAAGCCAGACTAAGACACCACAAGAAAAGAAAACTACAAGCCAATATCTCTGATAAACATTGATGTGAAAATCCACAATAAAATTTGAGGAGCAAATTGAGTTCAATAACACATCAAAAATATTGCACATCATGATCAAGTGTCATGCAAGGCTGTTTTAACTTATGCAAACCAATCAGTGTTATACATCACATTAACAGACTGAAAGACAAAAACCACATGATCATATCAACTGATGCACAAAAATCACTCAACAAAGTTCAACGTTATTTCATAATAAAAAAAACTCTTAACAGTTTAAGTATAGAAGGAAAGTTCTTCAAGATAATAAAAGCTAGTCATCAAAAAGACACAGCTAACATCATAAACAATGGGGAGAAACAAAGCTTTTTCCTCTCAAATCTGGTACAGGGCAAGGAAGCCCACTCTCACCACTTCTTTTCAGCATAGTACTGGAAGTTCTATCAAGAGCAATTAGACAAGAAAAAAATAATAAAAAGATACCCAAATCAAAAAGGAAGAAGTAAACTTATCTCTATTTGAAGATGGCATAATCCTATATGTAGAAAATGCCAAAGAGTCCACCAAAAAAAAAAAACCTGTTAGATCTAATAAATGAATTATGTAAAGTTACAAAATACAAAATCAATATACAAAAATCTGTAGCATTTCTATATGCAAATAATGGTCAAACTGAAAAAGAAATCAAGAAAACAATCCTAATTACAGAAGCATAAAAAAAATACTTAGGAATAAATTTAACCAAGGAAGTGAAAGACCTGTATACTGAAACTATAAAACACTGATGAAAGATATTGAAGAGGACACAAATAAGTGAATATATTCCATGCTTATGAATTGGAAGAATTGATGTTTTTAAAACGTCCGTACTGCCTAGAGCAATATATAGATTCAATGCAATCCATACCAAAACCCCAATGATATTCTTCATAGAAATAGCAAAAAGAATCCCAAAACTCACATGGAACCACAAAAGACTCCAAACAGCCAAATTAATTTTGAGGAAAAAAAAGGTGGAGGCATCACACTTCCCAATTCAAAATTGTATTACAAAGCTATAGTAATCAAACACTATGGTACTGGCATAAAACCAGACATACTGACCGGTGGAATAGAGTACAGGAATAAATCCAGTCATAATTAGTGAACTAATTTTCAACAAGGGCACCAAGAAAGACAATGAGGAAAGGATGGTCTCTTCAATAAATGGTCCTGGGAAAACTGATTTCCACATGCAGAAGAATAAAACTGGACTGTTACCCTACACTGGATTCTTATCCATTTTGAGTTGATTTTTGTGTAGGATAAAAGAAAAGACCTAAACCTAAGACCTGGAACTCTAAAACTCCTAGAAGGGTAAAGCTCTTTGACATTGGCCTCGGCAATGATTTCTTAGATATCACATCAAAAGCTCAGGCTACAAAAACAAAAATAAATAAATGGGACTACATCAAACTAAAAAGCTTCTGCCCAGCAAAGAAAATAATCAACAAAATGAAAAGGCAACCTACAGATTAGAAAAATCCATGTATCAGATAAGGGGTTAATATCCAAGATGTATAAAGAACTCATGCAACTCAATAGCAAGAAAACATATAACCCAATTTAAAAATGGGCAAAGGACTTGAACAGACATTTCTCCAAAGAGACATACAAATGGCCAACAGTACATGAAAAGGAGTTCAACAACACCAATCAGAGAAGTGTAAATGAAACCACTATGAGATGCCATCTCGCACCTGTTAGGATGGCTATTATTAAAAAATACAAGAGATAACGGGTGCTAGTGAGAGTGTGGAGAAAAGAGAACCCTTTGTACCCCTTGTATCAACTCTGTTGGTGGGAATGTAGATTGGTATAGCCATTATGAAAAACCGTATGGAAGTTTCAGAAAATTAAAAAATAGACCTACCATATGGCCCAGCAATCCCTCTTCTGGGTACATACCCAACAGAAATGAAATGACCACCTCATAAAAATACTGCACTCCCATGTTTAATGCAGAATTAGTCACAATAACCAAGATATGGAAACAATCTAGGTGTCCATCAATGGACAAATGAATAAGGAAGCTGTGGTATATATACAATGGAATATTTTATTCAGCCTTAAAAAAGAGGAACTCCTGCCATTTGTCCCTGCATGGATGGACCTGGAGGACATTACACTAAGTGAATTAAGTCAGACACAAAACATATTGCATAGTCTCACTTACATGTGGAATCTTTTTTAAAAGGTCAAATATATAGAGAATAAAACAGTGGTTACCAAGACCAGAGTTATGGGGCAGGGGAATGGGAAGATGTAGGTCAAAGGACACTGAGTATCCCTAATTGATTTGCAGATTCAATCTAATTCCTAACAAAATTCCAACCGCCTTTTTTTTTTGCGCAGAAATATAAAAGCTAATTCTAAAATTCAGGCTAGGCATGGTGGCTCATGCCTGTAATCCCAGCAGTTTGGGAGGCTGAGGTGGGAAGATCACTTGAAGTCAGTTCAAGACCAGCCTGGGCAACAAAGAGAGATCCCCCCCCTCAACCCATGTATATAAAAATAGAGATAATAAAATTAGCCAGTGCAGTGGCATGCACCTGTAATCACAGCTCCTCAGGAGGCTGGGGTGGGAGCCCAGGAGATTGACTCTACAGTAAGCAATGATTGCACCACTACACTCCAGCCTGGGCAACAACGGAAAGAAAAATCCTAAAATTCATATGGATATGTAAGTGGCCCAAAATAGCCAAAACAATCTTGAAAAAGAGAAACAAGGTGGGAGGACTTGTACTTCCCAGTGTCAGTGGGGTTATGTTACAGTAATCAACACAGTGTGGTTCAGGCATAAGGATACATATATAGATGAATGGCATAAAATTAAGAGTCCAGAAATAAACCTGCACATCTATGGTCAATTAATTTTTGACAAGAGTGGCAAGATCATTAAGTAGGAGAAAGAATACTGTTTTCAACATGTTGTGCTGGAACAGCTGGACATCCACACGCAAAAGAATGAATTAGAGCCTTACCTTATACCGTATACAAAAAATTAACTCAAAATGGAAAAAAGACTTAAATGTAAGAACCAAAGTAATAAAACTCCTTGAAAATACAGGTACCTTTTCATGACCTTGGATTAAATAATGGTTTATTGGCTATTATACCAGAAGCACAAGCAACCAAAGAAAAAATTAATCTATTGGACTTCATAAAACTTGAAAACTTTTCACTTCAAAAGATACTTTTCTCCCATTTTAACTTTCTTGATAGTATTTGCAAGACATATTTCTGATAAGGTTCTAACATCAAAAACATCTAAAGAACGCTCACAACAATAAAAAGACAACCACATTTAAAAAATGGGTAAAGGATTTAAATAGAATTTCTTCAATGAAGATTTTAAAATGACAAGTAGAGGAAATGCTAATCATTAGTCACCAGGGAAAAACAAATCAAAACTACAATAACATACCACTTCACACACACTAGGATGCTTATAATAATGACAGAACAAGGCCGGGCATGGTGGCTCGTGCCTGTAATCCTAGCACTTTGGGAGGCCGAGGCCGGTGGATCACATGAGATCAGGAGTTCAAGACCAGCCTGACCAACATGGTGAAACTCCATCTCTACAAAAAACAAAACAAAACAAAACAAAAAATTAGCCAGGTGGGGTGGTGTGCACCTGTAATCCCAGCTACTCGGGAGAATGAGGCAATTGCTTGAACCCAGGAGGCAGAGGTTGTAGTGAGCCGAGATTGCGCCATTGCACTCCAGCCTGTGTGACAGACTGAGACCTTGTCTCAAAATAATAATGAGAGAAAGAAAGAAAAACATTTTAAGGTTCATTCACATGATAAGAGTGAAAGAAACCAGTCACAAAGACCATATGTTTTATGCTTCCATTTATATGAAATATACAGAACAGGCAAATCTATAGAGACAGAAAGAAGATTAGTTGTTGCCTAGTAGTAGGGTATAGAATTGGGTGCTAATAAGGATGGAGTTTCCTTTTAGGGGTGACTAAAATGTTATAAAATTGACTGGTAATGGTGGTATAAATTTGAATATGCCAAAAACCACTGAATTGTACACTCTGAATGGGTCAATAGTATGGTATGTAAATTATATTTCAATAAAGCTGTTAAGAAATAAAATAAATTTAGTGGCACATGCCTACAGTCCTAGCTACTTAAGAGGCTGAGGCAAAAGGATTGCTTGAGCCCAGGAATTCCAGGCTGCAGTGATCCATGATCACATCCATGAATAGCTACTGCAACCCAGCCTTGGGAACATAGCAAGACCCTGTCTCAAATAAATAAATAAATAAAATTGGCATAATTTTTTAAGAAGAGCTGTGGTTCCTCAAAATAGCTACTTTGGAAAGCAGTGTACCTAGCATATTAGTAAGGATATAACAGGCTTTGCTGCAGGAACAAATAAACCCACATCTCAGTGACTCATATCACACCCAGTGCTGGCTGACTAGCTCTCCTGGGCAATTTCTCTGAGTGGTGACTTTGGGATCCAAGCTTCATCTTGTGACATTGCCATGTAAATATATACCCACTGAGGTCACTGTGGAAAGGCAAGAGAGAATGGATGATGGTTCAAGGGAGGTTATAGCTGGCTTGAAAGTTGTACACCTTACTTCCTCCTGCACCACAATGGCCAAACTATGGTCATATAGCTCCAATTTAATTACAAGTCATGCTGGAAAAGTCTTCCAATGTGCCCAGGGAGAGGAAAGTGAAATATGATTTGGTGAGCCCATGGCATTGTCTCTGTCCCAAATCACCCATGAAGGAAGGTCGAGGGGAGAGAGAAAGAAAAAGAAAAAAGAAACCAGCTACTGCTCAAACTTGTAGAGATCCTCTTTGGCAAATATTTTCATATGCAGTTGAAAAGAACAAATCTTCCTAACTCATAATTTTGTTTTTTGGGCTATTGACACCTTCAGGACTCACTCATTAGGTCCACTGCCTGCCAGTTACATTCCCTGCACTCCCCACACTCTTGGCGTATCTCAGTCACTCCTCATATTGCAGGTTATCTGTTTTATGTCTGTATCTAGGACCCATTGTACTCATTTCTTTACCCCAACTGGTAGCAAAAGCCCAGCACATACTAGATGGCCAAGACAAGTTTTGGGACCACGACATATGTAACCTAGTTGAGAAACACTAGGCAAACACCTCAAGAGCAAGCACAGGGTCTTATTCTGGCAACTTTGCAGTGTTCAGCACACCATAGGGATCATTTGACTGATTCTTCTCTGGCCCAACCAAAGCTAAGCAGCTGCCAAGCAGGTATGGTCATTCATCCATCCATCATTTGAGGATCAACTTTCTGCCAGGCACTGAGCTAGGTGCTGTAGATTTTAGCTTGGCCATCTCTAAATCGGAGAGCTAATGAAGATGCTGAGCCTTCACCACTCAAAGAGATCCTCTGGTGTCATTTGGGAAGAGGGAGGTTGCCCTGGAGCAGTCACCACGTCTCAGAGTCTGTTCTTAGAAGGCAAAGGGGAAGAGTTCTGCTCTAGACCTAGCCAACAGTTGGTGCTGTTGGTGTGGATGGGAGCAGAGGGAGGGGCTGGCCCTGTGATCACAGTTTTGCCCATGCTTTAGTGATGAATAGTGCGTATCCCTTCTCTGCAGCTGACATTCACTTCTTTAGGGCTTTAACTGCTCCTTTTCCTTCAGGGGCAGAGTCAACCAGTTGCTCAGTTCATGGTGTGCTAGCACAATTTCTCCATGTGAGGTCCTGCTCCTACTGTGCTTTACTTTATTCCTCTTTATCCCAATTCTCCACTCCCACCTTTGCACATTCATCCCTACTGTTGCATTTAATGTTTATCTTTCTTTTTCTCCGCACACTTGAGAAACCTGACAAGTTGATTGATAGGTATGTATTTTCAGGTTCCTACAAATGATGCAGTGTTAGAGATTTTGTCCTGCTTCTTACTTTTCTCACTCACGCTATTTTTAAGGCTGTAGCCACAGTGATGGGTGTCCACCCTGTTTGTGGCTGTGGGTCATCCATGTGACAATCTCATTTTACTCACCCATTCCCCAGTGATGGATGCCAGCCTCTAACTCCACTGTCCCCAAACAATACTGTGGTAAATCACTTCTCGGTCGCTTTGTGTGCAAGTCTTTGGGACATATGCCCAGGAACAAAATGTCTAGCACTTGAATGATACAGGTATCAATGTCACTAAGCAGAGCGAGATCCCCCTCTACAATGGCTGTACTCAGCTACCTGTCAGCCAACCACGTATGGAATATCTCAACCTTCACATCCCTGTGGCTGGCGCAGGCTCAGAGAGAGGCCAGTGTAGCTCAAGGTCTAGAGTTATCAAGGAAAAGCCATCGTTCTGAGGTCCATCTCCTGAAAGGCGGCCTCTCCTGAGTGTCATCCTGTCTCATCTTTTCCTCACCCCGGGTCCTCCCTGGTGGATATGGTTCTCCTCCTCATCCCCCAAACTTCTCATGCCCCAGCATGGGCCACCCCACCACAGACTTGGCATCTGGGGTGGGTGGACAGGAAGGGGGGTGGACTGGCCTACCCAAGGGGCAGAGCATTGGCCTTGGCAATTTGGTGCAGGAAGACAGGATCCAGGAGGGAGATGAGCTCTCACCCCGGATACGCGTTCAGAAGCAGCATTCAAGTTCCCCCTCCCAGTTTTTCATCCGATGCTCACCACGCCCCCTGGGTAACCGGGATGTGTAAAGTTGAAGAACCCCCACTCCCAAGTGAGGTGATTTGCCTCAAGGAGAGGCTGAGTTGAGGCCAGAACCTCCTTGGCTTTTTGGACATTCAGGACCCAGTGGTACAGGGGTGGGGGTGGGCCGCTTGCTCCCCAGAGAAGAGAGGGAGGAATAGAGAAAGGGGAAGAGGAGCCAGGCCAGCAACTGCAGATAAACAAGGATATTCCCAGGGCTCAGCCCCAGGGCACTTGAAAGCCAGCAGCTCAGGCAGAGGCTGTGATGGGTCCCCCAGCAGAGCTTCAGTGAAACACCACGGTGTCACCAGTCATTTGTCTCCCTGGCACAGGGCCCACTCATCTACTCTTGGCTTGGAATGAACTGGTTCCCCAGAGGAGAGGCTATCTGGCTAATTGTGCACAAACACATAGAACTTGCTGCAGTCAAGACCTGCGTGCCGACCCCACCACGCCGGCCAGTCCAGGGTCATGTGGCCGCCTCTTCACCTCCAGCAAATGAAGCTGGTACAGCTGTTGGCAGAGCCAGAAGGGGTACTTTCTAGGCACATACCTGCCCCTAGGATGGGAGGCCTTTGTATACATTTTTATTGTAGATGGGGTCTGAGACAATTTTTCTGTCCCTACTCTGGTGTCCACGGACTGTCACACCACCACTTCTGCTTTCAGGCAGAAAACCACCTCCCAGCAGGCTCCCACTGAGGACTCTCGCCTGACCTGGAAACCCCTGCTCCTCTCTCTGCTGCCATCTGCCTCAGGGAGAGTTGGGCTGGAGGAGGGAGTGGAGCAGTGGGGACAGGAAGTCCCTCGCTAGACTCAGCAAAACAGGGACCCTTGGCTTGGGTGGGCAGCTTTCTGCAGCCCCCTTTGTTTCCACCTGGAAACGTTGATTTCCCCAGTTGGACACTCAGAATCTCAAATGACATCAAGGCCACAAACAAATCTCTCCTCCTCTGCAGGGCATTCTTTTCACATGCCCTCAGAGCATGACTGAGCTTGGAGGAATTCTGAGCCATGGTTGGTTTGCTGCAAATGGGCATCGTCAGGTGTTCCTGTAGCCAGGGAAACAGGAAATGAGGACAGAGGAGAGGGGATGCCAGTAGAGCTTTGAGTCCTCGGGTTCCAAGAGGGGAGAAGATGGATGTGGCATGCGTGTCTAGGGCCCAGGCTGAAGGCCCTGAACGGCAGAGGAGACCGGGGCTACGGGGTCACGTCATGGAGCAGAAGGCCTGTGCACCAGAACGCACCATGAGGCCACCATCTGGGGGTCCACAGGGGCAGCTGAACCTCATCATGCCTAGGGTTTCTGGTCACCTCCTACCTATGCAGAGCTGTGGACAATAAGCTGGACCAGCAGTTACCACCCGAAAAGCAAGAGGAGAGCTCACCACAGTCATGCCTTGCCAGCCCCTCTTCCTGACCCCAACATTAGAACAGCAAGTGCCAAGAAGCAGGAGAGTCATGTGCAACTGCCCCTACCCCACTCTCCATCTATGGAAACACTAGGTTTAGCCTGCACTAGGTGGAGAAGGGAAGAGAGATTGACGTTTCAAAATGAGCTATCAGGGGACTTCTATTTACAGCAATATGAGAAACTAGGTAACCTGAAAGGCAACACCCACCGCAATATGCTCAGAATTGCTTGGTGCAATAGAACAGACTCTAAATGCAGAGTTCAACAGAAAGTAAAGGCCAAAAGATGAACTGGGAACCAACAATTAGGTATACAACTTCATGATCTCCCCACCCACCAGGGCTGGCATCCTCTCACTAACTCAGGGGCTTGGATTGTTTTGTTTTGCTTTTCGAGACAGAGTCTCACTCTGCCACCCAGGTTGGAGTGCAGTGGCACAATCTCAGCTCACTGCAACCTCCACCTCCCGGGTTCAAGTGATTCTCATGCTTCAGCCTCCCGAGTAGCTGGGATTACAGATGTGCATCACTATGCCTGGCTAGTTTTTATATTTATTTTTAGTAGAAATGGGGTTTTGCCATGTTGACCAGGCTGGTCTTGAACTCCTGGCCTCATGTGATCCACCCAACTTGGCCTCCCAAAGTGCCAGGATTACAGGCGTGTGCCACCATCCCTGGCCTAGGGACTTGGGTTTTAATGCTGTGAGGAATTGGAGAGGAAGCCTTGGACCTGCCCCACAACACTCATAAATGAGGGGTCCTTCAAGGGCAGGATGCACTCTCAGTAATCATCATCTAGAGAAAGTTCCCCCACTGGCAGTTATGTCAGGGATATTAGACCTGGCCTGGGCTCTGAGTAGGGAAAATGATTCTCCTATCAATTTGTCATCACAGGCCCATACTCATGTGATGGGATTAGGCTGTATATGACATGCATGGGCCAGAAAATCCCCAGGTCAAAACATTGGTATGCAAAGCAGTCCTGGGCTGGTGATAACGCCAAGCACCTGGCTGAAGCAAACCCAAAAGCACTCTGGAGGCACCCACTCTCATGTAAGGTACAGAAGATTCCAATAGATGAAGTCCCCATTAAGACCAGCTCACAATCCCAAATTACAAAACACTGGCAACTCCAAGTCAATAAACTTCAGGGATGGAAAGCCAGTAGAATGATCAAAACAGAGCCTACAAGATAAATTGGCTTAAAATTACTAAAGACCTAAAATGAGAAATAAAAACAGAAAAAAAGAATCAAGATACATGAAAAAATAGGTAAATTTTAAAAAGTATTTCCAGAAAGTAAAATTTTAAAAATATAATTACTGAAATAATAGAAATACCTCTGCAGATGGGTTACCGCTGATTCTCAAAGTTTATCACACCTGAGGATCCCCTGGAGGGCTTCTTAAACACAGACTGCAGGGCCACCTCCAGAGTTTCTGGGGCAGGGCCTGAGAATTTGCATTTATAAGAAGTACCCAGGTGAAGCTGCACTGATGATCTGGGGACAACGGGTTAGCTGATTAACTCTGGCCAAAGACAAAATTCTGACTGACCAAAAGTAGTTGACAAGTTAGTGAATAAAGTTGGGTTATTTTAATAGGTCTTCTATCCAGGGGAAAGGAGTTTCAATCAGCACACAGTTGAAAGCAGTAACTGAGAAAAATAAAACCATGTCCACGTGCATGTTTCAAATACACTGTCAGGATTTTCAATAGTCTAAGTAGTCTGTATCTTGTCCAAGGTTACAAGAGACAAAGAACATTATATATTGAGAAGAGATTCAATACAGCAAGAATAAGTAGTTATAAACATTTAGCACTTAACAGAATATGCAAAGCAGAAAGGGAGCGAATTGGAGGGAAAAGTAGTTCTACAATAATCGTCGGAGACCTCAGTCCCCCACTTTCAATAATGGAAAGAACAACCAGACAGAAGATAAGAAAGGAAATGAGAGGACTTGAACAACACAGCAAGCCAAGTGGACCTAACACACACCACCAGGCCCCCAGTGCATTTCAGCTGAGGCCTCTGGACACGAGGCCCACGACAGGTGTCTTAGTGGGCCCACGACTGCTGTGACAAATTACCACAAACTTGCTGGCTTCCAACAACACACGTTTATGATCTTACAGTCCTGGAGGTCGAAAGAGTAAAAAGAGGTCTCACTGAGCTGAAATGAAGCTGCTGGCAGGGCTGCGTTTCTTTCCGGAGGTTCGTTGGGAGAACCTAGTCCCTTACCTTTTCCAGCTGCTAGGCAGAGGCCGCCCTGTTCCGTGGCCCGTCCTCCATCCCCAAAGCCAGAAAAACCGGGCTGAGACCTCCTGGTGCTGTCGGCCTTCTCTGTTCTCTGTTCTCTCTCTTTCTTTCTCTCGCCTCTCTTCCTTATAAGGACAGGTGATTGCATTGGGCCCACCTGGGTGACCCAGGCTAATCTCCTTACCCATTAAGCTCCCCATCCTCAGCCTTTTCTTCTGTCAGATGGAGAATATAATCCCCTAGTTTTAGGGAATTTTGAGGAATAAATCGGATTACTAAACTGTGAGTTCCTTGAGTCAATAAAGATTAACTGAGCACTTACTGTGTGTAAGGCAACTTTCCTAAGTGCTAGGGATACGACAGTGAACAAAACACACAAAAATGCGTGTTTCTGTCTGTGTGTGCAATTAATCTACCTTAATTCCATCCGCAACTGTAATTCCCTTTTGCCATGTAAGGGGACAAATTCACAGGCTCTGGGGAGTAGGATGTGGACACCCTTGGGGCGTTTATTCTGCCTTCCGCAGTGGAGGACTGCAGACGCTGTGGGCGAAATGTTTGGAGCTGGTGCCATTAAAACCCTCTGCAGTTCCCGCTCAAGGTGCAACTCTCAAGTACTGGCACCTGGGTTTGCGGCCACGTGAGGCTCTGAGCAGCATGGGCCTTGGGGACACTGAAGATATCAGAGGCCCTAGAGGTATGTGTGGCTTCCCAGGTTAAAGTTGGCACGGAGAGAGAAGAGCGTGGCAAGTCAGGCAAACCCGGTGAACTCCCTTTGTCAGCCTTCCTTCCGTCTGCCACAAGGAAGGCCTGTACCAGAACCCAGGGCCTTCTGGGCTGAGAGGCCGCAGCCTGCATTGGAAGGCCACTGAGTCACGGACGTGGGAAGATGACCATCGGTGTCCGAGACGCGAGTATAAAGCCAGGCGCTGCCACTCACCAAGCTGCGCGATCTCGGGCGAGCAGCGCTTCGCCAGGCTCGGCCCACGGCGACGCCACAGTGCCACCTGCCGGCCGGACGCCCTCGCTCGCGCACCCCGCCCTCCTCACTCGCGCACCCCGCCCTCCTCACTCGCGCACCCCGCCCTCCTCACTCGCGCACCCCGCCCTCCTCACTCGCGCACTCCCCCGCCCTCCTCACTCGCGCACTCCCCCGCCCTCCTCACTCGCGCACTCCCCCGCCCTCCTCACTCGCGCACCCCGCCCTCCTCACTCGCGCACCCCGCCCTCCTCACTCGCGCACCCCGCCCTCCTCACTCGCGCACCCCGCCCTCCTCACTCGCGCACTCCCCCGCCCTCCTCACTCGCGCACTCCCCCGCCCTCCTCACTCGCGCACTCCCCCGCCCTCCTCACTCGCGCACTCCCCCGCCCTCCTCACTCGCGCACCCCTCCCTCCTCACTCGCGCACTCCCCCGCCCTCCTCACTCGCGCACTCCCCCGCCCTCCTCACTCGCGCACTCCCCCGCCCTCCTCACTCGCGCACTCCCCCGCCCTCCTCACTCGCGCACCCCGCCCTCCTCACTCGCGCACTCCCCCGCCCTCCTCACTCGCGCACCCCGCCCTCCTCTCTCGCGCACCCCGCCCTCCTCACTCGCGCACTCCCCCGCCCTCCTCACTCGCGCACCCCGCCCTCCTCTCTCGCGCACCCCGCCCTCCTCACTCGCGCACCCCGCCCTCCTCACTCGCGCACTCCCCCGCCCTCCTCACTCGCGCACCCCTCCCTCCTCACTCGCGCACTCCCCCGCCCTCCTCACTCGCGCACTCCCCCGCCCTCCTCACTCGCGCACTCCCCCGCCCTCCTCACTCGCGCACTCCCCCGCCCTCCTCACTCGCGCACCCCGCCCTCCTCACTCGCGCACCCCGCCCTCCTCACTCGCGCACTCCCCCGCCCTCCTCACTCGCGCACCCCGCCCTCCTCACTCGCGCACTCCCCCGCCCTCCTCACTCGCGCACCCCGCCCTCCTCTCTCGCGCACCCCGCCCTCCTCACTCGCGCACTCCCCCGCCCTCCTCACTCGCGCACCCCGCCCTCCTCTCTCGCGCACCCCGCCCTCCTCACTCGCGCACTCCCCCGCCCTCCTCACTCGCGCACTCCCCCGCCCTCCTCACTCGCGCACCCCGCCCTCCTCACTCGCGCACTCCCCCGCCCTCCTCACTCGCGCACTCCCCCGCCCTCCTCACTCGCGCACCCCGCCCTCCTCACTCGCGCACTCCCCCGCCCTCCTCACTCGCGCACTCCCCCGCCCTCCTCACTCGCGCACCCCGCCCTCCTCACTCGCGCACTCCCCCGCCCTCCTCACTCGCGCACCCCGCCCTCCTCTCTCGCGCACCCCGCCCTCCTCACTCGCGCACTCCCCCGCCCTCCTCACTCGCGCACTCCCCCGCCCTCCTCACTCGCGCACCCCTCCCTCCTCACTCGCGCACTCCCCCGCCCTCCTCACTCGCGCACTCCCCCGCCCTCCTCACTCGCGCACTCCCCCGCCCTCCTCACTCGCGCACTCCCCCGCCCTCCTCACTCGCGCACCCCGCCCTCCTCACTCGCGCACTCCCCCGCCCTCCTCACTCGCGCACCCCGCCCTCCTCTCTCGCGCACTCCCCCGCCCTCCTCACTCGCGCACCCCTCCCTCCTCACTCGCGCACTCCCCCGCCCTCCTCACTCGCGCACTCCCCCGCCCTCCTCACTCGCGCACTCCCCCGCCCTCCTCACTCGCGCACTCCCCCGCCCTCCTCACTCGCGCACTCCCCCGCCCTCCTCACTCGCGCACTCCCCCGCCCTCCTCACTCGCGCACCCCTCCCTCCTCACTCGCGCACCCCGCCCTCCTCACTCGCGCACTCCCCCGCCCTCCTCACTCGCGCACTCCCCCGCCCTCCTCACTCGCGCACCCCGCCCTCCTCACTCGCGCACCCCGCCCTCCTCACTCGCGCACCCCGCCCTCCTCACTCGCGCACCCCGCCCTCCTCACTCGCGCACTCCCCCGCCCTCCTCACTCGCGCACCCCGCCCTCCTCACTCGCGCACCCCGCCCTCCTCACTCGCGCACCCCGCCCTCCTCTCTCGCGCACCCCGCCCTCCTCACTCGCGCACCCCGCCCGGCAGTGCGGCCCGCACCCGCCCCCTCCCGAGCACCCTGGCGCGCACTTAGCCAGTACCTGCGCGTGCACCTCGGCGTTCAACGCGGCCTTTGCGGCGGCTCTCCCCTTGGACCTGAGGCTTCCCGCTTCGTTCTAGAGTGAAGGCTGGAAGAGCCCAGACAGGAAGGTGTCAGCTCTGTCCCACACCCAGGTGGCCTGTGCTGTCCCTTAAGTACAGCAGCAACAACGTCACCTGGGGAGGAAAGCTTCATGGAGCTCACCAGATTTGCAGGGGTGAAAGATGGAGGGAGGAGGGGAGTTGGATTCCTATACTAGTTTTTATCTGGATAACTTCTGAGCCAAGCACAGCTTTGTGAGCCTCTAGAGACCCCCTAACCTACTTGCATCAACTGGACATAAAGAGGGGAGCCCAATAGCAACTGCATCCATTCTAAAACCAAAAGCTACTGTTATTCGCCAGGCATGGTAGTAAGTGTCCTATGAGTGTTAATTCATCCATCAAACATTCTTTGAGCTTCCCCTCTGAGCCAGATCGTGTCTAGGTGCCTGGGATGCAGAGGTAGCGAACGTGCCCACACAGGCATACACACGCATTCCTATCCCCTCTACTTCGTCGGCGCTGTTGTTTGACATAGGAATTACTACCACCTAAAACACTATATATTTTACTTTATTTTTCTTATATTATTGTCTGCTACCACACATGTATGCCTGTGGACATCCACACCAACCCCCACACACACACAGACACATTTTTTGTGTGTTTTGTTCACTTTTGTATCCCTAGCACTTAGGAAAGTTGCCTTACACACAGTAAGTGCTCACTCTTTATCAGCTCAAGGAACTCACGATTTGGTAATCTGATGTATTCCTCAAAATTCCCTAAAACTAGGGGATTATATTGTTCATTTGACAGAAGAAAAGGCTGAGGATGGGGAGTGGCCTGCATGGACTGATTCAACTCTTAGCAGTGGAGATGGGAGGCAGACCCAGGTCTGCTGATCCTAAATCCTGTCCTCTGAGTGTCCCCCATAAGCTAATTACTGGAGAAAGCAGAAAGAAAAGAAACCACTATTATCAGCATTGCTTTTCATTTTATTAATCTGAAGAGTGAACACAGTGAAAGCAGGCAGCTACATGTTAGCTGTAGACTGTAGACCACATCTGTTCAAGAATCCCTCCGAGATCATTACATATAAAAATGGCAAATAAAATAATTTTAGCTTTATTTATTTATTTAAAGTTCTACTGAGATAGCAATAAAATAAGGAAAACAATGAGAGGGCAGAAATTCCATTGGAATCAAAATCCTGTATGAGTGAGCTGAATTTTGTCCTGAAGGCTTCTGCTGGTTTCCAGTCGCCTAGAACCACAGTTACACTGAACTATGCTGGGTACAAATGACCAAAGTAAGAGGGGAGCTGGGCTGGAGGAAGAGTTCTGACCAGAGACCCCTGCATAAAGTCAGAAATCCCAGAACTCAATACCTTCAGTGGGTGAGCACAGAAGCAAAGAAATAAAACATTCCCCTAACACATTCCTAACCATCTGTCCCTATTTGACTAGGAAGAGGGCAAGAATCTACACTTTTTGTGAAAATTGAAGCCCCCTCGCAAATAGAAAGTTTTGGGTTTGGTGTTTTTTGTTTGTTTTTTGAGATGGAGTCTCACTGTGTCACCCAGGCTGGAGTGCAGTGGCGTGATCTCGGCTCACTGCAAGCTCTGCCTCCCGGGTTCACACCATTCTCCTGCCTCAGCCTCCCGAGTAGCTGGGACTACAGACGCCCGCCACCATGCCCGGCTAATTTTTTTGTATTTTTAGTAGAGACGGGGTTTCACCATGTTAGCCAGGATGGTCTCAGTCTCCTGACCTCGTGATCTCCCCGCCTCAGCCTCCCAAAGTGCTGGGATTATAGGTGTAAGCCACCGTGCCCGGCCTGGGTTTGTTTGTTTTCTGAGACGGAGTCTCGCTCTGTCACCCAGGCTAGAGCGCATTGGCTCACTGCAACCTCCACCTCCCAGGTTCAAGCAATTCTCCTGCCTCAGTCTCCCAAGTAGCTGGAATTACTGCCACCCACCAACATGCCCGGCTAAGTTTTGTATTTTTAGTAGAGATGGGGTTTCACCATGTTAGCCAGGCTAATCTCAAACTCCTGACTTCAGGTGATCCACCTGCCTCAGCCTCCCGAAGTGCTGAGATTACAGGCATGAGCCACTGCTCTCAGCCAGAAATTTTAGTTTAAAGTGATCTGAAGTTGACTGTGCTTCCTGGCATCTAGCATAAGCAAATATAAGTTCTCTCCAAAAGGTTTAAGCTGAGGCCTTAACGATTTCTCAAAGATAGTGACTAGGAACATGATTTTATAATCAAAAGTCACAAAACACATGAAGAAACAAACTGTCATGAAATAGGTTCCATGCTTGGTAATGGTAGACTGAGTGAATCAGAACAGCTCTCCCTCAAGAACAACAGAAAATCTTGACATCATTGGCAAGCAAACAAGTGAGTGAGAAATTATGGAAAAGAGACGGAATTCCAGAAAAGTTAGCTCAGAATTTGAAATCATTTTGACCTGGGGATACTAAAAAGGGATCAGCCCTCAAAGGAACTGAAGACCAACCGCAAAATTATGTCAGTCCCTGATGATATTAAGATGACCTGGGGTAACTGGGGCTTCTAGTCTCATTGCCTAGAGAAAAAGTAATCCTCTTAAAATGTAGATACAATTATCCAGAACCTCAAATTACCTCTTAAATGTTTACATATAATGCCCGGCATTTAATTTTTAAAAAGCCAGGAATAGTAGAGGTTAAGATATTAACAAAACTCAAGATAATCAATGAACAGTAGGGACATATCCTTGGAGCATCCAGGATTTGAAATTATCAGAAACAAACCTCATACAGCTATAATTAATTGGTTTAAGAAATACAGAAGTATTTTGTCAGAGAATGAGAAAGCATTCAAAATAGAAATCCTAAATCTTAAAACTTTAGAACAAACTGAAATTAGGAAATCAATAGATTGGTTTAACAGGAGTTTGAATTCAACTGAAGAAAAAGTGAATTGGGAGATGGAATCAGAAAAAAAATACATGCTGAGGCACAGAAAGACAAAATGTTGGAAAATACAGAAGGAATATAAGAGGCGTCTAGAGTATGGTAAAAATATCTAGCATATTTGTTATGAGGAGTCACAGAGGAAAGGAGAAGACAGAGTGGAGAAGTACTATTTGAAAAGAAGAGAATTTTCAAAAATGAATAAAAGATGGGATACCACAGATACAAGCAACACTATAATTCCCAAGAAGGAGAGAAGCAACACCATATCTAGGGACATTATAGCAAACTGATGAAAAGCAAAAACAGAGAAAAATCTGAAAGCATTTGGAAAAAAAAAAAGAAAATTATCTTCAAAGGAGCAACACTAAGACTGATGACTGATTTTAAAATAGAAACAATGGACTCCAGGAAACAAAGGAACAGCATCTTGATGCCATCTTGCCAGACTGGAAGTCTATACCCAGTGAAAATATCCTTCAAAAAGTGAAGGAGAAATAGAGGCTGAAAGACAAACAGCATTGAGAAACACATTACCATCAAAAAAAATTAAAAAAGATATTGTAATTAAAAATCTGCTCACAAAGAAAACCAGGTGCAGACAATTTTGCAAGTGAATGCTTACAAACATTTAAGAAAGAAAGAACACTGCTTCTACACAAAATCTTCCAAAGCATAGGAAAAGGGGAATACAATTAAAATTATGTACCACCTTTTTTAAAAAAGAATAAAAAGATGAACATTTAGAGAAAAAATTTAAAGATATAAATAAAGTAAGCAATGTACTATGCAATAGACTGGAATATTCAATATTTAAAAATATCAGTTCTCTAATAGATCTGTGCAGTCTGGTTCTAAAAATCATGTCGACATTGACACACAACTTGAATAGACTTCAAGGGAAGTATTTTTTTTTTAAAGCCAATCTCAAAAGGTTACACACTATATGATTCCATTATTCTTGGAATAATGAAGTTACAGAGCTGGAAAATAGACTAATGGTTGCCCGAGATGAACGTTAGGAGGTTTGGGAGATAACCGTCTGTTCAGTGCAGTGAGGCAAGGAAAGGCAACTAAAGGGTGAAGATTAGAAAGGAAAAAGTAAACTGTCATTATTTACAGATAACATGATTGCATGCATAAAAAATTAAAAGAAAACAGGTAAAACATCAAAGCTCATGAAATAATTTATCAAGGTTACTGGCTAAAGGTTACTATGAAAAATCATTTGCGTTTCTTCACACCAACAACAAACATTAAGAAAATTAATTTCTCCCCAAAAAGTTGTTTAGCCTGAATCTAGTCATAAGGAAACAAGCCAAATCTAGACTGCAGGACATTCTACAAAATGACCGGCCTAGACTTTTCAAACATGCCAATATCATGAAAAGAGGGAGCAGGAAAGGAGGTGCGGTGTTCTAAATGAGATTAAAGAGACATGAAGAATGAGTGCAATGTGTGATCCCAGATTAGATTCCAGGTTTTCTTGAGATACAATCTATGTAGCATAAAATGCACCATCTTAACGGACGCATTTCTGTGATTTTTAACATATTCACCAAGTTGTGCAATCATCACCATGATCTAATTCCAGGACATTTTCATCGCCTCCCAAAATCCCTTCTACCCATTAGGTGTCACTTCCATTTCTGCACTCCTCCCAGCTCCTGCCAACCGCTAATCTACTTGCTGCCTCTATAGGTTTGCCTATTCTGGATATTCCAAATAAATGAAACCATACGATATGTGGTCTTTTACATCTGGCTTCTTCCTTCACTGACATTTCTTTAACACTTTCACGGTTCATCCATGTTTTAGCATGTATCAATACTTCACATCTTTTTAAGGCTAAATAATATTCCATTGTATGGATTTATCACATTTTGTTAATATATTCATCAGTCAAAGGACATTTGGGTTGTTTCTGTTTTGGCTATTGCGAAGAATGCCACCATGAAGATTCACGTACACATTTTTGTGTGAACATATGTTTTCAGTTCTCTTGGATGTATGCCTAGTAGTGGAATTGCTGGATCATACGGTAACCGGACATCTAACTTTTTGAGGAACTGCCAGGCTGTTTTCCACAGCTGCTGCACAATTTTCCATTCCCACCCACAAATGTATAAGGGTTCCAATTTCTTCACATCCTTGTTGATACTTGTTATTATTTTTTATTATAGCCATACTAGTGAGTGTGAAGTGGTACCTCACTGTAGTTTTGATTTGCAGTTCCCTAATGACTAGTGATACTGAATATATTTTCATGTGCTTATTGGTAATTTCTATGTCTTCTTTGTAGAAATGCCTATTCCATTTCTTTCTCCATTTTTAATTGGAGTTGTCTTTTTATTATTAAGTTGTATGAATTCTTTGAATTCTTTATATGTTCTAGAAACTAGACACTTATCAGATATATGACTTGCAATATTTTCTTCCAGTATGTGGTCTGTCTTTTGACTTTGATAGTGTTATTTGATGCACAATTTTTTTAATTTTGATGAAGTTCAGCTTATCTGTTTTTTCTTTGATTGCTTGTGCTTTTGGTGTCATATCCACAAAGCTGTTGCCTAATCCAAGATTACAAATTTTCAAACCTATGTTTTCTTCTGATTTTTATAATTTTAACTTTTATATTGAGATCTTTGAGTTAATTTTTAGTATGTGGTATGTGTTAGAGATGAACATTTATAATTTGTAAAAAAAAGACTATTCTTTCATCTGTTTAATGGTCTTAGAATTCTTGTAAAAAATCCATTGACACCTTCAATGTGAGGACTTTTTTTGACTGTCAGTTCTAGTCCACTGATATATATGGTTATTCTCGTGCCAATTTTGATTACTGTTGCTTTGTAGTAAGTTTTGAATTAGAGAACTGTGCATCCTCCAACCTTGTTTCCAGGATTGTTTGGGCTATTCTGGGCTCCTTTAATCCCATATGAATTATAAGATCAACTTGTCTATATTTGAAAAATATGCAGATGGAATTGTCTCTTTCGTTCTTGATTTTAGTAATTTGAATCTTTCTTTTCCTTTGGCAGTCTAGTTAAAGGTTTGTCAAATTTTTTTTATCATTTCAAAGAACCAACTTTGGTTTCATTAATTTTCTCTATCATTCTTCTGTTCTCTATATTTTTCACCCTGCTCTAAGCTTTATTATTTCCAGGCAGTTTGTGATAAGGCAGAAAGGGTAAAGAATAATTCTGGGCTAGGGGAATGATATGAGCTAAGCCATAGATATGTGAAAGGGCATGACAATTACAGCAAATGATAAGCAGCTCTGTGTAATAGCCCCCAGAGCTGGGGGTGGGGGCAGATACAACTAAACTGTATTTTAGCAAGATCATTCCAGCAATGTGAGAAAATGGGAGAAAGGGAGGCTAGAAAGGAAACAAGAAGTGGTGCTGGACAGCTTGATGTGTTGTTAAGGATGAGGAAGAAGGAATGGATGTGATGGGGATTAAGAGGTCCACTTGGAAGCGTCTGTGGGCCATTGACCATGAGGAGAGGGAGGAGTATAGGACGGTGTGGGGCTGGTGTTGGGGCCATAGGCTATATCAAGGGAGTGTGAGTGGGAAGATAAAGGGTTCTGTTTGGGGAAGGTTGTGTGTCAATGTGTCTTGAGGCATGTGGACAGAAATGTCCAGAAACAGTGGGAGAGACAGGTTGGGAACACAGGCAGAAGTCAAGGATGTGGGGCAGGTTTGAGGGCCATTGGTGAGTGGGCAGAAAGGATGTGACCCACCCCACGGAAAAGGTCAAGGATGAAAGAGAACCTACAACATCTCTGGTAACACCAGGGTTAGAGGCTGAAACACAAGACCAGGAGTCAGCAAACAAGATGAAGGGGCCAGCCAGAAAGTGGCAGTCAGTGCTGTGAAAACACCAGCAGTGCACGGTGGCACCTCAGAAGCCCTTGGGAGGGACCGAAGATGGGACAAGGCCAGCAGGGCTGAGAGTCCCAAAGAGGTCAAGTAAGGTGTGGCTGCCCATGTCCACTGGACTTGGCAGTCAGTGAGCCATCAGCCACTCACCCAATGACAGTGCAGGAGGCAGAAGCTCAAGTGGAGTGGGCCGAGGAGCTGAGGCAGGCAAGGAAGTAGGAGGGCAAGTGTTCCCCACCTTCCCAGGAGTTTGACAGGACCACAAGGAGAGGGCGAAAGTGGCCAATCAGCTGAAGGTCTGAATAGAACATAAAGGCTGATCTCCCATGAGTAAGAGGGAACGCCTCCTGCCTGACTGCCTTCAAGCTGGGACATTTGTCACCCTCTCCAAGCCCCCCAACCTTTGGACTCAAACTTAAGCATTAGCTGTTCCTGGGTCTTGGGTCTGCTGGCTTCAGACTGGAACCGCGTCACCGGCTCTCCTGGGTCTCCAGCTGGCCAACTGCAGATCTTGGGACTTGTCAGCCTCCACAGTCACAGGAGCCAATTATTTATTATATGAATCTCCTATTGGTTCTGTTTCACTGAAAGACCTGACTAATGCAAGGGGCACTGGGGGTGGTAATGGACACCTTTCTTCAGGCTGAAAGAAAGGACTATATGGAGGCCTACGAATTGATTGAGCAGGAAGAACAGGGGGTGAAGGAGCTCAACAGAAGGTTCATTGCTCCAAGTGGTGGGGCCTTTTACTGATCCAGTTACAGGGCCTGCATCCTCATCCATTCCATCCTCACCACGGGTCAGCAGAGCCATATGGTTGAGGAGTCTCTCCCCTGCGGTTTATACACAATATGGTTTGGTTTCCTCCAGCATCTACCTCTTAACTGCAGAACCCCCCTTTCCCACTGGGCAGCAGCTCCCTAAGTCCTTATTAGGGAGCCATAAGCTTTCGACTTCTTTTGGTTACTGCTTGTAGGAGTTAGGATTCCATCCCGTTCACTGGTTAAATCTTCACTCTCAAGCTCCATTTGAAACTCATCTCCCCTTCCCATGCCAGCCAGAGCCACAGTCTTGGAGCTGGAGAGGAGGCTGAGCTTTGATCCTGCGCTGGCCTTGCCCTTTCTTGCGGGCTTCCCCTTCTGGTGCCCAGGGTGGGGGTAGGGGAGACGTCTGCAGGGGGCTGCTTCTAAGCAATGCTGGTGACCTCTACCGCTGCCGTCTCCCATAGGTGGGGTCGGGCTTTCGAGAGGCAGAGTTCAGTGTCACGCCAACCTTTCCATTGCTAAGAACCAGCCCTCCCAAGTTCCCCTTCAGCCTGGTCAGACATTGAGACCCTGTCTCAGCTGTCCAGGTGGGTGCCCATCACTCAACTTGACTTCTGCCTGACAGAGAGGCTCTGTCCCTCTGCCAATCCTATTCCTTCGTGCAGAGCTCTTCTGCAGGCTCCGAGGGCTTTGGAGAACTGGGACGGGGTGTCGGGGGTCCCCCTTTCCTTCCCAGATATGCCATGCCCACATCCCTCATATTCACCATGGAACCCTCCTTCTTTCCTCAGTCACATTGCTGGGGGAGGGAAGTGTCTGCAAAGAGCAATGAATGGGGGTGCAAGTGACGGCAGTGTCACAGCAATGCAAGGAGTGCCCCTGGGAAAGAACCAGAGGGCAGCCAGGGACGCTGGCTCTGTTGGAGGGAGGCATCTGGGCTGGTCTTTCCGAGGCAAAGGGTTTGCATGGGTGGTGGCCCCAGCAGTAAAGCAGTGCCTCTGTAATGGGGCACCCCCAATCTCTGGGTGTTAAAATGCATTTTCTGTTGCAGTGTTCCTGGGCGGCACTCCAGGTTTGGCCTTTCTAACTCCTTGGGGGTGCTGGGGATGCTGGCTCAGGGACTGTCCCTCCCGGGAGGGATCTGCCATTTCAGAGGCTCAAAATGACACACATAAATCTCTCTCACGCTTGCAACTGGACAACCTTTCCTGCACCCTCCCTCCCCCAAGCAAGTGTTCCTGTTTTGTTTTATTCTCTATGGAAACAACATGAACAAAGGGTCTAGTAACCAACACATGGAGAGGACTCTCTACACACCAAGCACCGCAGTGTTCTAGTTAATCCTCCTAACAGCCCTCCGCTGCACAGGCGGGGAAACTGAGGCCTGGAGATGTCCAGTCACTGACTGGAGGATGCACATGGGGAAGTGGCAGAGCTGTCTGCTCCCAGGGAGGAGGGTAGCCCTCAGCCCCTCACACTGCCAGAGGTCACCCAGGGAGGGCTTTTTCCAAACAGCCTTTTGGAAAGGGAGCGTCTGGAAATTTCCTCAGGCTAATTAACTTGAGGCAAGGACCCTGCAGTGAAGAGGCGGCACTTTTAACAGCTCTGAGACAGTTACATGCTAAGTTTCTGGTAAACAGAAATGAATGAGTCCCAAGAGGGCTGGGGTTTGTTTTGGGAAAAGAGAAAGGGGGAAAAGTCAGCCAGGGCAGACCGGAGGAGGCTAACGGCAGCCTGGGAGGCCTTGTCAGTGTCTCCCCCGGGCAGACCACGGGCCACTTCCAACAGCCGCTGCCAGAGCCTGCAGGCCTGCTGGGGTCCTGGGCTGCGTGATGTGCATATATTAATCTCCTGGGATTGCCATGAAGTACCACAAACTGTGCGGCTTCAACAGCAGACATTTATCTTGTCACAGCTCTGGAGTCGAGAAGTCTGAGATCAAGGTGAGGCAGGGTTGGTTCCTCCTGGGGGCCCTGACTGGGGACTGCTCCAGGCCTCTTGTCTAACTTCTGGTGGTTGTCACAATCTTCTGTGTTCCTTGGCCTGTAGGTCTCGCCCCATCCCTGCCCTCATCTTCACTTGGTGTTCTCCCTACGTGCGAGCCTGTCTCTGGGTCCGAATTTCCCCTTTTTATAAGGACACCAGTTGCACCGCATTAGGGACCCACCCTACTCCAGTATGGCCTCGTCTTAACTCGTTACATCTGCAACAACCTAAATGGGACCAGTTCTGCGGTACAGGGGACGGGGCTTCAACATACGAGTCCTCAGAGGATGCAGTGCCACCCATCACAGTGAGGGAGGGGTACGGATGGCCCCTCTACCCGGACAGCCCAGATGTGGACCCATGGATTTTCTCACACAAATTCCAGGACCCCCAAGCACAGTTAGAGAAAGTATTACAAGGCCTGGGGAATGGACAACAGGCGGCTCTTCCCTGGGCAATCCCCAGCGCTGGAGACAAATGAGGGTGTTTCCACAGCATGTTGCAGGACGTCCTCCACATGTCACATGAGTGTCCAGACCCGCAGACACTGTCGCAAACTTCCTGAAACCTCAGTCCATGAGGCCAAAGGCACTGTCACGGAAGGGCTGGGCCAGGACAAGCCACGGAGCCTCTCTTCACCTGCCTGCCGGGGAGGATGATGCCGACCTTGAAAGTACAACTAAGGCTGTTGGATGAATTCAGTGCACTTTCCACCCCACCTCAAGTGAAGTTATCTTGAAATTATTGTCTTAGCCCTGCCCCTGCCCTGCCCTCCCACATTCTAGCAAAGACTCAGCCAAATGCCTTCCTTTTTTTTTTTCTTTTGAGAGGGAGCTTCCCTCTTGTCGCCCAGACAGGAGTGCAATGACACGATCTTGGCTCACTGCGACCTCTGCCTCCCAGGTTCAAGTGATTCTCCCACCCCAGCCTCCCAAGTAGCTGGGACTACAAGCGTGCACCACTACACCCAGCTAATTTTTGTATTTTTAGTAGAGACAGGGTTTCACCAGGTTGGCCAGGCTGGTCTTGAACTCCTGACCTCAGGTGATCCACCCGCCTGGGCCTCCCAAAGTGCTGGGATTACAGGCGTGAACCACCGCCCCTGGCCTAGCCAAATGCCTTTCACCAACTTTAATGATCCAACCCTCAGGGCACATGGAGTGCATACTGGCCTGGAACCCTGGGGACCACAGGCCTCTGTTTCTGCAGCCAGCAGCCACCCACTTTGATTCCAATGTCCTGCTATTCCCTGGGGGAGTCACCGCCCTTCACCCCCACTGTCAAGCCGTCAGCTTAAGGCAGCTCGACATCACCCAAGGCAGACAATGGAAGCCCTTCCCATGCCTTTTCCTGGAATTACTGGGAACAGTAAGCTCTTTTTTTCCCCTGTTGGGGAATGAAGTACCTACCTTATGTACAGACATGATAAAATGGACGCAGCACTACCTGGAGATAACAAGGTAATATGTGTAAAGTACCTACGCAGGAAATATTTCTTGTTCGGGTGTTGAAGGTAAAATGACACAGGAATGTACAGGAAGCACCCAAGGCATCCACAGAACATGCTTGTTGCAGAGGCGGGTTTACTGTGAAGGCAACAAAGCCTAAGCTTGCAGTCCCTCACCTGAGCCGCCCTGTCCAAGGCCCTGCATTGAATTCTGTCTGTAACTTTGTCTCTTTCTCATCAAGAGGACAACACCTATCCCCAAAATTGTATAATAAGCTTCATGTCCCCAAAACTTGGATCCAGTTCTGAATGCTGGGCATGGGAAATAAGAGGAACTGAGATTTTTTAAAATTAACAAAATGCAGAGGGTGAACCAGATGCTATTTAGCTTCCTTCTAAGGCAAAAGTCTCGTCTGTCTGTGATCCTGATGTAATAAACCCATCTTTTTGGATTGCACTGGGACTGGATTCAAGACTTTAAAAAAACCGAAAGGCTTTTCTTAAAAACAGAAATTAGCATTTAACCCTAAGATAATAAAGCAGAAGCCAGATGAAATTCAAAGTGCTTAAATTTCCATTAAAGAATAAATTCAGGTCTCCAGGGGGGAAAAAAATGAAGCAAATATTCTCCCAGGGCAAGAGGAAAAGAAGGTTGTCCGAGTACCTCTCAGGGAGGAAGGTGGAGCTGACAGCCAGGAGAATTCACTATAGAAGAACCCAGACCTGGGAGCAAAGAACCCACTTCAGGGCTCACTGAAGACTCTGTCCTGGCTTCTTAACCCAGCCCACCTGGGGAGCAGGGAAGGGCCCTGCAATTGAGACGACTGAATAGAGAAGGCAGCTAGGCACGGTGGCACACACCTGTAATCCCAGCACTTTGGGAGGTCGAGGCGGGTGGATCACAAGGTCAGGAGTTCAAGACCAGCCTGGCCAACATGGTGAAACCCCGTCTTTACTAAAAATACAAAAATTAGCTGGGAGCACCTGTAATCCCAGCTACTTGGGAGGCTGAGGCAGGAGAATTTCTCGAACTCGGGAGGTGGAGGTTGCAGTGAAACGAGATCATGCCACTGCACTCCAGCCTGGGTGAGAGAGCGAGACTCCATCTCAAAAAAAAAAAAAAAAAAATTGAAAAGGCAACTGCATACAGGGGAGGATTCTGTGTTAAAGCCTGCTTTTCCTGGTAGGAATTTCTTGAAGCAACAGGAAGCTCTGAAACTCTGTTTTCAGTCACTTGGACAGTCAGTCGGTTGTGGGTCAACAAACTTTCCATGTGTTTATGTTTGAGGCACCAGGCTGAGCCCTGGAGATGTAGAGTGGAAAGCAGAGGGTTGTACTGGAAGTGACTGTAGACGGTGTAGTGGCTGAGGCCATGACGGATGGACAGCACAGGCCTCTGGAAGGGACACTAAAAGGGAGTATCTGCCTAGTCTAGGTGCCATCCGTAATGATACCTGACATTTTTGACTTGGGCTTTGTGCAGATGACAAATGGAGCGTTCAGAATGCCAAGAACAACAGCTCAGGGCCAGGCGCGGCGGCTTATGCCTGTCATCCCAGCACTTTGGGAGGCTGAGGCAGGCGGATCACCTGAAGTCACGAGTTCGAGACCAGCCTGGCCAACATGGCGAAATCCTGTCCTACTAAAAATACAAAAATTAGCTGGGCCTGGTGGCGGGTGCCTGTAATCCCAGCTACTCGGAAGGCTGAGGCAGGAGAATCACTTGAACCCAGGAGGCAGAGGTTGCAGTGAGCCAAGGATCATGCCACTGCACTCCAGCCTGGGCAACAAAGCAAGACTCCACCTCAAAAAAAAGAACAACAGGCCTGAAATGGGGCCACCCTCCTGCTAGCTGGAAAAGGTGCCATGGCTTCCTCTGTCAGTGTCAGCTCCCATCACAAAGGAGGGACAAGTAACAGCCTACTCTTCCAGGCCAGGCCTCCTCCCACAGCTGTCGGCCTTAGGCATAGTCTGTGTGTCTTGAGTTGTCCAGCGTCCTGGTGGAAGGCTTTGCTTCCTAAGTGTCTGTAATGCATGGGGCTCATCTGGGGCCAGCTGACATAGCAGGCTGCGTGCCGTGCAGTCCTGGCCTGTCCAGCCTGCACCTCAGTGCTCTGTGCTGGGTCCCCTTCCCTGGAGGACACAGAGCCACAACCTCCCCCAGCAACAGCAGCCACATGCATTTCTTTTCTTTATTTTTTATTTTTTTTTTCAAAAAGGACATGAGGTCTCACAAAATTGACATATAATATGTTAATAAAATTGTTTTTAAACTATGAGAGTTAAACTTAACTCTCTGGTTAAGCTTTAACTCTTTAACTCTCTGGGTTAAGCTTTCAATTTTGCTCTGAACTCATGTCCCAGGACTCATGTCCACACCAACGAGTAGAATCATCTTTAAAGAAACCACGCCGGCTGGGTGCAGTGGCTCCCACCTGTAATCCCAGCACTTTGGGAGACTAAGGAGGGTGGATCTCTTGAGATCAGGAGTTTGAGACCAGCCTGGCCAACATGGCAAAACCCCATCTCTACTAAAAATGCAAAAAAGTAGCCAGACATGGTGGCTGGCACCTGTAATCCCAGCTACTCAGGAAGCTGAGGCAAGAGAATTGCTTGAACCTGGGAGGCAGAGGTTGCAGTGAGCGGAGATCGCGCCATTGCACTCTAGCCTGGGCAGTAACAGCGAAACTCCATCTGAAGAAAAGAAAGAAAAGAAAGAAGAAGGAAGGAAGGAAGGAAGGAAGGAAGGAAGGAAGGAAGGAAGAAGGAAGAAAGGAAGAAAGGCAGAAAGGCCCGCCCTCGCCACATATGATGTTGACCTTTGCTGTTTTCTACCCCATCCTATTCCATTTTGTAGGATGCTGGGGCAGCTCCCTCAACTAATTCATGCCCCAGGAATTGGAATATCCACAAGGGTTTAGAAAACTGTCCCCTCCACTGAGAGCCCTCTGAGGACAGGGCTATCTCTTCCTTGCCCTGAGCCTGGCATACAGTAGGTGCTTATTGAAGCCTTGAGAACCTTAGTGAGGGGTAAGGAAAGAGGCTGGGGATGGAATTTGTGAGGTGGTACATAGTGAGAATTGAGAAACTTAGGGTGTGTCCCTTTTTGCCCCAGCTGTGAGGAAGTTCAAACCATGACTTTGAGACCTTTAAAACTACTTATCTTGAGTTTGTGTCTAGTGGAGAACCAGCTGTGAGCCTCATGAAGCCTGTCATCACAGTTCGTTAATTTGAGGACTGAGCTCTCTCGCGGCTCAGAAGACAGACGACTATTTGAGCAGATTTGTGTGGGCAGAGCTGGATTCACTCCAACTACCAAGTTAGAATTGTTAGAGATTGCATTTTGCAACACCAAAATGAACCAGCGTGGAAGATTTTAGAAGCATGGAAAATTAAACCTAGAAAGACCATAGGGAAACATCCAGCCAACTCTCCCATTTTAAAAGTGAAGGATTTAGGCTGGGCATGGTGGCTCATGCCTGTAATCCCAGGGAAGCTGAGACGGGTAGATCACTTGAGGTCAGGAGTTCGAGACCAGCCTGGCCAACATGGTGAAACCCCATCTCTACTAAAATACAAAACTTAGCTGGGCACGGTGGCACACACCTGTAATCCCAGCTACTTGGGAGGCTGAGGCAGGAGAATTGCTTGAGCCTGGGAGGCGGAGATTACAGTGAACTGAGATCGCACCACTGCACTCCAGCCTGGGTGACAGAGCGAGACTCCGCCTCAAAAAATAAAAAATAAAAATAAAAATAAATAAAAGTAAAGGATTAGTAAATCCTAGATTACTTGCCCAAGATCAGGAAAAAGACAAGAACCCAAATATACTAGCTCCCAATTCAACATTCTTCTTATTATTAAACATTGCCCCTTTCAAAAACTTTGGATTTCATCCTCGTCATATTTCAGTACTCTTGTTGATTTATTTTGGGTTTATCTGATCAAGAACTAACATTTCAGAGGTGTTAGGATTGATCAGTGTTACTGCTTTGTGAAAGGAAAATAACATCTCAGGATTCCATTTCACTAAGCCGAAAGGAAAAAAAATAAGCTGAAGGCTGGGCCGTGCAAGAAACTGCCTTTCCTTCTGTTCGTAAGCAGATTGCTACAGATGAAAGGCCAGATATCTCCACAGGTAGCTACTCTATGTTCACTTTATCTTGGGTAAAGTGCTAATTTACTGACCACAAAATGAATACATGTTGCCGGGTGTGGTGGCTCACAACTGTAGTCCCAGCACTTTGGGAGGCCAAGGCGGGTGGACTGCCTGAGCTCAGGAGTTCGAGACCAGCCTGGGCAACACAGTGAAACCCTGTCTCTACTAAAATACAAAAAATTGGCAGGGCATGGTGGCATTCGCTTGGAATCCCAGCTACTCAGGAGGCAGAGACAGGAGAATCGCTTGAACCTGGGAAGCGGAGGTTGCAGTGAGCCGAGATTACGCCAGTGCACTCCAGCCTGGGCGACAGAGTGAGACTCCATCTCAAAAAAAATAAAAAGAAAGAAAAATTGAACACATTTTTGACCATTCCCCTACCTGTTTCTTTCTTGCAACATGTGGATTCAGTAATGCAACTGTCCCCTCCCTCGTTCCCCTCCAGCCCGCTTTTCCCCTTTAAATACTGAAGCCCTCAAAATCATCTTTGGAAAAAGTCACGGATCACAGATTGTTCCTGTGGTTTTGTGTGCCTTTTTTCCAAGCATGTCCTTAACTTGGCAAAATAAACTTCTAAATTGATTGAGACCTGTCTCAGATATTTTTGGGTTTACAGCTTACAGATGTGAATCACTTGCCAAAGACACTGGCATTTAGCGAGCTCTCCTAGGCTGTAACCAGTATGTCAAACGTGAAGATTATTGTGTGTGATCGTTTGGATTCCTTGTTATGATGTATTTTATAAATGCACTAGTTATATCTTTGCTGATGTATTTTTGCTGATCTTTCGTAAGGTGGAACTTTTGTCTAAATGGTATATATTAAACTGTATTGAGTGTTACAAAACCAATATTCTATGGAGAATGAAAAAATAATGGACTAAATTAACTAGGGGGAGGAAAAGCACGAGTCCTGGGTTGCAAGGACCAAGTGAGGCATGGGCGGAGCAGGTTGTATTCGGCAGGCCCAGAAGAGGGAGCCCCACGACCTGTCTGCCTGTCCCTCTCGCTCTCCTCCAAGACAGACTGCCCTTGAGTTTCCACTTGACCACACTAGATTAGGTTTCTAAAGCAATGTGCTCAGGACTTTTCTTCATTCCCTCCTCCACCCTTAGAGAAGCAGACTCCAGCCAGCAAAGTAAAAAAAAACCTCAACCCCAAGTGTTGTGTATTCGGATCTCCAGAAACAACCAAACAAACAAACAAACACCACTTCAGGCATCAGGGGAATAAAATGGAGAGAACTCGGAGGGCGGCCCAGTTGAGGGCAGACATGGTCCCATAAAAGGCATCCCTGGGCAGGGGGCCGGGGGCCTGGGAGGATGGAGACACCTGAACCTCATGCTTGGAAAAAATGAGAAATAGCTCTTGATAGAGGGGCCAGAGCGTGGAGCAGGGCGGGCTGGGGGGGGCCTGACCTACGCAACAGGAAGCGGCCTGCCCACCCTCTCCACTGCCATGCTCCCCAGCACAGGTGGAAAGGAAAAGGGCTACAGAGTCTGCAGATTCTTTGTTTTTTAAAAGCCCAAGCAGCTTATTTTAAGTCAATAATGCCATGGCCTCAGAGCAAAGCAGACACTGCAGGTACAGCACTGGGAACACCAGGGGCCTGTATTCCAGGGGAAACCTGGAGCCTGGGAGGCACATTTCATGGGCAGAGGTGGGAAGGAGTCACCTGGGGCTGATTTCCATGGACCTGTGAGCCCTGAGCCCTCAGGCCTGGCTGGCTTTTTGTGGGAGCACAGCGCTTCCAGGAGCCAGCCAGCGAGGGGGCCTGCAGCCCTGCAACCCAAGCCCAGTGTGCAACAAGCAGCCAGAGGGCTCACTCTCAGAATGGGGGCTCAGCTGACCCGTCCCAGGACAGACAGCGGGCCTGTCACCGATCACGCTGTTGCGGTGGCAAAGTATTGTAAGGCCAAAGATTTGGAGCTCTGGGCCAGACTGCTGGCTTTGAATCCTGACTTAGACCTCTACTGTGTGACCCCAGGCGGGTTACTTCACTTTTCTGTGTCTCAGTTTCCTCCTCTGTAAAATAGGGGTGAAAATATGGGTCGCAATTTCTTGTTTACAATTCCAAAATCCAAAAAGCTCCAAAGAAATGATACATAAACACACACATACATACATATACACAGCCTCTTCAACTTAAGATAGGGTTACATCCACATAAACTCATTGTAAGTTGAAATGATTGTTAAGTTGAAAATGAATTTAATACACCTAACCTACCAAACATCATAGCTGAGCCTAGCCTACCTTAAACGCGCTCGGAACACTGACATTAGCCTACAGCTGGACAAAATCATCTGGCAAGGCAGTCCACTGTGGAGTATCAGTTCTTTTTTTTTTTTTTTTTTTGAGATGGAGTCTTGCTCTGTCTCCAGGCTGGAGTGCAGTGGCGCAATCTCGGCTTACTGCAACCTCCACCTCCCAGGTTCAAATGATTCTCCTGCCTCAGCCTCCCGAGTAGCTGGGACTACAGGCACATGCCACCATGCCCAGCTAATTTTTGTATTTCTTTAGTAGAGATGGGGTTTCACCATGTTGGACAGGATGGTCTTGATCTTTTGACGTCGTGATCCACCCGCCTCGGCCTCCCAAAGTGCTGGGACTACAGGCATGAGCCATCCCGCCCGGCCGCAGTATCAGTTCTTTACCCTCCTACTTGAGTGACCGACTGGGAGCTGTAGCCACTGCAGCTGGCCAGCATTGCAAGACGGTCTTGTACCACACATGGCTAGCACAGGAAAACACTAAAATTCCAAATTTAAGTTCAGTTTCTATCGAATGCATATCACTTTCACACCATTGTAAAGTCAAAACATCCTTAAATTGAACCATGGTAAATTGGGGACCATCTGTATTGACAAAAAAAAAAAAAAAAAAGGCAAATAGCCAAATGGAAAAAAAACTGGCAAAAGGAAGGCAGTTTTAGCAGAGATTTCTAGGTACTTACTTCAATTGCCATCCCCCCAACCCCCATCCTTCTCAGTAATAGAATCCTGATGTTACTCAGAGTTGCCATTTATCTAATTGAAAGACCATGTTTCCCAGCCTCCCTTGCAGATAGGTATAGCCATGTGACTAAATTCTGATTCAATATATGCAAGCAGAAGTGTTGTGTGTTATGTCCAGGAAGACTCCTTAAAGGGAAGGAGTGTGTCCTCCTTTGTGCCTGCCTCTCCCCTGCTGGTTGGAATGAGGGTGTGATGCCTGGCACTCTAGCAGCCATCTTGGAACGTGGGGCTGAGGACCACAGCCATTCCCTAAGGAGAGCAAAATGCAGCCCTAGAAGACGCCTGGGTCCCTGATTAGTTTGCAAAGCCACAATACCAATCCCGCACTCCCTTCCTCCAGAATACTTTTACAAGGGACAAAAACAAATTTCTATCCAATTTAAGCCTCTGTTGTTTTTGGTTTTTCTGCCATATGCAAATAAACCTAATCCAATTAACACAGCAAATCACAGAGGCTCAAATCCAAATGACCAACAGAAAATGGTGCTGAAGTTTGTCGGTAATTAGAAAAATGCAAATTAAACAACACAACACTTTATACCCATCAAACTGATTAAAAACGAAATGTGTTAATATGTTTGTGGGCAAAGATTCAGGGAAAGCATTCTCTAATACATTGTTGCTGAAACATAAATTGTTATGGCATTTTTGGAAAGCAACCTGGCAACAGTTATTAAAATTAAAACTAGATATACCCTTCAATCTAGCAATCTCATTCCTGGTGCTCTAGCTCCGAGTAATAAAAGAATTAATGTGTATGCAGGTGATACAGTTTGGATCAGTGTCTCCACCCAAATCTCATGTGGAATTGTAATAATCCCCAATGTTGGAGGTAGGGCCTGGTGGGAGGTGATTGGATCATGGGGTGGATTTCTCATGAATGTTCTACTGATTGAACTCAAGAGCGATACAGATAAAGTAGAAATCATTTTTTTCCCAAGGAAGTGACTTTTATCTAAATCCTGAGTGAGAGCTGCATGTGTCTGATGATCCTTGATTCTCTGTTTATATTCATGTGAAAGAACTAGATGACTGACACACGTAGCTTCTGTAAGATTTTGTTTCAGTTGTGAATGATTTCATCATCAGCAGGTCTGTCTTCTGAGTGGGCAGGCTGGCTCTGAACTCTATGTGCAGACAGGCATGTCAAGACAACCTTGACATGAGCAGGAGAGCAGCTAAGATTGCCCTAAAATGCCAGAGAATCATAATAAATCAAAGGACTAATCCTACTCAGGAAGAATGGTTATTACATGAGAGTGTTATTTGCTGGTCGTAGCTAGCAAGAAGGTCAGGCGTAAAGGCAACTCTGCCTGCTTTTATCTCAGAATGGGCCAAAAGGAGGGAAGAGAAAGGGAAGTTGGAAAGACATAGAACTATTCATCCACAAAACCTCAATGATTTCCCTGATTTTTGTTCCATTACAACTTTGCTTTACTCATTTGATCACATGAAGCTTAAAACCTCCTGAGGCCCTACCCTTGACAATAGTATCCATCTTCCCTACTTCTTCTGCTCCCTTCTGGGCAAATTTTGGACAACTAGCAACTCTGTTCTCTTTTATTCGTATAACAGCCTCCAGAACTGCACGAGAATCCATTTCAGTTGTTTTAAGTCACCAAGCGTGTAGTAATTTGTTATGGCAGCCCTAGGAAACTCATATAAATAGAATCTCATTAACTTCCTGTCTTTCAGAAGTCCTCCAGAAATCTCTGAGCCGCTCATGTAAACCCTGGGCCCATATTACTCTCAGTACTGCTGTGTATTTATTTCGTTTTGTTTCTCTTGACTAGGACAGAAGTGAGGTAGTTTCAGTCTGCATTGAAATTTTTAAAATAATATTTAATATTTAACTCCAGTGTATCTTCAGTCTTGCCCTAGAAGCCAGATTCAGATTCAGGCTAGATTGAAGAGAAAGCATTCCGCTACAAGAAAGGAGATTTAATTTTTGGTTCCCTGGCACATAGAGTATGCATTTCCCTGACGAAATTGTGTCAGACCAAGTGCATTTAAGACGAAAGCCAATCAAGATGATGGGTGTGGCAGCTTCTTACTCGGCTTCAGTGGCCCCCATGCCATCTCAGTCATAAAAGTGTTATGTGTATGTGTATATTCAGTTTCTCATTCTTCCACTGGCATTGTTTCACAAAATCCCTCCAGATATAACCAATATTCATTTTAATTTCAGTCAGAGTAAGTATAAAATCAGTTCTCTTCATAACATTAGTTTTTGACTTCAAACCTTCAGAGACATAAATGTGCTTTATGAAAAGCTCCTACTATTTCTTTCCTCCAGCAAAAATCGTGCAGTGATCTGTTACTGCCATTGAAGAATTAGATATGTAAATGGGAGGAGGGCATTTGAAGGCAGATGGTACCTAGGAATGGATGGGCGGTCGCATGGGTTTTTCTTCATTAAAACATCTTAAAGTTTGGTTCTCAGTGTGAAGATAGTTTAAATTGAAATAATTTTTGTACCTTGACACTGCAATAAGTGCCCTGTACATGCATCAAGTTTTACAAATGAGAGGCTATGTGGCGCTTCTGATAGAGCAAGGTGTTCAGGACTAAAGCCACAGAATATTCCTTAAATAGCTCCCTTTGATGTGAGAGCCTGAAAATTAGACATTAAAAATGAATAACCCTGCAACTCTAAGAAAAATGAGAGCAAGTGAAATACAATTTAATGAATCCCTATGTGATAGGAAACCATAGTTCAAATCATTTGACATCAGAAAATACCCTCCGTCCCTTAACCTCAAAATGTTAAAGCCAGCTCAAGTCACCTGACTTTTAGCAAAATTTCTCAGACAATTCCAGCCCACATTGATCTCTTTCTCCAAAGACTTTATCTGTACTTATCTGTCAATCATAAACTTGAAATCAGATACCATCTTGTAGCACTATCTAAACTACTTCACCTGTACATAGCTTGTTTTCCTATTGCAATTACAATTCAATGGGGCCAAGAACCACATCTTAATCTTCTTTTGTATCCTGCAATAAGTACTTTTTCAAAAAGTTGAAGTGATGTAATCTTCAAAATAAAATGGATCATTCAGACACATTAAGATTTTAGCTAACAAATTTGCAAGATACTAGGCTGCGTAATTTTATCTGCAATATTAAAAGCTATAAAAGGTCACCTGCCTTTAGTCATAAGTCATGTGGGTATATTATATTCAAATCCACATCCTGCCTGCCATGCTTCCTTTCGAATTCTCCTTTTGGAGATTTTGGTGCCCTTTACTTAGAATAATCGTGAAACTATGTCTAAAAAATAATTGACAAGACCTACTTTTCACCAGCCCATCTCCCCAGCCATCAATCTCGCTTTCACCCAGAGTTGGCAAGCTATTAGTAGCTACCATTTGCTTCCAAATACGACATAGATAGATAGATAAACACAGACATGAATGTATGTATGTATGTATGTCAATGACCTTGAAAGTTTGGTATTATTAGCCTTGTTTTGCAGATACATAAATAACTTTCTCAAGGTTGTAGACTAACTAAACCAAGATTCAAACCTCAATTTCCAAAATCCATGTGGTTTACAATAAGTCACCTCCCTTGCTAGTAAAGCTTCATATGTCAGATCCTACAAAGATAAATTAAAACTGGAATGGACTAAAAGCTCTTTGATTTCCTGAGTTTATAAGTTTTGCTTTTATTTATTTAAGTAATATCCTGCAAGTCACAAAGTACAAAATCTTATGAAAAGCAGTGAATAAAAGTCATGTGAGAGCAAGTTTACAGAAGAAAAAGTAAATAACATAAGAAACAGAGACTATGCAAGAGATTGGTCTGGTTACAAGAAAAATAAAACAAGGAGCAGAAAAAAATAAAAAACATTGGCAATACAGAAATGGCCTTATTATGTCATTTTTTAGTCAAAATGATATCGGCACATGCATTATTTTAGACTTTTTAAAAAGATTTTGCACATATGTGCAGTTGGGAATCAGGAAGGACAGATACGCAATGAAGGTTTATTTGTGAAAATGCTGGTGGTTGCAAATGCTGTAGAACTGTGCAAAATCCTGAATGTACTTACCATGAGATTGACCACTGGCTCCCAATTTCATCCTAGCTCCTTTCGTAGTAGAGGTGGACAAGCATTCTTATTTTTTGCTGTGAATGGTGCAGTTGGGCTTATGGCAGTCAAGGTAAGAGGAACAGGGACATGGCTCAATTGAAACCCTTTTATGTATGTTACCCCCAGACAGCACTAAAAGCAGGCAACTTGGTTTCCAGAACTCCTGAGGTAATTCCAATGAGCAACCAAATTTGAGCCCTACTACTTTAATTGAATAGGATGGCATATTAATCAGGCTTCTCCAGAGAAACAGAACTAATGTGATACAGATGGATTAGATAAATAGGTGTAAAGAATGGAAAGAGATAGAGATACATGAGGAGATACACTACGGAAATTGGCTCACCCAGTTACGGAGACTGAGAAATCGTATGATACACCATCTGCAAGCAGGAGAACCAGGGAAGTCTGTAGTGTAATGCAGTCTGAGTCCAAAGGCCTGAGAACCTGGAGCTCTGTTGTCTGAGGGCTGGAGAAGCTCCCAGCTCCAGAAGAGACAGCAAATTCACCTTTCCTCTGTTGTTTTGTTCTATCTAGTCCCTACACGGATTGGTAAGGGCAGATCTTCTTCACTCAGTCTACTGATTCAAATGCTAATCTCTTCCAGAAACACCCTCACAGACATACCCAGAAATAATGTTTTAGCAGCTATCTGTATATTCCTTGAAACCAGTCAAGGTGATGACTAAAATTAACCATCACAAATGCTGTCAGCATAGTGACTTGGCCTAGAAGAATACATGGATTCAAGTAATAGGCTTGATAACCACATGGATGAATGGCATTATCCAGTCATCTTAAAAATACATCACATGATCCCAGTAAGTGATAATCTCACAGAATTCAAGTAGAAGACTAGAATTTTTTTGCAACAGTCATGTAGGAAAATTAATGCAATCGTAGCTTCGCAGGACACTTCTAGGAAAGTTATTCAGAGGTCATAGAAGAGAAAAGCTCACTGTTAAAATTAATATTCTTCAATCACACACTTATCAAATCTATTTTAAATACATAGCAAGAAACAAGAAGAAAGAAAAAAGAGGTAAGGTGGGATTCAAGCAGGTTGAAGGGCCATCCTCCCTGAATTATAGATTTTAGATTAACACATTACCATATTTATGCTCTCTCCCTCTCTCTCTCTCTGCTTCATCACCCTTCCCAGCTGATGTTGGGGGCCAATAGATGATGCTTGGGGCAACAGAATACACTTGCTGTATTTGAGATAATCAGGCAAGTATTCCTGACTGCAGATGACATCACCAGTTAGCTTGCTGAACAGATGTGGGTTTTATCTGTATTTATTGGGCATAGTGTATGTGGAGCCATCAGGGGACTATTGCATGTGCTACCAATGGGCAGTGAATTTAGAAATAGCTGTGAATTGAGAGAATCATGTCTTATGATTCGGCCTTTTCATATTGTCTTTTTTCAGAAGAAAGTCTTGTATTTGTTACATCATGTAACCCATTTATTCTTTCTATCTTTAACATTCTTAGAGATTATCATCATACATCATCTAGCTAACATCTCTTTTGAATTCTGCCTACATAGCAAAAACTACTTGCTTATTCATACCCAGACTTAACACATCCTATAAGGTTTCTCTCTCTCTCTCTCTTTATTGTAAGATAGCTTTCTCACTATCTATGCTTAACATTCTTTATCAGTTGTATCACTCCTGTTTATTTTCTTTTTGTAAAAGCATTGAATATTCTCAAATAAGAAAGCAAGCATATATTCTAAAAACTTTCTCCATGTTTCAATGACAGGACTTTATTGTAGAGGTGAAAGAGACCTCTGTCACTTTTATTACTCACTTAGGATAACTGTACATTTTAAAGTGGAAGTGTAACTGCTGTGTGCAACCTTTGTTAAGGACAATATGTTCAAGGGGAAAAGGCTGTGGGCAAATCAAAGAAATTCAAATTGAAGAAAGGTGACAACTAAACATTAAATAAAACATAAAAATATCTCAAGAATGGAATGACCCATGTTGAGCAAAATTTCAGGCTAAGCACAAATCCAAAAGAGTGACATTTTGCAAAGACTGGCAAATGTAAATAAAAGGATAATTATTCACTGCAGGAACTGTGGTTTCTAGTCTCCCAAATTAGTCCAATGAGTTGCACACTGAAGTAACATGTGTGTCATCAGAAAAAGTATTTTATATTTTAATAATTATGTATAGTATACATATAAACACAATTAAATGTAAAAAATATGTAAATATATGTTTATATGTATATTAGGCCATTCTTGCATTGCTATAAAGAAATACCTGAGACTGAATAATTGATAAGTAAAATAGGTCTAATTAGCTCAGGTTCTGCGGGCTTTACAGGAGACACGGCACCAGCATCTACTTGGCTTTTGGAGAGGCCTCAGGGAGCTTTTACTAATGGTGGAAGGCAAAGCGGGGGAAGACACATCACATGGCAAAAGCAGGAGCAAGAGAGAGACAGAGGTGACACACTTTTAAACAACGAAATTTTCTGAGAAGTCACTCACTATCAGGAGGCCAGCACCAAGAGGATGGTGCTAAACTGTTCATGAGAAATCCACCTCCACGATCCAGTCACCTCCCACCAGGCCCCACCTGCAATATTGGGGGTTATATTTCAACATGTGATTTGAGTGAGGACAAATATCCAAACGATATAAATATGCATATACATATGTACAGAAACAACCAATAGTATCTCTTTTAATTGACAAGTAAAATTATATATATTTATGTTGTACAACATGATGTTTTTGATATATGTATACATTGTAGAATGATTAAATCAAGCTATATAACATATACCTTACATCACATTTTTATCTGTTGTGGGGACAACACTTAGAATCTACTTTCTTAGCAATTTTGAAATATGCAATACATTTGCATTGATTGTCGTCAGCATGGTGTATAATAGAGCGCTTGAGCTTGCTTCCCCTAACTGAAGTTTTCTCCCTTTGACCCTCACGTCCTCAGTCCCTCCATTTCCTAGCCTCTGGTAACCACCATTTTATTTCTTATTTCTATAAGTTGGACTGTTTTATACTCCACGTGTAAGTGAGATCATGTGGTATTCGTCTTTCTGTGCCTAGCTTATTTTACGTAATGCAATGTCCTCCATGTCTATTCATGTTGGTGCAAATGACAAGATTTCCTTCATTTTTAAAGCTATTCCATTGTGTATATATACCACATTTTCTTTATCCATTCATCCACTAATGAACGCTTAGGTTGATTCTAATAGCTAAACAGCTAAATCTATTTTAGCTCTTGTGATAGTGCTGCAATGAACAGGACAGTGCAGATATCTCTTTGACATACCAATTTCATATCCTTTGGAAATATATCCAAGTGGTAGAATTACTGGATCATATGGTAGTTCTATTTTTAATTTTTGAGGGAGTTCCATACTGTTTTCCATAATGACTGTACCAATCTACATTCCCACAAACAGTTAAAAAGATTTCCCTTTTCTTCACATTCTCACCAATACTTGTTGTCATTCAAGTTTTTGATAATAGCCCTTCTAGCAAATGTGAGATGATACCTTACTGTGGTTGTGATTCGCATTTCCCTGGTGATAGGTGGTGTTGAGCATTTTTATACCTGTTGGCTATTTGTATAACTTCTTTTGAAAAATGTCTATTCACATCCTTTGCTTACTTTTAATCAGGTATTTTGTTTTCTTACTTTTGAGTTCTTTATATATTTTGGATATCAACTCCTTACCATATTCATGGTTTGCCAATATTTTCTCATATTCTGTAGGTTGTCTCTTCACTCTGTTGAATGTTTCCTTGGCTGTGCAGAAGCTTTTTAGTTTGATGCAATCCTCTTTGTCTATTTTAGCTTTGTGCTTTTGAGGTCAAATCTAAAAAAATTATTGCCTATATCAATGTTCTATAGTTTTGCCCCTAAACTTTCTTCTAGTAGTTTTATAGTTTTTGGTTTTAGGTTTAAGTCTTTAATCCATTTTGAGTTGACTTTTGTATTTAGTGTAATATAAAAGTTGAATTTCATTCTTCTGTGTGTGGTTATCCACTTTTCCTACAACCTCTTATTGAAGAGACTATTCTTTTTCCATTGTGTGTTCTTGGCACCTTTATTGAAAATAAATTGACCAAAAATGATGTATTTATTTGTTTATGCTTGTACCATACTCTTTTGATTCCTATAGCTTGAGAGTAGATTTTGAAATTGGGTTATGTGATGCTGTCAGCTTTGTTCATTTTGATCAAGTTACTTAGGCTATTTGAGATTCCACACAAATTTTAGGATTGATTTTTCTATTTCTATAAAAAATCATTGGAATTTTGATATGGATTACACAGAATCTGTAGATTGTTTTGGGTGGCATAAACTTTTAACAATATTAAGTCTTCTAGTTCATGAGCATGAGATATCTTTCCATTTAGTTATGTCTTCTACAATTTCTTTCATCAATGTTTTGTGCTTTTCAGTGTGTGGATCTTTCATATCCCTGGTTAAATTTATTCTTATATAATTTTTTGTAACTATTGTAAAGGGGGTTGTAGTCTTAATTTCTTTCAGATAGTTCCTTGTTACTGTAGAAACATCCTTATTTTTGTATGTTAATTTTTTTATTTTTTATTATTATTATACTTTAAGTTTTAGGGTACATATGTTAATTTTTTTATCCTGCAACTTTACTGTATTCTTTATTAGTTCTAACAGTTTCTTGGTGGAGTCTTTATGGTTTTCTCTATATAAGATCATATCATCTGCAAGCAGTGACGATTTAACTTTTTTCCTTCCTATTTGGATGCCTTTTATTTCTTTCTCTTACCTAACTGCTCTGGCTAGGACTTTCAGTAACATGTTAAATGAAAGTGGTGAGAGCGGACACGTCCTTATCTTGTTCCTGATCTTAGAGGAAAAGCTTTCAACTTTTCACTGTTAAGTATGATGTTAGCTTTGGGATTGTCATATATGGCCTTTGTTGTGTTAAGGTACATTCATTCTGTTCCTTATTGAGAGTATCTATCATGAATGGATGTTGAATTTTGTCAAACACATTTTCTGCATCTATGGAAATGATCATATTAATTCTGTCTTTCATTCTTTTAATGTGGTAGATAGTATATATTGATTTGTGTATGTTGAACCATTCCTGCATCCCAGGGATAAATCCCACTTAATTATGAAAATTATATTGCTATTTAAACTGGTAGCTTCAAAATTCCTACTGTGTCAGTCAGTTTACCAGCAGAAAGCAGCTGTCACAAACAAATAAAGGTAATTGCAGAAGATTGAATAAAGAACCTATTTACAAAGGGAAGAACAGTGTATAGGAAAAGAACAGAGGTTAGTGAAATGCCCTATTCTAGTGACAGTGGAGCCATTACTGTCTTGGCCAGAACAGGCTAGAGGAGGAGTTTCTGGAACCTAGCATGAGACGTTGTAAGGAAAGGGCCATCTTGAGAGGAGCTTGGGCCTGTGAAGGACACATTCAGTCTGAGGTTACCAGGCAAGAAGCTATCCAGAAGAGTCAGTGCTGGGTGAGTTTCCTCTCATCTTCTGAAACCTGGTGATATGGTTTGGCTTTGTCCCCACCCAAATCTCATCTTGAATTCCCATGTGTTGTGGGAGGGACCTGGTGGCAGGTAATTGAATCATGAGGGCAAGTCTTTCCTGTGCTGTTCTCATGAGAGGAAGTCTCACAAGATCTGATGGTTAATATAAGGGGGAATTTTCCTTCACAAGCTCTCTCTTTGCCTGCTGCCATCCATGTAAGATGTGATTTGCTCCTCTTTGCCTTCCACCATGATTGTGAGGCTTTCCCAGCCACATGGAACTGTAAGTCTAATTAAACCTCTTTTGTAAATTGTCCAGTCTCAGGTATGTCTTTATTAGAAGCATGAAAAGAGGCTAATACAGGAAATTGGTACCAGTAGAGTGGGGCATTACTGAAAAAATACCCAAAAATGTAGAAGCAACTTTGGAACTGGGTAACAGGCAGAGGTTGGAACACTTTGGAGGGCTCAGAAAAAGACAGGAAAATGTGGGAAAGTGTGGAACTTCCTAGAGACTTGCTGAATGGCTTTAACCAAAAGCCTGATAGTGATATGGACAATAAGGGCCAGGCTGATGTGGTCTCAGATAGAGATGAGGAACTTGTTGGGAACTGGAGCAAAGGTGACTCTTGTTATGTTTTAGTAAAAAGACTGGCAGCATTTTGTCCCTGCCCTAGAGATTTGTGGATCTTTGAACTTGAGAGAGATGATTTAGTGCATCTGGTGGAAGAAATTTCTAAGCAGCAAAACATTCAAGAGATGACTTGGGTGCTGTTAAAGGCACTCAGTTTTATAAGGGAAGCAGAGCATAAAGGTTGAGAAAATTTGCAGCCTAACAATGTGATAGAAAAGAAAATCCATTTTATGAGTGGATTGCAGAAATTTGCATAAGTAACTAGGAGCCCAATGTTAATCCCCAAAACAATGGGGACAATGTCTCCAGGGCATGTCAGAGGTCTTCATGGTAGCCCCTTCCATCACAGGCTCAGAGGCCTAGGATAAAATGGTTTCCTGGGCCAGGCCCAGGGTCCCTGTGCTGTGTGCAATCTAAGGACTTGGTGCCCTGCATCCCAGCCACCCCAGCCATGACTAAAAAGGGCCAAAGTACAGCTTGGGCTTTGCTTCAGAAGGTGGAAGCCCCAAGCCTTGGCAGCTTCCACGTGGTGTTGAGTCTGCAGGTGCACAGAAGTCAAGAATTGAGGTTTAGGAACCTCGGCCTAGATTTCAGATGTATGAAAATGCCTGGATGCCCAGGCAAAAGTTTGCTGTGGCCAGGGTGGGAGTGGGGGGCTCATGGAGAACCTCAGCTAGGGCAGTGTGAAAGGGAAATGTGGGGTCAGAGCCCCCACACAGAGTCCTTACTGGGGCGCCATCTAGGGATGCTATGAGAAGAGGGCCACCATCCTCCAGACCCCAGAATGGCAGATTCACTGACAGCTTGTACCATCCACCTGGAAAAGTCACAGATACTCAATGCCAGCCGACAGAAGCAGCCAAGAGAGAGGCTGTACCCACCAAAGCCTCAGGGGTGGAGCTGCCCAAGACCATGGGAACCCACATCTTGCATCAGTGTGACCTGGATGTGAGACACAGAGCCAAAGGAAATCATTTCACAGCTTGAAGATTTGACTGCCTTGCTGGATTTCAGATTTGCATGGGGCCTGTAGCCCCTTTGTTTTGGCCAATGTCTCCCATTTGGAATGGCTGTATTTATCCAATGCTTATACCCACATCTTATCTAGGAAGTAACTAACTTGCTTTTGATTTTACAGGCTCATAGGCAGAAGGCAATTCTCTTGTCTCAGATGAGACTTTGGACTATTGACTTTTGAGTAATGCTGAAATGAGTTAAGACTTTGCAGGACTGATGGGAAGGCATGATTGGCTTTGAAATGTGAGGACATGAGATTTGGGAGGGGCCAGGGGCAGAATTATATGGTTTGGCTGTGTCCCCACCAAAATCTTATCTTGAATTCCCACGTGTTGTGGGAGGGACCTGGTGGCAGGTAATTGAATCATGGTGCAGGTCTTTCCCGTGCTGTTCTCATGAGAGGAAGTCTCACAAGATCTGATGGTAAGGGGAAGTTTTCCTGCATAAGCTCTCTGTTTGCCTGCTGCTATCCACTTAAGACCTGACTTGCTCGTCCTTGCCTTCTGCCATGACTGTGAGGTTTCCCTAGCCAAGTGTAACTGTAAGTCCAATTATACCTCTTTCTTTTGTAAATTGCCCAGTCTCAGGTATGTCTTTATCAGCAGCGTGAGAACTGACTAATATGCCTGGCTAGGTTAACAGAGCTTAGTTTATATGCGGATGTTAATATTTGGTAATGGGTGCTTAAATGTATTGTGAACATGAAACTTGTGAAGACTGTAGTGACGGATCAGTCATGTCTGCTTTCAATATTAGAAGACATAACGGTGTCAAGCTTGCCAAATATTTTCCAGTGTCTTCCCTGAAAACATTATGGTTAGAGAAACTGCAAGGAAATTTCTGAAAATTCTGAAGTGAAGAGCAAATTCTCATAGGTGAGGCTGAAAGATATTCATGCGTAAGGCATAGCATGTGCAAATATCTAGAGAAATAAAAGACCATGCACTATTCTTAGAATTGCAAGTACCTACAATATGAACAGAAAGCATAACAGGTGAGAACAACAGTGTGAGAAATAGGTCCAGTAAAGCAGGATGCATTTAGATAATGAAAAACCTAGAAGCCGAGCATGTGAAGTTGGGTTTTTAGCCATGAGTTGTCATGATGAAATTTTGCATTTAAGCAGCCACTTTGATGTCAGTGTACAGAATGAACTGAAGCAATGAGCAGAGTAAGCGGAACCAACAAAGAAAGCTGAAGAAAGACACCCAGTGAGTTCAGCTTTACTTAGTTAAGCTTCACATTTATGAGTTGCCAGTCAGTGCTGATTCCTGGCAAATGGATGGTTGTGAATATGACACAATCCTGCCCTGCCCCAGAAGAGCTTATAGGAGAGAAAGGCAATTTCTCCAAGTGCCCTGGGAGCAGAGAGCTAGAAGAGGAACAGAAATGAAGGTGAAAGAGGTCAAGCATGACCATTCTTTATCAGCAAGGCCAGTACCAACTCCTGGGGCTTACGGAGTTCCCCAGAGCTTTCAGCATTTCTGAACCAGTTCTTGAAGACATCACAGTACACTTGTCTGTATGTCTTTCTCACATATACACAAACACACACACACACACACATACACAGGAACCATTGATCAAAAACATCTCTATCAACATCTCCTAATTAGTTGAGAATTAGTAAATACATGTGGTTTGAGAAGATGACTGTTATTGTACTTTTAAGTAAAATATTGAATATCATATCTTGTATTAATAAATGGAATAAAAAATTATGTTTTCCTTCAATAATATGAACTGACATTCTATATAAAGAACTAAAATATAAAGTTAATAACTACTTACATTTGTAAATCTATAAAATTATAAATGATAATACATACTCCATTTTAATTTATCCTTACAAAGCTCTAGAGGTACATGGGAATAAGTATTCTTTTATTTTACTAAGCAATGAAAATTCATGGAATTATGTGACTCTCTCAAGGTTTACAAGTAAATGTCATAGCCAGGACTTGAACCTTCATCTTCTGTCTCCAAAGTGAGGATGGTTTTTATTATACCACCCCATTGTCTAATAGGCAGTATTTTGTTAAAACAAAATTAAAAAGAAAAAGAGAAAAATCTTATTGTACATTATTTACGGTACTCCTGCAGAAGAATATTTGAGAGAATGGCTTATGTAAGGAAGAGAACATATTGTCTAGTCTCAATAAAAATTTAATGTTTAAAATTATTGAGCCTATTATTTGCTAAAAAAAAAGAAAAATATATAGATACAGTCTTTCCATCACCATTCCAGCCACTAATTCTGATCTCCTTAAATGCCCAGCTTCCTGGGCATTCACTCCTGGAGGCAGCCATGCTCTCTACCCAGGTCTCCACCCTCTGGAGTCGTGTTGGATATTCTCTGTGGTTAGGGTTAATATGCTGGTTGGAATTACCAGGTGTAGATCACATTCTTTGTTTGTTTGTTTTTTGAAAGGCCTATTCTTTTGTTACTTTAAGTTCTGGGATACATGTGCTGAACGTGCAGGTTTGTTACATAGGTATACATGTGTCATGGTGGTTTGCTGCACCCATCAACCTGTCATCTAGGTTTTAAGCCCCACATGCATTAGGTATTTGTCCTAATACTCTCCCTCCTCTTTCCCCCGACCTCCTGACAGGCCCTGGTGTGTGGTATTCCCTCCCTGTGTCCATGTGTTCTCATTGTTCAACTCCCACTTATGAGTGAGAACATGCGGTGTTTGGTTTTCTGTTCCTGTGTTAGTTTGCTGAGGATGATGGTTTCCAGCTTCATTCATGTCCCTGCAAAGGACATGAACTCATCCTTTTTTATGGCTGCATAGTATTCTGTGGTGTAAATGTATCACATTTTCTTTATCCAGTCTATCATTGATGGGATACCCAAAGGACTATAAATCATTCTACTATAAAGACACATGCACATGTATGTTTATTGCAGCACTATTTACAATAGCACATTTTATATAATTATCTGGAAATTGTCCTGGTTCCTGATAGAAGAGGCATTAGCTCCATTCAGTTGGCATCCTGGGTCATAAAGCAATTAAAGAAATTGCTTTGATCTCTAAAGAAATTGTTGCTCAGATTTCTAATTATTGTTATTCTATGTAGAAGTGTCATCCTAACCAAGGTGCATGGAAATCTCTCTCTCACTAACATTGGGAGAAAATGTGCAAGTAATGAGAGGCTTCAAGTAAAGGTGACAGGGGTGCTTTCCAGAGTTATATCTCAAGAGAAGAAAAAGATGTGGCAGTTTCTTTGTATCTCTACTAGAGGACCCATTCTTCAAGTCAGTTGAGTAAACCTTTCTTGACTTTGGTTACCAAATGCATTCATCGTAGGTCCTGATTAGTTAGCACTAACGATGTTCTCTTCCTGTGAAGCTGTTTGCAACCTTGAGGAACACTAGAAAGATTTCCACCTACCGGCTGTACCAAAACTTGGAAGAGGCCTAGAAAATATTCCTTTTCTCTTGTACTTTCAAATGAGAAGACTTAGTTGAAATCTTGAGAATCATGAGCTCAGTGCAGCAAGGAATCATCATGCATTTACACATAGTGCTGCAATTTTCTACTGTTGTTTTTCATCCCTGAGGCTACAGACAATATTCTCTAATTCACAAAGGTCCATTTTATTCACCAGCTTTATTCTACAGAATTGGATCCTGCCTCGTTTTGCCCAACATTTCTGATCAGATCTTGATTTCTTTTATTTTAAAATCATAAAAAACTTTTTTTCTTCCTAAACATCATAAAATTGTTAGTGAGTAGAAGAATAATTCATGAGATTTTACGATCATGCCACTGTGTTATTCATTATAGTCACCATGATGTAGAATAGAGCTCTTGAATTCATTTCCCCTAACTGTAATTATATATCCTTTTACCAACATTTCCTCAACTCCCCCACCCCCCAACCACCCTAGTCATTGGTAACCACCATCCTACTCTCTAATTCTATGAGATCAACTTTTTCAGATTCTACCTATGAGTGAGATCTTTGTCTTAGTCAGTGATAGTGCAGAGAACTGGCTCAAGCTCCAAGAAGCTCTCTTCGTTAATAAATGTGAGCACCTGCTAAGTCCTTCACCCAAGCCATTGACCAGGGAGTCCACCCTTAATTCCGGCTAAGGTTCACATTTCCCTGAAGTGGCTGGCACTATGCTAGGCCTGCTGATATATCTATGTCAAGCAAGAACTGAAGACAGGCTATGAAAACCACACATCAGTGGAATTCTCTTCTATATCAATTTATGAAAGAGTACACCAAGTTTATAAAGATCATATCCCACCATTGCTCCGGTCAACCCATGTAACCTTTACTTATATTTCAGTCATCCACATCCCCTCCTAGATGAAGGTTAGAGAGAGTGGATTGGAGCATACAGGTCTTCCTCCTGCTTTCCTCTCTTCCATTTTTTCTTCTCTCACCCTTATATTCAACAAATGTCTACTCCCTGCCAGGCATGTGTTCTAAGTACTGGGGATGGAATGGTAAGGACCACAGAAAAATTCTTCGCCCTTCATGGAGCTTACATTCAAGAAATAGAAATAGAAAATAAACAAGTAAATATGTTGAACATCAGGAGATGATAAGCGGCATGGAGAAAAATGAAAGGACTGTAAACGAGGTAGATTTGATCATAGGAAAGCTCCTTGAAGAAGTGTCAATTGAGAGAAAATGTCTACATGTTATGAGGGAGTAAGTGGTTCATAAGCAGCAGAGAGTATCTTCTGGTCGGAGATAAACAGTGATTACAAAAAGTCCCAATATTGGAACAAGCGTGGCTCAATGGAGGGAAAGCAAGATGGCCTGTGTGACTAGAGTGCAGTAAGTGAGGTTGAGGGATGGGGATGAACTGAGAAGCCAAGAGAGAGCAGATCAGAGAGATTCAGCACTACTGGGGTGATTTAAGTATGAATGGATACAGAGACTAATATAAGTTTTTAAACCATCTCTGTCTGTTGAGAACTAACGGTAGAGAAAAAAAGGGAGAAATAAGAAGAAAAGATGACAATATTTGCAGGAGTGCATGACAGTGGCTGGTTCCATGGTGGAAATGTGATTGCATCTGGGTTATATATTGAAGGCAGGGAGGAAGGAGACTGCTGATGAGATGAATGTGTAAATGTTGAGTGAGTGTCGATGCTATGTACTGAGATAAGGAAGATTGTAGGTTGAAGTATGGGGGTTCAAGAGTTCTTTTCTGAATGTTTATTAGACATCTGGAGAATCATGTTAAGTACGCAGTTAGATAAAACAATCAGGAGCTCAGGATAGATGTCAGAACTAGACGAATAAATATGGCAATCATCAGCAGAGATGGCACTCGGCATTAGAGGACTGGATTTTTTCAACCAGGAAATATGTTTAGAATTGGAAGAGAAGATGTTCTAGAATTGAGCCCATAAGTACCCAGACTTTCTTGAGAAGAAGGACACGGTGAAGGAGACCAAGAAGACGCAACTAATCAGATGAACACCTGTACAGTGTGTGTGTCTAAGAAGTCAAAGAAAGAAAGTATTTCAAGAAAGAGATAACCAACAGCATCAAATGCCCTGAAATGGCAAGTAAGACGTACGTAACCTTGACAAAGGTATTTCAGTGGATTTGTAGGGATGAAGGTCTGATTGGAGAGGATTAAAGAGAGAGTGGGGAGAACTTCCACTTAAATACATTTATCTCCCCATCCTCCCAAAACACCAATAAAATGTATGTAATGGAATTTTTTTTGGCATAAACTACAAGGACAAAGAGTGTAGAAAAGGAAACAACAGGCAGAAAACCCACATCGACAAAATTTTATAATCTGGTATGGTAGTAACTGACTCAGTAGGCCAGAGAAGGGGAAATGTAACCCTATATTCAGGTTGCCAGAAAGATATAGTTCTATTTACTGCTAAACCCCAAGAAGGCTCAGAAAGTGGAGAACCAGCTTCCTTAGATGGGAGGAGTGTGAAATGGAGCTAAAAACAGGGTTGATTGAAGATCTTTTAAGTAGCTACCAGATACCACACTTTACTTCCCAGCTCGGTGCAAGCAGGCATGGGAGTATTACTCTCTGGAAAGGTTTGACAAGGGGTTAAAAGGCTCTGAACATGGGGATGGCAGACACAGGTGAGAGCAAATGTGCAGTGCCTTACTGACATGGGGAGATTTTAAGTAAAATTCTTGAATGAAGGGTAAGACACTCCTTACCCTGCTTCCTTGTCTGTTTCTCTGCTTTACCTTCACAAAGATGGCTGCCAGGCCTGCATCAGCGCCCTTCCACTGTAAAGCATTCTAAAAAGTTCACCTTCAGTTTTGAGGGTTGTGATCCTATAGCAATAACCCGTTTCCTCTTCTGCATCTTTGATAACCCTCTCATCATTGACATCATCCAATTTTTTCTGCAACCAATGGTGAAACATGTCTCAGGCTGCTTCCTGTATTTGGAAAAGCCCTCCTTCAAATTTAGCTAAAGGACTCTGTCATGTTTACAAAAAAAGGAGAAAAAAAAATCGCTTGAAATGAAATGTCCCCATTCCCATCTACTTCCAACCTTAAATTGAATATTATGTCAAACACAAGAGGCCATTAACATGCAAACATTTGTAATCGTCGCTGCTTTACTTCACCCGGTGCATCTTATTGTGTTTTTATGTAATTTGGATGTGATTAAAATGTGTGCAAATATTATCGTAATGTAGCTAAGCAGGTATTTATGTGAAAACATATGGTCCAGTGTAGTGGATATAAGACCTGGTTCAATAACACATGCCTCTAGGTGTTTAATGATATTTGATGGCATAATTTTTTTAAAATCTCAGTTTTCCAAATCATTATCTAGATTCAAGGAGGCAGAGATCCAGATGCTTTACCATATTTTCTGCACCTCATTATTAAATTCACGTCTTAACTATTCTTTGTAAGTAAACTGTCATAGAAGACTTTCATAATTAACCAGAGAAAGCTTTATGCCCCCTTTTCAAAGTTTAAATGGGGATCTAAAAACAAAGCAGACCAAATACCTATTCGCTCCAGGCCAATGTAGACATCGATAAAATTAGCCAGTGTTCTGTCAATGATAATCTAAATCATTCTCTCACGCATTTATGCACAATTATATTAGCTTATTATTATACTGTCATAAACAATGGTTGTAGTAAGAATCACCTACCATATGTAGACCTACAATTATGAGTTGTGCATAGACCTTGTCTGGAAGTCAAAAGATAGTATTCACTTTGTTTTATGGAATAATCTTTTCGGTAATTTTGAGAAAGTCATATATTTTTAGTGAACCTTATTCTTGCTTACTGTAAAATAGAATCCTGCTCCTGAGCTCTCTCAAAATCATCATAAAATCAAAGGTGACAATGTGAAAATATATTGTTACTTTTGTCAGTTTATTTCATCTAGTTCACTTATTTGTCACTGCTCTTATTTGCTATTCTTACATGAAACTTTCATACTTGTCTCTAAGTATACACATCCATTGTCATTCAGATAGAGATGTTGTGAGGACCTTGAATCACTTAATTTAATTAACACTCTTAATTTTTCAGATGAAGAAACGTTGTTCACCCAGAAAATTTAAGTGACAAACCAAGGCCACACCTATAACTGGTGGCAGTCCCCAAACTAAAACTCCAGGCCTCTAGTCTTTTCACTTACATCCATATTCATTTCTCAGAAAATATCACCTACTTTGGGAAGTATTGAAAGAAACGTTGCTAAGATGTAAACACAAAATAAAGTGAGACATAAATGAAAAATAAAACACCGTGTTTAAATATTCAGATGGCCAATGATAGACTGGATTAAGAAAATGTGGCACATATACACCATGGAATACTATGCAGCCATAAAAAAGGATGAGTTCATGTCCTTTGTAGGGACATGGATGAAGCTGGAAACCATCATTCTCAGCAAACTATCGCAAGGACAGAAAACCAAACACCGAATATTCTCACTCATAGGTGGGAACTGAACAATGAGAACACTTGGACACAGGAAGGGGAACATCACACACTGGGGCCTGTCGTGGGGTTGGGGGAGGGGGGAGGGATAGCATTAAGAGATATACCTAATGTAAATGATGAGTTAACAGGTACAGCACACCATCATGGCACATGTATACATATGTAACAAACCTGCACGTTGTGCACATGTACCCTAGAACTTAAAGTACAATAATAATTAAAATAAATAAATATTCAGATGGCATATAATATGCCCTGCTGAGACCAGCTTGGTCAGGGATACCCTAACCCAGGGGCGCTAGAGGAATTAAAGACACACACACACACAGAAATATAGACGTGTGAAGTGGGAAATCAAGGGTCTCACAGCCTTCAGAGCTGAGACCCCCAAACAGAGATTTACCCACATATTTATTAACAGCAAACCAGTCATTAGCATTGTTTCTATAGATATTAAATTAACTAAAAGTATCCCTTATGGGAAACGAAGGGATAGGCCGAATGAACACGCCCTTAAGACACAGATCGCTCATCTTTTGTTTGTGGCTTAAGAATGCCTTTAAGCAGTTTTCTACCCTGGGCAGGCCAGGTGGTCCCTGCCCTCATTCCCGTAAACCCACAACCTTCCAGCTTGGGCGTTAGGGCCATTGTGGACATATCACAGTGCTGCAGACATTTTGTTTATGGCCAGTTTTGGGGCCAGTTTATGGACAGATTTTGGGGAGCTTGCTCCCAACAATGCCCCAACTAAGATATTAGAAAAATCTAAAGTGAAGATTTTCTCCTAAATATACTTTTACACAAGGTTTATATATATATACATATACATATATATATGCATGTAGATATATTCAGTATAACTCTAAAGTCATAAAACTGATAAAACAATTTAATTCTAAAACAGCCTCTTTATGAATTCTTTGTATACATGTTTGGTGACAACATTAAAATAATATTTAATAATTTAAAGAGTACTCAGAAAGTACACAGATTTTCCACCTTATTTGGCATGATCTGCAGCGCTGAAGATTACCAGCAGCTACAATATGGAGAGACAAATGCTTCAGCTGTTTGTTGTTCATTTCCGCCTCTTTGATGTAAAATATCCAGGGAGCCCAGAACACTATTTTTTTTTTAATTTTTATTTTACGAATCACAAACGCTCTGTTAGGACCTTGCTTACAATGATTTAACACGCAGTGTCAGGTTTTAATGCTTTCAGCAATTTAGCATCTGCCTTTATTAATTCCAAGTTCCAAAAGCATATCTCAACCATCCACATCCTCATCTTCTGGAGTTCAGTATATAATGCCAGGAAAAAGTAAAAACAAAACAAAACAAAACAGAAAAAACTTTCAACATGGACGTAGAGAAAAGGAAATATTCCTAACGTTCATTTGGAGAAACCTGTAACCAGGGCACTTACTTCCATGACCTGAAGACATTCAGGAGCCAGACAGATACTTTAGCTGCCTGATGTTTGACTAACTGTATCCTTCGAAGAGACTGTAAAATTGCATTTAAGTCTGACATCCTCCCAGCTAAAGCACTGAGTTTATCAAGTAAACAAAAATAAATCAATTACATTTTCACAAAATTACTGAGTGCTTCTGGGTGGTGAGTGGAGGAATCAGAATGAGGCTTTTCCCCCTTTTCATAGAAAATCTAAGATAATGCCGAATAAAAACTATGGACTGCAATTTTTCCAAATAATGCCGAGGAAACAAACTAGATCGCATTTTTAGTGTAGGCATCCACTTCATTCACTGACATTTTTGCATGCAAGCTTACTTTGGGGTCAAAAGAAGACAGAGAAAAGAGAAAAAATAGGAACCAAAACTTAATAGGATAAATGAATCTATCTTTATGTTAACCCTTCTCTATCCCTAAAATACTTTTTACTATTGCATCCAGCATTCATTCATTCATTCATTCATTTTACTGTTGTTGTTTATCCAGTTATTTTCTTGCAGAATTAACACTTCAGTAGTGCTGAAGATAGCTCTATTTCTGTGTTCCCTTGAGAGCTTCCATCTGAAATGAATGAACATCAAGGCCAAATTTGGAACTACAGGGACAGTTTTCAGTTTATTCACTTTATATATTGACTGAACCCTGAGTCAAGGTTCCCAGGTCATTCCATCTAAATTTAGCTTACTTGGATATATTTGAACTGGATGAGTTGTCATTTCTTCTGAAGACAAATTCTGACAAGACCATTAGTGATGCATGATATTTTGTGAAAATAAAATTCAAACTGTGAAATCCTCAGTAGCCTCAAGGAGCTGTATTTATAATTATTTTTAATTAAATTTCACAGTCAAGGTATGGAATATAAAATGCATATGGTGCAAATTGTTGCTAGGGAGGTTGGACTGTAGCAGAATGTGTTTTGTTGCATTAATTTTTAATTTTCTCTCACTAATTTCTCATGTGTTTGGAATGTCAGATCAATTTTTTTGTTTGTTTGTTTTTTGTTTGAGACAGAGTCTCGCTCTGTCCCCAGGCTGGAGTGCAATGGCGCGATCTCAGCTCACTGCAAGCTCCGCCTCCCGGGTTCATGCCATTCTCCCGCCTCAGCCTCCCCAGTAGCTGGGACTACAGGCGCCCGCCACCAGGCCCGGCTAATTTTTTTGTATTTTTAGTAGCGACGGGGTTTCACCGCGTTAGCCAGAGAGACGGTCTCAATCTCCTGACCTCATGATCCGCCCACCTTGGCCTCCCAAAGTGCTGGGATTACCGGCGTGATCCACCGTGCCTGGCCCCAATTTTTTTTTTAACGTTGTCTCTGACTCTGGTATCCTTCGGTGTTGCTTTTCTCTCCTTAAAAGCTTTTCAGCTTTTCATGGGAAATTTAGCTTCTAGATTATGAAGATTTTTGTTGCTCTGATCCCCTCTTATTTAATCCTTTTTATTCTATGTTAGATAACTATGAAATAAAAAAAACAAAGGCAGGTTTAACATGAATTTAGTGTTTGTTTTTAACTAACATCTCATGTAGAACGAGTTTAAAGAAAATTTTCGATAGCATTTCAAAATAAATGTACACCGAACAAACTGTCATGTTAAGGGGAAACAATTTAGAATTTATCATCTTTCTACCTATTGATCAATACCAGGAAGGACTTTAAACGCCTGTAATCCCAGCACTTTGGGAGGATGAGGCCAGTGGATCACCTGAGGTCAGGAGTTTGAGACCAGCCTGACCAACAAGGTGAAACCCCGTCCCTACTAAAAATACAAAAATTAGCTGGATGTGGTGGCAGGCGCCTGTAATTCCAGCTACTCGGGAGGTTGAGGCATGAGAATCGCTTGAACCTGGGAGGTGGAGATTGCAGTGAACCAAGATCGTGTCATTGCACTCCAGCCTGGGCAACAGAGCAAGACTCTGTCACAAACAAACAAACAAACAACAAAAACAACAAAAAACCTTTAACCTCAATTGTAGACTATTCCATAGTTGTGACACTGTATCTATTTAGTACTATCTAGTAATAGACACAATTATTATTATCATCCAAGAGATTTTCTTGTATTGTTTACAAAACAATAAATAACATTTTCATTGTAACTCGACAATTATTTAACATAGTTGTAAACCCAGATGTTAAATGTTTGATATCACAGACATATTTCTTGACCTTACTGCTTATAATATAATGAGATATACAGACTTACAGGCAGATGATTTTAATACTGTGCAGTGAGTGCAATTATTAGGTAGATATGCACCTGAACTATATTTAGGGAACCAGAAAAGGCTTCTGCAGGAAGGGATACCTATGCTAAAATTTGAAGACTTGGAAAGGATTAGCAAGAGAAATGGGAGAGGTTGGCTTGAAGATGGAAGATGGGGAAGGTAAAGGGTGTTCTAAATAGAAGGATGAGCCTGAAAAAGGCCTTGATTTTAAAGAAAGCATGTGTTTGCAGAGCTGAACACAGTTCAAGGCAAGATGTCAAGCAGGATACATTAAAGGATGAGTGTGCAAAGATGTGCAGGGTGTGGAAAATGAACGGGCTGATGATGAAGCCGTATTAATTGGTTTGGAGTTTAACCTGCTGACAGAGTAGAACTACTGATGGTCGGGGGCCCTTACTAAACAGGGTAATGGCATAAGGTTGACTCTGGCTTCCTTGCTGATAAGGGGTTGAAGGACAAAACAGGGAGAGCAAGAAGACCAGTTAGGAAGTAATAAGTTATCCATGGAAGGAACATTCACTAATGGAGAATTTTCCTGGATTAAGAGAGAGGGTTAAATTAAGACTTTTTTTTTTTCTTGTAAAAAAATTTATTCTGGTAAAATATATACAACAGAAAGTTTGCCCTTTTTGCCTTATTAAGGGTACAATTCAGTGGCATTGATTACATTTATAATGTACAATAATCGCCACTATTTCCAAAAGATTTTAATCATCCCAAACAAGAAACATTTAAGAGACATTTAACACAGGACTTGGTGACTTATAGGAGATCGAGTGGCAGAAGCAGTAAAAAATGATGTCAAAGGCACTTGTTATTACTGTTGCTATCATGGCTTTCAATTTTTTTATTTAATATTTCCTTGAACTTTCTGCGCTGTCACTGTCAACATTTCAAATCCATGGGTTTTTCTTTTTTTCATTATTATACTTTAAGTTTTAGGGTACATGTGCACAACGTGCAGGTTTGTTACATAGGTATACATGTGCCATGTTGGTGTGCTGCACCCATTAACTCGTCATTTAACATTAGGTATATCTCCTAATGCTATCCCTCCCCCGACCCCAACCCCACAACAGGCCCCGGTGTGTGATGTTCCCCTTCCTGTGTCCATGTGTTCTCATTGTTCAATTGCCACCTATGAGTGAGAACATGCGGTGTTTGGTTTTTTGTCTTTGTGAAAGTTTGCTGAGAATGATGGTTTCCAGCTTCATCCATGTCCCTACAAAGGACATGAACTCATCCTTTTTTATGGCTGCATAGTATTCCATGGTGTCTATGTGCCACATTTTCTTGATCCAGTCTATCATTGTTGGACATCTGGGTTGGTTCCAAGTCTTTGCTATTGTGAATAGTGCCACAATAAACAAGCATTCATGTGCTTGTGTCTTTATAGCAGCATGATTTGTAATCCTTTGGGTATATACCCAGTAATGGGATGGCTGGGTCAAATGTTATTTCTAGTTCTAGATCCCTGAGGAATCGCCGCACTGTCTTCCACAATGGTTGAACTAGTTTACAGTCCCACCAACAGTGTAAAAGTGTTCCTATTTCTCCACATCCTCTCCAGCACTTGTTGTTTCCTGACTTTTTAATGATTGCCATTCTAATTGGTGTGAGATGGTATCTCATTGCGGTTTTGATTTGCATTTCTCTGATGGCCAGTGATGATGAGCATTTTTTCATGTGTCTTTTGGCTGCATAAATGTCTTCTTTTCAGAAGTGTCTGTTCATATCCTTCGCCCACTTTTTGATGGGGTTGTTTGTTTTTTTCTTGTAAATTTGTTTGAGTTCATTGTAGATTCTGGATATTAGCCCTTTGTCAGATGAGTAGATTACAACAATTTTCTCCCATTCTGTAGGTTGCCTGTTCACTCTGATGGTAGTTTCTTTTGCTGTGCAGAAGTTATTTAGTTTAATTAGATCCCATTTGTCAATTTTGGCTTTTGTTGCCATTGCTTTTGGTGTTTTAGACAGGAAGTCCTTGCCCATGCCTATGTCCTGAATGGTATTGCCTAGGTTTTCTTCTAGGGTTTTTATGGTTTTAGGTCTAACATTTAAGTCTTTAATCCATCTTGAATTAATGTGATGAACATCGATGCAAAAATCCTCAATAAAATACTGGCAAACCGAATCCAGCAGCACATCAAACAGCTTATCCACCATGATCAAGTGGGCTTCATCCCTGGGATGCAAGGCTGGTTCAACATACGCAAATCAATAAACGTAATCCAGCATATAAACAGAACCAAAGACAAAAACCACATGATTATCTCAATAGATGCAGAAAAGGCCTTTGGCAAAATTCAACAGCCCTTCATGCAAAAAACTCTCAATAAATTAGGTATTGATGGGACGTATCTCAAAATAATAAGAGCTATTTATGACAAACCCACAGCCAATATCATATGGAATGGGCAAAAACTGGAAGCATTCCTTGAAAACTGGCACAAGACAGGGATGCCCTCTCTCACCACTCCTATTCAACATAGTGTTAGAAGTTCTGGCCAGGGCAATCAGGCAGGAGAAAGAAATAAAGGGTATTCAATTAGGAAAAGAGGAAGTCAAATTGTCCCTGTTTGCAGATGACATGATTGTATATCTAGAAAACCCCATCATCTCAGCCCAAAATCTCCTTAAGCTGATAACTAACTTCACCAAAGTCTCAGGATACAAAATCAATGTGCAAAAATCACAAGCATTCTTCTACACCAGTAACAGAGAAACAGAGAGTCAAATCATGAGTGAACTCCCATTCACAATTGCTTCAAAGAGAATAAAATACCTAGGAATCCAACTTACAAGGGGTGTGAAGGACCTCTTCAAGGAGAACTACAAACCACTGCTCAACAGAATAAAAAAAGGACACAAACAAATGAAAGGACATTCCATGCTCATGGATAGGAAGAATCAATATCGTGAAAATGGCCATACTGCCCAAGGTAATTTATAGATTCAATGCCATCCCCATCAAGCTACCAATGACTTTCTTCACAGAACTGGAAAAAAACCACTTTAAAGTTCATATGGAACCAAAAAAGAGCCCGCATCACCAAATCAATTCTAAGCCAAAAGAACAAAGCTGGAGGCATCATGCTACCTGACTTCAAACTATACTACAAGGCTACAGTAACCAAAACAGCATGGTACTGGTACCAAAACAGAGATATAGACGAATGGAACAGAATAGAGCCCTCAGAAATAATGTCACATATCTACAACTATCTGATCTTTGACAAACCTGACAAAAACAAGGAATGGGGAAAGAATTCCCTATTTAATAAATAGTGTTGGGAAAACTGGCTAGCCATATGTAGAAAGCTGGAACTGGATCCCTTCCTTACACCTTATACAAATCCATGCATTTTTCAAGTGTCTTTGTAAATCTCCTGTAGATGGATTTGCTTTTTTCTCCACCAATACAACCATAGAGTGTAGTCCATTTATATTTAGGGAAGTATGGATATATTAGAATATATTTCATCATCTTGTATGTGCTTTGATCTTATTTTTGGCTTCTGGATATTTTGCTGGTTTGTTTGTTTTAACTTTCTTACTGGCACAGCAATTTATTGGAAGTTATTTCTCCCATTTTATGTCTTATTTCTGGAGCCTTTTAAAGAGAATATTATTTAGCATATATCTAGCAAGATTCTGCCAGTAAAGAAAGTATTCCCATGTGTGGGTTTTTTTTTTTTTCCAGTTTGTTCATTTATTTATTTATTCTTTGAGACAGAATTTCACTCTTGTCACCCAGGTGACTTTATTTATTTGAAAATAAAGTAATATGAGAAGAAATGTAAAGCTCTCTTTCCCATTTTACCCTACTCTTCCCCAAGACCAACTTAATTACTTTTAATGATTGTTCCCTGGAGAAGAGTAACATGTTCAGGCTCATTAGTGGCACCTACAATTCTGTTTACAATGGCTTGCATTAGAGAAATAATAATTTTTATTTAGGAAGAAGACTTTTGTTTAATATATTGCCTATATTCTAGTCTCCCTAAGAGAATGGAAAAGGACAGAAAAAACATTTAAAATATCAGACATAAAAATAAGAACAGACTTCTTTTCTCCTTCTCTTTCTAATAGAAGAGATGGATAATAAGTTAGGAGATTTTCAATTCCAGTCCACCATGGTGAGCCTCAAATTGTCTATGAGATTGTGTACAGTTATTTAAATTAATTAAGGTATTTACCCATTTTAATTGACAAAATTATATATATTGTGTACATTACGTTTTCAAAAATGTATACATTGTGGAATGGCTAAATTGAGCTGATTTAACATATGCATGACATTACATGCTTACTATTTTTTGTGGTGACAACACTTACAATGGAGTCTTTTAGCAATTTTCAAGAATGCAGTTGACCCTCGAACAGCATGGGTTTGAACTGTGCAGGTGCTTTACACACAGATTCTCTTCCACCTCTGCCTGCCCTGAGACATCAAGACCAACACCTGCTCTTCCTCTTCCTCTTCAGCCTAATCAACATGAAGATAATGAGGATGAAGACCTTTATGATGATTTACTTCCACTTAATAGCAAATATATTTTCTTTACCTTATGATTTTCTTAATAACATTTTCTTTTTCTCTAGCTTACTTTATTGTAAGAATACTGTATATACTGTATATAATACATACAACATACAAAATATGTGTTCATCGACCACTTATGTTATTGGAAAGGCTTCTTGTCAACAGTAGGCAATTAGCAGTTAAGTTGGGAGAGAGTCAAAAATTATATTTGGGTTTTCAGCTGTGTGGATGGCTAGCACCTCCAACGCTTACATTGTTTGAGCGTCAACTGTACATTGTTATTAACTGTTAATTGTGCACAGTCCTTTCCAAGAGCTGTGAAACTTTACTTATCTAAAAACACTTAGCCATGTATTTGACCAACTGAGCTTGGAATATGCTACTTCTTCCCCCACCCATTGCTCTTGTCTAGGAGTACTTTATTGTCTATAAAACAGTATCCTATAATGGTAGGCAATTCTAAGACATAGTTCTAGCCATATTCGTTTGAAATCTTAAATTGTCTCCCTTTGTCTATAGAGAATTTTTAAACTTAAATGCATACAAGGGGAAAACTTGTAATATAAATGGATTATTTTGGAACAGATATAATAGGAAGAACTGTCCAATATCAAGAAAGAATGCTCCAATTAATATTCAAATTCATATTAAAGTAGAAAAGCACTCACCTATCCCTGTGCATGTACGTGTTTGCATGTGCTGAATCTGAGCTTAGTTCCTCCCCGTGACTCCATTTGTGAAGATGTTGTATAGAGTTATCCAATCACTCATTTGTTTGTTATACACAATCGTCATGATCTTCGTGACTTAGCTCTGTGCACTCTGCCTAGACTATTTTTTTTTCCATTCTTTTCTGTGCTCCGACCATAATGTATAGGGGGCAATTGTGCTATTCTAAATATATAACCTAATTTATGCCTCTGTGAATTTGCTTCTGAATTCTCTTTGTCATGAATATCCTTTCTCGCCTTGTCTTTTTTTCCTGTCTTGAAAATCTGTTATTATTTTACTTATACGTCAAAGTCTCCTATACGCAGTTTTCCCCAATTCTTCCACCACAACCCTCAAAATGCTACTTATTTACTCCTCTTTGCAGAGGATTCTGTGCATGAATCTGTGTTATCATACTACATTCTAGCTTATGGTTTGTATTTGAATATTGGTATCTTCCAGCAACTTGTGTACGAAGGAACGTGCCAAATCTTTGAAACCCTAGGAACAATAAAAATGCTCAGCATACAGTAGGTATTTAACAAGTGAATCAGGAAGAGGGAATAAAGGAAAAAAGGAAGAGAGAGTAAGTGAGAGGGGGTTGGTTGGGGAATACATAGGTGCTGACTTATTACCTTAGATAAGTTATTACCTCCCTTCTTTTCAGTTTTTTGGAGGAAAAGTAATACCTATCTGGCAGGTTTGTTCTAAGATTCAAAAGAAAAGTAAAAAGAAAACACTGGAAATGGCCAGATATCTTGCTTCACTATTTAAAACTTTAACCTTCATTTACTATTCAATGTGTAAGCAAAAAATAGAGTGCTTTGTGATGGGGCCAGTTAATGTAACAGACCTGAACTAGTGCCAATAATGAGTTTTATGTTCCCGCTGTGTTGACCAGCTTTCATGCAATGAAAACCTTATGAGGCACAGGCAGCTAATCTTAAAATGCATTTTATTGATGCTTTTAAGTAAGAAAAACATAAGATTCATACTAGCTAAAATATATAAAGACCCAAGTGGTATTAAAATTGAAGTTCAGGCTGGGCACGGTGGCTCACGCCTGAAATCCCAGCACTTTGGGAGGCCAAGGTGGGCAGATAACGAGGTCAGGAGTTCGAGACCAGCCTGGCCAACATAGTGAAACCCCATCTCTACTGAAAATACAAAAATTATCCAGACATGGTGGCGCAGGCCTGTAGTCTCAGCTACTCAGGAGGCTGAGGCAAGAGAATCACTTGAACCCGGGAGGTGGAGCTTGCAGTGAGCTGAGACAGCACCACTGCACTCCAGCCTGGGCAACAGAGTGAGACTCCATCTCAAAAAAAGAAAAAAAAATGAAGTTCAGTGTAAAAATAGCCTTAACATTTCCTTAGGTAAAGTTAAACTTTGTGAACAAAAATTTAAAAAGAGAAAGATTTCTACTGAACTTTGAACTAACTAGAATACATATCAGGTAAAATTAAAACTTTTTGGGTTCATCATTGTTATGGATATTTGATTATCTAGAGAACAACTATTTTGTGAATGAAAATAAATAGGAATATTTTATTTTATCCTAGTAGAGTTAATCTAGAGAGTTCATTCATTGCTTCAGAACAATTTCACAAACTTAATTTATCATATATTTCAAGATTTCCCTAATGAAATATCGATAATAGTTTATACATGTTCTAATTTCAGCTAGGAGGAGCATCAAAGAAATGCACTCAAGTTAGCTTTCAAAACTTCTTGATGACAATTCTGAGGTACCATATAGTACTACCTCAATTTCTTTAGTCTCACAAAAGGAAAGTGTCACACTGAGGCAGCTAATGCACACTGCACTTTTACAAATCTAGAAACAGCATTCAGCATGTCTGAAAGGAAAAATTAAGATTAATCTCTGTATTAGTCTGTTTTCATACTGCTATAAAGAACTGCCTGAGACTGGGCAATTTATAAAGGAAAGAGTTTAATTGACTCACAGTTCAGCATGACTGCGGAAGCCTCAGGAAGCTTACAATTATAACGGAAGGTGAAGGGGAAGCAAGCACCTTCTTCACAGGGTGGCAGGAAGTAGAAGTGCCAAGTGAAGGAGAGAGACCCTTATAAAACCGTCAGATTTTGTGAGAACTCACTCACTATCACCCCCGTGATTCAATTACCTCCACCTGATCCCTCCCTTGACACATGGGGATTATGGCGATTACAATTCAAGATGAGACCTGAGTGGGCACACAAAGACTAACCATATCAATCTCAATACATTTTTTGCTAAATCTAGGTAGACTTCTCTGCTGAGTGATCATCTATGTAGTACATTATAATCATGAAACTTCCTGGGCAGTTCAGATATATAAGAGGTATAAGGGTATCTAAAATAATTTTATGACCATAATAAAATCACATTTGGCTTCTGAAGCAATAACTATGGTATGGCATATAGGTTAAATTCTTATAAACCAGGTATATTTAAAATATAGTTATAACCGGCCGGGCACAGTGGCTCATGCCTGTAATCCCAGCACTTTGGGAGGCCGAGGCAGGTGGATCACAAGGTTAGGAGATCAAGACCATCCTGGCTAACACAGTGAAACCCTGTCTCTACTAAAAATACAAAAAATTAGCCGGGCGCGGTGGTGGGCATCTGTAGTCCCAGCTACCCGGGAGGCTGAGGCAGGAGAATGGCGTGAACCCGGGAGGCGGAGTATATATGTAGTTATAACCAATGAATAGAATGTAACTAATAAAATTAACTGCAGCAGACTTATCACTTACCTCAGTAAGTGGTACAAAGAAAAAGAGGACTTTCACTTCCATGGACGTAGGCGGTAATCCCAAGACTGGATGACTCTTTGAGAATCAGGCATCTTCCATACTTGTTTTCTCTAACTTTGTCTGAAAATGACTGCTGAGATTCCACTTGACAACCAACATCTTTCCCATCACCGTCTCAGAAAATGGATCCTCAAGACTAAAAGATAATCCATGTTTAAATTCCAGTAACATAATGTATTCAAAGTATTTTCTTTGATGAAAATTCACCTTCAAAAATCTATAGTTTTGTTCTCAAGTGTCTATAAAACGGAATCTGCTAGTAGTCCTCAAGATTTTTTTTTTTTCATATTTATCAGCCCACTTGCCTTCCCCTTTGCAAATGACTGTTTAATGCTCAGGACTATGTTCTAGTTATAGGATTTATTCCAAACACTTATTTAATGAATTTTGAAGCGAAAATTTTAATTGTTATTAAAATACTAAAAATATTCTCTCTTTTCTTTTAAAAAGATTTCTCTTTCTCTCAGGCAATCAAACTAAGAAAGTATTTCTAATACAGAAAAACATCATTCTGGTGAATACTTTATAGCAGTATGTAAAACAGGATGTTCCCACTATTTTTACTGCCACAAGATTCCAAATATTTTAGAGCTTAAGTTTTACAAAAGTTTCAAAGAATCAACCATGAAAATTGCATGGTAGGCTTATTTGCATTATGTATCAGGGAGAATATTTTTAGCTCAGAGTTATTTTAGACATGACTGGGTAAAAATGAACTCTCTTACTATCCCAAGAGTATGCATACATTTCTACAATAAATAACGAAGAATGAAAAAGCATGAAAAATATTACTGCATTTGGAATTAGGTCTTTTCTCCAAGTTCTTTGAAGGGAGGTTAATGTGTAAAAGGGCATCCCTATTCATGGAAATCTGAATGCTGATAAACAATACATAATGCTAGTGATTATCACCTAATTTCAATATTTATTGAAAACTGCCATTTCAGACCAATCAAAGCACATCATGAATTGTGCTGTTATCTACATTTGTATAAGTTTTCCATAAATATTGAGTTTCAGTCATTATTATTAGTATAATTTATTGTTAACTTCTTGGAGACTTGAATCCATATGGAAAATGATTCAAATCTTACACTATCTTCTTTTGTCTCTATTATATTCTTTATACATATGATACAAATAAAGGAATAAGTTATTCAATGAGGCCAGTAAAACGTATTTTATGGAGAGGGCTATTTCTGAGAAAAACTATAAAGTCACGAAACTTGTTTTTGATACCATCACATTTCCACAGTTAGTGTTGTTTCTTGGCAACTTTTGCATCAAAGACAAACAAACACAACTTCCTTTGGAATTTCAGGACCCTTATGTTGTTCTCATAGTGCTCACATTGCACTACAGAGACCCTGATAGACAAAAGGTGCATTCATTCTCCCAACAGAATTCACCTTTCTAATCAGTGAAAAAACAATATTGCCTGTTCTGTGCCAGACATTATGATAGGAACAGGGATAATCACTTAAATAAGATGTTTGTAAACATTCTTTGCCCTATAATAGTTCATAGTCTAATGGAAAAGATGGACAGGTAAATAATGCATACTACAATAAAAATAACATACAAAATAACATTTATTTTTCAGGAACCCTTTGAAACACTTTACATGTATTAATCCTTACAACACTCCTAGTAGGCACTGTCGATACCCCCATTTTATAAATGAGGAAACTACGATGCAAAGCAATTAAGTGCAAATGGGTTATTGCCAAGGAAGAGGACATCTAACTTGACCTAAATGATTCAGACATTGATTAAGAGAGGCTTTATAGAAGCGATAAGCCTGAATTAAACTTCCAAAATGATTAGGTTTGCAACGACAAAGAAAAAATAATCAAACACGAACTGTGTTCACAATATACGAAGTATGGAAAAAATAGCAAGATATCATATCCACATTAAATATATATATTATATATATAAATATATATTTACATATATAAATGTACATATGGTGGTGCATGCCTATAGAACCAGCTACTCAGAAGGCTGAGACAGGAGGATCACTCGAGCCCAGGAGGTCAAGGCGGCAGTGAGCTAGGATGGTGCCACTACACTCCCACCTGGGTAAAAGAGTGAGAGCCTGTCTCTAAAAAATTCTTTTAAAATAAAAAAAAAAAGGAACAAAAGGTGAAAAAGTCACACAGATGTGAGAATATATGCCAGATTTGGAAAGTACCAAGTCAGTATTCAATTTGCCTAGAATTTAAGACTGAATGGGAAGGAAAGGAATGAAGCCAGAGAATTATCAGCCTATGAATGGTTCTGTGTGCTCTGCTAAGAAGCTTGATTTTATACAGGAATTTTTAAGATATTCAGCAAAAGAATGAATCTCCACCCTATCAACTCTCACAAAATATAATTTATTATTATCCCTTTTTTTTTGCTATGGCTCTCCTTGTCTAATACCATGAAAAATAATTGGATGTAGATGAATATTCACTAAAGTATTATTTTTTCAAAGATACTTAAATTTCATTAAGATATATTTGAAGATTACAAAGCCTTCAAGTTTCTAAGACAGATGTTTCTAGACTTATGATGTGGCTATGTCCCAATAAATCCACTGGAAATCAAAAATATCCTAAGTTGAAAATGCATTTAATACCCTGAAAAACCCATTGTAAAACTGAAAAGTTGTAAGTTGAACCATTTTAAGTCCAGATGTTCCTCCACTGAGGATGGAATTATGTCCTGATAAATCCAACATAAAAGTAAAAAAATCCTAATTCAAACCAGGGTAAGTCAGAGATCATCTGCATTGGCATTTCAGGTCACTTGGCAGAATCGTGAGTTGCTTTTCGGCAGAGAAGCCATTTTCTTACTCCTGTGAATAATTCAAATGGTTGGTTACAAGAAAGTTGGGAGAGTAGCACATTAGGGGCCTCTGGATTCAATGTCCAGGTCTGTCACTCACTTGTTGCAAGTAATTTAGCTTCTTTTAGCTTCTCTAGTCATCCATTTTCTCAGCAATGGAATGGGTAGGAGGAGAGACACTGAAAAGCAAGGTTATTTCAAATACCTTTTCAAATTCTTACATCTTCATTCTATGACACTAATCTTGACCTATTCAAAAAGCAAGTTCTAATTGCAGAGCGAGATTTCTCTAGAAATATCTTTTACAAAATAGTGTTAACTCTCCAGAAGGGCAACATATTGATGTGAGCAGCTAAAACTTTTGTATAACCTCCAAACATTTAACAGGAGATATTTTGTTAAATATAGAAAGCAAAATGACAAAACAGTAATGCTTTTCTCCTTAAAAGGGTCATACAATTAAATCTGTAAGAATAGTCTTATGCATATGATTACCTCAATTTCACATTTAAGGAAGCAGAGTCACGTAATTGAAATAACTTTTCACACATCACATATTTCAGCAGTGGTGAGGCCAGACGCTAAACCTCTGTTGTCTAATGGGAAGTCCACTGCTTACTTTACCACAACAGTTGTTCTTATGATGACAGTTAAGGCTTAGCATTATAGACAGTTTCATAAGCATAGGAATATTTTATTTCAGATAGAGCTAGAAAGACAATAGGCATAAAATCAAATGTGTTAATCACTTGAACCACAAAAAGAGAAGCTTGCATTTCCAGCAGTGTGTGAAGTATAAGGTGGAAAATGCAAACCTGTCAATGTGCCCCCGTTTCCATAGAACATGTGGTTTAGCAGGATCCCTGGGAGGGAACACACACAGTGACCACAGAAGGAGCTTGCCCTTGGAATATTCCTGTTTATGTGAATTTACAACAAAAGTTGATCTTTCATTGGCATTAAGAAGTTATATAGCCTTCCTGAACCTGCTTTTAAAATAAATGTATCTACAGTAAAATTACCAAATTGTGTTCCTTAGATGTCAAAAACTATTGCAAAGGCAGTAAAATAGACTTCTTATGGTCTTAAATATGCTAATGTTAAGTTTAAGTCTCCAAGAAGGGGTATAAAGGCTATGAGCAATGCAACATTTCCCAAACTTTTTTGACCAATAAAACTTCCCCTACCAACAACACCTACACCCAAAAAGTATGTAAAGCAAATGAAAAGGCTGATAAAAATAAGGATTTATGTTTTTCCCCAGTAAAATAGAATAATCTAGAGGGACAGTGAGATAAAACTTAAGTTTTCTAAAGAAGATTTAATAACTTGATACCTACAGGGCATTTTAATATAAAAATTTATGTTTGTGCTTCCACTATAGAAATACATAGAGAGTTTTCAATATTTTAATCTTTTGCCAATGTATAGTGATCAGAAGTGGCATCTTGAAATCAAATATGCTTAGTTAATAAGACTATAGCATACCTTGGAAGTATGTAATAATGTGTAGAAAAGTCTGGATGTGTAGAGAAGTTATGGGGGACATAACTGGTAAATGTGAAACAGATTGTGCGGTGATTTATGACACTACAAAATACTTCTGGTACCCAAATATTGAATAAAATTAGCAAGGAAGTATTATATAACTTTGTTCTTCCTATTTTACTATAATATATTTTAGGAACCGTGTTTTTACACTACCACAATCTGGATACATCCAATTGCTGATAATATTGGACATGTTTATACAAAGGATTACAATACTTATTGCTCAGGTGTCCAACTTTAAAGACGGGCATTTTATGGGAAACATGGTATAAAAGGAAAACGCTATAACATAGGATTATCTCTTGTGAAACTTCATGTATGAAATAACACAGCTTCAACATGCATAAAGCAAGAACTGCATTAACTGTAGAAATGACAAACAGGAAAAGACAGACCCAAAGTGATGCTAAAGACTTTCTTCCCTCTCTAAGGCCATGAAAGATGAAATACACAAAATATTCAAACAGATAAGGAAAATGTCAATAAAATATTGAATATAATACATACACATAAACATATACACTGAAATGTTTCATTATATTAAAAAGAGACCCTTATTTCAAATGTTATGGGATATTTAAATAAATCAGACAATAAATTTGAAACTAGAAAAAGAAGACATGTAATGCTCTTGGGCTTAGAAAATGATACCCAGTGCATGGTGATTTGGCTTGCTGAGTACTTTATCCTGAAGGACTTTGGAACATCTCTGAAGCAGCCTCAGAACCAAGTTACTCCTTCCTCAAAGATTCGATCAGAGGTCATCTGCTGTAACTTCTTCTACCTGATCCCCTCACATCAAGTATTGCCACCTAGAAATCATGCTCTGCATAGAAGCCGGTGGTATCATAATAAACAGCAATCAACAATCCAGCATTCAGTTCCTTTAGCTCTTCTTTCCATTCTAAATCTCCTTTTATTCATCAGAACACCCACATTTTACTATAGATTTCTGCTCTAATAGATATCAGTTTAATCTTTCTCCCTTCTGCTATTCTCCAGGGTTTGTATTCCTTACATTTGCTTACTTCTTTTTCCACCGAGAAGCTCCTAGTTCCATTTGTAACTAAATTTCTCACCCGAGTCTCTTGACTGCCACTGTATTTCCCACCTTGTGTAATTCTCACCAAAGATTCACCTAACTTGATATGTATTTATGATTTTTTTCTCTTTCTAGGCATCAGACATATGTTATTCACTACTGCACTAAAATTGATAATGTAAAAATTTTACTTTATGTATTATTTCAGGGCATTTTTATAAATTGCAATGACTGGTAGTAACATAACAATGAATATAATTACTATACTTTTCAAGGATTTACAAAATGTATACTCATAGTCTAGGAGTTACATACTTACAGGAATTTAAACTGACAAAGGCACCACCCTCATTTTGAACAATAGCTAAAAGGAAATAACATCTAATGCTTCATTTATGTGCAGCTCTTAAGTACTCTTCCCATGGTAATTGCCATTGTGAAATTAATAAAACTTATGCAAATGGTGCACCAGTGAAATTAAGAACAGCAGCTAGACTTTGCATCCTTTTTTTCCCCTCTTGATTTTTACTAAGTAACCTCTAAAAATTAAGGCAAATTTTCTTGGATATCTTAATTACATAGTTATTTGCACAAATGACTCTGTAAGATTTTTTGACATATATCTTTCAAGCCAAACTAACATGGTATTCTTCTCTTACAATTGATTGTCATAAATAATCTGGTCACTGACAATCTGATATATTATTACAAGGAAAAGTAGAAAAAAATTATTTAGGTTAATTTGACTTCTGCTCCCCAAATACTTAACTTTAGTCACTCTTGATGATCTGAGAAACTACAGAAAATTAAAAAGTAAATAGCTAAGTGCTCTTAATACTAATGATGGGGAAAAGGTAAGTAGATACACCAGTGATTAAAAACGCACTAAGATACACTTCGGATGACATCGGTGCGGACATCTATACCAGTGATTACAAACAGGGCATTTTAATTCTTTCCTCGCTTTTATTCTAAAGATTTTCGCAAGAAATGTTTGCTGATTTCAACTTACATATTAATAAAGATGTCGCTGACAAGTTGAATAACTCCAAATTATGTTGTAAGAAAATGTTTAAAAAGAGTAAAAACAAAACACTGTGACTGAATGAAGTTTAGTATTCAGGCTCTAATGATTAGATTGACCACTAACACGACATAACCATAGAGGATCATGTGAAATAAAGATGGGTGATGTTAGGCAATGTGTATGTCCCTACAAAATATTAACAACCTTTTATCACAATAATACAAGTCTCACTATCTAGTAATGGTATTAAGATATTGAAGTAAAACAAATGAATACTTTATTAAATTTAACTTTCTATATTGACTCACATATTTAGTAACCAAAAATAAATTTAGTCACATCTACATTAAAAAGTAGTTTTCTAAGTCACAACTGTCACTTTATAATAACAAATGCAAAAGTAACTGCAGAATAATGATCATTAATTTTCTCAAAACTAAATCACTCACTTTGTATTTAAAATAATAAAATACTTAAGGGGCTTCCTGTCAAGCAATTGTTTTAGCATATCAATAAACACATTGTTTATGCACAGAGATAATTTTCTGAGAACTAGGAGTCAAGATTACTTCTAACAAATTAATAATCACTACTAATGTGTTTTATTTATTTTTGAAGTGGAATATTTAATTTTTATGTCATATTTTATTTCTTCATAGCCTCGATAACTGCATTTTTATTATGAATGGCTTCATATTGCATACACTAAAATGTATTTATTATTTAAAATAGAACCGCAAATTTTAAAATAACATTTGTTGTATAAGCAATTTTATGAAATAATTCACCAATTTTTTTTAGGTTAACACATTCTTTGCAAATATAGCATATACTTAATCAAATTCATTTAAATTCAAGTAACATGCATTTTCTAAACACTGAAGAGGTCAAAGATGATGATGATAAGATTCTTCTCTTAAATAATTTCAGTTTGATAGTATAAATTAACCATATATACAAAATTCTAAAACGAAGGATAAAATGATTGCTATTAATGATAAAAATGATTGTGTGACATCCAGATGAGATGTAGGGAAGATCCTAGACAAATAGCTGATAGATCAATCATTTGAAGTATGACAAGGGTTGGTTGGTAATTAGAAAACTATGTTTAAAACAATGAGAAACAAAAAGTAGATTTTTTTTTATTTCTAGGAAAAGCTAAAGTTGTACCAAAGTGAAAAGGAAATAATATACTAACTGAAACAAATAATATTTGCTAGTCAAGATTATGCTAAAATTGATTTATTGAATCACTTGAATATTGTTTAACCTTATCACTAATCCACAATCAGAGGACAGTATATAATGCTAAAATAAATAAGTCAAGATATCACAACAATCAATTTTATTTAGACAGATGGCAATAAATACCAGAAAAATAGCTATCAGAGTTAGTATTATTAGCCCTGGGAGCATAATGGTTTGAGGATGAACAATGATCACTTTTTATTATTAATCTTTCATACCAGTTGATTTTATTTTTAAAATGCATGTATAATTTTATTAAAATTTTACACAACTAAGAGAATAACTGAAGAAATAAGTGGAAGAAAGAAAAGGATTACAGAACTAGAAACTTAAGAAAAAACTTTCAGAAAAAATATCTAATACAAAGATAAGAATAAAGAAAATTAAAGAGGCAAAAAACAAAATATTTAGAGGATCAATCCAGGTTGTTCATCATTTGGTAAGGGGAGTTCCACGATTATCAACTAAGTAATGCAGCTGGCCTAAAAAAACCATCTTAGATAACACACATCAAGGTTCTCCAGGAAGGAGATCTTCAGGAGTTCCACCAGGTTTTTTGTTTTTTGTTTTACATTTTGCAATATAAAGTCACTGGTGATGCTCACATAGAAGTAATTCTAAAAGTGACTTAAAGATTAAAATATTAAAACAATTAAATCAAAATAGTTTCAAAAGATAAAACTAGAAATACTACCGAAAGCTACTATTTCAAGTATTTGACAAAGAAAAGAAGCTGAAACTGATGGCTAAATGCATTACCAGTGTCAACAGCTGGGAAGATTTTTAGAATGTGCGAAACTTAAGCATGATTGTAGGCAGAGTGGGAAGTCAGGGAAGGCAGAATGCAAATTTACAATATATTCGTGTAAATGTTACACTTTATTGAAGGAATGGGACTTGTTAGAGAGGAAGTTACAAGATGGCTTTCTCTTCCCATATCACTATCTTTAAAAGAGGTCTGTGGACTTATTCTATACCAATTCTAGATGAAATCTCAGGTAGATAGTATAGCTGTCTTTGTTGTGCTCAGGCATGAATTTATAGTGTCATTCTGAAAGACTAAATATTCCAATCCAGTCTTGTAAATCAAAACACAGTCAATGTAAAATTATCATTTCACCATTTTATCTTTATAGAGTCTGGGAAACCTATAGTGGGAAGCTGGGGTGCGGTCAACATCTCTTTCTCTTGCCTCTTCTTATGTCACACTCACTGGCTACTGCTTGGGCCCAGGGAATGAAGTTGTAAGAATGAGAAAAGATAATGTTTTATGTAAGCAGAGTTGTCATCAGACAATGTGATCCTCTGGCTGAGGCAACTGTCCAAAACCAACTCTGCCATTGGCCATGTGAGGTCCTGGGAAACCCACCCCTGATGGTACCCACCAAAGCCTCCACTCCCACCCTCAGCCCCCATATCTGGCAAGATGTTTATGAATTGGCCTCAAGCCTTAGCTGCCAGAGGTCGTCCCTCTGTTACAGTTATCTCCAATCACCTCCTTGGGTAAAATTCCTTTTAGTAAAGATAAATTCAACCATATTTCTTCTGTGAGGCCAACATCTAGCCCACAGAAAACGTGACTGAACTTCTGCCCAGACTTCTGGAGATACTGAAGCATTTCACTCCTAAGGAAATATTTCTTGGCCAGGCATGGTGGCTCACACCTGTAATCCCAGCACTTTGGGAGGCCAAGGTTGGGGGTCACCTGAGGTTAGGAGTTCAAGACCAGCCTGGCCAACATGATGGAAGCCCTGTCTCTAATAAAATTCCAAAATTAGCTGGGTGTGGTGGCAGGCGCCTGTAATCCCAGCTACATGGGGGCTGAGGCACGGGAATTGCTTGAACCCAGGATGCCGAGGTTGCAGTGAGCAGAGATGGCACCACTACACTCCAGCCTGGGTGGCAGAGCAAGACTCTGTCTCTAAATAAATAAATAAACAAATAAATAAATAAATAAAATATTTCTGCACTCTCCAGCTCAAGCCAGTCTCTGGCCTTTAGGCTTTTAAAGCATGACTCAGGTCCAAGTCCCTACATATTACCCAACAACAATGTCAACAACAACAATAATAATAGTAGAACATACACCAAGCTCTCTGAGTATCTTCCTGAAAGCTCCCCTCGGCTGATGCTTCCAGTACCTTCTCTTTTCCCCTCCACCGCCATTCTCTATCTGGCTCCAACCCTTCCTGTTTGCTCCTGGGATGGTTTGTCACGGCGTCCAGTCCTCTGGCTCTGGTTCTGTCTAGCACCACCGGGAGAAGAAAGTGTGGAGGAAATAGGAGCTGAGGCACTGGTGGTTCTGACCCTGTCCCCGCCAGGCTCTGGGTTGGCAGTGGCACTGTTCCTGTCTGAAAGACCCAGCTCCTCCTGGAGGCCTGTCCTCAGCTGTGTCGCCACAGGTCTGGGTTCCGAAACCTCCATTTCTGTTTCCCTCTTGAGGTTCAGGGATGGTTGCAGTTGCTCTGTTGCTCACACCAGATGCTGCACGCTCCATTTTTGTTTTCCCACATCTTCTCCACAACTTTATAAATCGTTCCTCTATTAACATTTTAAATGAAAACTCAGTGTGTTATCTGTTCCCTACTAGGGCCTCCACTGCTGTGCTTGGATTAACGAGACGAGGCACCCTACTCTCTCCATGCTGCTCTCTAACATTTTGTACTATTCCATTGATTGATTTTTTATTTTTATTTTTTTTTGAGACAGGTTCTCGCTCTGTCACTCAGGCTGGAGTGCAGTGGTGCGATCCTGGCTCCACTATAGTCTCGAACGCCTGGGCTCAAGCAATCCTCCTTCCTTAGTCTTCCAAGTAGCTGGGATTACAGGAATGAGCCACCATGTCTGGCCCTTACTAATCCATATTAATATGCCAACTACTCTCTTTTAAAAAATCCTCATCAGAGTCTTACCAAATTTAATGATAAATTATAGTCTTATCTAACCTGAAAGTAGATGATGGCCTAATGCTTGAAGAACCAGTTGTATAACTCTAAAAACACTTGGCAGAAGTGAGTTAGCACCTCAGTGAGAATGTGGCAAAAAAGAGAAAATAATGAGGTCTGAGAGAAGAAGAAAGGAATGAAATGTTCCGGCAAGAAAATGAGGAGAAATATTTTTTCTTCTGAGATAACAGAAAAGTAAAAAGTTATATGGTCCCAGCTACTAGGGAGGCTGAGGTGGGAGGATGGCTTGATCCTGGGAGGCAGGGGTTGCAATGAGCTGAGACTGTGCCAACGCACTCCAGCCTGGGCGACAGAGTGAGACTCTGTCTCAAAAAAAGAAAGAAAGAAAGAAAGAAATGTTGCATAACTAAACATATAAAAATAGTTTCCAAATTAAAAAAAATGAGTGAAACAGTTGCTTCTGAGCATTGTAAATTTTTCAGGAATGCAATTATTCATAGTCATTTCCCTTAGAAAGTTTATTGATAGTGTTCAATTTATTTATTTATTTATTTTGAGAAGCAGGTTTGCTCTTGTTGCCCAGGCTGGAGTGCAGTGGTGCGATCTTGGCTCACTGCAACCTCTGCCTCCCAGGTTCAAGCAATACCCCTGTCTCAGCCCCCCAAGTAGCTGGGATTACAGGTGGCTGCCACCATGCTCAGCTAATTTTTTTGTATTTTTAGTACAGATGGAGATTCACCATGTTGGCTAGGCTAGTAAATTGTTTTTTTTAGACGGAGTCTCACTCTGTTGCCCAAGGTGGAGTGCAGTGGCGCGATCTTGGCTCATTGCAACCTCTGCCCCCCAGGTTCAAGTGATCCTCCTGCCTCAGTCCCCTTAATAGCTGGGATTACAGGCACGCGCCACCATGACCAGCTAATTTTTGTATTTTTAGTAGAGACGGGGTTTCGCCATGTTGGCCACACTGGTCTCAAACTCCTGACCTCAGGCGATCCACCTGCCTTGGCCTCCCAAAGTGCTGGGATTACAGGCGTGAGCCACCGTGCCCAGCCTGTTCAAATTTAAATCTAGTGAAAAAGGTCCTTGAATCTAGGCAAACCCTTTAATGGAAACTTTTCCAAATGTTTATTTCTGCCATGTCCATTCACACATTTTTCAGTATGATGCACATATAAAATGTGAATATTCTGAGATTTTTTTACCTTTCTTGCAAGTTATCCAACCACAGATTTAGGAATGATGGCAGAAGATGATACAGTTCTCTCACAACAATAACAGTAGCCAGAATACCAGCACGTTTTGCATTGGTTCTCCAAGCCCACTTTACACAAGTCAGTATGAAGATGGTCAGATGGCACATGCTGACACAATGAGTTTGATTACAGGAAAGAAACCCTGAGTTTAGGGAACCCACAGCTTTTATAACAGGAGGCACACCTGCTTCTTCTCGGCAGGGAGACACTATCACAATCTCTAAGGCTCCAAGCCAACTTGGTCTTTGTTCTGGAGAAATACACTCCGCTTTCCAGGGCTTACTGTGCACATATCCATGATGAGGTAGTTCAAAGGGCAGTCAGTGTCCCTACTTGTAAGATGTGCAGAATTGCAAGGAACACATGAATAACTGTCTCACAATAGCATGTACTTACATTTAACATAAATTTAGATTCACAATCCCCAGGATCTAAATCCCTGGATTTCTATCTAATCCAGAGCTTGCTTTTTATTATTGCTGTGTTATATCCAGAAAATATTAACCTTCTGATAGGAAGCTTCTACTTCTGAGAGTCTGTGTCAGTGTGATTTTGACAATATAATATTGTCCACTGCGAATTTACATTAATTTGCATATATAATCTGTGATATTATCTTGAATACAAGTATTTAAAATGTTCAGTGATAGAAATTCACATATTAAATTAGTTTCTTTGATTTTCATAACTCAGATTATATAGTTATATGTCCAGAAATAGAACGCACAATGCTGTAAATTGTACCTCCGTTGGGACATATGACTATTTTGGTCATTTAAAAAAATGTTGCAGAGGACCACCAGGAAATTGTTATTGACGATATAACATCTGAGTTGAAAACTGATTAATGATGAAATACTTTTAGGAAATAGCTATAAAAATAAGTTGTACATTTTAATGTATAGTGTGAAATCAAGAGAAGAAAGATGATACAAGTCAAAGATAGAAACTTTGGGCTATCAATGTGGAGTTCAGTGGAAAAGAACAAGTAAATTTATCCTGGTGCAATTTAATGCTGAGCCTTCTGCCAACTTCCCCCTATTCAACTAACCAAGACCTTACAAGATTTGGGAGGATATTCTTAGTGAACATAATTCAGCTGCTCCCAGCTTTAATAAGAAAACTCTACTTCCTTCAGCAGTCTTTTCCTTGAAGTAATTTCTACTTGCCTTTTTTCATCCTAGAGTGGTTAACACCCAAAAGTCAAAATTAAGTGTAGGCATAGGACACAGTATCTAAGCTTTTGGTCCAAGGGACAGAGGTAACCTTGAGACTCAAAGGTGATGTCACCAAGTATGCCAGGGTGAGGCGGTCACATGTGTCAAAGCCTTAATTATAAAAAGTGTCTCCTTGTTCACTGTGTCCTCACTATGTAACTTTTTCAGGAGCCTGTGACAGTCATAGGAACCAGATCAAGGATTCTCACGACCCAGGGCTCTGCTAATACTTTTCCATCTCATTGCAGTGAAAATATCTTCTGCTTTAATCATAACCACCACCACTCACTCCTGTCTGTGTTTAGTACAAAGAGCAAGGGGCAGAGTACTCGTCAACTTAGGGGGAGGAGGAGTCAGTAGAGAAAGCATTCATGAAAAAAGGTTTACATCTCAGCAATTTCTAGGAACAAAAGACTTATGAAATTCTAACATTTTATTTTGACACAGTTCTTTTTTAGTATTTTGTTAGATACAAATACAGATTTTGAAAAATCATTTTATAATAATTACAGTATTTGCCAACCTGTGTATACCACGTAAATTCTATGTATAAATCGGTGGAGAGGTAGTCATAATACCAGGGGCCATGCTGCATAGGATCTTGCACCACAGCTCACTATCTTTTACATAATATGCTTTAGTATGTTCAGAAAAACATTCTTAGTAAAGGTCTCAGAAATCATGATAGAGTAATACCAGTCACAGAATCAAGAAAGGCATCTAGTTTAATCTACAAAAGATTTTAGAAATAATCTTGTAACATATCCACTAAATTGAATAATGAACATTAGACCACTTTTTATTCCATTATAATCTTATTTTCTCTCATAACGCTATCCATTAAAGAATAGATTATATTGTAAAAGCTCCTAAAAAAGTATCAAATCTGCCTTTGTTCCATTCCAACTAAGCTGTGTTTCCCACCTGTTCTGTGCTTGCTAAAAATAAAATGAAAAAATAAAATGACTATCTAAAGTGGTTTTAAAAAAGACTGTATCATAGATCCTGTGAAATCCTTCCTGATTTAAATCCTTTAAGTGGCGGATAACTTGAAATGGCAAATGAATTGGCCACAGAACGGTGCACACTATTCAAGGTTTGTTCATGGAGTCTTGTCTATCACAGTGATCTGTGGGCGTGACAACATCATCTATACAGTGTTCATTTTTCTCTTAGGTGGTCTGGGCATTCTTAAGCCATTTATTCAAACATTATCTTTTCAATTCTACCCTATAATTTTTATTTCTAAAGCTAAGTGAGCACACACCAGGTACCTGTACCTGGGTAGTGGTTTTCTAGGATATAGTAAAATGCAGGAGAAACTGAAAAGCAAATGGGTGCAGATGAATTGAAAACTCTTCCCTCCCCACATCGAAGCCCAGTTGAAGGTTAACATTTGAACAGAAAACATCTTCATAGACACGAATGGGAAAAGTTAATGCTCAGAATCCAGAAGTAAAATGCAACCACTCCTACTCACTTCTTCTAGAAATTGCTTTATAAGTGATCCTGAGGAATTCTTTCTCTATCTCTGTCTCTCACTCTCCCTCCTCCCTCATCTCTTCCCTCTCCTAATTCTGGCTGAAATTGGCAACTAAGTCAAATGTAGCTAAGCAAACAGACTAGAGTCTCAGTATGAGACAGAGATATATGTATGCACAATACACATATATATTTACGTGTATGTATATATACACATATATATGTATTATTTTTCTCCTAATTCTACCCACAAAAGAAGCACTAATACCTTAAGAGCCATAAGCAAATTTTGTGCACAGATGGTTTTTAATACCTGTCCCTACTGAAAGGAACAAGAGCCTCTTGGAGAAATGTCTGGTTCCAGGGCTGGGACAAAGAAGGTACATGATGAAACTGGAACACCTTTTTGTGCCAGAAAGAAAGGAAGTGATCAAGAAAACAATGGGGACATGTCAAAAAGAAACAGGCAATAGCTTGAAGGGGTTCCTGCTGACCAAATCTAGGAACAATTTGAGTATCAAAATAACTGAGGACTGCAATAGATAGTAACGATTAAATAAAACAGGATGATTAAAGTAGAAAATTATTCATCTATTATCATAAGCAAACAAACAGATACATGCATACATAAATGGATAAATAGGCAGAGGAGAAAAGAGAACATTTCTTTAAATTAGTGTGCCAGCTGATACATGTGAAAGGAAGAGTCATGGAGTGGCGGTGTGGAGGGAGGTGGGGTGGGGAATACCATTTGCAACCATGGTGGTAAAGAATAATTCAAGCAAGAAATATCAGGAGAATATTTATCGTTGGGAAGAGCTGGATGAGAAGCAGGCTGCTTGCATGTTCTCAAAGTGTCTCTTCACAGACTGCTGTTCATTACAAGGAGAAAAGTACTAATGTTTTTACCTAGCATAATGCATTTTCAAGTAAGTCTTGTCTTTATATGTGCTAGTACTTCATTCCTTTTTTTTTCTTTTTTTTTTTGGTTAAGTAGCATTTCATTGTATGGATATGCCCCAATGAGTTTATTTATTTACCAATTAATGGACACTATAGTTGTTTTCAGTTTGGGGTTGTCCCATATAAAATTGCTATAAATATTCATGTACAGATACTGTGCAGACATATTTTCATTTTCCTTGGTAAAAACCTGGAAATGGAATTGCTCAGTCATACAATAAGTGCATGTATGAATTTATAACAGAAAGTGCTAATCTGTTTTCCAAAGTGGCTATAGTAATTTACATTCTCATCAAAAACATATGAGTGTTTGGTTGTTCATCCTTACCACAACATGGTTTTGTTACCTTATCTTTATTTTAAATGTTCCAATAAATAGTGATATTTTCTTATGGTTTAAATTTGCATTCCCCTAATGATTAATAATGTTGATCATCTTTTTACTTGTCATCGCTATCATTGTTTTTTGGTGAAGTGTCTTTTCAAATATTTTACCTAATTTTTTTAACCAAATTGTTTGGCTTCTTAATATTGAGTTGTAAGAATTCTTTGTATATTCTGGATACAAATTCCTTATCTGATCTATGATTTGCAAATATTTTCTCCCATTCTGTGGATTATCTTTTAATTTTCTTAATGGCGATTTTTTAAGAGCAGGCGTTCTTAATTTTTATAAAGTCCAATTTTTCTATTTTTATTTTTATTATTTATCCCATTTTCTCACCTTATCTAAGAAATCTTTTCCTAACCATGTTCATAAAGATTTTCTCAAATATTTTCTTCTAGAAGTTCTAGAGTTTTACATGTTACATTCAGGCCTCTGATCTATTTCAACTTAATATTTTCTATAACAAGAAAGGTGAAGATCAAGACTCATCTTTTTTCATTTGATCACCAAGTTAATCAAGCATCATTTGTAAAAAGTCTGTTCTTTCACCATTGAAAATCAACCATTGTAGAATACTAGCTGGCTATATATGTGTGGAACTATGTTTAGACACTACATTCTGTTCCAAATTATTTTGTAAATTTGTATACTTTACCTCAATGCAACCTTATATTACTATAGCTTTATAGTGTGACTTTAAATCAAACCGTAAGAATCCTCCACATTTGTTCTTTTAAAATATTGTTTTAGTTATTCTCAAGGTTTGCATTTTCAAGTGTTTTAGAATCAACTTGTCAATTCAACAAAAATACCTGATGGGATTTTGATAGGGATTGAAATGAATTTATAAATCAATTTTGGGTAGAATTGAGATTTAAATAATATTTAGTCTTTTATTGCATAAACACAGTGTATCTCTCGATTGCTTTATTTTTATGTTGATTTTTTATCAATGATTTTTAATTTCCAGCACACAAACCTTGCATATATTTTACTAGATCTATTCTGAATAATTTCATGTTTTTGATATACTGCAAATGGTATTATGTTTTTTAATTTCAATTTTCAGCTATTTTTAGCTCATATACAAGGGTATGATTATATAAATATAAACATATATTATATATATACATAGACATTTATAATATATATGTTAACCTGGCTTTCTATGACCTTGTAAATTTCACGTTTAAATCAGTTTAGTATTTTTGTAGCCTTTCTGAGATTTTCTAAATAGCTAATTATAACGTTTGTTAATAAAGACAGTTTTGTTTTTCCCAGTCTGCATGCCTCTATCTCTTTTTCTTCGCTTATTATTTTCACTAAGACCTCAGCCTAATGTTGAATAGAAATGGTGAGAACAGACATGCTTACCTTGTTCTCAACCTTAAGGTGTATTCATCAGTCTTTCACAATTTAGTATTATATTCATGGTAGGTTTTGTCAGCTTGAAAGTGTTCCTTATCTTTCTGATTTGCTAAGATCTTTATAACTATAACTAACAAATGTTGAGTTTTATCAAGTGCATTTCTGCATGTATTGAGATCCTCCAGGTGCTTGGATGTCAGTGCTCCTGTTGCAGGGCCAGGCAATACGATTTTATTGTTGTGTTTTACTGTATGTGTTTTCAAGCAAAAAGCTGAATCTAAGCTGCCTACATAGGCCCAGGAATAAATGCTGTACTCTCAGTTGACGGGGACTAGAAAATTCCTCCTCTCCAGTCAGAGACATGACAAGGAATCTTGGTTCTGCTCTGATTCTGGATACTAAGCAGATAATCACACCTCAAGTAGATTTTGAACTCTAATCTGAAATACAATTATAATAATAGAGTTCCTGATTTCAGACATTAACATAAAAGTTGTTTTTGAGTTCATTATGGAATCAAAGGCTAAATATTCTGAAGAGACATTTCTGCCATACAGGCCACATGGTATCTTTAATTGAGAATAATGGAAGTTAACCCTTCTAAACTCTTCTTACTGTATTGAAATTTAAGGAGAATGTATGATAGAGTATATATTGTTTTCATTCATTCAACAAATATTTATTGAATGTGTCTGTTAGGGGTCCAAGCATTTTTCAGGCTCTGATATGATGAAAGGAAAACATGAAAAACCATGTCTTGTTCCAAGGGGAGATGATTATTATTATTTGCATGGTACTGCAGGCAAATGTGTTCATCTTATTTGAGTGCATATTGATTGACCATAACATGATAGCCTCTCTTAGGATATAAAGTACTTTTAGATCCTAAAACGTTTGTGAGACCTTTCCTAAGTAATCACTAATAATGTAAAATATATACACAAATGATTATATATATATCTTCATTTCGTTATTATTTTCAATAAGAATACAAAAAACTGGCTTTGTTCTAGGAAGTTACTTTGCTTTGTGATATTTCTGCATTTATTTATCCTCTATACACCTCTTATTAGATAGAATTATGCTGAGTTGCTACAAATGAAATAAGTCCATTTCTATACATTATCTGTTTTGTCAAATAATGCCATGTTCAGGCTTTAAAATGTATCCATTCTTCTGGAGTTATTTAAAGATACATGCTTCAGTTTATATTGATAGCACCATACTAATCATTTTATAAAAATATTTGAAATTTAATTGCTGATATTCAATATTAGGCATATTTTTTGCTCCTATTTTATCCATCAAAGTAAAGCCTCCTCCTAGTGCAGATTTATTTGAGTAACCACCATTCACCTCTGCTATCAAATATTTCCAAATTAATTATAGTTATTTCCATGTTTTTACCCTATTTTGATTTGTCCAACTATTTAATTTCTAATTAAACTTTTTACTTAAGTTACAAACTAAGCAGATGTCTAGATTTGTTGTTGTTTCCAGATTTATTTCAGACATTAAGAAAGTTATATTCATTCTTTAATATATTTAATAGAACAAAACTCAAGTTGTTTTGCTAATTATTCTATATATATAGATTAAAACATTAATCCCTGTTAAAATCATGCTATTTAGTACTAAGTTTTGTTGGATGAAGGGAGGATCAAACTAGGGCATGTCATTTTTTGACAAAAGAGTTAACTGAGTGGCTCTGAATTGCTCATTAGGCGTAACTTTCCTCTGACACCATCACATGTGAGCTTCCAGTAGGAGTGCCTTCTCATGGAGGGTGGTTATTCATGTCAAGAGGATTGAAGTGTGTATAATCACCAGCTAGAACCTTCAGTATGCAAGAGGCTTCCTTCTGCCTTTGTGTGTAATAGTGGTCTTTAAAGCTGGAGCTTTTGCTGAATGTTGTTGATATATTACAACAATATCCAGAAAATGCACTCTATTTCCTCACTAATCCAAAGGAGAAAATGGCATATTTCTAAATTACTAAGAAAACTGAACACCACAAACATTTATTTCCATAATCCTGTTGCTGACATTAGGATACATGTAAAAATTTAATCCAAGTTCAACTTAAATTCTTCCATCAGCTTTTGTTTAGTTGCTGTGGAGTTTTATAGGAAATTCAGATAGCTATAGGCTTCCCTTATAAGCTCCCTTCAATAATCTGATTCTTGCCAATAATAAATCTGTCCATCATGGTAAGTGAGACTTTTGTTATTCACATTGCCTTACGTTTATTTAACACAAAACCCTATTTGTATATCTCCACTGAAATCCTTGGTAATTTTTGATTGTCTAATAAATTGTGTTTTAAAATTGGCATTGAGTTTCAAATCATACTGTATAAACTGCCAGTGGTATGACACTCAGTGTTTATTTTAAAGCCATGATAAGTATAATTCACTTTTCTTCTAAATGGACTCAGTTCCAAGTAGAATTACAAGGGATAACAAAATGTCTTTGAAATAAACTTTGTAGTAGAGGAAAAAGCAAACAATCCTTGATATGAATCAAGAAATTTAGATTATCCTCCTGGCCAAGCAACCACCTGCCTGTAATTTTGTAAAAGAAACTTGGCTTCATTGACATCTCTCTCCTTGTCAGTAAAGTAAGACAGAAGTAATTGAATTAATTATTCTCCCTATCAGTAAATAGTTTATTACTTTTAAAACCTAATTTCCTTAAACTTTGAAACTATGACTTTAGTTTATGATTATTGTCTTTAATTATTGGCAATACTTTGAATAATTTAAAAATGCTAGGCTAGGCATGGCCATTGTACTCATTTTATGCCTCAAAAAATTCACCATTGACGGATTAGTCTTATTTAGAAAAACATGCAGAGCTTTAAGTATAAAAATGCAATGTTGATTTGAGGGTTTTTTGTCGCTGTTTCTCATTAAGTTCACCTGTAAGATTTTACTTTCAATGTGGCATAGTATCATTGATTTTACTTACAGCTTTTATTTTTCATTTTTCACTGAGTATACAATATATCTGATTCTTCAGTGTTATTATTGTTTATATGTCAGGTAGGAATGCTGATCATTTAGGGTTTGGAAGTTTTCAAAGCCTATAGAATTTTGAAGTCAATGCTGTTGGCTTTCAGGATAACAAATGAAACGCAAAAGGACTCATTTTCCATTTGATATCTTACAAATATAATTATATAAGGAAATTCCCTTCACCCACTATAGGATTCTGCTGTCAGAAATGTCTCTGTTTCCAGTGATTTTCAGAGCAAATGGCCTGCAAATGAAAATCTCACTTAATACAAACATGCTTCCAAATGTTTTAGACATGTTACCAATTTTAGTTCAAATTCAATATTTTAATAATTGTGTTATGAATACTAGTACTAAAGCATCAATTATAAATCAGTATTAGGTTCTATGCTGAAAATACGGTGCATATACAGGCCAGATATTCTTGAAAAATGACAAAATAGTAGAGCTCATGCTTGAATAGTTTAAGATCTTCTGGGAAAAATAAATCTGATAAATTAAAATTCGCATACATTTATGAAAGTCCCTATGGAGGTTTTGCCCATTAATGGGCTTTAAAAAAAGACAGCATACTTCTTGTAATAATAATATTTGGTGGTGTACAGTGAAATTTTTCTTTTAGGGTTTCCTTTTTTAATTTTTTTTTTAAATTTTACTTTAAGTTTTGGGATACATGTGCAGAACGTGGAGGTTTGTTACATAGGTATACGTGTGCCATGGTGGTCTGCTGCTTCTGTTAACCCATCCTCTAAGTTTCCTCCCCTCGCCTTGGTGTATGTTGTTCCCCTCCCTGTGTTCATGTGTTATTATTGTTCAACTCCCACTTATGAGTGAGAACATGCGATGTCTGGTTTTCTGTCCCTGTGTTAGTTTGCTGAGGATGATGGCTTCCAGCTTCATCCATGTCCCTGCAAAGGACATGATCTCATTCCTTTTTATGGCTTCATAGTATTCCATGGTGTAAATGTACCACATTTTCTTTATCCAGTCTATCATCAATGGGCATTTGGGTTGGTTCCATGACTTTGCTATTGTAAATAGTGCTACAATAAACATACGTGTGCATGTGTCTTTATAGTAGAATGATTTATATTCCTTTGGGTATATACCCAGTAATGGGATTGCTAGGTCAAACGGTATTTCTGGTTCTAGATCCTTGAGGAGTCACCATACTGTCATCCACAATGGTTAAACTAATTTACATTCCCCACCAACAGTGTAACAGCATTCCTATTTCTCCACAACCTCGCCAGCATCTATTGCTTCTTGACTTTTTAATAATTGCAATTCTGACTGGTGTGAGATAGTATCTCACTGTGGTTTTGATTTGCATTTCTCTAATGATCAGTGATGTTGAGCTTTTTATCATGTGTTTGTTGGCTGTGTAAAAATCTTCTTTTGAGAATTGTCTTACAGTGAATTTTTATTTACCTTCCTTTAATTTCCAGAAACTTTCCAAGATTACTTCCCTGATTGTTTTGTTGATATCTTGCTTTACTGAGAATAATATATATGTTTAGAGATATTTTTGTATGCATGTAATATTTCTTTCGATACTTAGACCATCTCTAATTTTAGGATTTACTGATATTGACTCCCTCTAGCTCAACTGTGATAGCAAATTAGAGTAATTCCAATCTCTTCCCATCAACATTCATCAGCTAGCTAAGGGTTATCTCATCTCAGCCTCCTTCACTTTTCCCGATCCTTCTTTTCCAAAGTTGATACCACTAGTTTGTTGCCAGTTTTACTTTTATTTTTTTCAACCTCCAGTTCCCTGGTTGTTTTGTTTGTTTTTGCTAATATTTCCACATATAAGTAAATCAAGATCTATTTTTACTAAAACCATAACTTCTAAATTGAGGTAAATGATAACAGGAATGATTTCGGAAAAATTAACTGGAATTAATGTCTATAAATAATATCCCTCACCTGAATTCATAGCTTCTTAGGCGTTATGTCTTCTTAAAAAGTAACTGATTTGATAAACAACATCTACAAAAAAATCCTCCATTGTACTTAATGGTGAGGAACTGGAAGTGTTTTTGCTAGGTTTAGAAACAAGGCCAGGATGCCCTCTCTTACAACTCCTATTCAACATTTTACTGGAAGAAATAGCTGATGTAATATGTGAAAAAGAAGGAAAACGTTTATAGATTGGAAAGGAAGGAAATCAAATGTCTTCATTTGTAGATGACATGGTTGGCTATGGAGAAAATTCCAAAGAAATGTTAAAAAATAAAAATACCACCAAGATCAATAAGGTCAATATGATACAAGGTTAATATATGAAATAAATTTCTTTCCTATATTCCATAAACAAACATTTCAGAATTTTAAAAAAGAATGACACAGTCACAATAGCACCAAAAACTTTTTCATTAGCACCAAAAAATGAATTACTTATGTATAAATATATACAGTCTATATGTAGAAATCTACAAAACATGATAAAAGACTAAAAGAAGATCTAAATAAATGGAGAAATATTCCATATTCATGGATTGGAAGATTCAATATTGTTTGATGTCAACTGAATATATAGATTCAAAATAAAAGCAATAAAAATAAAAATTGTATTTAATAGCTCTTAGCAAATTGATTCTAAAGTCTATGTTGAAAAGAAAAAGACCTAAAATAGGCAAGATAATACTGAAGAGAAAAAAAGTTTGAAGACTCATGCTACCTGGTTTTAATATTTAGTATAAAGCTACCATAATCAAGACAGCATGGTATTGGTTAAAATAAGATACATAGATCAGCAGAAGAGAAGAGAGAGTCTAAAAGTAGCACACACAGTCAGCTATCTTTAAAAAGGGGGAAAAGACAATTCAATGGAGAAAGAATTATATTTTTAACAAATGATGCTGAAGCAGTTATACATCTGTATGCAAAAAACAACCTAACAACAAACCTTATACATGTCCCAATAATCAACTCAGAACAGATCACAGATCTAACTGTAAAATATAAAGCTATAAACATTCTAGAATAAAATACCTGAGAAAAATCTACGTGAACATGAGTTTGGTTATGCTTTTAGCTTTAATACCAAAAGCACAATTTGTGGAAGAAAAGTTTGATGTTGGGCTTTATTAAAACTAAAGTGCCTGTTCTGCAAAAGACAAGTTAAGAAAATGGAAACACAAGCCACAAACCAGGAAAACATGTTTGCATAGCAAAAATCTGATAAAGGACTGGTATTCAGGATATACAAATACTTCTTAAAAGTCAACACTAAAAAAACAAACATCCTAATTTAAAAGTGGGCAAAAGATCTGAATAGACCTCTTACCCAACATGATATACAGATGACAAATAAGCACATGAAAATACACTCTAATAATTTGTCATTAAGGAAGTGCAAATTAAAACAACAACCAGTTATGCACTTATTAGAACGGCTAATATCCAAAAAACCAAAAATACAAATTGCTGATGATATGGAACAACAGGAAATCTCATTCATTGCTGATAGTAATGTAAAATGATACAGTCACTTTGGAAGACCCAGCTTGGCAGTTTCTAACAAAGGTAAACATAGTATTATCATTTGACCCAGCAGTCATGCTTCTGGGTATTTACTGAATGTTTTTTAAACACATGACCACACAAAAACCTACAGGTAAATGTTTATAAGTGGCTATATTCATAATAGCCAAATTTGGAATCAATTAAAATGTTCTTCATTAGGCAAATAAACACACTATTATATTTCGATGCAACGGAATATTATTCAACAATAAAAAGTAAGGAATTATCAAACCACATAAGCACATAGCTAAGTCTTAAAGTACATATTGTTAAGTGAAATAAACCAGGCTGGGCCGGGCACTCACGCCTGTAATCCCAGCACTTTGGGAGGCCAAGGTGGGTGAATCATGAGGTCAGGAGTTCGAGACCAGCCTGACCAACATGGTGAAACCCCATTTCTACTAAAGATACAAAAAATTAGCCGGGCATGGTGGCATGTGCCTGTAATCCCAGCTACTCTGGAGGCTGAGGCAGAAGAATTGCTTGAACCCGGGAAGCAGAGGTTGTAGTGAGCTGAGATCACACCACTGCAACTCCAATTTGGGCAACAGGGTGAGACTCCATCTCAAAAATAAATAAGTAAATAAATAAACCAGGCTGAAAAGGCCATGGCTTCATACCGCATTATTTAGTTTACATGACATTTTGAAAAAGGCAAAATTATAGAGCTAGTTAATGGATCAGTGGTGTCCAGAGTTTCAACATAGGGTGAGAGTGGTAAAGCACAGGACATTGTTTAGCGTACAGAAAATCTTCTATATGATACTGTAATTTTTGATACATAATACTATGTATTTGTCAAAACCAATTGAACTATTAAACATAAAAATTGTTCCTTGGTATATGCAAATTTGAAAAAAATCAATTATTTAAAGGTCAAAGGCATACCTGGATAGAATGCAGAATTTGACAAAAGGATCTAACTATATTACAAGCTCTCCGAGGGTGGGGAGGATGGGAGCACTGAAGTAAGGAAGTGCTAAAGCAAAGCAAAACAAAACAAACCTAAACCTCAAAATATCCTAAAACCCTCAGTGATGGGGATATGTCGGGGACAAAGAAACCAACTGAAGGAGTTCTCAACAAAAGCTATAGAAATTTGAGCAACAGAAAAAAATACAGTAGTATTATAACTCAAAGTATAAATAACTATGAATTCATACTAACAATAAATGATGTGTAAATAAATAAATGGGAAAAATAGATAAGTATTCTGGTCAGAAGAAGTCCAAATAGCTTATGTGGATACTCTGCCCTCAGTGAGATGGGGCACAACTCCTTGTTTTTTAAGTATGGGCTGTGCATAGGGACCTCTTTCCAAAGACTGCCATATGTGATCCTTAATACTGAGTGTCAACTTGATTGAATTGAAGGATGCAGGGTGTTGATTCCTGTGTGTCTGTGGGGTATTACCAAAGGAGATTAGCATTTGAGTCAGTGGGCTGGGGAAGGTAGACCCACCCTTAATCTGGGGGGCAACATCTAATCAACTGCCAGCGAATATAAAGCAGGCAGAGAAACATGAAAGGAGAGACGGGCCTAGCATCCCAGCCTACATCTTTCTCCCATGCTGGATGCTTCCTGGCCTCGAACACTGGACTCCAAGTTCTTCAGTTTGGGGACTCGGACTGGCTCTCCTTGTTCCTCAGCTCGGCACAGACAGCCTATTGTGGGACCTTGTGATCGTGTAATCTAATACTTAATAAACTCCCCTTTATATATATGTTTATCTATCCTATTAGTTGTGTCCCTCTAAGAGAACACTGACCAATACACCATATGAAAATTGAAAAAAAAATAGAGTAACTTTGCAGTGGAGAAATTTGACAAACACTACCCCAGCCAAGTAATCAAAGTGAAAATCAACAGCGATATGCCTTGTTGATAATATGTCATTAAAATGGTGTGATGAAAATGGTCCTTTTCCACTGTGGTCTTTTCCAGAACACATAACCTCAGTCTAATCATGAGAGAAACATCAGTCAAATCCCAACTGAGGGTCATTCTACAAAATACCTAACAAGTACTTCTCAGAACTATCACGGTCATCAATAACACGAAGACCAGCAAAACTGTCACAGCCAAGAGGAGCCTATAGAGACATGACAACCAAATGTAATATATTATTGTGGTTGGGATCCTGGAACAGAAAGAGGATACTAGAGAAAAACTAAGGAAATCTGAATAAAGTGTGGGCTTTAATTAATAATAGATCAATATTGACTCATTAATTGTAAAAAACGTACCATATTAATGAAAAATGTTAATAGGAGAAATTTGATGTGGGCTGTATAGAAGTCTCTGTACTATCTTAGTAATTTTTTGGTAAATCTAAAACTTTAAAAATTAAAAGCTTATTAAAAATAAATTTAAAATGTAATTGATAATTACAGTAGTATAATTATGCAGCTGATGCTATAATTAAACTAATAAGAATATAACTAGATTCACATGTACTGATATGGAAGCAAGTCAAGGATACATTATGTAAAAAAAAAAGCAAATTGCAAAAACATTGCATTGTTGTGACTCACTTTATGCAAAAATGTGAACACATATGCATACACCCAAATATTTGAAGAGGTACACACTAAAGTCTGGTTAAAGATAGCGATAACATTGAGGGTTGTAGAAAATGGGGTGAATGTGGGCATAGACCTTTTTTCTATACATTTCTCTTATTTGAATATTTTACAATAAACATGTATTTGCAGATACTTATAAGTTACTTATGATATAAAATACTTTTCTTAGATGTATTTTAACTTCTTTTTGCTACCAAGCCTGACTTAATCCATTATTCTGTTTCATTAATGTAACATCGAGTGTCTTCTCCAATGCTTCTTTTTGCTAGGCATGTAAACAAGAATAAATTTCTCCCAGGTTAAAGAGGAAAATAAGAAAACAAAACAAAACGATAAAAGCTTACCCCGTATTTTTTTTCTGCCAAATTTCCTGAAGGTGTTGTCTATCATCATTATTTCTACTTCCCTATGTAGTTTTCTCTGTCAGTTCACTGCAGGCTGTCTTCCGCCTTTACCTCTCTACTCAGTCTAGTGTATGGCAACCTTCCTGACAGTGTGGTGGAGAGGGTAAAGCTCTGGGCAGATTTGGGCTCTGTGTCTGAGAACTTGCATATTTTACTTTACTTTCCTAATCTCAATTTCTTTACATCTAAAATGAGGACAGTATCCTTCTTGCTAACTTCTAGTATAGAAACTGATACATAATATATTTTAATAAATATTGATCAGATGATCTAAAAAGCAACCTCATCATAGCATCATGGCAAAGATGTAATCCCTCATCATCTTTTCTCTAGATTCTGGCAGTGGTCTATTAGTGTTACAGATGAACTAACCTCCCTAAAGAGTCTCAGTGTGTCTGCCCTCACAACCCTTCAAGTCTCTGTCAACACAATATCCAGAGTGGGCCCATTGAAGCCTAAAAAGTGTGCATGTCTCCTCTCCTCAGAACCTTCCAGAGCTTACTATTGCACAAGAATGTGAGTTTGTGTAGCGTTTGTATGGGCATGTGTATATGTGTGTGTGAGAGGGAATGTGTATTTGTGGAGGTAATCCTAGGAATCGCCAACACTGGAGTGGAAAAATATGGCAGGGAAGAAAGCAAGCCAATAAAAGGTTTGTTATCAAGCAGTGTACTGCTGTGGGCACCAGGTGCCTAGGCTCAGTAGGAAACTCAGAAGGATAGGGTGAATATGACCCAGAGTCATTCCAACCAAGGTTCCAAGAAGCTGAAAATTTGGTCCACACCATCTGCCAGTTATTGGTTGATGGCTGCTTTGGGGAAGGAAATGGAAGGAATGCATTAGTTTCTAGCATGCCCAATTTACTTTATCTTTAAGCCTGGCAAACTGTAGCAGCCAAAGAGAGCGCTCAGTTGAAGAGTTGTTAATAGGGAGCATACCCAAGAATGGTGAAAGCCAAGGAAATATGGATGGGTTGCTGACAGCATCTGCAAAAATGTCTTTTTTTCAAATATCTCATGTATTTGTATTTCCTTTCTAACCCTATGCATCATTTAAGGTTCTTTAGGAAACAGAAGGCATATTCAAAGGGGATAATTAAAGAGAATTTAACAAAATGGCTATTTATTAATATGTAAGCAGTTTTCAAGAAGAATTTCACAAGTTACAAGAAAGCTAGATGGACTAAAGCTATTTCTGTTGCCTAAAGAAGCAAGGATAAGGAACAGACACTTGAACTTTTAGATGTGGCCTTAAGTAGCAGAAATCAGGCACTGCTGAGCTATGCCTCGGCAGGGAAGGATCCGAGAAATCACACTCAGATTGATCTCTCCTCCAACCTCTGATCTGCTGTCTTTGTCTTTTATTGGTCAAAGCAACACAAAGCCAGAGTATAGAAAGTGAAGCAGGACTTAGGAGTCAGTGGCCAGAGCGCAAAGCTCACTGAAGGGTGAGAAGCAGAGCCAGAGGAGCAGGTGGAGAATATTCAGCATGACTAGGGCAACGCAACTTGCATGAAAGCCTGACTTTTGTCCCTCTGTTTCCTGCACTATCCCCCACAAATAGAACAGTGCCTCACATAGTAACACATAGTACTAAATAGATATTTGTTGAATGTTTCAGTCCGTTCACAACACTTGTGCTATTCATTGTAAAGTATTCCAGGATTGCACTTCGTTTAACTTTTGCCTTCCGAAAAGTGCAAACTGATATCTCAATATTGTGAATGAATGCCCTTAAAATGTTGAAGAGCTTCATCATAGGGGAGTGTCACGGCTTCTAATAATCATGATGTAAAGATTGGTTTTAAAAAAAATGCCATCTTCTCTTGTAACTCAGTATTTCCATTTCCTCTTCTAAATGAAGCAATAAAAATGGTTTTCCTAAGTCGCTAAAGTCCTGCTTTGAAAATTGTTTGGCTTCCATGAACACAAAATAATTCCATTTGATAAGGCATATTTTATTAGTATTTACCATTACTGTTAACAAAAGGCATATGTAGGAGATTGGCTGGTGCTGATATTGGATGACCATATATCAGAAAAAAATATATTAAATTACACTTTATCATTTCTATATTTCTAACTTGGGAGAATATTTCTGTCAGTCAGTGATTCAGGATCCTGTATTTAATTAGCTGTTAAACATTTATTACAATTTTGGATTTTGTCTTTTTTTATTGAAATAGTTTAACAAACATGATTCATTGAAAATAATATTCTCATCCCATGTTAAAAATAGTTTTCTAATTTTATTTTTTATACTCAACTTTTTTTTACCTTATATTCATCAAAAAAAAAATAGAAGTGAATGTATCTCCCCAAAATTCTTTTTTACCTGGGCTCTGTGAATGTGACTTTATTTGAAAACAGAACATTTTCAAATATAATAAAGTTAAGATGAATTTACACTGGATTGCTAAAGATCTGAAATCCAATATGACAGATGTTCTTATAAGAAGAGGGAAATTTGGAGACAGACACAGGCACACAGAAGAGATGCGTGTATAGATGGAGACAGAGGTTGGAGTTAGGTTGCCACTGGCAAGAGTACCAAAGATTGCTGGCAACCACCAAAATCTAGGGAAGAAGCATGAGTTAGACTTTCCCTCAGAGCCCTCAGAAGGAACCAATCCTATCCACACCTTCATTTCAAATGTTCAGACTCCAGAACCACGAAAGAATAAATATCTGTTGTTTGAAGTCACAATGTTTGTTACAGTAGTCCAAGTAAATATATACAGAATAAAACACAGTACCAGATCCGTTCTCATCCACCAGGAAAAATTTTTTGGAATATTAATTCTGGAAATGAAGAGTTGATTGCCTTTTTTTTTTTTTTTTTTTTTTTTTGAGATGGAGTCTTGCTCTTGTCACCCAGGCTGGAGTGCAATGGCACAATCTTGGCTCACTGCAACCTCCGCCTCATGGGTTCAAGTGATTCTCTTGCTTCAGCCTCCCGAGTAGCTGGGATTACAGGTGTGCACCACCAAGCTTGGCTAATTTTTGTATTTTTAGTAGAAACAGGGTTTCACCATGTTGGCCAGGCTGGTCTCAAACTCCTGACCTCCAGTGATCCGCCCCCCTTCGGCCTCCCAAAGTGCTGGGATTACAGGCGTGAGCCACCGTGCCCAGCCAATTGCCACTTTTGGAGTATCAAGAGTCGGCCTTTATTAGCAAGTATTTCTATCTGCCAATTTGGGTTGAGCAAAATTAGAACTGACAACGGACCAGATGCTTCTATTACCAGTATTTCAACCTCCAGAGGATCTGAGTAACAGTTTTCAAGTAACTCTCATCATAGCCCAAGCTTACTTAAACTCTAAAATGAAAGAATAGAAATAGACTCAGGATGCCAAAAAGTCATATATTTTTCTGATTTAAACTCATCAAACTGAAATTTAAAATAAAAATTATCTTGAAAACCTGCTACATAGCAAACACTGTGTTTGGGAATACAACATTGAGTAAGACAATTTCCCGGACTTCAAGGAGTTCGAAGTATGACTGTAATATACAATGAAATATACAGTGAAAAGGGAAACATGAGGCTACAGAAATAAAATGAGGCATATCATGTTCAGCTATATGCTTGAAGGCATTTGCAAGTCATTGAGGAGTTTGAAGTTGGGAAGCAACAGGATAAAATTTGTCATTTAGAAAACAGCACGGGGTAGAGTGGAGGGTAGTTTGGGCAGATGCAAGCCTGGAATGACTGGGAGATCAGCTAGGCCATTATAGCTGACATTCTGAGAAAAAGGTGAGGTGGCTTCACATAGAGAGTTAGCAATGAAAAAATCAAAGTGAAAAAATGGACGGATTAAAAGGATTGTTTCAATGGTTAATCAGCAAAGTTTGGGGATTTAATTGGCGGTAGAGATGGGAAGGAAAGACAGCGGGGAGGGAAAGGCAGATTCCAGTTAGTGGAAGTTAGTGGCGTCACGGTGCAGTTTTCTCCAGGCCGGACACCCGAGATGAAGGGCAGGGCCCAGGTACACAATGGAGAGGTAGGAACAATGGGCTACATTCAAGACAACAGATTTTCTGTTATTTACATTCAAATTATGTATATACCCACCCACTCACAAACACGCTTTTTTATTCTTTCAAATGAATTAGCCTACTTCTATTTATGAATAGCATTTGGTTGATTTAGCTCATTATTTAGCTAAACTAAGTTCAGTCAACTTTCAAAAACAGCAAAAACAGGCCAAAGTGGGAGAATCACTTGAGGCCAGGAGTTTGAGACCAGCCTAGGCAATATAGTGAGATCCCTTTTTCTACAAAAACAAAACAACAACAACAATAAGTATCCATGTGTGGTGGCATGCATCTGTAATCCCAGCTACTCTTAAGAGGCTGAGGACAGAGGATGGCTTGAGCCCAGGTGTTCAAGGCTGCAGTGAGCTATGCTCTCACCACTGCATTCCAGCCTGGGTGACAAAGAGAGACCCTGTCTCAAAAAAAAAAAAAAAAAAAAAGGCAAAATTTTTTTGATATTACACAGCTAGATATTTTCAAAACATAATTAAAAAAAGAAAAGAAATAATTTGAGGTAATTGTAAAAGACATAATTTTAAGTAAATTTTGAAAATCTACATGAACAGTCCTTGCTCTCATTAGATGGTTCATATTTAACTGAACTTTGCTGGTGATGGCAGAGACACATGTTAATAATGAACATGATGACTTGAAGTAGTAACTCAATTTATTATTTTAAGATATATTAAAGTTAAGTGCGATAAATTTATTTAAATGAAAAGAAAAAAGTCATATTTTTCATGGAAATACTAAGTAAATAAAAAGTACAAACATTGTTCCAGAAATAAAACTGCAACCCTTTAATGATCTCACTCAAGGCCTCAGCTTGGCTCTCAATTCTAAAGTCTTTTCGTTCTAAGTGTTTGTTCTAACACTGGATCCCTGTGTGTTTTACTCCAAATCCAGATCCCAGGGTGCAAATTGCATATAATCAAAAGGGAAAATACCAATAGCTATGACTAAATTAGAGAAACAACTGGCACGGAAGAGTGTGAGTCAGAACTACTAGTTTTCTAGAAGGTATTTTTTTTTAGTTCAAAAATTGAAGTATGGACAGGTGTGTTCCATGAAGCAGTGGGGCAATAGTAACCTCAATGTAACCACACGCTCTGCACAATGAATACTTCAAATTTTCCAAGATAAGTCTGCAGAAAACAGGAAATGGATTCTTCACTCTGCAATTTTTTATTTCTAAGGTTACATTCTTTTAACTTTTCAGACTGTTACTACAGTCTGTGCCACATTCTGAGTGTTTCCTAGAAAACTAATAAATTTGAGATCATCTGAATTGCTTTTCTATTTTTCTATTTCTTTGCACACTGGTATGAATCATACTTCTGTAAGCAAATATGTTCCTTACTGTATTACTTTTCTTATTTTGAAAACTCTAAAACTACCTACTCTAATTTATAATATCACAGAACTTTACTCTGTGTTTATTATACATTTACCCCAATTCTATTACTTTTATTCTACATACAGCCCTCATCAGATTTTCACTGTCTTTCTTATCATCTATGTGGGCATTAGTCACTAGACTAGAAACTTCTTGGGGTAAAAAAAATCCCAATATTCCTAATTATATCAGCTAGCTTCCAGCATCATACATGAGATAGGTATTTTATCTGTTGTTTGAAACTGACAGAGCTTTATAAAACCATATAATCACTCACTGGTTTGGCATTCTACATGGCGATATTTATCAATCATTATGAAGTGCAAGACACAACACAAAGTGTATATTCTATCTTATACAGAGCATTTGGGGACATCTATGTTGCAACATTGAGAATTCTATTTATTTGGATTTGAGAATGATAATGTGACGTGTACCCCGTTTTAAACTCACACCTGTTCCAGCACTGGACAGCACCACGTTTTGCCTCCCGTGTTTCCAGATCAGGTTTTGCAACCAAACGAGTTCAAGCTGTGTCAAGTTTTGTTGCATAATGCAATATTTTAAAATCTTCTAGCTTTAAGAGCTGGTATTCCGGTTTTATTGTTGTTGCTGTTCTTTCAGAATTTTAAACTGTGGAACACATTGTCAGACAAACAGCGATCCAAAGAAGGAAGAGATAGGCATTTCAGGAAAATGACATAAAGCGTAAGAAAATAGAATGAGGAAAAAAAAGAAAAGAAAAGAAACACTTCAGAAAAGACATGTAACCCAGAGAGCTGGGAGTGTAGATCTTGAAAAGGGGTCAAGTGCATTACAGCTGGAGCAAGGCATCAGGGTTGAATTATAGGAGATATATGTTTTGCTCCTATTATTTTTCCGGCTTTATTGAGACAAAATTGACAAATAAAAGTTGTATATGTTTAAGGTATACAACATAATGAGTTAATATGTTTATGTGTTGTGAAGCGATTACCACAATCAAGCTAATTAAAACACCCATCACCTCACATAGTTACTGGATTTTTGTGTGTGGTGAGAACACTTGAGATCTATTCTTGGCCAATTTCAACTATACAACACAGTGTCACTAACTATAGTCACCAGACTGTACATTACATCACTCCAACCTATTAATCTTATAACTGGAAGTTTATATCCTTTGGCCGATTTCTCCCCATTTTCCCAACTTCCTAGCCCCTGGCAAACACCATTCTACTCTCTGCCTCTGTGAATTCGACCTCTTTAGCTTCCACATGTAAGTGAGACCAAATAGTATTTGTCTTTCTGTGTCTACCTTATTTCACCTAGCATAATATTCTCCAGGTTTATCCATGTTGTCACAAGTGGCAAGATTTCATCTTTTTCATAGCCAATATTGTACTGTATGTATACCACATTTTCGTCACCCGTTCATCTGTTAGCAGATACTTTAGTCTGTTTCCATATCTTGGCTATTATGAATAACACTGCTGTGAACATGGGCGTGCAGATGTCTCTTCAAGATACTGATATATTTTCCTCTGCCTATATACCAAGAAGTGAGATTGCTGGATCATACGGTAGTTCACTTTTTATTTACTTATTTGTTTTTAAGGAACCTCCATATGGTTTTCCATGATGACCATACCCAATTAAATTCTCACCAATAGTGTACAAAGATTCCTCTTTCTCCATGCCCTTGCCAATGCTTGCTATCTCTTGTCTCTTTTTAAATAATAGGCATCCTAACGTGTGTGAAATGATATCTCATTATGGTTTTCATTTGAATTTCCATGATGGTTTGTGATATTAAGCATTTTTTCATGTACCTATTGGCCATTTTTATGTTTTCTTTAGAAAAATGTCATTCCAGTCCTTTGCTCATCTTTAATCAGGTTTTTTTTTTTTTTTTTGCTATTGAGTTGTAGTTTCATATATAATTTGGATATTAACCCCTTAACAGACATCTGGTTTGCAAATATTTTATTTCACTCCCTGGGTTGTCTTTTCATTTGGCTTTTTTTTTTTTTTTTTTGCCTCTTCCAGAACAATTAAATACACTATTAGCCATGCTAGCCCTTACTTATTCATGACTCCCTACCTCTAGACAGAAAACTCTGAGGAACAACTAGTCCCTATATCTCGCTGCTTACTAGATGTGCATGTTCTATAGACACTAAATTCAATTTGTCTAACCATATTCATCCATTAATTTAACAAGCCATTATTAGCCAATGTATAAGACATTGGAGGTTCAATGGTGAAAGTCATACCAATTGAATTTTTGGTACAATTACTTCAATAATGTCAAACATTACAAAATTACAAACTGAAGCATACTCTGATGGAAGGAATGAATGTCCTTCTCAGAGGGTATGTAAGCAGCAAGCTTTCCCACATCTGGTGGGGCTGATGTTCCCTGAGGAAGTGATAGCTGATCTGGGATATGAGGGTGAAAAGGAAAGGAAGGAAGGCTATCAGAATGGGAACGAGCATGTGCAAAACCCCTGTGGCAAGGCAGAGTGGGAGGCATCACAGAAACTGAAAGAAACCTGTGTGGAAAGAAAGCCAAGGAGCCACTGCTTGTATATGAAACCATCATTGTTAACCCTCTAGAAGCCTTCTGTCTGCTCCTCCAGTCACAGCCCCTTTTCTTCCACTAAAGGAATAGTAACTACACTGTTCAAATATTTATGGCAATAATTCCTTATTATATTAATTACCACTCTTAAGAATTTCCTTTTAAGTGTATATAAATGGAACCATAAAGCATATAGTCTTCGTGTATGATTTTACCTACAGTACATTTTGTTTTTCCAATTTTTTTATGTTCTTGAGTCACATATTTCATTCATTTTGGATGCTCGATAGGATTCTTTGTATGAATATACAATAATTCATGAACCTAATGCTTTGATGATGAACATTTTTGATGTTTCTGTATTTCTAGTGATCACAAATCATATATGATTAAACATCCAGACACACATATGCACGTCATTTCTCTAGAATAAACAGCAAGAAATATATATATATATATATGAATGTGAACATATGCAAACACAAGTTCATGCATAATACTAATATAAAATTATGTACTTTTCTATCTCCTTTCACATATTTTCTGTTTGTGTCTCTCTTTTCATCATTATTGATGGTTTCTTCTTCCCTCTCTTCCATTTAATGATCTCTCTGCATCTTATCCATTGAATTCTTAATTTAGGCTATTTCACATATTACATTGTTTTAGTTATAGAATTTCTATTACTTTCTTTTCTGAAAAATCTGCCTGACAGATCTCTTAGTCTATATAAACACAATCTAACACAATTTTCTATTATGATGGAAATATTCTATAAATCAGTACTGCACAATAAAGTATTAACCAACCACACGTAGCTATTCAGCTCTTGAAACATGGCTAATTAAAGAATTGAACTTTTATTTTTATATATTTATTTATAATTATTTTAAAGTTAACATTTCTAGCAACTTTTATATTAGACAGAAGTTCTCCTATGATTCCATTTTCACCATCCACTTACACTTAAAAGGAAAAAAAAAAAACAAAACCTAACTCGCTCAGGGCAGGCATGGTGGCTCATGCCTGTAATCACAGCACTTTGGGAGGCCGAGGCAGGAGGGTTGCTTGATTCAGGAGTTTGAGACCAGCCTGGGCAACAAAGAAAAACCCCATCTCTAATAATAATAATAACTAAAATAATAATAATAATTAGCTTGGAGTATTGGCATACGCCTATGCTCCCAGCTACTAGGGAGGCTGAGATGGGAGGATCACTTGAGCCGGAGAGGTAAAGGCTGCAGTGAACCATATCATGCCAATGCACTCTGACCTGGGCAACAGAACGAGACCCTCTCTCAAAAAACACACACAAAAAAAAAACATGCTCAATCGGAAAAATTTGAAAAAAAAATAGACAATCAATCAAGACTCAATTGTCAACATTCATATTTAGTGTATAAATTATATACACTAAATGAGATTGTGTACATACCTATCCATATCTACACACATGCACATAATATAAACAAAATAAATTTTAGTAATTTTGGTTTATATATTTTATAGCCTATTTTTTCAAACAATATTTATAAAAGAATTTTATGGCATTAAATAGTGTCTAAAATCATCGACTGTAATGATTATGTAAAATTTCACCCTTTGGTTCTATAATAATATTCTCTTATTGCTCAACATTTAGACTACTATTTTGATACTGTTGCTAACATGATTATCTCTAGCTGATTTCTTAGGCTTATTGAGATTAAAGTAGGATTGCTGGAATAAAATATCCAAATATTAAAACATTTTTGGTATTTATTGTCAAACTGTTGTTCAGAAAAGTTATACCAGCTTAAGTTGTCATTAGAGTAAGATAAGAATGCAGTGTGAATTTAAGTCCTGTTTCTCCTCTACCTTTTCCTATCTCCTCTTTTTCTGTATCACCATATGACATTTGTCATAGTCCTGTTCTTCTTCAATAACTTTATTCCATAACCTCTGTTTTAAAGGTTCCCTCTCCCTATTCCATATTCAGCTCTCCTGTCTTAAACACTAAATCTCACATCCATATTTCCAATCTGTCATGTCTTCCAAGATCAAGTCCCACTTTTCCAATATGTCTGCTATATATGTGTGTGCTTGTCCCTACTGACTCTCATCACATCTAGAGCTGAATTTTTAACATTATCTCTGCCCCCAGCCTATCCTAATAACTCAACTCCCAATGTGTTCAGATTTTCCTTTTCTGTAAGGAATCCCACTGTCACTTGAACACAAAACCCCCACTCTGTCTCTTTTCCTTTATCTCACAAATGCCGACAGTCATCAAGAATGATTAAATTTTCATTTCCAATATGAATCCAAGGCATGTCTTATCTTGCATACCGCTGCTTCCATGCTAGAACAGGCCTTTATCGCCATGGCAATTTTCTGTTAAACACTGTTCCTGCATTTAGCTTTCCTTCCATTAATCTATTCTACTCAATGCTTCTAAACTTATCTACTCAAGTTATCATTTTGAGGGTACCACTGTCTTCGTGAAAAGTCTTCAATGTCCCCCTGTTGTCTTTCAAGCCACCCCAAGTTGCATAATTCGTCATTTATCCATTCGTCCCGCCAGCCAGCCATTCAAAATTTACTGAGTGCCTACATGGTTTTTTTTCCTTTGGAGAAATGCCATTCAGCTACTGCAGCTACCTGGGCCTTGCTTACAAAGGGCGTGAAGGGCCTGGGAGTTTAAATCCCCGTAAGGTTTCCACTAACCAGTGACTGAAAGATACTGACGAAAGACCCAGATCCATAGTCTGGAATAGCCCTGAAGCTTAGTTTACGCTCCAAAGTTTCCCTGTGGAGTCAGGCTAAAGGCTGTTCTTGGGCTTTGCATGGCGATCACACACTTGCCTGACTTCCTTCTCTTTCTTGCCCTACTTCACTAGTTGCCTTATTTATCTACCCTGGAGCTCTTCCTTAATAAATTATTTTCACATGAATTCTTCTCTTAGGTTCTGTTTCTGGAAAATCCAAAGAAAACCACTTTTGTTGAAAACCAAAGACATGATCACTACTGAGAATGAACTCATCCTGAGTAGAAAAAATAGACACGCAAGCCAGCAATTTAGATTTTAATATTCTATCTACCATAATAGTGGGATTTGCAAAGTCCTGTGAAATGAGGAAAGAATAAATACCTACCTCGGGTAAGGGAAGTCAGACTGGAAAGTCTTCACCTAAAGTAATGTCTGATCTGAAATTTGGAGAAGATTTTATTTAGGCAGAAATAGGTAAACTAGTTATAACAAATAGTGTGGGAAAAAATTTCATGTTATAAGAACATGAAATTCTTCAGGAACTACAAATAACTCAATGTATTATTATCAGAGACAATATTTGATACAAGGGAGGGGGAGGGAACTGATTCGAATAGGTGAGTAAGATGGCAGAAATGTGAATTCAAAACATTCTCTGAGTGTTGAAAAAAGAGCTCATCTAGTTTATCTGTCCAAGATGGCAAACAATATGGAGAACCAGGAGGGCGATGCCTTCAATCATAGAGTTGTAGCTGCCGCTCTGGCAGCATTGCGGAGGACTGCACGTGGAAGTTGCAAGCAGGGCTAGTCTGGAGAAAGAATAATCAGAAATCAAATACCATGGTGAACACAAAGGGCTGAGAAGAGAGATAATGTGAGATACGAGAAGAAGAAATTGGTGGTAGTTGGTGATTGATTGGGTCTGTGGTAAGATTCTAGGCTTTGGATCACCCTGCCAGTCATCAAATCCAATAGATTTTTTTTTTTTTTTACTTACTTTATCAAGATAGCAGCATTTTCCTTCCTTCTTCAGCTTCCTGTTCGATTGTTTTGCTAACTTTTGTACATTTTCCAAATTATCCATATTGACAATACATTATTCTTTTATTTGTAAAGTGGGGTAGGTGGTAAAAATGAAATCATAGCATATAAACAACTTACTAAAAATTATTGAGTTAATCAGAAAAAGCATGTTGATAATTAATATACATATGAAAAAAGTCCAACCTCAATCATAACTTTTTAAAAAATGTCAATTGAAACAATAAGAATATCAGATTAACAAAAATTTTAGCTGTAAAACATTCAATTTTGGCAAAGATAAAGGAAAGAAACATGCTAATGCACTACCTGCGAGACTGTAATAGTTCCAAATTTTCGAAGAGCCATTACAAATATCTGGCAAATTAAAACACTCACTTCCTTTCATCCAGCAATGGCACCACTAATAATTTACACTAAGAATCAATCTAGATGAATATATATGAAGATGCTTATTACAGTATTATTTATAATAGTAAAAAAATCCATTAATATAAACTTATTAGCTACACTACAAAGTGACCGTTCCATGGAATATTATGCAGATGTTATAAAGGATATGTTAATATAAATGTGGTCAATAAGTATTGCATTACAAAAAGAAGAGTAGAAATTGAGTTTGTAGAGAATAATTTCATCACCATATAATGAGAATATATATACACTGAAAATTTCTGAAAGGATCCACCCAAAACTGCTAACATTATTTACCACTGGGGCTTGAAAATGATAGAGATTTGCTCTTGTCATTTATTTTTTTCCCCAGGAACAACAGTAATTTGGCCATAAAATTAGTGAAAAGAAAGAGGCATTAACAAGATAATTGAGGGACGGTGTCGAGTTTTTATATGTTTGTGGAAGGAGGAGATGAGAAATTAAAACTTAAAATAAAAATAAAATCCTTATAGTCACAACTCTAAGAAAGGAAAGGTACTTACAGACAGGAGAATAGAGGCTAATCCCACATCCTATAAGTGTCAAACCAAGGACTAGGATTCAGCTCTCCTGACCCTTGCCCCAGTGCTCTTTCTATGATCCTAAGCAACAGTATATCTATGCCTAGAAAATCAAGCCAACTGAGGTGGAAAAGATCTCAGCCATTATTTCTGTCTTCTCTGAATATACAGGATTGATTATGAGTTCATAAATAAATAAGAAATATTGAAGGGTTGTCCATGGGACACTAAAGTTCCACTGTATTCTGAACCAGAATTTCTTAATTCAATACCATTGCTCTAAAAGGATGCTTTCTCAAGCACTGAAAAATATGGTTCCATTTATGTCCCTAATTTAAGGGAAGAGACATTTTGAATTGGAGGCAAATAATCTATGTTGTAACACTTCGAAGCTTGGTCAGGAAGCTTATGCCAAATGCCTTATGTGTACTTGTGATTTTTGTATTCTGACCCTGAATGTATTTCACACATAAGCTGACATGTCTCCAATAATTTTCCTCCTAATTACGGTATAAATGAAATATTAGCACATATTATCTCAGCACCCCACCAACTGATCAGTTTGTTGCTATAAAGTGCAAATGCCCAATCATATAAAATTCCAAGCAGTGCTCTACTGAAAATGAGAAGGCATCACTAGCATGTGAGTGAAAAGAATATTACGTGCTTCCCTTTTCTATACGTTAAATTGCTTCACATTGAAAAAATAAATTCACTCTGGGAGACTGAGGCGGGCAGATCATAAGGTCAAGAGATTGAGACCATCCTGGCCAACATGGTGAAACCCTGTCTCTACTAAAAATACAAAAATTAGCTGGGCATGGTGACGTACACCTGTAGTTCCAGCTACTCGGGAGGCTGAGGCAGGAGAATTGCTTGAACCTGGGAGGCGGAGGTTGCAGTGAGCTGAGATCATGCCACTGCACTCCAGCCTGGTGACACAGAGAGCCTCCCTCTCAACAAAATTTTAAAAATGAAATAAATAAAAAATAAGTTAAATAATATACTAATCAAAAATTTGTAAATTATCCATCTACTTCTAGGAAATTACAAAGAACAAATTTCATTATTTTAGCATAAGAGGGATGGATTTACTTTTGTAATTTTCAATATATTAACAATAGATTTTTTTCCTAGTGTTGTTTAGGATACTTCCTGCAATGCTTCATTCAAGTTATCAGTGATTTTTACTACGTATTGTAAAGGATACCTAGCCAACATATATAAATATTTGCTGAATTCAAGATTACTAAGTCAAGAAGCTGGGGTAAATAAAACGGAAACAGGACATCCGTGAATATTTAAGGATATAATCTCGCAATTGCATGTTTCTGCTGGCTTTTCATAACATAATAAACCTTGTTTTTTCTTCTAATTTAAAAAATGCTATCAATAATAAAAATGCTAATTATACAGAATCAACATTTTTATGCATATATCAATTCTTACAAATGTTCTAATTTCAGTTGAGTAAATTGATATGTAAATATACTTGTAAGACAGAAAATGTTGTAAGAAGATTAATTTGAGGTTGTAAGTAGACTAGTGAATTAAAATTTCCATTTCCTATGCTGCAGAGCACTTTTAATGCAATTTGGAGGGAGAACATTAGTGCTCAGCATTTATAATTTATCATTTGACATTTGGACTAAAAATTCGAAGTGTATAGAAGAATTACATATATTTTTTAAATTTCCAATACTGCATATGCTACATGATAATGCAGGATTTTACAAAGAGATTAGTGTAATTCAGTGGTTAATCACAAATATTTCAAAAAGGAGCTACATTGTGGACCTTATATTCCCCTCATAGTTGCTTCAGGAAGGGATCTCATTTGTCAATCCTTCTCAAAATTGGGTTCTATTCAGTTCTTAACTGAAAATAGGAAAAAATGCCACCCTATACCGAAGCATATCAACAGAACTGGAAACATTATGCATAATTTTCAATAGATGAGGGTATACATTTACAAAGTATTCACAAAAAGATATTTTTGGCCAAAATTTGGTTGAATTTGTTGAAAGGAAGTACATCTCTGATCTACTTTTTTAGAATTTTCTGGGTTTCAAGGTCTTAAACAGAGGTGTGTATGTATGTGTGTGCGTGTGTGTGTACGGAAATGTAGTGTGTTCATAAAAATGTCACTGCTGGTGTTTCCAAAATGAAGCTACTAAAAAATAGAGAACTGGTATAATCTAGAGAGGGAGAGGAATCGATAATGCAGAGCGCGCTTGGAAAATAAAACTATGGAAAAGAGGCCACAGTATGGACCAGAAGCAATTACCTGATCACTAAAAAAGAGAGAAGATAAAGAAAAAGACACAGGAAAACAGAGTCAGAGAGGCAGAAAGAGAAAAATCAAACAGTATATTTGGCACTGTAGAGAGTAAAAGAATGAGAGATTTTTCTCCTTTCTGTTCATGGGTTATGAAATTGAGGTTTTCCATATAATTAAGAAAGGATGGATCTTGGTGAAGGGCATATTGTCATCTATGAGAGAACTGTGGGAAGTGTAGGGAAGATTAGAGATGGCTGACATTGTTGCTTGGGGTAATAACTCTAAAACTTCTACCATTCAGTCATGCAGATGAGGTGAACAGGTATTTGGGGACATGTTTGACACTTGATCACATGTAACGATAATATATATTACATTTAGAACAATTTATATCATAATTTATGTGTGAAGCAGGATGTAGCTCAAGAAGGAATATTCAGAAACTTTACCTAAAAGCCAATTCATAAGTTATTCTAAAATTGTTGTTAACCTTGTGGGCATATTTTCTATGGATTTCAAGTGAGCAAAAATTGTCAAGAAATAAAATCCGTCAAGAGTACTGACTGCTTTGCCCATGAATCGTAGACACACTTAAGAGGTATTTAACATTTTAATTAGAGCTATAAATTATCTTTGCTTTAAAATTTAAAAATGTGTTTTCTTTAAACATTGGTTTCATTTTCTTAGGCATTTATTCAAATATACAAAGGTGTGAATGTATGTGATTTTAGACTATAAAATACTTTGAAATTGTTAAATAAATCTTTGCTAATAATACATTTCGTTATGGAAGAATTTTGGGATTCCTTTTGCTCTCAGTATTGACTACTGCCATTGTAGAAGTTCTGATAGTATGATAATTATATGAAGACTCTGAGTTGAAATGCATCATCCTAAGGCAATGAAAACATATTTTCTTGTTCTTGTTTTATCATATTTATGTATAACAGAAATGGAAAGACTAAAAGATTTCATTATCACAATTTTGGAGGGCAGAGAAAATACCAACAATCTGCATTTCCAGGCTAAGTTTAAGCTACTTAGAAGCCAAACCTCATTATTCAGCTGGCATATCACATTCAGCAAGAGACTGTTTCAGTTTTTTCATAGCGATGTTTAACTTTAAATAAGAGATTATATAATTAATGCTAAAATTGCCTGTCACTATTATATTCCTTAAGGTTTTCTATTCTTTCTTAGCTTAAGTCCTGACTTTTATTTTCATTGTTGTCATTGTTATTTTTCTTTTCATAGAAACGTACTACTTAGCTCTATAATCTTTTGTTTGACGTTAAGGGAAAAAGATTTTTGACAAAGCAAAAATATGCTTGAATAAGTTTGTGGTCTTCTGTACAGGTTTAACTTTATATAGTTGGACTTTTTACATTTTTAATAATAATGATGATTACGTAAACTTTATCCAAAAATTATTATAATTATTGAGATTAATTTTTAATCAATTAAAAAGTTTTTAAATAAATGTTATTTGAAGTGTTTATAAGATCAGAAAACAAATGAAAAGATTAATGGTTATAAATCAATAATTGCTTATAATGTAAATGAAACCATTTGTTAATTTCTAGAAATTTATTGCATATTTGATTCTACTTTCCAGGCAATATTCCCATGTAAGTTTGTCTTCATTTTAATAAACTTGTATCCAGAGGCGCGGTTCCAAGATGGCTGAATAGGAACAGCTCCAGTCTACAGCTCCCAGTGTGAACGATGCAGAAGACAGGTGATTTTTGCATTTCCAACTGAGCTTTGAAGAGGGTAGTGGTTCTCCCAGCATGGATTTTGAGATCTGAGAATGGACAGACTGTCTCCTCAAGTGGGTCCCTGACCCCCGAGTAGCCTAACTGGGAGGCACCCCCCAGTAGGGGCAGACTGACACCTCACATAGGCAGGTACCCCTCTGATTTGAAACCTCCAGAGGAACGATCAGACAGCAACATTTGCTGTTCAGCAATATTCGCTGTTCTGCAGACTCCGCTGCTGATACCCAGGCAAACAGGGTCTGGAGTGGACCTCCAGCACAATCCAACAGACCTGCAGCTGAGGGTCCTGACAGTTAGAAGGAAAACTAACAAACAGAAAGGACATCCACACCAAAACCCCATCTGTACGTCACCATCATCAAAGACCAAAGGAAGATAAAACCACAAAGATGGGGAAAAAACAGAACAGAAAAATTGAAAATTCTAAAAATCAGAGTGCCTCTCCTCCTCCAAAGGAACGCAGCTCCTCACCAGCAATGGAACAAAGCTGGACGGATAATGACTTTGATGAGTTGAGAGAAGAAGGCTTCAGATGATCAAACTTCTCTGAGCTAAAGGAGGAAGTTCGAACCCATCACAAAGAAGTTAAAAACCTTGAGAAAAGATTAGACAAATGGCTAACTAGAATGACCAATGCAAAGAAGTCCTTAAAGGACCCGATGGAGCTGAAAACCATGGCACGAGAAATATGTGACGAATGCACAAGCTTCAGTAGCCAATTCGATCAGCTGGAAGAAAGGGTATCAGTGATTGAAGATCAAATGAATGAAATGAAGCAAGAAGAGAAGTGTAGAAAAAAAAGAATAAAAAGAAACGAAGAAAGCCTCCAAGAAATATGGGACTATGTGAAAAGACCAAATCTACGTCTGATTGGTGTACCTGAAAGTGACGGGGAGAATGGAACCAAGTTGGAAAACACTCTGCAGGATATTATCCAGGAGAACTTCCCCAACCTAGCAAGGCAGGCCAACATTCAAATTAGGAAACACAGAGAATGCCACAAAGATGCTCTTCGAGAAGAGCAACTCCAAGACACATAATTGTCAGATTCACCAAAGTTGAAATGAAGGAAAAAATGTTAAGGGCAGCCAGAGAGAAAGGTCAGGTTACCCACAAAGGAAAGCCCATCAGACGAACAGCAGCTCTCTCAGCAGAAACTCTACAAGCCAGAAGAGAGTGGGGACCAATATTCAACATTCTTAAAGAAAAGAATTTTCAACCCAGAATTTCATATCCAGCCAAATTAAGCTTCATAAGTGAAGGAGAAATAAAATACTATACAGACAAGCAAATGCTGAGAGATTTTGTCACCACCAGGCCTGCCCTAAAAGAGCACCTGAAGGAAGCACTAAACATGGAAAGGAACAATCGGTACCAGCCACTACAAAATCATGCCAAATTGTAAAGGCCATCGATGCTAGGAAGAAACTGCATCAACTAACAAGCAAAATAACCAGCTAACATCATAATGACAGGATCAAATCCACACATAACAATATTAACCTTAAATGTAAATGGGCTAAATGCTCCAATTAAAAGACACAGACTGGCAAATTGGAGAAAGAGTCAGGACACATCAGTGTGCTGTATTCAGGAGACCCGTCCCACATGCAGAGACACACATAGGCTCAAAATAAAGGGATGGAGGAAGATCTACCAAGCAAATGGAAAACAAAAAAAAGGCAGAGGTTGCAATCCTAGTCTCTGATAAAACAGACTTTAAACCAACAAAGATCAAAAGAGACAAAGAAGGCCATTACATAATGGTAAAGGGATCAATTCAACAAGAAGAGCTAACTATCCTAAATATATATGCATCCAATACAGGAGCACCCAGATTCATAAAGCAACTCCTTAGAGACCTACAAAGAGACTTAGACTCCCACACAATAATAATGGGAGACTTTAACACCCCACTGTCAACATTAGACAGATCAACGAGACAGAAAGTTAACAAGGATATCCAGGAATTGAATTCAGCTCTGCACCAAGCAGACCCAATAGACATCTACAGAACTCTCCACCCCAAATCAACAGAATATACATTCTTCTCAGCACTACACCACACCTATTCCAAAATTGACCACATAGTTGGAAGTAAAGCACTCCTCAGCAAATGTAAAAGAATAGAAATTATGACAAACTGTCTCTGAGACCACAGTGCAATCAAACTAGAACTCAGGATTAAGAAACTCACTTAAAACTGCTCAACTACATGGAAACTGAACAACCTGCTCCTGAATGACTACTGGGTACATAACGAAATGAAGGCAGAAATAAAGATGTTCTTTGAAACCAATGAGAACAAAGACACAACATACTAGAATCTCTGGGACACATTTAAAGCAGTGTGTAGAGGGAAATTTATAGCACTAAATGCCCACAAGAGAAAGCAGCAAAGATCTAAAATTGACACCCTAACATCACAATTAAAAGAACCAGAGAAGCAAGAGCAAACACATTCAAAAGCTAGCAGAAGGCAAGAAATAACTAAGATCAGAGCAGAACTGAAGCAGATAGAGATACAAAAAACCCTTCAAAAAATCAATGAATCCAGGAGCTGGTTTTTTGAAAAGATCATCAAAATTGATCGACTGCTTGCAAGAGTAATAAAGAAGAAAAGAGAGAAGAATCAAATAGATGCAATACAAAATGATAAAGGGAATATCACCACCAATCCCACAGAAATACAAACTACCATCAGAGAATACTATAAACACCTCTATGCAAATAAACTAGAAAATACAGAAGAAATGGATAAATTCCTCGACACATACACCCTCCCAAGACTAAACCAGGAAGAAGCTGAATCTCTGAATAGACCAATAACAGGCTCTGAAATTGAGGCAATAATTAATAGCTTACCAACCTAGAAAAGTCCAGGACCAGATGGATTCACAGCCGAATTCTACCAGAGGTACAAGGAGGAGCTGGTACCATTCCTTCTGAAACTATTCCAATCAATAGAAAAAGAGGGAATCCTCCCTAACTCACTTTATGAAGCCAGCATCATCCTGATACCAAAGCCTGGCAGAGACACAACAAAAAAAGAGAATTTTAGACCAATATCCCTGAAGAACATCAACGCAAAAATCCTCAATAAAATACTGGCAAACCAAATACAGCAGCACATCAAAAGCTTATCCACCATGATCAAGTGGGCTTCATCCCTGGGACGCAAGGCTGGTTCAACATACACAAATCAATAAACGTAATCCAGCATATAAACAGAACCAAAGACAAAAACCACATGATTATCTCAATAGATGCAGAAAACGCCTTCGGCAAAATTCAACAGCCCTTCATGCAAAAAACTCTCAATAAATTAGGTATTGATGGGACGTATCTCAAAATAATAAGAGCTATTTATGACAAACCCACAGCCAATATCATACTGAATGGGCAAAAACTGGAAGCATTCCCTTTGAAAACTGGCACAAGACAGGGATGCCCTCTCTCACCACTCCTATTCAACATAGTGTTGGAAGTTCTGGCCAGGGCAATTAGGCAGGAGAAAGAAATAAAGGGTATTCAATTAGGAAAAGAGGAAGTCAAATTGTCCCTGTTTGCAGATGACATGATTGTATATCCAGAAAACCCCATCGTCTCAGCCCAAAATCTCCTTAAGCTGATAAATAACTTCAGCAAAGCCTTAGGATACAAAATCAATGTGCAAAAATCACAAGCATTCTTATATACCAATAACAGACAAACAGTCAAATCATGAGTGAACTCCCATTCACAATTGCTTCAAAGAGAATAAAATACCTAGGAATCCAACTTACAAGGGATGTGAAGGACCTCCTCAAGGAGAACTACAAACCACTGCTCAACAAAATAAAACAGGACACAAGCAAACGAAAGAACATTCCATGCTCATGGATAGGAAGAATCAATATCGTGAAAATGGCCATACTGCCCAAGGTAATTTGTAGATTCAATGCCACCCCCATCAAGCTACCAATGACTTTCTTCACAGAATTGGAAAAAACTACTTTAAAGTTCATATGGAACCAAAAAAGAGCCCGCATTGCCAAGTCAATCCTAAGCCAAAAGAACAAAGCTGGAGGCATCACGCTACCTGACTTCAAACTATACTACAAGGCTACAGTAACCGAAACAGCATGGTACTGGTACCAAAACAGAGATATAGACCAATGGAATAGAACAGAGCCCTCAGAAATAATACCACACATCTACAACTATCTGATCTTTGACAAACCTGACAAAAACAAGAAATGGGGAAAGGATTACCTATTTAACAAATGGTGCTCGGAAAACTGGCTTGCCATATGGAGAAAGCTGAAACTGGATCCCTTCCTTACACCTTATACAAAAATTAATTCAAGATGGATTGAAGACTTAAATGTTAGACCTAAAACCATAAAAACCCTAGAAGAAAACCTAGGCAATACCATTCAGGACATAGGCATGGGCAAGGACTTCATGTCTAAAACACCAAAAGCAATGGCAACAAAAGCCAAAATTGACAAATGGGATCTAATTAAACTAAAGAACTTCTGCACAGCAAAAGAAACTACCATCAGAGTGAACAGGCAACCTACAGAATGGGAGAAAATTTTTGCAATCTACTCATCTGACAAAGGGCTAATATCCAGAATCTACAAAGAACTTAAACAAATTTACAAGAGAAAAAACAAACAACCCTATCAAAAAGTGGGCGAAGGATATGAACAGACACTTCTCAAAAGAAGACATTTATGCAGCCAACAGACACATGAAAAAAATGCTCATCATCACTGGCCATCAGAGAAATGCAAATCAAAACCACAATGAGATACCATCTCACACCAGTTAGAATGGCAATCATTAAAAAGTCAGGAAACAACAGGTGCTGGAGAGAATGTGGAGAAATAGGAACACTTTTACACTGTTGGTGGGACCGTAAACTAGTTCAACCATTGTGGAGGACACTGTGGCGATTCCTCAGGGATCCAGAACTAGAAATAACATTTGACCCAGCAATCCCATTACTGGGTATATACCCAAAGGAATATAAATCATGCTGCTATAAAGACACATGGACACGTATATTTATTGCGGCACTACTCACAATAGCAAAGACTAGGAACCAACCCAAATGTCCATCAATGATAGAATGGATTGAGAAAATGTGGCACATATACACCATGGAATACTATGCAGCCATAAAAAAGGATGAGTTCATGTCCTTTGTAGGGACATGGATGAAGCTGGAAACCATCATTCTCAGCAAACTATCGCAAGGACAAAAAACCAAACACCACATATTCTCACTCATAGGTGGGAATTGAACAATGAGAACACTTGGACACAGGAAGGGGAACATCACACACCGGGGCCTGTTGTGGGGTGGGGGGAGGGGGGAGGGATAGCATTAGGAGATACACCTAATGTAAATGACGAGTTAATGGGTGCAGCACACCAACATGGCACATGTATACTTATGTAAGAAACCTGCACATTGTGCACATGTACCCTAAAGTTAAAGTATAATAAAAATATATATATAAAAAAATTGTATCCAGAAAAATAATACAACTTAATTTGAATATACAAAAATTTCAAATAATGACTCATATATGCTCAGTAAGTTTAATGTCTTGACTTTAATCACATCAAAGACTTCTTATATTAATATAATTTTGTGCATATGCAAGGGTTTCACTTCTGTATGTAATCAAGAACTCAGCTAAGCTGTTTATCCTCTCCATGTTCTTCCAGAACATTCTGCCTTAATGATCTAATTCATGGTTACTTCCGACTCCATTTTTTAATTTCACCATTACTATGCATCTCATTTACATTTTATTTCCTGGGCCTTTCCTCCTTTCTCAAAAACTACCCAGAGATCATGACAGCAGCCTTTTCTTGACTTCCACACCTTACACACACAGGCACACACACACACTCTTATTTTCAGAAATATGTGAATAGGGGAACAAGTATTGCTACATTTTATATTATTCTTGACAGATGAAACTGGGCACCTGTTTGCTGTATATCATAGGCTTGGCCAACATCAGGCAGATGCTGCCCAGATGTCCTTTCTTCATCTAGAAACATGGAGCCATACTGGCCACCTCACTTTCCTCACACCCTCAACTGAATTGTCCCCAGGTCCAAATCAGCAGTTGAATCCATTTCCTTTCCTTCATTTTCCTTTCTGCTACCCAGGCATTTGTCCTCTTGGAGAGCAAGACGAAGCCTTCCTCCCTCATGCTTAATCTGCTCCAGTGGCATTAGCCTACACTCATTCCTCAAAGAGAACAGATCCTTCCTAACTCAGAATTTCACAAAAGGCACCTACCCAGGAGTCCTCGCCACTCTATTCCGCCCCATGTCCCTTCAAATTCAATAGCCATAGGTCTTAGTCTAGAGGTGACACCTCTGGGACAATGCACCTGAAGCCCTAGATAAGGAGTTTTATTTGCCATCAAACATTCTATGTTTTTCTACATGACGTTTATACAAATACTTTTTGTTTAAATAATTTTTAATATTTTAGTCCCTCTCCTCTTAACACATAAACTCCTAAAAATCAGTGTGTTGCTCACTACTGATATCCAGCACCTAGCACAGTCCTTAGCATATGGTTGGAACTCACTGAATTTCAGATTTATAAAGAAATGAATTGATGGATGTTGTACGCATGTGTGAGGAGCCATGTGGAATGTAAATGGCAGGATACCTATGTGTAAAGTTCTCAGAATCAAGGAAATGGTGCTAAACTGGCAGCCAGAAAGCTAATCCATATGGATGTCAAGGAGACGAGGCTTGAGACACAGAGCAGTGAGCAATGTGAGGGATCCAAAGACTAGGGAAGTCCCACAGGAATACGAGAGATGATTCAAAGAACCCTTGGTTGTCCTGAAACACTGCTTTGATTCGTGGGCTAGAGGGCTGAAGACAAGTGCATGCAAAGTGTTTTCTCTAAATGTCTCACCAGCTTGTGTTTTGAATGTATGATTCCAGAACTATATATCACCCATCTCTCGGTGCTGTTCAGTTCTTTTCATCCTGCTAAATCTTTTCTGCATCTCTATTTAGATGATTTCTCATTCTTTCCATCTGAGACTGAACTAATGGCACAAAGATGGTTATTTCCATGTAAGGATGTTACTAAGAAGAGTATATAGGGTCTAGTTAGCAAAAACAGACCACAGAATTTTTTTTAAAGTCTGCCCAGCATTTAAGAAGATATCAGCCTGTTCTCCAAGTCTCCAGTCCTATCTCTTATGTCTACCAGCCTTTAGCCTTTTTCTTTTTCTAAGGATAAGCTCTCACTTTTCAAATTCTGTGTGACATTCTTAAGGCCACCTACATGAACACATTTTCATCTATTCCATCTTGCAGTCCTGAAGCAGTAACATGACTACCTGTTGTGGCAAAAAGGCTGCTCCTTGGTCTGATCTGCATCTTCCAGGGAACTTGCTTGGCAGCCTGCGATCCATCAAATTTTCCCCTTAGTAAATCTCAGAAAAAGATCACCCATAAGCTTAGTACAGGAGTATTCTGAAGTTTGACTAGTATTTTAGAGTGCTGTAGATCCTAAGATGAAAGCAGTAAGAAAGTTGAAAAAATAGTATTATTTATTCAACAGGCATGCTAGAAATCTCAGAGCTTCCCTAGTCACTATTTTCTGTCCTATGCATGTAACATAAAACTCTGCAAAATTAGAACTGAGTTCTCTGTGAAGACATTCAGAAATAAACAAGACCAGCCTTGAAGGGAAGGCCTTGTAATCCGTGGTTTATTCTCCTTTTCTCGTTATGGCTGATGGCAGATTAGAGTAGGTGCTCAGCCACGGATTCACTGAAATAATGCTTTAAAGTCTACTAATTCTTAGAAATCCTCCGCACTTTCAATTACAATGAAACTATCCATCCATTCCTCTAAAATTTGTGAGTATTAATCATTCTATGTTTCTAGCTTTTATTCTGCATTTGTGATCCCTTTGTACTACTTTTTCTGTTAGGATACAGTCAAGAAAACTGAAACCATGGTAGTAGGTAGGTACTTTAAAGACGGAATTGGATACCAGATGTTAGAAGGCTCTAGAAGTACTTGAGCAGGAGTAATTGTAGACATCAGTTTACCTTAAATGGGCAGAATTCAGATAGATAACAACAACAACAAAAAAGAGACTGTGGAGGTTATTCATAGTGGGCTAATTTGTGTGGGAAAAAGAAGTAGGTATAAATCAATATATTCTAGTATCTGTGAGATAACAAATATGAGAAATTTTTTTCTAGGCTAGTTGGGTAAAGTTTAAAAGTGTTGTGCTTTATCCTCTAGACAATTGAGAGTAGTTGCCGTATTTAAGAAAGATAAATAAACTGTTCTGTGTGCAGGGAAGATAGAAATGGAAGACATTGGAAGCAGAGAGAAGCTAAAGGAGAACGTTCACATTATCCTAAAGTGTTAAGAACCTGAATGAAACTCATTGCAAAATCATTGCCAGGGAATACAGTGCAGGGACTGACTCTAGTAGTGGATGAGGACAACTCACAGAGAGAAATCTGACAATCCATGTTTAGCAGAGGGAAGGAAGCCAGGAATAGTTATTAATAAGTCCAAGACTTCAGTTTTGTTTTTTTGTTTTGTTTTAACTCCCAGCAAGCTAAACTTGACAATAATGTAGCTCAATTTCTCCCTACCTCATTTTCTTAATCTCTATAATCTTGCCCCAGAAAAGCCGTTTACACCCTAGCTCAGAAAATTCTGTATTAATTTGTCTTCATAAGATTGTAAAATTTTCAAAACTGTCTATTCATGATAATTAGAGAAATACAAATCAAGACCACAATGAGATGCAATCTTACACCAGGCAGAATGGCTATTACTAAAAAGTCAAAAAAATAACAGATGCTGGCAAAGTTGTGAAGAAAAAGGAATGCTTATACACTGTTGGTGGGAGTGTAAATTAGTTCATCCATTGTGGAAGACAGTGTGGCAATTCTTCAAAAACCTAAAGACAGAAATAGCATTTGACCCAGCAATCCCATTACTGGGTATATACTCAAAGGAATATAAATCATTCTATTATAAAGACACATGCATGCATATGTTCACTGCAGCACTATTCACAATAGCAAAGACATAGAACCAACCAAAATGGCGATCAGTGACACACTGGATCAAGAAAATGTGGTACATATACACCATGGAATACTATGAAGCCATGAAAAAGAACAGAGATCATGTCTTTTGCAGGGACATGGACGGAGCTAGAGGCCATTATCCTTAGCAAACTAACACAGGAACAGAAAACCAAACACCACATGTTCTCACTTATAAGTAGGAGCTAAATGATGAGAACTCACATGGACGCATAGAGGGGAACAACACACACTGGGGACTTTCAGAGAGTGGAGACAGGGAGATGGGAGATCATCAGGAAAAATAACTAATGGGTGCTAGACTCAATACCTGGATGATGAAATAATCTGTACCATCAAAATACTGTCCTCATCTTAAAAGTAAATAGCACTATTTTATTTAATAGTTTATATTTTGGAATCCTAACCAGATATTTTTTCCTTAAATTTCAAGCACTGCATTACTTCCAAAGACATGCTATGGGTATGTGGAAATTATATCAAACATGAGTAAATTTTGTTGACCAAGACTATAGAAATAACAATACCATCATATAAAGATACTAATACAGACATTGTTGGTTGGTGAAAATTACCCCCAAATGTCCAATGCCGTGAGTATACTTTGAATAGCTACTTAGTTTGGTTTTTATTAACATTATATGAAGGTTATTTCTAAGCCTGCAGACATAATTCGTAGAATATACTACTCCGATATTTGAGAATGTACTACTTAAATATCTGGATATATTTATTCCAAATATATCTCCACTGTGCTTTTTTAGAAGATGCAATTGCCATCACAGTAAGATATTGCTGATTCAGGTGAAATTTTTAATTAACTAGAAAAATCAAAGAATGCAATTCTTTTTCAAGATTTCTTCAAATAAAGAAACAAGCAAGATTAGGCTGTGGTGCTGTGAATAACACCAAGAAGTACGGAGTCGGGCAAGCCTCAGGTTCAGTCACAGTTCTACTGATAAGCAGATAATAATTCTAAGGGTGCGTTTTTGTGTCTTAGGTTTGTGGATACCTATGGTAGCATTCCACAGATCAACATTGAGCCTACCCCACGACTATTCAACCTGCCCATTATTTGGGTAGCTTTCATATAACCAGTTAGAAAGAAAACATCTATGAAAACTACTAAAGAATTATATATTTTAATTAAGGGTACCGAACATGGTCAAGTTAGAGAACAATACAGTAGAAACCTTCTATTCAAATATAATTGAGACCAGTTTTTTGATAGTTAATCTAAAAAATGAGTTAAGGAGGAGGATCACAGGGTTAAAAAAAAACCACAAATGTAAATTAATTGGCCAATATTTTGATATAAGCCCAGGACCCTTTGATTATCACTTTATTAACTGGAGTTTCTATACATTGTCTTCTTTGTATAAATTATTATCATAACAAGTCAATTAGAATTCCAAATTTTTATTTGTTTAAAGTAGAACAAAAATTTAAAGTAACAGAAGTGCAAAAACCTTTTAGCTTATTAAAATTGTTATTATTCTAATTTTATAATTTTTTCTTAAAATTTTTACATTGCTTAGCCCTCACATTAATCAACTTAGCTTTTTCTAATCTTTTCAAGACCCAACATATTTTTACATAAATAGCACCACTCCATTATGACCACATCACTGATTTTATTTATGTCACCAAAGACTAACTTGAATACAACCTAAATAAACTGGCTTGTAAATAAGTTAACATAATGCTAAGTTGAGGCAATAGACATAATAGAAAACACACTGTTATTTTATAGGGAGAATGTACAGTGTCAGTTCATTTAACAAATTAGTTAAACACAACTCAACTACAACAATGTCAATGAAAAGTAGCAAATTCTGTTTTTGCTCCATGGACTTTACAGCCAGTGAGTCCTGAGAAAGAAGAGATAATTTAAAGAGCTTCATTGGCAGGTGAATCTGTGCTTGGCCTTTTAGCTTAGAGAATGAAGCTCCATATTAAAAGCAGAAGAATAGTGAGGCATCACATGTGAAGAAAGGAATCAGAACAGACATGCAGGGGCAAAAGTAGCCACGGTCTGCATTCTGGCTCAGGAGGACAGTATGTGTTGAAGAGCAAAGCTTAGAATGGGCTGATGCCTGTAACCTCACCCCATCCCATTGCTTTATCTACTCACAGATTGCCCAGAAAATCGGGCACCCCACAGTGAGAACAGGAACTGGGCATCCCAGCTAATCTTCAGCTGGGTGGGTCTCATAGGGTGGTCAGATTTGAAAAAAATAACAATAGGCTTTGAAGAAAAAGACTTGGAGATGAAGCAGAATGCTCCTGCCAAAGCTTTCCTCAATTGACATAAGAGGAACAAGTTTATTTCCCAAATTAATTATAGTATAATTTACCAGGTATCCAAATAAATTTGTTTAGAGACTAAGAGTTTTCCCCTCAAATAATGCCTGACCATAATTTTACATATAATTCTTTTATTCAGCAAATGTTCAATGTATGTTTGTTTTATACCAAACACTTTTTAAGGAATTAGGAATACCATTGTGGATAAAATAGACAATCTTCACTAAATGCTTAGTTATGACAGGAGGCAAACAAATACATAAGAAAGAAAATAATTCAGAAATACAGTTTTATGCCTAATTATATCAGGTGATAGTAAGTACTGTGTCCCCAAAACACTTACTCATTTTCTCAAACTATTATAAAACAGGGAAGGTGCATAAAGAGTGCTGGACATGGGACTGAAGATTCTGTTTTAAATATGGTGGCCAGGGAAGTCCTCACTGTGTAAGAACATTCCAACAAAGACTTGAAGGAGATGAGGGAAGTCATCAAGTGGATGGGAAAAAGAACACTCCCAGTAACAGGACCAGCAAATGCAAAGACCAGAGGAGAAAGACTGCTTTACTTAAGGGACAGCAAATAGGTCTCCCTGCTACAGCAGAGTAAATACAGTGGAAATGGTAGAAGAGTTTTTAGTTGTAAGGCAAGAAGGGGGACCAACCATGGAGAGTCTTAGATGTCATTGTGGAGATTTCCATTTTGCTGGAGGTGAAATGGAAGCCACTGAAGGCACTTGAAATGGAGGCTGATATGGTTCACAGCTTTAATAGTCTGCTGTCTGCTGAGATAAGAATTGACTATAGGACAAAGGGTAGATCTAGGTAGTGAGATGTTACTGCAGTCACCTAGGAAAGAGCTAGGATGATTTGAACTAGAGTGGTAGTAGTAAGAGGTGGTCATACTTTGAAAATATTTTTAAAGTAGAGTTGACAGGATTTGGTGATGAATTTGGCATGTGATGTGAGTCAAATTTCATAGCCTCAGCCAAACATCCCTATTTAATTACGTTTAATATAATGGAAAAGGTGGGGGAAATGGATTAAGAAAAGAAAGAAGTTTGGCATGGGAAACAGTAAGGTGAAGAAACCAGTCGGGATGTTAGATATCTAAATCTGAGTTCAGGAGTTTTGAATGCATACAAAATTTGATCGTTAGCATGGGGCTAGTATTTGAAACCATGAGACTGGACAAGATCATTTTAGTTTAGTGTATTTCCACAGATTATATTTCAAGCATCATGCTAGATACTTTAACGTTTGGCCATTTTAAAAGCCCACTGGTAAATTTCACAGGAATGAGGATTTGACTGACCTGTTTTTCTCAGCTGTCTGACCTCAGTAGGATGCATTATTGTATTGTATTTAATTCCCTATAAAATTCCAAAATATCAAAATAAGGCCTGTATTTATTAGCAGGATTTTTCAGATAGAACTATACTACTTAATTTCACAGAAATATCCTTCCCTGGGGTGATGATACTATTATATCACCAGTCATGAAGTCATGCTAACTTGTAGGCAACAATGGAGCTCACATTTTGATCTAAGCTAATTAGCATGCATTACTTAAATTATGAAAATGCACACTTTCAGGGGGCAGACAGATTTTATTAATTCTGAATTATGTCAAACTATCACTTAATAATTCTCAAGGGCCCAACTCTGGCAAAACCAGATGCTGCAGTGTATGTGTTTCCTATTCTCTTCCAACTTTTTTCATCATGTTTCATCAGCAAATGCTATGAAGTCTAATTAATTTAATTAATGGATCTCAGGGCCATTGGACAATGCATTTACATGAATTGCTCTGTGAAGGAGCTCTGTCTTGCTCTCTCTCTCTGCCCACCCTTTCTCCCCCGCTTTCTCTTTCAAGAGCAGAACATTTTGGTGAGCTCCAGTTAACTGGCTGAACTAAGCAGCGATCTCTTAGGTAATGATGCACTGCTAACAAACCTCAGCATAGACTATAACACTACCACTAAAGCTTCTGTTCATGTTGTTCTAGGGCTGATAAAATGGAATATTGTAATCTAGCTCTGAGGAAATTTGAGATTGTCTCATGTTTTCTCAGTTAAACCAGAAAATAATTAATTATAGGGAAGGGACAAGAACTGCCATGGCAGAGCCAGGCTGAGAAATAATTTCTGTTCACTCTCAATGTATTATCTGCTTTGTCCCTAGAGGCTCCCTTTTGTTACTCTTATATCAAAATCTCACTAAATTTTCCTGCCATCTCAACTCAAAAATCATACCTACAAAGAGCTAAAGTTTTATCTTTTTGCTTTTGCAAAAACTCTGTGCGAGCTATGAGAGTGTAAGCTTTATAGTTATATACAGATGTTTTTATTTATAATATTTCTCCTGCAAAACAGGATTAGAGAAAGTGAACCAAAAAGAACATGTAATAAGATGAATAATGAATAGAAAAATAAATTGCTCTAAAGACAAAGTAAAGGAAACTATAAAAGGGAGATGACTAGAACTATTTAGCAAGAAGAGACCTCATTCTTTCCATCAAATAGTGTGGTGTAATTTGCACAATGCACCCAATGGTTAATGAACACATATTTGTTGAGGATATCATTAATAAATAATACAACCAATGAAAAACTAATACAAAATATTTTTACTCTGCAGGAAGTAACTATTAGGTAGGTATTGTAAATTCTAACTTTAAAAGGTAGAGGAAAATATATATTGATCTGACTCATAAATTCAACAGGAAGACACAGAGTAACAATTACTGCAGGTGAATTTCAGCTCTCAGTCTATCTACCAACCAGTGTCACCAGGAACCTTCTTCAGACCCATGTATCCAACTGCGTATTTATCTTTTGCACCTGAATATCCCTCAGATATCTCCATTTAATTCATCTTCTTCCTCCAAACTGGACAGTATCCAAGCAGATCCAGAGAACTGTGAAGAGCTATTCTAGTCTCCGCCCTCTCCCCTGTTGCTGATCCAGTTAAGAGGGCCAAAGAATGTAGTTGAGAGGACATCAGCTCTGTATCTAGTAGCATTTAGTTTTAACCTCATCCCTTCACTTAAAATTGGCATGGCCTTCAGTAAGCGATTTAACTCCTCTGAATATCAACTGATAAAAGTAAAAATAAAAAAATTTACAAAATTAATTGTAGTGAGGATTAAAATATCATGTTTGGTACATCATGAGCTCTCGATAAACAGTTGTAGTATTGTTATTCAAACTGGTACACAGGCCTATCACTTCTCTTTCCTTTTAGATCTGTTTTTTTTTTTTTTCCTTCTGTTCTCACCTCTGAATGTCCCAACCCAATCTCTCTTCCTCTATCACCTTTTTAGGAAATCCATCCCCACCCCACTCACCCCACCACTCCTCACACTCCTTTCTCTCCTACCCTGGCCTCCACCACAGCTCCTCCATCCCCACCTGTAATCCAGCCTCTAAACCACTATCAGGGCTGCGGTTCTGAAGTGCAAATCTCATCATGTTGTACCTTATAATATCTTTGAATGACACCTATTTGTCTCATGATAAATTCTAAACTCTTTAGTTTTATGTGGACCATGACCATTTTTTATCTGACCCTGTCTGTCTCTCCCTAATTCTCATTTCTCTCCACCAAATACTCCACCCTTGTACTGAACAACGTGCCTCTACTTTCATCTCTTCATACTTATATTTTTTCCTTGATCCTTAACTTTGCTCACAATGTTCCTGCCATCTGGAATAGCATTTTCCCTACTGGCCTGGAAAATTTGACTATTCCTTTGTGGCGGAATTCAGTTTTCACTCCCCCGTGAGTGACCTTCTTAGGACAAATTGACAGTATCTTATATTGTAGTCCCACAGTCCAATAGGCAGTCTTCAAGTGTCCAATATGACAGTGCATGATATTTGTTGTTTATATGCCTATTTCCCCCACTGGCTTTGAGAAACTTGAGAGATTGTTGTAACCATTTGTATCTACAGTGTCTAGCAGAGCATGCATCTATTTGTGTTTTGAATGAGTGAGTGAATTAATGAATGATGAGAAAGCAATGACCTATGTTTTCTCTCTACCTCTTACACGAGATTATAAATAGACTGATTCAACTGAAGATTCCAGGTCCTATTCCTTTTGCTGTTGTTATCGTATACGTTAGCAAAAAGCTTCATCCTTTCCAAAAATTTCTTCAGTGGTAGCAATAAATTCAGTGTCTTCTGGAAGCAACATTGTGCTCTCTTTCTCTCTCTCTCTCTGATTTGCCTATTGCTACTTTGCATAGTATGTGTTTATGACTTTATCATTCGTTACAGTACATGTAATAGGAGCCCTGCTATTTCTTCATAAGTGGTTATGAAAAAATATTCATACTTGCTTATGTTTTGTGAACATCTATATGTGGTGGAGCATATGTTATTATAATCTTACTTTAAGTGGAAATACAGTTTAAAGGATTTTCTCTTACTGTTCTTAATGTAAAGCTTCTAAATTAGATATACAAAAGCGCTCATCTAGAAGCTAATGGAACCACAAGCAAAACACAGAAAAAGGCTTACCGAGAACAAATTATAACAAACAAATGTTAGTTTTATTGCAATAGAATTACTGAATTAGTACATGATGGAACAAAAGATCTATAACAAGTTTAGATGTCAGTAATTTATTGGACATGGATTGTATGTACTGTACCCACAAAATTCTATCAAATTGTTTCTATTTCAAGAAATTTTCAGTTTATTCATGTTCAACACAAAAGTTAATTATACATGAAATATAAACTGAATGGAAAACATTGGCATTGTATTTCCTGGCTTTCTGGGAAGAATGTGGTAGTAAGGTTAACATGGAAATGCAAGAGAAAGCTCTTGCCTCCTCTCCTTGTTCCCAGGATAGGACAAAATACACATGGCCAAGAATGAGAAAAGTAGGACAGAACCCAATGTAGTCAAGAGAGTTATGACCCTGAGGTGTGAGGTAAGATCTGGCCCTGGGAATGTTGACTGACACTGCAATATTTAGTGTCTAGACTGGAATGATTAGCTATGAAGTGGGTTAACTTGGAGTCTTTAGAGATGGCGCTATTCCCAGAAAGATAAATGAGATCCAGTCCTAGGACAAAAGGACAAACATCATTGGTCGGAAAAAGAAAAAATGACTTAGAAAAAGAGAGAAAGAGAAACCAAATGTAGAGGAGAAGAAGAAATCCCAAGGATGGAGACCAAAGGGTTTCCCAGACAGTCTGTTCCTTGGGAATGTGAGTTACACAGCAGCCTGGAAGATGATGTTACTTCCAAGCCCATGATTCTGTCTCCATGACTTAGGACACTAGTCACAAAGAAATAGAACATACCTTTCCCTTTCTAGATATCATTGTCAGTTGAAGAACTGCTACTCATGGCCTGCTAGAGTGAAACTCATTGGTTCTAGGAATGAATGAAATTGGACCTGCTGGAGGCTTTTAATTATTATGTGGGCATCAGAACTGATGAGGATTGATGTGGGTGTTATTTCAATAAAGTGTTACAAACAATTCATATATGAAAAATTTACTTTTTCTTAATTTATAAATACGCTAATATAGTATTTCAATGTTGTTATTCAAATTAAAGACCATGTGAGTTCTTAGACACAATCTCTCACTGTGTATTAATTGCAATAAGACATTGCAATAACCACATATATATTATATATATATATAAATTAATAGACATTACTTTTTGAGCTGTTTTAGGTTTACAGACGGTATTAGTGAAAATTAAAGTGCGTGTCCATAGACTCTCTCACCCCACCCCCATTTCTCCTATTTTTAACATCTTATGGTATTTTTAACATTAGCATGTTACATTTGTTACAAGTGATAAGCCAATGTTGATAAATTATTTTTATCTAAAGTTCATAATTATATTAGGGTTCACTCTTTGTGGTGTCCATTTTATGGATTTTAACAGGGTGTAATAAGATGTACCCACCATGACAATGTTACACAGAATAATAGTTTCACTGCCTTAAAAATCCCCTGGGCTCTACCTAGTTATTCCTCCTTTCTTTCCTCCCCAGGAACCCCTGGAAATGACTGATCTTTTTACCGTCTCCACAGTTTTGCCTTTTTCAAAATGTCATATACTTGAAACCACATAGTGTGTAGGCTTTCATATTGGCTTCTTTCACTCAGTAATATGCATTTAAGGTTCTTCCATGCCTTTTTGTGGCTTGATAGCTCTTTTTCTATACAGAACTGATTAATATTCCATTGTATGGCTACACCATAGAGTATTGGTCCATTTGCCTGTTGAAAGGTATCTTGGTTGTTTGTTTTGGTAATTATGAATAACACTGCTACAAACATTTGTGTGCATGTTTTATGTGGGCATAAGTTTTCAACTCATTTGGCAAATACCAAGGAGCACAATTATGGAATCATAGGCTAAGAGTGTGCTTTGTTTCATAAGAAACTGCTAAGCTGTCTTCCAAAGTGGATGTTCCATTTCGCATCCCCACTAGCAATGAGTAAGTTATTTCTGCTCATTGTTTTTACCAGCTCTCAGTAGTGTTGGTATTTTGGATTTTGGCCATTATAATAGCTATGCAGTGGCATCTCATTGTTTGAGTTTGCAATTTTCTAATGACATATGATATTGAGCATCTTTTCATGTGCTTATTTACCATTAGTAATATGTTGCCATCAGTAACTTTCCTTTCCCTTTCCATTGCCGCTGAGATCCAGCACTTTTTTTTTTTTTTGAGACACAGTCTCACTCTGTCACCCATGCTGGAGTGTAGTGGTGCAATCTCAGCTCACTGCAACCTCCACCTCCCAGGTTCAAGTGATTCTCCCTGCCTCAGCCTCCTGAGTAGCTAGGATTGTAGGCACCCGCCACCACGCCTGGCTAATTTTTTTTTTTTTTTTTTTTTTAATAGAGAGGGGCTTTCGCCATGTTGGCAGGGCTGGTCTTGAACTCCTAACCTCAGATGATCTGCCCTCCTCAGCCTCCCAAAGTGCTGGGATTACAGGCATGAGCCACCGCACCCGGCCATATCCAGTATTTCTTAATGGAAACTAAAACTTCACCAGTTACCACATTTTTCCCCATATATTTGTAATAAGTTCCAATGTCTGATAAGGCAAGTCCAACCCTCTGCATTTTTAAAAATTAATCAAGTTATTTATTAAAAATATTCTATGCACGTTTTAGAATCAAATATTTTATTAAAATCAATGATCATATTAGATTTATTGGAAAAATAATGTAATTTAATATTAAGTTATCACATTCATGAACATGATAATTTTCTACTTATTTGGATTTCCTTTAAGATCAATTCCTAAAATTTTCTATATAGATGGTTTTAGGGTTTTTTTTTTGTAGCTTAACTACAAGATACTTTGTAGTGTCTGAATTTTTATTACAGTTTTACACCTTCAATTCAATTATTGCTGATATGGATGAACTTTTTTTTCAGAATCTATTTTAGATTTAGTGGGTACATATGCAGGTTTGTTACTGCATATGGGATACTGCTTGATGCTCAGATTTGGAGTACAAATGTATCGATTAACCAGATGGTGAACATAGCATGCAATACTTTTTCAACCCTTGTCCTTCTCCTTCCATCCCTCATCTAATAGTCTGTTACTTTGTACTGTTTGCTATTATAAATTGGGGGGAAGCCATTATTATTATATATTAGCTTCAGAACAACTAGATTCAAGTCACAAAAACAATTTCGCACAAACAACTTTAGGAAACACTGCTTTGAAAACAGTAATCTGAATTATACCTGAAGCCACAGAAGCCAAATATTTACTAAAGGTTCTTTTAAGAAAAACAAGTTGGCCGGGCACGGTGGCTCACGCCTATAATCCCAGCACTTTGGGAGGCCAGGGTGGGTGGATCACGAGGTCAGGAGATTGAGACCACCCTGGCCAACATGGTGAAACCCTGTCTCTACTAAAATAAAATATAAAAATTAGCCGGGCATGGTGGCACGAGCCTGTAGTCCCAGCTACTCAGGAGGCTGACGCAGGGGAATGGCTTGAACCAGGGAGGCGGAGGTTGCAGTGAGCTGAGACTGCACCACTGCACTCCAGCCTGGTGACAGAGCAAGACTTTGTCTCAAAAAAAAAAAAAGAAAAAAACAAGTTGTATGGAAGGAGGACATCATTAACAGTATATCTCTTCAATAATGGTTTATTTTACTATTCTCATTCTTCTCATTCCTCTCTTACTATGTCCCAAATCCCTTCACAGGCTAAAAGAAACTCTTCAGAATTAATCCTATTCATAAAGAACACCACTTACTGAGTATTGCATTTTCTTCTTCAAATTCTTCAGCATACATTGGGAATACACCCTATGGACCATTTTTATGCTTTTAGTTTTGGGTTTTTTTTTTTTTTTGGCTAAAGAAACTGCAAAAAAAGATTTAGGACCTCATTCTATTAGGTTAGTATTTATCTAGTAAACTTCAGCATAAGCTAAATAAAATACATGTTGTTGCTCTGGACTGAAACCCCTCAAAACCATATTGTAAAAATTACAAAAAAAATTAACTGAAATCATGTTTTTAAAAATCTTGTAGATGACAAGATATGATATATAGTAGGTTTAAGTACCTATTTCAACGGTTCCCAAAGTGGGGCCCTCAGACGCCCAGGTCCAAACTATTTTAACGTGAATACTAACATGGTGACATTTGCTGTAACGGTGCAAATACAATAGTGGGTAAAAATGCTGGTACTTCAGCACAAACAAAGGCAGTAACACCAAACTAGTCATGGTATTCTTCACTATGCACAGGAAAGGTTTAAAAAGGAAGGGCAGGCTGGGCATGGTGTCTCACGCCTGTGACCCCAGCACTTTGGGAAGCCGAGGCAGGTGGATCACTTGAGGTCAGGAGTTTGAGACCAGTCTGGCCAACATGGTGAAACTCCATCTCTACAAAAAGTACAAAATTTAGCTGGACATGGTGGTTGCATACCTGTAGTCCCAGCTACTTGGAAGGCTGAGGTAGGAGGATTGAGCCCAGAAGGTGGAGGCTACCGTGAGCTGTGATCATGCTACTGCACTCCAGCATGGGTGACAGAAGAAGGCCCTGTTGGAAAATAAAAAGAATGTCTATGATGAAGCAGTGAAAATTGTACTACATCTTCATCCTTGAATATATCTTTTTAATATTTCAAGTGATGAAATTGGAAGTACACATGAGCATTTCTACAGACTGCCTGAGAAAAAACCCTCATGTGACTAAGTTGTGAAGTGAATTAACCACTTTAATGGAATACCATTTTTACTTGAAAGGATGACTGACAAACAATGTTATTTCAACTTGGGTTTTTGGGAGACATTTTCTCAAAAAATGAGATTTTGTCAATTCAAGAAAAACAACAGACAGGCCATAATAAAATTCAATAATAAAATTCAAGCTTTTGAACAAAAAATTAGAATTTTAGAAAACTTATATACACCATAGCTTTCCAAAAGTATTCTGATGAGATTGATGGTGATATTGATGAATGTATTTTGATATTATATAATCAAATGTATCAACACGTAGAAGATCTTGGTGAACCATTATTTTCTAAATGACCAATGCACGATGTTATAATATCATGCAAGGGTAAAAGATCCAAAGTTCAAGAAAAACCAAGTTTTGATGGAGTATCAAAAAAGAAGCCTAGGCAACATGGCAAAACCTTGTCTCTATAAAAAGATAGAAAAAATTAGCCAGGTGTGGTGATACACACCTGTAGTCCCAACTACTCTGGAGGCTGAGGTGGGAGAATCACCTGAGTCCCCAGAGACTGAGACTGCAGTGAGCTGTGATTACACCACTGCATTCCAGCCTGGGCAACAGAGCAAGACCCCATCTAAAAAATATATATATATTATTTTATATATATATATATATATATATCTCCACAATAATCTAAAATGGCTATCTGTATGAGATTGGACATTGTTCACATTTTTTCAAGCAAATATCACACAATAAATTGAATGCAGATGAAAACGACATACCAAACATCAAAGAAATTTGCAAAAAACGTAAGACTGTGCTACTTTGGGTTTAGAAATGTTTTCATAAAAGCATTTATAACAATATGTGATGAGCTTTTAAAGAATAGTTTAAATATTTCTGATTTAATTTCTAGTGATAAATACCAATAGATATAACCTACATAAACCAAAGCTCCTTGGGCCCTCAATATATTTTTAAGAGTATAAAGGAGTCCTGATTCCAAAACTTTGAGAACTGCTGCCTTCCCCTCCACTTACCTTCCTTCCCTAGAACTTCTTCCTTGGAAGAAACATCCCTTTGCCATTCCATATTAACTTACAGAGTTCCACTGAGGCCGGTTTTGCTACCTCCCTCCCATCTTTCCACCTCCCTCTCTTGACACAAAATCTGACCAGCCCACCCGATTTCCAGTGATTAGCTGTCAAGGTGGGCTAAGCCAAGAAAATGTGGGTTTTCCCTGAGACTAAACCTCTCTTTCTGGGAGATCTGGAATCACAGGGACAAGGTTGGCCACCTTGGGGTAGTCAGAATTCATCTTGCCTAAATGCGGAGAGGTTAGGCAAGTTTCTAGAAAGCCAAACTGCTTTCTAGAAAGTCAAAGATAATTATACTTTGTGCCATGACTGTGAGACTGCCCATTTTATTGCACACTTTCTAACATTCTTACCAAACTGATAAATACAAGCTGGTACCTAGAAGAAAAAAAGGCCGGGCATGGTGGCTCACACCTGTAATCCCAGCATTTTGGGAGGCCAAAGCAGGTGGATCACCTGAGGTCAGGAGTTCGAGATCAGCCTGGCCAACATGGTGAAACCCCATCTCTACTAAAACTAGAAAAATTAGCCGGCGTGGTGGCAGGCACCTGTAATCCCAGCTACTTGGGAGGCTGAGGCAGGAGAATCGCTTGAACCCAGGAGGCAGATGTTGCAGTGAGCTGAGATCATGCCATTGCACTCCAGCCTGGGTGACAAGAGCAAGACTAAGTCTCAAAAAAAAAAACAAAAAAAACTTTCCATACAATATAATTTGTTCCATCTCTAGAAACCAATTCAGCAATGAGAACTGAAAGCCACCACTTGGAAGGTTTCAAGTATTCAGCTCTACCTATTGATGTCTAAAGCATTAGTTAAGGTAGAAACACACACACACACACACACATACAGCCTATGTATTCAGTACCAGGAAACATGACTGACTAGATGGTATAATCATCTAACAGAAAGTGTACAATAACTGAAGCCACTGCAGAGGAGTAAGTTATGACACGGATCTACAATATTGTTGAGTGAAAAAGCAGATTACAAGAAAAATCTGATTTTTCAAGGGAGAGGGAACATATACAAACACAGGAGAAAAGAGATGCGCAGATGACTGAAAAAATACAAAATTCTGATAGTGGTACCTTCTGAGTGGTAGAATTATCAGTAATATTTTCTAGTTTTGCCTAAAAATTTTCTAAATTTCTTAAAATAAGAAGGTTTTGTTATCCATATTATAAAATATCCACCACCACCACCACAGGAAACTTAACCTTCAGCACAAACTCTACAACATGTTCAAAGTTTGTTCAGTTTAATATTTAAAAGACAATCTATTTTGAAAGACATCTAAAATGATGACCAATATTTAAACCTATGCATTAATATTTTTCAATCATATTTTTTAAATTTTGTAATTTTGATAAGGTTAAGCTTTATATCAATCTTGAAAAGATAAGTTTTCTATTTGTCTTTAAAATATGACCTACAATATGCCAGTTTTTAAACAGTGAATGGTGCTCAAAAATCACAATATAAATTCAGGCAGTGTTCCTTACATAGAATGTTTAAGTGCTTCTAACACTGCTGTTTTTCACCAGTTATGAAAACACATTACAATTATCTAAGCATCTAATTATTCAGGTCCCTTGTTTCTCCTCCATTCTATTAGTTTTACAGTAATTTTAAGGTCTGTGAGGATGAAGTTGTCTGTGACAGCCACCACAAAGGTTACCATAAGTGGACAAATGTCAAACAAGTTTATCTCCACTACCATCCCCACCATAAAACTGTCTTGATCAAGGGCAACACATTTCAAGGTTAACCAAGACAACCTCTTTACCTGTCACTGCTCAAGAAAAGGATTTTTTGGTCTTATTTATAAATAACTTTCTGTATCTATTTTTCTCCATAAATCCACTGAGGCCAATGTGTGGCTCTATCTCAAGCTCCAGCAAGCAAAACTGCCTGCCAGAAGGTTCAGTTTTTGTATCTTTCCAAATGTAGGACACAGCTCTCTTTTGATATGATAGTTTTTTGAAAATTGATACACAAACTTCTTCTTGAAAGTTCAGCCAGGCACAGTGGCTCACACCTGTAATCCCAGGATTTTAGGAGGCCGAGGCAGGTGGATCACGAGGTCAGGAGTTCAAAACCAGCCTGGCCAAGATGGTGAACCCCGTCTCTACTAAAACCACAAAACTTAGCCAGGTGGGGTGGCAGGTGCCTGTAATCCCAGCTACTCGGGAGGCTGAGGCAGGAGAATCGCTTGAACCTGGGTGGCGGAGGTTGCAGTGAGACCAGATCGTGCCACTGCACTCCAGCCTGGGTGACAGAGTGAGAATCCGTCGAAAAGAAAAGAAAAGAAAAGAACTTCAGATATACAGCAATTGTAATTCTTCTGAAAGCTAGTTATGGGACACTACTTTCATACTTTGCTGTTCAATAAATGTGGGGTGGAGAATAAAGTAAACTGACAGAATTACCATATAAAATAAAATTCTAAGTGCTCTGACAACAAAAGAAACTTAAAACACACACACACACACACACACACACACACACACACACGGTTTTCCCTGCTAATCATTTTACAACTAAACAACCAAAGTAGCTAACCCAGAGCCCACAACAGCAGAGTAGAAATTCTAACACTTGGTTAAATAAAAATGCACATATACCCCTGTGAGCTAAAAAAAATGCTTTCAAAGACAGACAGTAATTACAGCTACTGAGAACATCACTGTAAGCAAACTGAGGCAGAGAAAACAACGGTGCTGATGAGGAATTGAACCACCTAACCTGCAGAAACCCACTGGATGGTTTCCTAGGTTCCGAGTTGGCATTATCTTTCAGAGTGATTTCTAAAAGAGATCACATAATACTGTTACAAAGGATCTGGAGAAAGGGACCCTTGCTTTATCTCTCTGGCTCTCCAGTCATGCTTTACATTTTCACTTCTTACGCTCTCTTTCATATGAAATCAATTTACAGACTTCCTTCAAGCCCTTAGAGACCTTTTTGTACTATCCATGACAAGTTCTTGATGTAGCTCTGCACTTTTGACAAATTCTTAGCAGTTAACTTTCAAGGCAGTTAAGATTTCTGTTCAAGCACGATATAGCTAGAATAGGGTCATATACTCAATAAAACAAATATTTACCAAGCATTTACTGACTGGAAGATAAAAAGCACAAAGCATAATTATAAAATATTTTCCCCTGCCACCATAAAAAAAAAATTAAAAAGGCCTACAGAATATAGCATAACATGACCAAAGCAAAAACAGTGAGGACCAAAGAGGGGAGGAAGGGAAAATATCAGCATGAACTGAATACGACCCAGGAGAGCCTTGATGGTCAGACATGTAAAGACAAATTGGGTAGGGTGAAGGGGTGGAGGTCAGGGACGCATCCTACAGGGGAAAAACAGCTCACACAGAAGCCTGAAAGGAAAAGCGCGAAGACACCTGTACGGGACTCTTACCTGCCGCCTTGACTGTACAATGAGCCCTTCCAGAACACAGCAGCGCGCGGCCAGGCCCCGGGGAGAGGGATCGCTCAAACAGCACCAGAGGCTGCATTCCAACTTTTCCTCCGTCAACGAGGCCGTTTTCATTGTTAGTTTCTCCTTAAACACAAACTTAAAAACAACTGGCTTAAATCTACTATCGCATCTTGCGTGATCATGTTTGTGCCTTACAGTGACAGGCTGCAAACGATAGAAATTCAACCCAAACTGTCACAAGAAAAGAAGGAAAGGCTTGTAACTACTTAAACATATTGCTAATTAAAGATGTCTGGAAAATTGACTCAAAAACAAAAACAAAAACAAAACAACAACAACAAAAAATTGGCCGAACACGCGGGAACAGGGAAAACCTGACTGAAGAATGAGGCCTTAAAACTTAAGGGCCTTGGGTCCCGGCGCGGTGGCTCACGCCTGGAATCCCAGCACTTTGGGAGGCAGAGGTGGGTCATTTGAGGTCAGGAGTTCGAGACCAGCCTGGCCAACACGGTGAAACCCCCTCTCTACTAAAAACACAAAAGTTAGCCAGCCTTGGTGGCGGGGCCTGTAATCCAGCTACTGGGGAGGCTGAGGCAGGAGAATCTCTTTAACCCGTGGACTGTCAAGGGACATAGGCTGCAGTGAGCCGAGATCCCGCCACTGCACTCCAGCCTGGGCGACAGAGTGAGACTGTCTCAAAAAAAAAAAAAAAAGAAAAGAAAAAAAAACTTTTTTTTTTTTTTTGAGAGAAGTCTCGCTCTTGTCCCCCAGGTTTGAGTGCAATGGCTTAATCTGGGCTCACTGCAACCTCCGCCTCCCGGGTTCAAACGATTCTCCTGCCTCTGCCTCCCAAGTAGCTGGGACTAAGGCGCCTGCCACCACGCCCGGCTAATTTTTGTAGTTTTTAGTAGAAACGCGGTTTGACCATGTTGGCCACGCTGGTCTCGAACTCCTGACCTCAGGAGATCCGCCCGCCTCGGCCTCCCAAAGTGCTGGGATTACAGGCGTGCGCCACCGCGCCCAGGCAAAACACGCGAGCATCTCAGAGGCCTTTTCCCTTCCGCGCCTGGGCTCAAACAACGCTGGAGCGCCCCGCCCCGCCCCGTCGCGGTCCCGGGAGCAGTCCCGCTGACTGAGGGCGACCATGGGTCCCAAGAGGGCTCCGGCCGCCGCGGGCTCCCACCTCGGTGCGTGGCGACGGCGGCCAAGAGGGGCCAGCGGCCCCCGAGTCAGCCCCGCGCCAGGAGCCGGAGAGACGCGCCCTCCGCCTCCTCCCACCCAAGCCTCGCGCAGTCCCGGGGGCGGGGCGGGGCCAGCTGAGGGAGGAAGGGGCGGGGACCCGGGGCCTCTACCCGTTAGGCTGCCGTTGGTCCCGAGACTCCCCCATCTGCGCCCCCGCCCTGCCCTGCGAGGCCGCCGCCGCGCGCCCCACCGTCTGTTGCAGTGGAGCGTGAGCCGCGGCTGCGGCTCCTGGTTCTTGTGGAAGGTAGACGCCAGCAACTTCAGCTTGGCCTTAACCCTGACAGGGACATCTTCCCTCATCTCCGGCGGGAGGGGCGCGGAAGGGGAGCCGCTGTCATGGCTGCGACCACCCGGCGGGACCGCCCGGCCGAGCGCTCGCGGCTTCGCCTCTCCCCGCCGCCTCAACCTTCGTGGGAGCGCGGATGGAAAATGGGAAGGGGCACCGAGGCCTCGGCGGGGAGCTGCGCGGCGGCCTCGGGGGCTGCTCCCTTTGCGACCGACGCCACCGATAGGAGGGGCGGCTCCTGTCAAGCCTCAGCTTAAAAGGGCAACAGCGGCCGGGCGCGGGGGCTCCCGCCTGTCATCCCAGCACTTTGGGAGGCCGAGGCGGGCGGATCACGAGGTCAGGAGATCGAGACCATCCCGGCTAACACGGGGAAACCCCGTCCCCACTAAAAATACAAAAAATTAGCCGGGCGCGGGGGCTCCCGCCTGTCATCCCAGCACTTTGGGAGGCCGAGGCGGGCGGATCACGAGGTCAGGAGATCGAGACCATCCCGGCTAACACGGGGAAACCCCATCTCTACTAAAAATACAAAAAATGAGCCGGGCGCGGTGGCGGGCGCCTGTGGTCCCAGCTACTCGGGAGGCTGAGGCAGGAGAATGGCGTGAACCCGGGAGGCGGAGCTTGCAGTGAGCCGAGATCGCGCCACCGCACTCCAGCCTGGGGGACAGAGCGAGACTCCGTCTCAAAAAAAAAAAAAAAAGAAAAAGAAAAAGGACAACAGCACCACCGTCCCCGCTACCGCCTGGGAAAGGGCTGCCCCAACCCTGCCACCTTCCCTGTCACCCCTCAACCCGGCGCGCACCCGTTTTGGCGGTTGCACGAGTCCAGAGCGTGCGCGCGCTCCCGGCTGCCCCCTCCTCCCCTTGACCCAGCACCTTTCTGCCCGACCCATCTAGTCCCTACATTCCTCACACTCGCCTACTGGAGGCTCAGGGCGGCACAACCACCAACTGTAGTGTGTGTGTTTCTCCCGAGTGTGTGTGTGTGTGTCTCCCAAGGGAACAGAGCACTGCTGAGTTCAGGTTGATTATTAGGTCGTGGACTGTCAGCAAAATGCAGTCACAAGAAGGCTGTGGGCTGTTTTGTGTTTTGCGGTGACATCATGTTGCTCATGTTTTATGTTTTTCAGAGTTCATTAGTTTCTATTTGTTCTCAGTTAATATCCACCTCAATAGATTGCATAAGTAGAATACCCCCAAACTGAAAGTCACCTACATAAAATGTAGTGAAAAATATGTCACCCACTTAAACTATAGCTTAAACTATAGTTGAAGTTGTGTACACACTAGTTTTGTGTAGCCAACACTAGGTAATGGGTAAAGGCACAGGATCCTGGGGCTCTACTGCCTGGTTCAATTTCCAACTTTGCCATTTGCTGGCTGTGAAATACTAGACAACTTTAAGCCTCAGTTTCTTTTTTTTTTTTTTAAACTTAATCCCAAATGTGATAGTAAGTCTCAGTTTCTTGATCTGAAAAACAGAAATTATTCAATGAGAGTCTATGTGAAAACATTAAAGTTTTTAAAGCCACTGCCTGGCTCAGGAAAGTCCTCAGCTTTAGCCGTTATTAGCTATGATAATTATTGTGTTGGCTACACGTGCATTAATGAGGTAGGAAAATGCTCAAGGATAACAACCAAGTATCCAGATTATCTCATGAGACCGAGAGAGATGCATATGTGTGCATGCTCATGTTTCAGCTCAGAGCGCTTTGTCTAGAAGGCTCTTGAACTCAGAGGCCCAGGCACTATCAACTTGACTTTGCAGTGGAGGCATCACTTTTGTTGATCAATGAAATTGACATAATGATCATTTTTTTTTTAGCACCGACCATGTGCCGAGAGCTAACTGTGTCAAGAAGAGCATGCTTCAGTTGGCTGGAGTGAGCAATTCAACTTGTGGAGGAGTGAGAAATGTTAGTGTTGAGACAAGAAACGTAAAACCCCAGGGTAAGGTAGGAATCAGTGAAAGGCAGAGGAACTGCCGTCCAGTAATGAGTTAGGCTTTGCTGGCTTCTGGCCCTACAGATGGCTCTTTGGAGAGGAAAAAATTAAGCTAGGCCCGAGGGCACAGATCCTAAGGGAATGCTGGCAGCCTAGGCTGTCTATGGAAGAGAAGCAGAGGGTGGCACCTGGTTGAAAGAGGGGGTTGGGGGACAGAGCTTGAGGCTGTGTTTACAGATGGAGTCCTCTGATTCCTGTGACTGGGGAAGGAGATCGTGCCGGATCAGGGCACCTCAAATCAGAACTCTTCCCACCCACACCCCTTCTTTTCAGGGCGTCTTTCATTGCAAACAGCAGATAAACTAGTTGGAAAACTCAGCAGATTCTCACGGTGGTGCCTAGCAGGCCAGGCCTAGCTGCCGTTTAACCTGTGACTGAGGGTGATGCCACCGGCCTGTAAACACACATTGGAAAATCTTTACGTCCGTGGACACGCCATGCCCCACAGAGACAGCTGTGCATGGTTCTTTAGGTTTGGGGTGCTGTGCTGGCAGTTGCCTGATAAATGTGTAGGATTAAAATGGGATGCCCTGGAGCTTAGCTAACCTTTATCCCCCCTCCCCCCTCTAAAATGAAGGGGCTGCTAGTTTTGTTTGCTTTATGAAAGATGGATCTGTTGTTATTGTTTTTAGAACCTTTGGAGAAAGATTTCTTGGGAGGAAGCGATCCTGAACCCCCAGAGATTTTCTCATTTACTGGTGCACCAGCTTTCGAGTCCTAGGTCTTCATCCTGGCTCAGCCACCCTCCAGCTGTGTGACCTTTGAGAAGTTGCTTGACTACACTGAGTCTCATTGTCACCTATGAGTGGAGGTTGCTACGTTGCTACTGAGTGGAGCACCTACCCCCAGCCACTCTCACAGGGTGATGGTGACGATTAAATGCAATAATAAGGCTGAAGGAGGAGGATCGCTTGAAGCCAGGAGTTTGAGACTAGCCTGGGCAACAAAGCCAGACCACATTTCTATGAAAATGTTTTTTTAAAAAATTAGCTGGACTTGGTGGCTTAGGCCTACAGTCCAGCTACTCGAGAGGCTGAGGTGAGACCACTTGAGCCCAGGAGCTTGAGGCTGCAGTGAGCTGTGATTGCACCACTGCACTCCCGCCCAGGAAACAGAGAGAGACCCTATCTCAAATAAATGAATAAGTAAATAAATAAAATAATAAAATAATGCATGCAATTAGTACACTAGTACGTGATCAGGCACATGATAACTGCTCGATAAATGGTAGCCTCAGTAAACTTTATAATGTTTTAAAGGAGAATGTCCTTTGGACTCAGCCCAGTGACAGAGCATTTGAAAAGACTGATTTGTATGATGGCTATTTCCTACAGATACAAGACTGTACCTCCAGGGACTCAAGGCATTGGCTCAATGGGGCACCTTGTTCTGTTTACTCTTGTTTTGGTCAGCACCGATTGCCCTAGGGCTAAGCAGGACTGCCACCACAGACTCAGTTGCCAAGAGTATCCCCCTCCCCAAGCTAGCCATGGGAAAGCCACTTGCATCGTAAGACTACAGGAAATCAAAGGGAATAAAAAGCACAATTTAGTCACCTACTCTCCAGTTGATGGGCAATAGGTTTTTGCTATTTTGAACAGAGCTGTTAGGAACATTCCTTGTCCACATCACCTGTTTTATATAGGCAAGAATTTCTCTTCCATGTAGAGTAGAATTACTGGGCTGGGAGGAGTGTGAATATTGAACCTTATGAGATGGAGCCAAACTGTTTTCCAAAGTGGTCATACCAGTGTATACTCCCAGCAGCAGTTCTTAAGAGATCTCAGGATGTCTATCTTCTGGTGATTTCACAAGCAGTCAAAAAGAATGAAGGCCAGCAATAAACAACAATAAGAACTTTAGCAATATAATATTGTGAGAAAAACAAATTCCAGGAGGATGCATACAGAATACTTTATATAACATGGAAAAGAAAATGTATATATAGACCCAGCATGGTGGCTCATGCCTGTAATCCTGGCACTTTGGGAGGCCAAGGCAGGAGGATTGCTTGAGGCCAGGAGTTCAAGACCAGCCTGGGCAACATAGCAAAACCCTTTCTCTACAAAAACTAGAAAAATTAGCCAGGTGTGGTGGTGCAGGCATGTAGTCCTAGCTACTCATGAGGCTGAGATGGGAGGATCTCTTGAGTTTAGGTGTTCAAGGTTACAGTGAGCCCATGATTGCACCACTGCACTCCAGCCTGGGCAACAGAATGAGACCCTGTTTGCAAAAGAAAAAAACAAGTAAATTAAGTAAAATTTAAAAACAAAATGTGGGCTGGGCACGGATTCTCAAGCCTGTAACCCCAGCACTTTGCAGGGCCGAAGTGGGTACCTTATGAGGTCAGGAGTTCAATACCAGCCTGATCAACATGGTGAAACCATGTCTCTACTAAAAATAGAAAAATTACCCAGGGTGGTGGTACGCACCTGTAATCCCAGCTACTCAGGAGGCTGAGGCAGGAGAATCACTTGAACCTGGGAGGCAGAGGTTGCAGTGAGCCAGGATTGTGCCATTGCACTCCAGCCTGGGTGACAAAGCAAGATTCCATCTCAAAAAAAAAAATTATTTTTTTAAAAAGATAAACAACATTGACAAACAAAAGGAAACATGACAACTGATACCACAAAAACTCAAAGGATCACTAGTGGCTATTATCAGCAACTATATGCAAACAAATAGGAAAACCTACTAAAAATGGATGAATTTCCAGACACATCCAGACTACCAAGACTGAACCAGGATGAAATCCAAAACCAGAACAGACCAATAACAAATAATGGGATCGAAGTGGTAATGAAAAGTCTCTCAGCAAAGAAAAGCCTGGGACCTGATGATTCACTGCTGAATTCTAGCAAACATTTAAAGAAGAACTAATACCAACCTTACCCAAACGATTCCAAAAATAGAGAAGGAGAGAATACTTCCAAACTCATTCTACAAGGCTAATATTACCCTGATACCAAAACTAAAGATACATCCAAAAAAGAAAACTACAGGCCAGTATCACTGATGAATATTGATGCAAAAATCCTCAACAAAATATTAGCTAATTGAATTCAACAACACATTAAAGTTGGGGTGCAGTGTCCCAGGTTCACTCAACCCTTCCCGTTTTCTTGTCTGTGTGTGTCTACTTTGCTCTGTTCCCTGGTGGCAGCGGCGGTGGCAGTGTTGGTGCATGGGCCTCCCAGGACAAGGGGAAAGTGAGTATGCCCTTTTTTTGCCTCCTGCCAGGCATCTGCAGCCTGGCGCAAGCTCTGGCCAGGTCTTCAAGCAAGGTACCTGGAGATGTTCTTTTCCAATTTCTGGATTGGTAACTTGAGGCAAATTCTGGGCACTAGAATCAGAACTAAGACGAGACATGAATCAGGGGAGTCTGGGGTCCTGAGAGGCAGAGGCCTGAAACCATCTAGAGCATGTGGGGAGCTGGGTGTGTGTTCAGGCCAGTTGCCTTTCTCTGTGCTTCAATGTTCCAGGTACCCTTGGAGGGACTGAGATCCTAGGGATTGCTGGAGCCTGGCTGCATGGCCTGGCCACCCTGATGCCCTTGCGTTCTCCGTGACAGGACAGCAAGGCTGAGGAGAATGGCTCCCACAGCTTCATGCACTCCATGGACCCACAGCTGGAGCGGCAAATGGAAACCACCCAGAACCTGGTGGACTCCTACATGGCCATTGTCAACAAGACCGTGTGGGACCTCATGGTTGGTGCGAAGCCCAAGACCACCATGCATATCATGATCTACAATGTGCATGCACCGCCTCATGGGGGTAGGCGGCTCCTGTGGCACTGAGGATGCAGGTGGCCATGTTGGCCTGGGGGAGATGCTGACCAGCCCTATGGGACCAGGTCCAGGGAGGGAGGCATGGTCCAGACCAGAGCTGTCTCATAGAAATATAACATGGGACTGAGGACAGTGGTCCATGCCTGTAATCCCAGCACTTTGGGAGGCCAAGGCGGGAGGATAGCTTGAACCCAGGAGTTTGAGACCAGCCTGGGCAACATAGTGAGACCTGGCCTCTACACAAAAATTTTAAAAATAGCTGGGCTTGGTGGTGGCACGTGCCTATAGTCCTAGCTACTCGACAGGCTGACATTAGAGGATCACTTTGAGCCCAAGAGGTTGAGGATGCAGTGAGCAGTGATCTTGCCCTCTATACTCCAGCCTAGCGACAGAGTAAGATCCTATCTCCAAAAAAAATTTGAAAAACCTGAGTAGACAGTTGTCCTGGTAGCATGATAGGTCCAGGGTGCCCTCCCAGATCTGTGACTTGCACAGGCGACCTTTCCTCTGGACCTCAGTGTCCCTATCTGAGTGAGAAAAGGGCAATGGGGAGGCAGATCTTTGAGTTTAAGCTGTGTAGAAGCCGCATGTGAAAAGCCATACTCAGGGCTTCAACTCCAGCACACAGTCCCAGCAGGGGCCAGCGGGAGGCCAGGGCAGCACGGGCATCAGGACCCAAACTCCTTCCTTCTTTGCCCACTCTCAGACCAAGGAGTTCATCTTCTCGGAGCTGCTGTCCAACCTGCGCTCGCGTGGGAACGAGAAGACACTCATGGAGGAGTCGGCAGAGTAGGCACAGCGGCGCGACGAGATGCTGCTTCTCAGAGCTGCTGTCCAACCTGCACTCGCTTGGGAACCAGAAGACACTCGTGGAGGAGTCGGCAGAGCAGGCACAGCGGCGCGACGAGACTCGCGTGGGAAGAAATAGACACTCCTGGAGGAGTCGGCAGAGCAGGCACAGCGGCGCGACGAGACTCGCGTGGGAACGAGAAGACACTCCTGGAGGAGTCGGCAGAGCAGGCAGACCAAGGAGTTCATCTTCTCGGAGCTGCTGTCCAACCTGCACTCGCGTAGGGACAAGAAGACACTCCTGCAGGAGTCGGCGGAGCAGGCAGACCAAGGAGTTCATCTTCTCAGAGCTGCTGTCCAACCTGCACTCGCGTGGGAACGAGAAGACACTCCTGGAGGAGTCGGCGGAGCAGGCACAGCGGCGCGACGAGATGCTGCGCATGCACCACGTGCTGAAAGAGGCTCTCAGCATCATCGGCAACATCAACACGAACACCGTCAGCACAGCTACGGGGGCCCGTGGACGACGCCTAGCTGCAGGTACAGAGCGTCCCGGCTGGACCCAGGTACCAGGGCTGGCCCCCACTAGCCCCAAAGCCCCCTAGCCTCCATGGCTGAGCTTGTGGGCTCTTGGAACAGGCTCTGTGCCCAAGCTGGCAGACATGGGCTCTCTCTGGAGCTGTCAGAGAGCTCGTGGTTTATGGTGTAAGGGCTGAGAGCTTGGAGGGGGTTGTGTGCAGGGCTGTACTCTGAGGCGGCCAGAGGCCTAGGAATGTCATCCTGGGCACGCTGTAGCTGTTGTGAAGTCCGAGTCATGCTGCCAGGGCGGGCATCCAGCTCCCAGCCTGGGAGTGCTGAGAGCCAAATCTACTGCAGAGCAGGGGTGATAGTCAGGGTCCCACCTCCTCTATCTGTTGACAATCCAGTGGTGATCTAAGATAAAAACTTGAGAGTCCCATACACACGGTCAACCCACAACACACCTCACAGGCCAGGCAGGGACACACAGTCCCCTTCCCTCCCTCCCAGGTACCATCATAGCTGATAGCGTGTGGCTGAAGGCAGGGTCCCTGGCCCCCACTGAAGCACTACCGCCAGCCAGCAGACTCACGCACCTTGGCCTGTTGCTTCTAGAGGTTGCCTCTGCTATTCAGCCGAGGGGACCATAGTGCATGCTGGCCCGGCTGAGCTCCACCCAGCAAGCCCACCCACCTCCCTTGCCATGGACTCTCCCTCTTCTGCTTTTCCCAGCAGGAAGGGCCCAGCCTCACCTTTGTGACCTGCAACCCCCAACAAGCTGAGGCTCCCCTCTTAGACTTATAAGTCTATAGCCAGTGGCATCCAGCTGCCTATCCTCCCTACCTCCCCCAGGGTCCCCTCAGAGGGTCCTGGGCTTTCTGACTGCCCAAAAGGGGCTCCGGCAATCACTCCAGCCATCCATCCCTTTTAGCTTCATCATCCTGGTTCAAGCAGTGTTCCTTCTGTATCAGGCCTGGTGGCTGTTGTTTTGGGTTCCCAAAAGCAAGAGGTGGCCCCGGGCCAGTGGGTTCAAAGACAGGGTGACCAGAGAAGAGGGACACTGGAGGGGGCTGAGCATTGCTCTGAACGGTGGGTGCACTGCCCTGGGTGCCCTGAAAGATGCCAGCGTGTGTGGGGTGGGGAGGGCCGCCGCAGCCCCCAGGCACTAACTGTGGAGCATTGCTCTGAACGGTGGGTGCACTGCCCTGGGTGCCCTGAAAGAGGCCAGCGTGTGTGGGGTGGGGAGGCCGCCGCAGCCCCCAGGACTAACTGTGGAGCTCTCCTCCCTCCTTCTTCCTCCCCTTTCCTTTCCAGCCCCACTTTCCCAGGAGCCTTGCCATACCCGCACCTGCGCCCTCCCCGCCCCAGCCCTCCCACAGCTGCTGTGGCACGCCTGTCTCTGCCTTGCCTCATCAGCTCTCTGCTCGCTTTTCTCTCTCCTGCTTCTCTCTGCTTTCTCTCCAACTGCCAGCTGATTGGGTCAGGCAAGACCATCCCATCCTCAGAGCCCCAGCCCCCACTTCGACCTCTAAACAGATCCCTCCTCTTCTCAGAGACCTCCCTTTCCAAGCCTGCCTGAGCGGCTGTTCTGTGACTTGACAGTGGCTCCCCCAGCCTCAAAGCCAGCCCCCTACATCTGTGACTTAGTCTGTTGTGGTGAGCTGACACATCCAGGTGTGACCACTGCTGAAAACTTGTGCCCCCTTTGTGATATGCCCCGTCCTGCTCTATAAATATCTATAAATACATATATATATATATATATACACACACACACACACACACACACACACACACACACATGCAGCAACACCTGGCCGACCGCCTCGTCTCTAGCGCTGGGAATCAGTCACCCTGCTGTCCTTTTGGAGTCTTGTGGCCCAACAAGAGAAAGCTGTCCCCTGACATTGCTCCTCCAAAGTGCGCCACCTCCAGTGAGCCTCCCTGTCATGCCCAGCCTGTGGACAGCCAGCCCCGCCATCCCTCCCACCCCCCACCAAGCATGGGGGTGCTGTGCAGGCCTCTGTGTGGCCTGACAGTCTCTACCAGTCCTGCTGTCCCTTGGCTGAGAATCAAACCCATTTCTGGATGGCAGGGAAGTGTGTCCTCTGCTGGCTGTGTTCTGTGTGGAGCTCAGAGGACGGGAAAGGCCAAGCCATTTCTAGGGTGCTGTTGGGAGCTGTGAAAAGGTCACACCCTTTCCAAGGGACACTTTTCCTGGAAAGCCCCTGGAGCTTAGCTGGCTCTTATCCTGTGAAGCCGGCTCTGGCCACCAGGGGGCAGGGCCGTGAACTCAGCCTGGAGGGAGCCTGAGGGGCAGCCGGCACTCTGGAGGGACACAGACATAACAGGCCACCAGGTGCAGACAGGAGAGGGAGGCAAGGGGATGGAACGGAAGACACCTGGGGTGGGTGGAAGTCAGTGCCGTTAGGTGCTGGTGCCTGTCTTCCCGGCCATGGCTAGATCACGCTTCTGAGCCTGTTGGCTGTCAGGGCCGGGCTGCGCCCCATAGGTGCCATGGCAGTCCCCGTGGACTCCCCCAGGCGTCACCAGGCAGCATACAGGTAACAGGCCTGGAAGGTCCCCAACAGCCCAGCTGGACACGCTCAGACACTCCAGGGCTTCTCGTTCAGTGGCACAAACACCAGGACCCAGTGAGGGAAATGGGAACACACCAGGCTGAGCAGTATGGCTAAATCCGTTTATTCCAAAATAAAAAGCAAAATAAACAGGAGTCGCATCACCAGGAGCCATGACCCCATCCCCGCCTCCTTTCTTTGTCCTATGCTAGCAATACATAAGTTTCCCAGCCACAAATAATGATCAGACCCTCCTCCCCATGTGCCAGCTCCAACCTCCTCTAGGTACGATACAGGGGCGGCCCTACCCTCTGGAATATACAAAACGTTACATAGATACAATATGTACACCGGGGAAGGGGGGCCACCCCAGCAGCCCGTGCCCTCACCTGGTCCACAGTTAGCCCCACTGTCCCGCCTCAGCTGCCTCTCTGAATAAGAAGATGGGAGCCCCCCCGAGGGAAAAGTTACTATGGTGAGAGTAAGGAGGCCATCAGACCTCCTCCAAACAAACCACCTCTGCCAGCCTCTGGCTCTTAAATAACAATCATCATCATCCAGAAATTTAAGGACTCAGCCCTGGTCAAGGCGGCAAAGGGTCTGTCTTTCCCCATTAGACAGAGGTCTTGTGTGGCTACCCTAATTGTAAAGGGGTGCCTGGGAAGGGGTGGTAGGGTCATGGTGGCAGTGGAGACTCCAGCCCTACTTCTCCAGGCTTTGCTGACAGAGGCCTGCTTTTAATTTTTGTTTTTATCCCATGACTTTTTTTAAAATCCCGTAACTTCTTTTTCATAACTTTTTTTGTAACTTTTCATAAAATTTTTTTCTACTTTTTTGCCACAACTTTTTTACATTTTTTTAATCCCATAACTTTTTCACTCCATAACATTTTTTAATCCTGTAACTTTATTTTGTGTTCTTTTAACAAACACTTGCATAGCTATATTACAATTTTGTAAAAATGAAACAGATTATCTCATGCCAAGCATGCCCAGCATTCGCACAGTATCAACACCTTTAATACTATAGTTTTCCAAGACATGCAAAACAAAATTTTAAGGCAAAAACAGCACTTTGTAACAATTTAATAATTTATTACATTACAGTAGCATCACACTAGCAGTCAATAATGCCACTTTAGGCAAAAGTTTTTCAGTATTTCCATTATACCTTCTGTTTACAAGAATTCATAAATTGGTAAAATTCATTCTAAGAAAACTTGGCAAATAAAGCTTTGGACTGGAATTGGCATTTCTTTCTCTACTTTTCCTTCCCACCGTTTCTTTCTTTTAAACTATAGTATTCATATTTTAAAATGTTTTATTTCAGAACTTTAAGATAGCAGTTACATTTTTTAGTAGTTACATTATTTTTAAATGACTCTTTAAGATAATGTTTTAGAGAAACTATATTATGGATAGGGCTGATTTACCTTTTCAAATTTTCTAAAAATCAGCTTTGGTTTTAGAACTGATTTTTTTTTCATTTCTGGAAAACCTATCAGGTTTAATCAAATACTTCTTTAAAAATAATTATTATATATTGCAATCTTTAAATAGGTGTTTTGATTCTTCCTGCAGAAATTCAAATTTATTCAGCTGAACTAGCATTTTGAAATTCCTTGGCTCAATGAGGTATCGCAAAAGACTGTATGCACTTTGAAGAAAGACAAGTTAGTCATACGATTTCCATTCTTTTTAGCTTTCTCTTAAATATATGACAAATACCTACACAAAGAGTGGTATTTCAGTTAATATAGTAAATTTATTTCCAGACTGACATTCAGCTTAAATATGCCAATATGTGATTTAATCCATAGGCACCTGATGAACACATTATTGTCAGATTGGTTACAGATGCTAAATGCTATCTGAAGGTCATTCCTAGTCATTGATATTTATCAGGGTAAAAGTGAAGTGATTTCAACAATAAAAGTACCTTTGAAATAATTTACCAATGTATTAGATAAACCCAGTTTCAGAATGATAAAGAAAAAACGTTAGACCAAATAGATGTGGCTAATTAACAGTGGTATGATTTCTAGCCTGAGGGTTTAAAATGGACTTAAAGTAACTGTCTTTAAATTGAACTCAAAGAATGCAAAAGCAGCAAGTTCAGAAAATAAAAGGCAAGAACAGGACTTTAGGTCCATTTTAAACCCACGGGCTAGAAATCGTACCACTGTTAATTAGCTGTGTTATTTGGTCTAACATTTTTTCTTTATCATTCTGAAACTGGGTTTATCTAATACATTGATACATTCATACAATTTGGAAGAGTCAGTTGAAGTCACAAGGACCCAATATTTGCGCTCTTTCAGTGAATGCAGGCAAATCTGTTATTCCATCGGTAAAATCGTATTGTTGCTCTCCTGTTAATGTCATATTTAGAAAAGTATCATGAGGACGCCAAATGCTAAAAATGGAGATGGTCTAGTAACTAGAAATCCCCACCCCAGGGAGCGCATATACACATCTCCCTACATCCTAATAATGTGATGTGTTTTGGAACACAGACATTAGAACTTCATGAAGTTTGAACTGTTGAGTCTTTCCCAAGCATCATCAAGTTATGATTTAGGCAATGTATGACTGAAATCATTTGTTCATCATGCATAGGCACAATCACATAAATATTGCACAAAATATGTCCCTAACTGAAACTGAGAGGTACAAAAACATATTTCACTCTTAGTAAACAAGTTTGTGAGGAAATATAACTCTGTGATTGTATAGACACATTTCCTGATAATACATTGACATTCACAAACAGTAGACTGCACTGCAGTTTATAAACATTTTAAATTGCATAAACATCTCCTTGATTATCAAATATAGTATAATACTGTCTACTAAAACTCCTTTTTGTTTCAACTAAGTACTCTCACATATATTAGTTTATAATAATGTTTGTTATTATTTTTTAAAGTGTTTTCCATTCAAGGAAAAGAAGTAAATTCCTATGTCAGAGTAACCAAGGTGGTTGAAGAATAGGTATTAGCCAGAGAGGTGTAGATGGTAAAAATCAATCTTCAAGCCTCAAAGAAGCTCCATGAACAGAGAGGAATGCCAGGTGTCACAAGCTTTCCTTCACTCTAATTCATTCTTGACTAGAGCCTGTATGCCTGTTCCAGGGACATTTAAACTCCTAAAGGATTTCTTATGATCTTTACTAAATAAGAAGAATGCCAGCCAGCACTCTTTTGTGTACTGGGACATGTGGTCATGTGATTAAAACAGGTAACATCAACTCTGACTTTAAAATGTATTATAGACACAAATGCTCTAAGCTAGGAAAGGTTTTCCACATCTACAGTCAATGAAGGGAGCCTTTCGTTCCTCAGAAATGATCAGTTTTTAGGTCATCGAGAAAGAGTACAACTGCTGCAGCTCATGATGCAATATCTTCATGAGCCCAGAGCACATACAAATCCGAAGGGAACTACCATAGTACAGCGCTAATTGTTGGCACCGGAACAAATGAAACACACTCTATCCTGCACAAACCTGCCACAGCAGGCCACTTTCCTCTTCTGTGAGATTTTAAAAGCTCCCCCAAAATGTTATTACTCCCATCACCAATACACAGAAAATAGGGGAAAGGCTGTTTCCAGTTCTCGGCCTTTAAACAACTCTAAATGTCAGTACTCATAGTGGCATATTACAAAGTAATAAACAGTGCACACCTGGGGGCAAACCACATATTGAGCTAATGAAGAGCTCACTGTGATTAAGATTAGATCAAACAATAGCAGAACATAAGCAAATTTTATCTGAATTCCGTAATGAACATACATGCTGCGATAACATTAAAAAAGCATGGCAGCCTATTCCAAACCAGCAATAATAATTTTGTGCAAATAGTGGGTCTTTGTGTATTTGAACTCCCACCACGTAAGGGCAAACTCGATATGCATGCTAATGACCTACAACTATGAAACTAAAAAAGAAAAATGCTGAAGGATGCCAGAGTAAACATCAGTGAAAGCCACAGAGACCCACTCTCCTTTAACTTTTTACAAATAAACTATAAATTACAAATAATCATGAGTGGCTCTAACATTCAAATGAAGTAAATGAATTGGGTAGGAGATGAACCCCATAACTTTGTTTCCTTTTTTAAAATTTCTTGAGCAGCTCTTTGATGATGGTGATGTTTATCTCCTTCTTCTCAGCAGCCAAGCCCAGCAAAAGAATGGCATACGGGAGTTGCTGCACAAGCCTGGGTGCTCCACGCTGTCAGTGAGGCTCACCTCACAAAGATCTTTGGAGAGAAGGAGGTGGGGATCCGAGTGCAGTGAGAGCCTCCCCTGCCCCTGCCTGCCCACCCTGCCTGAGGACTCTACTCACCACCATGCTTATCAGCACCCACAAGCTCCTGGGGGGCTGGGGCTCCTGGACCAGGCTCATCAGCAAGCTTCAGGGCAGTGGCCGGGAATTTGCTGTGTCCCTCGTTGTAGTCACCACAAGCCGCAACATCTTCTCCAGCAGCTCCAGCAGCTTCACCTGGAGGGAGGGGTGCTCAGCTGTTATGCATCTACCGGCGCCCACCCTCACGCCCACCCCCACCCCTGCAGAGATGTTGCACACCCTACCTTCATCTCCTCCATGTCCTGGGCCAGCCTGATGATGTCCTCCTCCAGTTGCCGCATCTTTGGCACTGCCCCCTGGCTGTGTTCTAGGGTGATGAACTTTCCTGCAGGAGGACAGGGCTCAGACGCTGAGGTCCCTCCGACGGCCCTGCAGCTCCCCCTGCCGTGCCCTGGCCTCCCACTAACTGATGACTTCTGTCTTTCCAGTACTGGATGAATCGAAGTTCTAGTTTCTCCGCTCGCTCCCTCAGGTCCACCTTCTCCTCCAGGAGGTCCATAAGGCCACTCTGGAGCCAAAATAATGGGGTCACATCTCGGCAGCAACACCCACCCCTGCCCTTCTTGGCCCATGCCAGGACTCAGTCACCTCCAGCTTCTCCATGACCTCCTGCATGGCCCGGTGGGTCTCCCCACTCACAGACTGGCCCCTAGTCACTGGGGCTGGGACCGCTGCCTCTGGCTTCTGCTGGGCCGAGGCCACCAGGTGAGCCATGCGCTGGCAGCACACCCTCTGCTCTTTCACCTGCTCTCATAACCGTGCCTGCTCCTCCTGGGCATTGGCTCCAGCGGAGTTGAAAAATGCAACCTGAGGGCAAGAGGTGAGCATTCTTGTAGGGGCATACACAGAACGAACGGGGCAGAGAGGTGGAGTGCAGCCTCTTCCCTTGGGGCCTCAGAGAGTGCATCTGTTGGTCACAGGTGAAATGGTGTCTGACCACTGGCTCCTGGAAGGGATGAGGGTCCAGAGAAATCAGAAGGCAGGGAAACCAAGAGCATAAAGGGGTCTTGGAGGGACCACAGAGGAAGGTGGCAAAATGGGTACAGGGGGAGTCAGGCTCACCGTGGCCTCCCAGCTCTCCAGGTCCTCTGGGTTGCTTGGCATGGGCCGAGGTGCCTCCTCCTCACTGTCCAGATGTCCTCCTCTATCTCCTGTGGGGGGTGGCCAGAAGGGTCCTCAGACAGCCCAATAAGGGAGGTACTGTGGGCCCACCTCTGCCTCCACCCTCACTGTGTAACACTGAGCCAGCCACTACCCAGAGAGCAGCTGCTGTTCTTTATTTTTACTTTTAAGAACCAAGATCAGGCATAGTCCCACTACCAGTCGATGTGGGAGTTCTGACCCGCTCCCTTTCTGACCTGGGCCAGTTCAGCCATCCTTAGGCAACTTGGTGGCCCCCCGCTCCCAGGAGGACATCATATTGATGCCAAACTTAGTGCGGGCACCCGGTCGGCATAGGGACCAGCTGTTCTAAAGGTCTCTTCCAACCTTTGCCTTTTTCTTTGCTGCGGCCAATTTGCTCTGTTGAGTTTCTTCTGCCATTGCGGGGTGGGGAGGGAGGCGGGGTTGGGGCCACGTGAGCAAAATCCCAGTGAGCACTGATGAACACCTCCACTTGCCTACCAGGCAGCTGTGTGACTGAGCCCGAGGAGGCACAACTAGGGCCCCCATAGAATGCAGAACAGGGGCGTGGCCTTAATGCTCCAAGCCCATTGGTCAATGACAAAGATGAAAGGGAAAGGGGGTGTGGCCAGGCAGCAGTATGTCCAGAGGGACCTGTGGCTCACAAGGAAAGCTGTCCATGCAACTGCTGTCCCCGCCTACTCTGAGGGGAGGGGCCGCCCCCTCTGGGAGAGGGGAGGGGCCGGCTTTTGCTTTAAAAGCTTTAAAACTTTAAAAAATATATGTGTGTATACTTTATGTATATGTGTGTGTGTGTGTATCTATGTGTTCCTCCAGAGCTGTCTTCATTATCCAGCTTCTATGCAAGGTCTACGATTTTGGCCTATATTTTTCATCTTCAAACACAGTACAAAAATTACCAGTATTACCATAACTGAGATAAAGATCCTATAAAAATGGAAAATCCATAGCATGCTTGATGATTAACGAAGCAGACTATATTATCCAACATTCCAATAAGATAAAATAATCACAAGTTTCTTTTTTTTGGAAAAAGGTTTCTCTTATTCTCCTATGTTATTGTTAAAAAATTTTTTCTTAAACAAGAAACATGTCTAATATCTGTAACAACACAAAGCTTTTGGGCCAGATGCGGTGGCTTGCGCCTGTAATCCCAGCACTTTGGGAGCCCGAGGCGGGTGGATCACCTGAAGTCAGGAGTTCGAGACCAGCCTGGCCAACATGGTGAAACCCCATCTCTACTAATAATACAAAAACTAGCCAGGTGAGGTAGTGGGTGCCTGTAATCCCAGCTATTCAGGAGGCTGAGGCAGTAGAATCACTTGAACCCGGGAGACGGAGTTTGCAGTGAGCCAAGCTCACACCACTGCAGTCCAGCCTGGGTGACAGAGCGAAACTCCATCTCAAAAGAAATAAAATAAAATAAAATACAAAATAAATTTAAAGAGCTTTCAATTTAATAAGCACTCAAAGCTCTTTACTGGTTTAAAACAAATACAAGGCTCATTTTTCTAGAATCACCTGGCCTCTCTAAGCCTTGCAAATGAAACTGAATTTCTCACTTGATACTTGCCTGTGACTTGCAATCATGAAAACCAAGAATTGTGTTATGTCACTGTGTACTGCTTGTTACCTGAATTCCACACTAGGCTGGGCTCAAGGGTTGAATCTTTCAGATTAGCTCCATAACCTGTATGCTTCTTATCCCAGACCAAACCAAGTTTTTGTCTAGAGTTCTGCAATTTACAGTTAGTAGAGAAGAGTAATGTAGTCTCTGGACTAGCAGCACCAGCAGCACCTGAGAACTCTTTATAAGTGCAAATTCCCAGGCCCTACCCTGGACCTGGCGAATCAGAAACTCTGGAGTAGGGCTCAGCAATCTTTGCTGCAGTAATCCCTCCAGCTGTTTAAGAACCTCTGCCATACAGCAGGTAGAAAAATGTGTTTCCTTCTCTAGGTCCAAAGCCAGGGATACCATATGTTCTGTCTTGATACGAAACAATGACATGCAATTAAAACACATAACACGTAACTCTCCTACCTACTCCCACCCTCCATCCAATATGTTTTATTTTTATGAGTTCCATAAGAAAACAAGCAGCAATCAGAGGTTTACTCTAAAAAGTATGTTTACAAGTATCAGTTCTCATCCAGCCTGATCTCATACAAAACCATTTACATCCTCTTACTGCTAAAGTTTTAAAAAAGTATCTTCACAATGTAAGACTCAGGCACACTAGGAGTTCTATAATAAAACACCAAGTAGATTGGAATGTCCAAACTTACTAGAGAAGAAAAGTGGAATCATTGGCTATATTTTCAAATTGCATTCAAAGGAAATTTAAGTTCCAAATTTATTCACCTTCATACTTCCAAGTTAATAGAATTCAACCAGAACACTCCATTCCTTCAAAGCCTCTAGCCAGGCAAAGTTTTACTGTATTACTTCTTGCTTTCAATGGATATAAAGCAGAGTCCTGGTAGGCATTTTGTATACCTGCAGAGATGCAGAACTAAACAGTTCCATCTGTTCCATATTAAAACAAAAGTCCTGTAAACCTTGGGTGGTGAGTTTAATACTTCAGCACTAGCACCAAAGCCTCAAATAGGAAAAGATACCAAGAACACCGCTAGCAAACAAAACTAAACTCTCGGTCAGGAGCAGTAGTTCGCACCTGTAATCCCAGCACTTTGACAAGCCAAGGCGGGAGGATTACTTGAAGTCAGGAGTTCAAGACAAGCCTAGGCAGCATAGCAAATTCACATCTCCACAAAAAATTTTAAAAAATAGCTGGGCAGGGTGGCACACACCTGTAGTCCTAGCTACTCGGCAGGCTGAGGTGGGAAAATTGCTTCTGCCCAGGAATTTGAGGTTGCAGTAGCTATGATTATGGCACTGCACTCCCAGCCTGGGTGACAGAGCAAGACCTAGATAATTACATTCTCTCCTCCTCCTGTTTACACTAAAATCACTAAGCTAAAATGCTTTGAAATTTGGCAGGATAAAAGTTAAGTGAAATGTGACTTTGGAGTTTGGAAGGAGAAAGAAAGAAGGAAGGAAGAAAGGGAGGGAGGGAAGAAAGGAAGGAAGGAAGAAAGGAAGGAAAGAAGGAGAAAAGGAAAAGGAAAAGAAAGGAAAGGAAGAAGGAAGGAAGAAGAAATGGAGGGAGGGGAGGGACAGAGGGAGGGAAGGAGGAAAGGAAAGAAGCAAAGAAGGAAGGAAGCAGAAAAGGAAAAGGAAGGAAGGAAAAGGAAAGAAAGGAAGGAAACGAAGGAAAGGAAGGAAACAAAGGAAAGAAAAAGGAAAGGAAAAGAAAGTAAAGAAAAAAAGGAAAGGAATTAATATACATCCAACCATTAAAAATGATGACGCCAGAAAATATTTACTGCAACAGAAATATGCCCAAAATATAGTAAGTGACAAAAGGCTATCTATTATGATTCTACTTTTTAAAATGTTTATATGCATAAAAAAGTATAAAAAGCAACAAACCAGAATGTTTTGAATGGCAAGTTAAAGATTTTTCTTAATATTTGTCATCCAAATTATTATAATCAGGGAGAAGTGTTTTCATTTATTTATATTTATATCTCTTTTCTTTTTCTTATTTTTTCTCCCATGTGTATCCCATGTAGGCTAGAATCCCCGCCTCTTGAGGGAAACCAGCCCATTTTTGGGAAGTGCACTACATAAAGCTGCCCATCTTCCTTTGAAGAGATCTGGAAACATTTTTGTTTCAAATTGTTTTATTGTTCTCAGAATATATACATATATATATATGTTTTTAATATATGGAATTGAGGAAAAGACAAAGGAAAGGCTGACTCCCTACCACCCTCCTGGGGCTACTCTTCCAATTTTTGCTGCTATTGTTATGTATTAATATTCACTGGGTACTAAGAAGATGGGCAGCCCCTTAGATCCTTTTTTCTTATCTCTTTCTCATAATCCTACTTCATTCCTTCATTCACTCATTTTTAAAAGCGTCATATGTACAAATATATAGTCCAGAAAATTTTTAAATATAACTGTCTATAAAAGTATGTGGCAAAATCCCATTCACAGTCTTATTCTCCTTCCACAGCCAAACACTTTTAATTCATTTCTTATATATCATTTCAGAATTTATCTTTGCAAATACACATGTATATTCTTATTCTACCCTTCTCTCTCAACACAAAAAGTAGCATACCACACATACGATACCATTCCTTCTCCCTTTTAAAAAACACACAGAATATATCCGAGTTCTACGTGAGTACAGAGTCTTTCTCATTCTTTTCAGCTACACAGTATGCATCATTTGGATGTACCACAGTTTACTTAACCAGTTCCCATTTGGCAGACACTGAAATCATCCCTATCATACTATTACAGGCAGTAATGCCAAGCATAACCACCTATACACACCAAGTTCATTGCTGAATCTGCCTTTGATGAAGCCTCTGTTTGAATCACCATAATGTCACAAGGCTGAAAAGTTAGCCCCTTTTTTAGTTTTCATTATGTACTGCAGTATGTAGCAAAAGACTCCCTCGGGCAAAGGAAATGTACTCTTTGGGGATTTACTTCATAACAATAAATGGATAAACAGAACACCAAGGATAACTGTTTATATTTAACCATGAACATGTATGTATACAATACATGCATATGCGTAGAAAGTATAAAATAAATAAATCCATCAAAGCATTAAGTGTTGTCTCAGTATGGTGGATCTAGGGAGTGCTTTGTAGACCGCCCTCTTTGCCTATCCTTTCTAATTTCACAACGGTAAATACGTATACTTTTGCAATATAAAATTTCAAAAAATGTTAACTCAAATTAAGCTGCATGTATTCCTTCAGTCTGTCCTATATTTGTATGATGCTCCAGAATGCTCAAATAACACTTCATTAAAAAAATTTATTTCTTCAAAAACTTACTTTTGTGAAGATTTCTGTGAATGTCTATGTGTTAGATCACAGTGAAGAAGCTCAGGCATTTGCATGCTTGACTCACAAGGAGACTCCAAATGTGGAGCTGGAGGGTGAAAGAAGCTCTCACCTGTTCCCAGACTTGCCACAATAGGTGGTTCTGTTTTTACAGAAAGTGAGTGATGCAGAAATATTTTGACAGCTCATTTGTTCAATCATTGTGTTCCTTTGGACTTAGATTCCAGATAATTGGGACCCTCTTAGCTGGTGGCTAGCATGAATGAAGTATTGTTGTAAAAATGCGAACGGAGGTACATATATGAATGGAAGCATATTTTGCACAGAAACCATCGGTTTGGGATTCTGAAAGATCAGGAATGAAATGCTAGGCCCATAACTTCCTCCTGTGTGATCCTGGACATATTACTCCTTCTGTATTTATTTTAGATTTTTCAACCTTAAAATGAGTACGATAATATCATCTTAATCTTTCCTTTCACTTCTATCCCCTTCTCTTTCTAGGAATATTTATTGGAAGTTTGTTCTCTTTCCACTTTGCTGGCTGCTTTAAGATACAAGTTGAGTAAAACCAGTGCTACTCCTGGTCTGCTGGAAATTTCAGGCTAGTAAGGTTGTTATGAAGATTAAATAAGATAGCATACGTAAGTTAGTTCATGTGCAGTGTTTCAATAAGTATTGAGACCCTTTCTTCTTCTGAAAGGTTTATGAATCTCTTAGGGCATTCTATTCAGAAGATCCAAATACCTCTTGCCAGTTGCCCAAATAGAACAACTTGTTCAGAGCCTAGGAGAGCAGGGTCAATAGATGAATACTTTACAACACCTAAGAAGTTTGACACTTAATTCTGGTCTTTAAATGACTTTATTTTGTTGCTTATTTGTAGATGACTATATAGAGTGACAAAAAAGTGGAATGCACTATCCGAGCTATAATAAGATAGATCTTGTAAGTGTAAGCATTTTAGACATCAACTCAGTATAAAGTTTGACTTGAATGGAAATGTTATGTCTGAGGGTTCCCAGTTTTGCTAATGACACACTTAATTGACAATATAATTGTGACACTGAAGAGTGTGAAATTAAAATCTTAGGAAGTATGCAAACTAATAGCATGATTCTTTGTGTGAACAAAGCAGTTTAACTGAATAGTACCTTATTTATGATTGGCTTTTCATACCTAGATAATTCTGTCTGGTATCTAATGGAAAAACTGATCTAAAAATGATTAACGACCATTTGCCACTTTAATAAAAATTGTCAAAAACAGATATTGATGATATTTCTAAAAATTATTAAGGAGAATAGAGCAGCATTTCACAACTAGATTCCAACGATTGTGGTCTGGACAGCACAAACCACATATTTTCATCCATTGTCTAGATCTTTATTAGGTCTAATGCATTTATAATATTTTTGCAAGTTTATATTTTTAATTATTGCTAGTACCTCAATGCCCAATAGAGATGATACAACTAACCAATAACCAATAAGATACAGACTTTGAGTTTTGTGTTTCAGAAGTTATGGGTTGCAATGTTTTATTTATACTCGGTGACACTGTTTCTCTTCAGCTCCAGTGTAGTGATTGAAGCCTTCTACCAGGTAGAGGACTGGGTGACTAAGTATGTATGGCATGGGCCACAGAATAGACAAGACTTAGTCCTGTGCTTTTGGACTAATGGTCTGGTGTGCTGACCAAATAAGCATTTCAAAACAAGTGATTCTCATCAGTATCATGATGTGTTCTCTTAACAGATTGAGGATTTTATTTTTCAAATAGGAAATGGCTAATTTATTTTAAACTATGTATCACAGTTTCAAATTCCAAACAGTGTCTTAAAATGATATGAATAATTAAGTTTATAATTTAGCTTTAAAAACTTATGTAAATTGTATATTGACACTGACGGGATAGAAATCTACAATGGAACTTTTAATTCCTTTATGTTTTTATAGTGTCATCATAATACAATAAAATTACTGCTCTATTGCATTGGAAGTATATGCTCATTAAGGAAATGGCCAGGAAAAAAGTATTCACCTATTCAGGGAAATTTTAACATGAGATATTTTGCCTTAGTGTGTATATCACTTGAACTTCCTTTGAACTCTGTGCACTACTTGCTATTTATGACAAAGAAAGCCATTGCTCACAAAGTATTGGGTTTGCCTTTGAAGCGGTATCAGGAGATCATTGACAAAAGGCAGGGCTGAGATTAGATGTTGAGGGTCATTGCCTTGCTATAGTCCCAAAGCTATGTGAAATGTCAGCTAATTGAAAATGGTAATTATTCTAAATAACAGCACAAACTGTTTCTTTCTAGGATATGTGTTGCTTTCAAATTAATAGCCACTGATCTGTTTTTTTTTGTTTTTTTGTTTTTTTTCCACAATCTTTCCCTGTCCTTTTGTCAAATTATCTAGCCATCGGTCCTTGGGACAAAACCCGTTGCACCATTTATATTGACCATGGTTTAATGAGTGACCTGGTCTTCCTGTTTGCATAGATTGTAATAGGCCCACCCACCTGAGAGTCTGTCAGCCAGACTGAGATGTGTAACCTCTATGTATAACTTAGTTTCTAAGTGGAAAGACTTTAAAATGGAAACCAAGTAATTGTGTTACAGTGGCCATTTGCATTTATTTCAGATACTGGTCGGGAGAAGTCCTATTAATCACAGTCATAATAGATCTTCAAATTATGACCTACTGAGCAAGGTCATCCCGTATGAGATGAATAATATATATTCAAAATGTTCAGCTTGCTTCTAATGGGCAGTACTTCATACCAAATGTTTTTGAGGGAAATATGTATGGTATAATTTTTCAGACAAAGAATTAAAATTCCTAGTTGTGATGGTTAAAAAAAAACCCTCTAAAGTGGAAATTAGAAATACATATTCTCCATAGCTATAAAATGAACTACAAGTACACTTTGATTCTGTAAAATTGAGTTACTTTGGAAAATATTTCAGAGTAACCTAATCCCAAATCAAGACTCTCTTTTGGAATTGGTAGACAACCCAAAAATACTTGGGCTTGATCTGTTTCAACAAAGTGAAGAAGACAGGAAGAGTATGAGAAATTATTCAAATATATTCAGAAAAAATATCTGCTGAGGTTGGAAGACTACTATACAGTGATTACAGAAAAGTTATGTTCCGTCCGTAGATCAAGCCTTGCCACAAAATCATCAAACCAATGTTCTTTATGAGTGTGAAGGAAATGAGTACCTGTCTTTCTAATTGTAGTAAAAATAGTACCATTAGTGCTTCTCTTTTTTTTTTTTTTTTTTTGAGATGGAGTCTTGCTGTGTTGCCCAGGCTGGAGTGCAGTGGCGCGATCTCGGCTCACTGCAAGCTCCGCCTCCCGGGTTCACGCCATTCTCCTGCCTCAGCCTCCCGAGTAGCTGGGACTACAGGCAACTGCCACCATGCCCTGCTAGTTTTTTGCATTTTTAGTAGAGACGGGGTTTCACCGTGTTAGCCAGGATCGTCTCAATCTCCTGATCTCGTGATCTGCCCACCTCGACCTCCCAAAGTGCTAGGATTACAGGTGTGAGCCACCATGCCAGGCCAACTTTATTTTTAACTAGTAAATTGTAACCAGGAAGTATACTCACAAACTGTGGAGGCAAGGACACAGGAACAAATGTAGCATTGAAAATAAACAGTAGAAGATAGTGAATCTGACACATTTAATAACGAGCAAATGCTGTTGTGTTCCACAATATTTAGGCACACCTATGCAAAAAATCATTTCAGGAAACCACGGCTTTACATCTTAGGAAGCAAAAGTGGAGGGAAAGGGTTGGCAGTGAAGAACAACTTGTTCACATGCCTTGTTAAAGCAATTCCACATAATCTTATTCCATTTCAAACCAAGACTGTTTAGAATCTTACGTCCTGTTGCCACAAGAACTGAGCTCAATACTTTAGAATCCTAAGCCCAATATCTGAGAGTGGGTGAAGGTATTTTTGGAAGAACCCAGGCATGTATCTATAGGACCTTAGTAAACCTCCTGTTTTGCATAATTCTCTCCTGCCTCCCCAGTCTGTCTGAGGGCTATGCTTTCTTTCTCCTCTCCTAAGTGAAGGTAATTGACTGATGCTTAATTGTTATTTCTTTCTAAAATTCATAACATAAAATGAGGGCATTAGGTTTCTTCCTTGAAAATCTTGTGTTTTTATAATAAAAGTAGCTCTAGCCAAAACCTGCCCCATGTAAAAAAGTATCTGTTAACAATTACAAAAATAGGCATATGCATCTGTTTTTTAAACTCAATGAAGTCCCAGAAATCTTTTTAGTGCTCTGATACCTTGTAATAAAGGACCTCTAGAGGTTACTGAAATGAAAGCATGCAGAGTTACTGTAGCGGTATGTTGTTACAGGGGAAAAGAAAACCAGCAGCCATTCACTGTACAGCCTACATTGCTGTAACCGGTGTTGCCCAGTAAACTATCTGGCATGCAAAATGCTAAGTATTCAAAGTACCTGGCATTCATGATCATTGTGATAGCAAACTGTTGACATTTGGTTTATTTCCCAAAGCCGGACCATTCGTACTTCTCTTAAATATTTTGGCTTTAGAGCTTTGTTGTTGATACAGATAATGTATCTCCTTGTTGCCCTGTTTCCCTTCTTGCTGCCCTGCATTTAGCTGCAATTTGCTTTAATGGAGTCATCCCCATGATCATGGAGAATTTGTTCAGTATTTTGATGTTTAGCTTTCATCTCATTTTGGATCGTTTATCTTGATAATTAACATTATTGCATGAAGACCCAGTTGAGAAAAAATATTCTGTAGGAAATTCATTCTTTAATAGTTAATATAAGCCTTCACATGCTGAGTGTCAAAACCTGCAATTCCTCTTGATCCTTAAAAGGCTTGTAAATAAAGACAGTTCAGTTGAAGAAACTATACTGTTAAAGTCAAATATTTTTGGAAATCAGCTTTGAGTCTTGGGGATTTAGAAATTTACGAAAACGATCTGACTCCCAGCAAGCTCTAAATAAACCATAACTATTTGATGGGATAATTGAAAGAGAGCCTCCCATCACAGTGATCACTATCTGCAAAAGTGATAACTCACTAAAAACTTATGTCTCACTTTGTAATAACTTAATATCACAGTGGTAATTTCTAATCAATAAACTGGAATATAATCAGATTGGGGAATATGTAAATCTATATCAGTCCAGTGAAACCTACCAGCAGGGAGAGAAAAGATAAAAATGTAAAAATCAGATTGAATTTTGGGGGAAAGCTGACAAGAAATGCAGTTATGCCTCTGCTGCCATACTCAGCATGGGACATAAAGAGCCCCACCACAGGGCTTGAATTTACAGGAGTCTGTCCAGCACAGCTTTATCCGACACTGAAGCTTCCTAACAAACAGAAAGAAATCTTATACTCTTGCTTGTTGGTATTTAATACCTGCATTATGTGCTTTTTAATTTTTTGGTCCTACTAAAGAGTAGCTGATAGCGCTGTTTCGAAGGCATATCTACTCTGCCTCTGACTAGCAATAGGAAACCGGTTAAGTTATTCAACCTCTCTACATTTCAGTTTCAGGAAATGAAGTGGACAAAGAAGATCATCATTAGGCAATATGTACCTCCAATATTCTGTATTATGTGGAGATATCAAGTCCGTATGTGATTACACAAATCCTAGTTCCAAAAGAGTTCAGAATGAGACACATAGAATTGAAAGTCCTATTTATACAGATACTGGTTAAAGCCCAGGGATTAGATGGGTTTAAAATGCTTTACCTCTATATAGAAAGGAGTACAGGACCAGGAAAGGGCCCAGGGGCATACCATGATTGAGCCGAGGAGACAGTAAGAGAGTTTCAGTGACAAAGGAGATGCAAGGAGACGATGGGGTTTCTGAAACCAGGAGAAGAAAGCCTTCATCATAGAAGCAAGTGATAAACTTCACTGAACACTTCTAAGACATTTCGGACAAGAATAGAAGAGCGACCTTTGGATTTCACTGCACATAGCTTAACAAACGTTCATAAAGGCAGTGAAAACGGAAGCTCGGTTAGGGTGGTCTTAGGAGAGAATCCAGGTGATGACGTAGAGAATGCGACTATAGATGGCTCTCTCTAGAAGTTTTACTTTTAAGGGTAGCAGAGAACTAGAGTAGAGCTGCAGACATAGTTCCCCCTCCTCCCTCTCCTCCATCTCCAGTTTCTTCTTCTTTCCATGAGTGTAACAGAATGAAATTTAGGGCATAATCCTGTAGAAGGTAAGAAATTAATGATGCAGGAAAGAGACTGGATAAGTGTCCAAAATAAATAAGTCCTCAGACGATGCAAGGCAGTGGGCTCTAGCACACAAAGGGGCTGACATCTGATAGGAATGTAGTTGTTTTATCCACATAACAGTTATTTTTTTAGAGAAAAATCTAATTGTGAAAATATAGCTGAAAACCAAACATTACCCCTATGTGTGTGGTAACTTGTGATGTAAAATGCATTTCTCAATAAAGGTCCTGGTCATAAATTTTAAAAGTAAAATACCTTGAGGGAGCTACAGTTAGAGGACAGCAGGATGAAGGATAATCATCAGAAAGAATACAAAGTGGGCCAGGCATGGTGGTTCATGCCTGTAAACCCAGAGCTTTAGGAGGTGTTGTTGGGAGGATCACTTGAAGTCAGGAGTTTGAGACCAGCCTGGGCAACCTAGACCCCCATCTCTACAAAAATAATAATTAAAAAAAGACTACAGAGTAGAAAAAGCAGAGTGAAACAGAATCTTCAATACAAACAGTAGGGGGATTTTAGCAAAGAGTAGCTGACTTAGATGGTGCTAAGATTTGTATGGAGTTCAGTGCTGAGAAGTCTTTTTAACAAGTGATTTAAATGGGAATATTGCCTTGTTTACATAGCTCAAATAAAATGCAGTATAATGTGCAGAAAACAAAAAAAAACAGTAAAAAGCTTAAATAATCTTTATTCTTAGGACAATGTTTTTCAAATAAGGATTATGGCTCACTATTGGGTCATAACATAAAATACGTGTCTTATTGTGGATGGCTCCAAGAAAAAGAAAACCCAAGTTTAAGCAGGCTCACCAATAGAGAGTTTACCTATGTCATATAAGAAGTCCCAGTTATACATCCACTAGTAATAGCTCCATGGCCAGGTACATGCTAGTATTTGCATTTTGGAACGGTCTTTCTCTCCCGTTTGTTGTCTCATGGTCACAAGATGACCGATTATCCCAGGCCTCACGTTTACATTCGAAGACTAAAAACCACTGTGGTGAGTAGGAAATGCCCCCCCACAGAGATGACTCCCAAGCCCTCATTCCCAGACCTGTGACTGTGTTGCCTTACATTGCAGATGTACTCCGCAGATGTGATTAAATTAAGGAGCTCGACATGAAGGGATTAACCTGTCTTATCTGGTTGAGTTCAATGGAATCATAAGAGTCGAGTGAGCCAGGAGATTCAGATAGGGAGGTGTGACCATGGAAGCAGAATGATGTGGAGTGAGAAAGACTCACCTAGCGATTGCTCGTTATAAAGATGGAAGGGTATCACGAGCCAAGACACGTGAGTGGCCTCTTGAAGTTGGAAAAGGCAAAGGAACAGGTTCTCCGCTGGAACATCCAGATGATTTCACTCACTGGGTTCTACTTCAGGCTTCTGACCTCCAGAACTGTAAGGTCACTAATTTTTGTATTATTTTAAGACACCAAGCTTGTAGTAATTTGTAATAGCAGCAATGGGAAACTAACAAACATGTATGGGCAAAAAGGGGAAAAGAATCGTGCCAGTTGAGTTTGTCACTTTCTATCTGGAAAGCAAAAACCTTCAGAGAAACCCTACTGAGCTTTCACTTGCTTATATCCCCCTTTCCAGAATTAGGCTGCATGACCACTCTGAACCAACCACAAACAAAAAGAATTCAATTGTCATGGCACTGTTCAATTAGACAATCACAGTTCACCCCTTGGAGCTGAGACAGGGTATCATTTCCTTTCTAAGATCTACTGAACTCTCATTAGCTGGAAAAAAAATCAAATCCTACTGGAATAGAAGAAGGGGGTTGAAGACAAGTGGATTTTTAATACCTAGCTGATGTTGGGAGGCTAAGTATAAAAAGATATTCTGATGTTGGGTGTGTAGCAGATTGTGCCTGACACACTGCCCCATATTCTTTCCACTAACAAGTCTCATTGTTTTCTTTCAAAAATACATTTCAAATTTGTCTTATATCCACATGTCCACAACCACCATTCTCTTTTAATCTAACAACATCCCTCTTTTGAATTACTTAAATGACCAGTTAATTCACCTCCTAGAAACTGTTTTGCTTCCCACTCACCCTTATCTTATTTTTTTCCATTAGGCAGCCAGAAGAAACTCCTAAAAAATTAACTTATCCATTCTCTGCTTTTTATATTACCTAACCACTTCTTGTTGAAGTTAGGATTAAGCTCAAAATCCTTAAGTGAATTACCTCTTTTCCAACATTGCTGGAAGAGTAAAAGGTTCCTTAACAACATTCTTCTTTCCAGTTTTGGCCAGGTTTTTTTTCCCCCTGAAGTACCACTTTTTATATAATTAAAATTCAGTTTATGCACCAATTTGAATGAATACTTGATAAATGTCTCTACTTCTAAATTATAACTTCCATTAGAGCGGAAGTCAGGTACACTTTTACCCACTATTGTATTGCACTTAAACTAGAACTGCTGCTGAGTGAGTGAAAAATTAATCAATAAAACAAGAGCAAACAGTTCTCATCCTCAAGAACATTCTAATTCAGTAGGAAGAAAGAATGAGTAACTACAGTTGTGCCTAGCTTAATGATGGGGATACTGTATTAGTCTGTTCTCACGCTGCTAATAAAGATATATCTGAGACTGGGTAATTTATAAAGGAAAGAGGTTTAATGGACTCATAGTTCCACATGTTTGGGGAGGCCTCACAATCATGGCAGAAGGCAAAGGCACATCTTACATGGCAGCAGGCAAGAGAAGCTTTTGCAGGGGAACTCCCATTTACAAAACCACCAGATCTCCTGAGACTTATTTACTATCACAAGAATAGTATGGGGGAAACCTCCCTCATGATTCCATTATCTCCACCTGGCCCTGCCTTTGGCTTGTGGGGATTATTACAATTCAAGGTGAGATTTGGGTGAGGACACAGCCCAACCATACCAGACACATTGTGAGAAATGCATGTTTCTGTGATTTCATAATTGTGTGAACATCATGGGCAGACTTACACCAACCTAGATGATATACAGGCCGCTCCCCACCTAAGGCTCCATGGTGGAGCCTTTTGTCCTCAGGCTACAAACCTGTATGGCAGGTTACTGTACTGAATAGTGTAGGCAACTGTAACACAATGGTAAGTATTTGTGTCTCTAAATATAGAGAAGATACTGCAAAAATACAGTGTAAAAGATAAAAAATGGTACCTTATAGGGAAATTACCATGAATGGAGTTTTCAGGCCAAAAAGTTGCTGTGGGTGAGTCAGTGAGTGGTGAGTGAACGTGAAGGCCTAGAACACTATTGTATACTACTGCAGACTTTATAAATACTGTACACTTAGAATACCCTACAATTATTGAAAATATTTCTTTTTCTTTAATAATAAATTTACCTTAGCTTACTGTAACTTTTTACTTTATAATTTTGTTTTTTTAAACATTTTGACTCTTCTATAATAAATGTAGCTTAAAACACATTGTACTGTTATACACGATTTTTTTGTTGTTATATTCTTATTCTATAAGCTTTTATCTACTTTTTTTTTTTTTGAGGTGGAGTCTCTCTGTTGCCGAGGCTGGATGGCAGTGGCACGTTCTCGGCTCACCGCAAGCTCCGCCTCCCGAGTTCATGCAGTTTTCCTGCCTCAGCCTCCAGAGTAGCTGGGACCACAGGCGCCCACCACCACGCCCGGCTAATTTTTTTGTTTTTGTGTTTTTAGTAGAGACGGGGTTTCACCGTGTTAGCCAGGATGGTCTGGATCTCCTGACCTCGTGATCTGCCCGCCTCGGCCTCTCAAAGTGCTGGGATTACAGGCGTGAGCCCCCGCACCAGGCCACGTCTTTAAAAAAAAAAACATTAGCCGGGCGTGGTGGGGACGCCTGTAATCCCCGCTACTCGGGAGGCCGAGGCGGGCGGATCACAAGGTCAGGAGATCGAGACCATCCTGGCTAACACGGTGAAACCCTGTCTCTACTAAAAAATACAAAAAATTAGCCAGGCGTGGTGGCGGGCACCTGTAGTCCCAGCTACTCGGGAGGCTGAGGCAGGAGAAGGGCGTGAACCCGGGAGGCGGAGCTCGCAGTGAGCCGAGATCGCACCACCGCACTCCAGCCTGGGCGACAGAGCGAGACTCCGTCTCAAAAACAAACAAGCAAACAAAGAAACAAACTTAGTGAAACAAAAATTCATCCCCAAAACTATTTACTTGAAAAACACTAGTAAATAAATAATAAATTGTTTTTCAAATATAAACAAGACAGAAATAAAGGAGATGCTATTACTATGAGGAAAGAGGAAAATGATACAACTAAAGATAAAATAGATAAAACATTATATAAAATGTTAAATAAAATTTTATTCATATACATTTGAAAATTTGATAGATTATATATATTTGATAAGTCAATAAAATTAATGTATATGTGTATATGAAGTTACAAGGCAAAGTAATTTGAATAGATGAGATCTGTTAAATCTACAATTAATGGATAATTTTTTGTTTTCTTTACAACTTCATAACCTCCTGTAAGTTTTTAGAAAGTTTATTTTTTCTCTATGTTCTGGCACTGTTTAAAATCCAGAAGTGGGAAATAGGGAGTTACTGCTAATTGGTACAAGGTTTATTTTTTAAGACTATAAAAATATTCTAAAAATAGATTATGGTGGTATTTGCACAACTGTATTAACATACTAAAAACATGAAATGGTACACTAAACATGTGAACATCATGGAATGTAAATTATATCCCAATAAAACTGAAAGAAGATACATACACATTATCTGTCTCTACCAAATTCTCACTATGAACATATATGTAAATACTAGATAGTACTACCAACTCAACAGCAGCAATTTATTGATAGAATAAGACATCCTGACTAAATAGAGTTTATCTCAGGAAAGCAAGCAATGATGAACTTTAGAAATCCTCATGGAAATATACTTAAAACAATATTTAAATGATATTCTGAAAGATATCTAAAATTACTTAGCAAAAGCAAATGTAAATGTCCATTCTTTATTTGATAATGAAACATTTAACTCAATTTAGAATAAAAGGAAATGACTTAATCTTATAAACATATGCAGCAAAAACCTACTTAATTAAAAAAAGGACAAATTTTAATAAAGTCAGAAATGAAGAAATGATTTACCATTACCATTGAAAATGTCCTCTGTTTATACAAATACAATTATATAATGTAATTATATATCTTACATTACATATATAATGTAACTATATCTTACATTACATATATAATGTAACTATATCTTACATTACATATATAATGTAATCTTACATTATATATATAATGTAATTATATATCTTACATTATATAATTATACATTATATAATTTTATTTGTATAAACAGAGAACATTTTCAATGGTAACAGTAAACCAATTCTTCATTTCCAACTTTATTAAAATTTGTCCTTTAAGTAGGTTTTTGTTGCATATGTTTATAAGATTATATATAATAATACATATATACTGTAAGATATATAATTAATAAAGATATAAATATATATCTTACCGTATATAATTAATTGTATAATGTAAGATAAAGTAAATGCATATAATTTATTTTTAATTTTAATTTAAAATTAGACATATAAGAATATGGGCTTTTAGAATGAAAGCACATATTGGATAAAACATAAACAATATATGAATATATAAACTTATACATTAATACAATACATATATTTAATAAATGTTAAATATATATATTACATATATATTCCATATACTAGCAAAATACATCTGCTACATGGGTTGCATCCTTGACTTAGTGAAATCTATTAGAGTAATAAATTAGAGTGCAGCCAAGAAGAAGGAGAGTATTAAGTCTGTAACCTTACAAGTAGGAAATGTATTTCATATACAAGTGTATACTATAGTGGAGAACATGAAGAATAATATAAGTAATCTTCCTGGGCTGTGACTGAATCACTTTCAGTAACTTTATTTGATTTTGTGAATGCATAGATACTTTTATACTCCTCTTTATTTCCTGTAAATTGAGTATTTGGAATTTATATGGGGCAATAAATAATATGATTGGGTATCTGTTTTGTTTTTGTTTTCTAATGGTGGTAAAGTATCTCCTGCTTTTGCTTTTTGCAAGTATTCGAGGAAGATTGTAATGAATCTACATTCACACTATCACCCTGTAAAGCAATGTATACATCTGCCAACTTATTAAACAAAATTTGTGTGATCTAGTTTTAACTTTGTTTTAAATGCAGGAGACTAAACATTTAGAAATAGTTTATTAATAATTCAGATATCTGAATAGTCTGGACTTTTAAAAATATTTTTCTACTAGAGTACTAGTCTTTTCCTTTTGACTTGCAAATATTATTTTTATATTTGTCGACATTTTCTTTATTTTTAAGTGTAATTTTAGAAAAAGTCTTTGATGAGAGATTTATTAATATCCATTATGTAACAGGCAGGATATAGAGACCTAAGGTACACAGTTGCAATCTTCAATAAACTTACAGAATGTCAGTTAATGCACACATGAAAACATCCAGTCTTAATATTAATGTGGTAGGTGCTCTTTCATAACAAGCGAAAGCTGCCAGAGAGCAAAGACAAGCGTTTAACCACATTTTTTAATGTAGTATTTTTTCTTTCTTTCTAAAATTACCTTCTTAGAAAGCCATTGCCCATCCAGAGAGTAATTAAATATGTACTAACCTTTTGTTATAGATCATCACGTATTCTTACAACGGTGTTAATCATCTTTCATTGTATTGCACTGTGGTCTGAAATGTCATCTGTACAATTTCTGCTCTTTTGAATGTGCTGAGATAGTCTATGTATCATAGTCTGGTATATAAGCGTTTTTTAAAGAGTATCACCTATAAACAGGAGAGGAAAAGAGTTTCTCATTGCCAGCTCTAAAACAAGAGAGAAGGAAAGGAGAGACACAGGGAATGTTTTAATCTTTGCAACAGTCATCAGAGATCAGATAACAGGACTGACTACTCTCGATGTTTGTTTTTTTGTTCTTAGCACAATTTTAAGATCTCTGAGAGGAAAAAAAAAGGACGGGGGCGATCTTGTGGAGGGATATAGTGCTTTCCTAGCCCCTTTTGATGAACCAAGTCTGTCTTTTTTGTCATGTAAGTCTAAATAGACGACCAATTGTTTCTCTCAATCCAGCTCAATCAGTGACAGCGTCAAAATTTTTGCAGATTTTGAAAAATTTGTTTTTCTGTCTTACCATGTTGATGTGGTTAAAGTTTGATTTTTTGAAAAGCTATGTAGATTCTTTAGTAGGGGTTTGGGAAGGGCACTGGTAGGCCTTTTTACAAGACCAAACTTTCTATAAGAAGCCCAAATGCACATTATAGAAAGTAAATTAGATAATACTTTACCCTAATTGGAATTTCATTGTCTTAAAATAAAATGTAAACACCTTGTATAGCATAGAAATACATTTTAAAGCCCCTGGCATAGTTTCAAACACATTTTTAAACTTTTTCATGAATTGCAGTCAATCCTCAAACCCAGATAATTATTTTCAGTTGCTAACAACTCTGTTTTCCTCATCCTTCAGTCAAATCTAACATTTATTGAACAGCTACTCTGTGTCAGAGACAAGTACCATATAAGGGGCTGGTAATGTACAGGTGCATAAGTCATAGTTCTGAATGCCTAACTTCCACTAATGATTGTAAACTGGCTCAGGAATCACATCCTGGGGCAAGCCTGCACAGAGTCACCCTCAATCAGCACTTAGGCTCACCTGGATTATGGCAATCGTCACATGGTACTATGCTTGTTTGCTCTCAGAGGACTGGGACTCCACATCTCCAGGGTCTGGAACAGTGCCTGGAATATCAGAAAATGTTCCTTGACATTTAATAGAGACTGTATTTGAGAAATAAAATTACATACTATATCCAGATGAAAAAGGAAATGATAAATATAAAGAGTTTGGAGTTCATGAGAGCAACAAGATGGGATCCAAGGTACTAAAAGAAGATTTAAGGCCGGGAGCAGTGGCTCACACCTGTAATCCCAGCACTTTGGGAGGCCAAGGTGGGCGGATCACGAGGTCAGGAGATCCAGACCCTCCTGGCTAACACAGTGAAACCCCATCTCTACTAAAAATACAGAAAATTAGCCGGGCGTGGTGGCGGGTGCCTGTAGTCCCAGCTACTTGCGAGGCTGAGGCAGGAGAATGGCGTGAACCTGGAGGCGGAGCTCGCAGTGAGCTGAGATGGCATCACTGCACTCCAGCCTGGGCGAGAGAGAGAGACTCTGTCTCAAAAAAATAAATAAATAAAATAAAGAAAGAAGATTTACGTACATCATCAAGAAACAGGTAACTGGAAAATCAAGAGAAGATTAACACCAGCAATGGAAATATTTGAGAAAAGATAACTGCTATTTAGAGATCTGTGGCATAATTGGTAGTAAATCAAGCACACAGGACTTCAGGAAAGCTGATAAAGATAATCCTTTCAATTAAAGGAAGCTATACTTTTATATAGACTTGGTCTATAAATGCAATACATAAATTACAATATCTCAATGTTCTTCATTCTTTAAAGTTAATTTATGCATTTTCTAATAAAAGAAATTAACATATGCAAATGACATATCTCAGGGTTGGTTATTTTTTAATCTTTTTCAAAAAAAGTTACACAAAAGTGCACATAACTGCATAAAATATTAACCAATGCCATCCAAGTATTATATGTGTTTGTGCAGTTATTATCCTAGTCAAAATGATACAAGGGTTTATTTATTCATGAATTCAGTAAGGTAGTTTTCTCAGTTGGGGTTATGTTTGTTATATATGCACCATTGTAAAAACATGGTTTCTTGAAAACCTTCGATGTCTCTGAAATCAGAATATCACTGGGGTAAGCAGGGAAGATATATATATATATATATATATATATATATATATATATATATATGTAAGCAGGGAAGATATATATATATATATTTAAGTGTTACAGGTGATTCTTCTGTACACTTCTTAAGATTGTAGATATAAGACTTAGAAAACAAAGAAAACTCTGTTGCTAACCCTTGGAACATAGAACAACATTATTATTTAGCACACATAGTAATAGAAAAAAACATAAAACAAATACCTGAATAAATATTGATATCTTCTCACCACATGCAGGCAGCGGTATACTAAACCCCCGGAAAGTCTTAGAGCTTCTTGTGATCCTGGTGCTGTGAAGTCCGCATGGCAGAGTTCCCTTCTGACACATCAGATTTCTAGAAAGTGTTTTTCAGGCATGATCAGCAGGGAGCAAGCATCAAAAAATACTCTTACAGTAACAGTATTCTGGTCCATTGGACATTCTGTCTAAAAGACTAGGACCTCCTCTTTCAACTCCTGCTCAGCCAGCAAGAGAACAAGGCTTACCCTTGGTGCTTGGCTTATTTCCCCTCAGAACTACAGGAGCATACATTACCCGGCAACAGAAGAAAGTGAAAGGGACAACTTTAACACGATGTCTTTAAGGAAGTGGAAACTCTTTAGATTTAATAGAAAAGCATACAATGCAATGATGAAAGAGGTGAGCTAAAAATACATGTATAAGTAACGGTACATCAGCCTCTGGACAGCTACCCTGACTTCTGTCAGATGCTCTTTGTAGTGTGTGTGTGTGTGTGTGTGTGTGTGTGTGTGTGTGTGTGTATGTCTGTGTGTTGGCGGGGCGGGGGGCGGGGGGGTTGGGGCAAGTGTACTATTTTCTGCATACTATGATGTTCTGACATCTTAAAAATCCTTTCTAGCTAAGGAGAGACTGTCCCTTCTGCAGCTACTCAATTCTTAGAGATAGAAGGGCCTAGCCAGCCAGGAGCACACCTTTCATTTGCAAGTGAACCAATCCAGAGCCAGCCCTCCCCTATCTGGCTCTTACACTCCAACAGGCAATATTCTTTTGCCTGAATCATTCAGGTCCAGGTACCAGGTGACTAAGGACCACCCTGTTGCTTAGAGCCCACTAAAATTATTCAAACTAGCTAATCCTAAGCTGATCACCCTGCCTTACCTTGTCAGGGAGAAACTCAAACAAAGGTTCGGCCTAAACTTTCCCCTTGCTCTTGTCTTTTGTCTTCTGACTAACCTGGTGTTTTTTTCCACATGGTCCCATGTGGTATCTCATGTCTACTGTCTACAGGGCCTGTGAGCACAGTAAAGTTTGTTTCTGGAGCCTCTCCACGGCCTCCTCATATAACCACATCTGACTATCACACGAAAGAACATGAAACACTCTCTGTCCCCTTTCTTCAGGCACCCAAGAGTTCAGCATTAATTTCAAAAATGCAAGCGGAAAAGGCTCTGGATCCATTTATTTTTCTACTGCCTTTTTCCACAGTATATCACTTTATAGCAGGGATTCCTGACCTTTTTGTTTGTTACCCAGAATGTGACCTTACTGGCATAAATGAAGGACAATTATTAAGTAAACCAATTATCTTAAATATTGTTAGCAAAATATAAACAAATCGTGATATAACCTATATTTATTTTTTCAACATATGAAATGATAAAATCTATTAGTAAGTGTCAGAACTACTTTGATTACAAAATATTGATGTGTATATGATATACTGAGATAACTGCAAATAACTATGATATGAGAATATTGGATTTCTACTGGTGACAACGTCACAGAACCTTATACAACAATTGTGGTTTTTGGCCTACAAGGTCTGCTGCATGATTTCTGCCAACACCAATACTGCAAATCAATATGGCCCCTACCTCACACATATTTCCAGGTCCCACTCTTTTTAATAAGCAGATAAACCAGAGAGTCTCTGAATGGGCCGAAGCAGAAAGAGTTAAGATTTGTGATTCTCTGTCACATTAATGTTGGCAGTGGAAGTAGTGAGAGAAGGAGATGGGTAAATGGAACGAGTCTAGAACATAATGGTTCTCTGTATCACTGGCATATACACTGGCAACATCACTCATAGAGGAGACTCCATACCAGGCAAAAGGTGGAAAGATCCCAGTTTAGAAACAGTCTCACCTTATTTTACACATGAAATCTTCCTTCTGCCTCAGAGAATTAAAATGATTTCCCTGGCTGCTGGGAAATGCCACTCTTAAACAAGGCAAAGGAAAGATGTGTCCGTTTTTTTGTTCTGTTTTTTTTTTTCTGAGACTGAGTCTCACTCTGTCACTCAGGCTGGAGTGCGGTGGCGCGATCTCGGCTCACTGCAAGCTCCGCCTCCCAGGTTCACGCCCTTCTCCTGCCTCAGCCTCCCGAGTAGCTGGGACTACAGGCGCCCACCACCACGCCCGGCTAATTTTTTGTATTCTTAGTAGAGACGGGGTTTCACCAAGTTAGCCAGGATGGTCTCGACCTCGTGATCCGCACGCCTCGGCCTCCCAAAGTGCTGGGATTACAGGCATGAGCCACCGTGCCCAGCTGATGTGTCCATTTTATAGTGAACCTTTAGACAGGAAAAGGCCAACTCTCCTCAATGAGTATAAATGTTAGAGAAGTAAAGACTACATATATATACACACATATATGTATATATAAAAAATATATATACTATATAGAGAGTATATGTATAGTATATATATAAAAAATATACTATATAGAGAGTATATGTATAGTATATATATAGTATAGTGTATATAGAGTATATATAGTATATATAGTATATTTACTATATATACACTATATTAGTATATATAAGTACATATACTATATATACAGTATGTGTATATATTATATATACTACATATACAGTATATGTATATATAATATATACTACATATACAGCATATGTATATATATTATATATACTACATATATAGTGTATGTGTATATATATTATATATATACATCCCATCCTCACAGCCATGTCATAAAGGATACGAGAGTAGGCAATGTCTACGGTACCAAAGTACAATTCCAAATTTCTGAAGTACATTCAAAATAAAATACAATATAATTTATGCAGGTAAAGCTTTGTGATTCAGACCACATTTGTGGAAAGAGCATTGCTTTCGAGACATGACCTTGGCTGGTTATCCATGGGACTAGCCATAGTGAAGTCCTTCGTTAGTGAAGTAATAGTGTAACATAATATGCACGATCTACTGTATTTTTCAACATACTCAAAGCAATTTTCTCATTTCAGTAAGTTATGCAGCATTTATTTAGCTATGATCATTATATTACTTGCCAAGATAATGTAAATATGAAGAATACCTAACAGGTATTTTAATTAAACATTTTGTAATTTTAAGTCAATAAAAGCAATGTAGGCAGTGGTTGAGCAGGTGGTCTCTGGCTCAACATCCCCTCTCCGCCATTTGCCAAAGAAGTGAACTTGAACAAGTCACTTAAACGCTCGATGCCTTAGTTTCTTCTACGTAAAATGAAATGATCCCAACAGAACCTGTCTCCTGAACATACTGTAAATATCGAATGGTTAACTGTATGATACAGTTAAAAAAATACCTGGCATATAGTAAGCACTATACAAATGTCATTTATTCATTTCCACACATGCTCATAAATAAACTCCTAGATTTCTGTAAAATGTGTAACTGTGCAGTGTTATCACTATTACCAGCCAAGCTTCTCTTCTGTCTCTACAACTGACTTAGTAAAGTTGTCTTCACATTAGAAAGGTTGCCTTACATTATTTTATTATGAAAGAAAGTTTAAAAGAAAGAAGGTTTGGAGTTTTTGTGGTAGGAGAGCAGCTACTTTTATATAGTTCAGTAAATCAATCTGTGCTGCTGAGCGTGAGCCTCAGAGGAGATAAACTTGGGGATGATTAGAAAGGAAAGAAGAATGCACTGGTGAATAACATTATCCAAACTGACTGTTGTGACTGAAGAGATCAACTCATTAGATAAATATCTTCTCTTTCCTGATATCTGTTTCTTTATATGACTATAAACTATCATTTTAGAGACCCACTTTATACAGTAGCTGATGTGTTGCCCAGTTTAAGAAGGCAGTTTTAGCCTCCAATAGGAATTCAGAAATAACTATAATTCTTCACTGTGCCTTCAAAGAACATTTAAAATAAGGTCCAGACGTATAACACAGCAAGAGTTATCAAGATTGGTTCTCACCTCCTCACCAGCTCTCCAGCTCTCAGCAATTCCACAAGCCTCGGAAAATCTCTTATGAATGTCACCCTTACCCTGTGCATTTTTCACCCAGGTACACCACTTCCTTCTTGTGTCATTCCCTCAATAAGTCGGCTCTTGCCAGGAAGTTTGTGTTCTCCTTCCACCATATTCTCTCCACTCTCAGTCCTTTTCGTGCCTGTTCACCTCACACAGGCCCTCCAGCTCTACCACCTACAAGGTTGAATGGTGAAGTGGAAGCCGTTCGTGGGCACTGAGATGGCAAAGAATTATCTTTTGTATCATTTTCTGTAAAAGGGAGGAGGTAGATTCCTGGTTTCTTAATGTCTCTTCAAACTCTGAAATACTCTGTCTGTTAATAACCAGAGAATTTGACCTTCTAAAACACAATGAAGAGGACCCTATGTGGGCTCCTCTTCCTTTCACTTCGTTGTTTCTTCAGTGTGCTGAAATCATCCTTATTTCGTCACAGGTCTGGGGGCTAGATTCCAGTCCAAGGGAATGACATATTTTCAGATAACTATTCTTAGGTTTTATAAAAGTGAGTAAAGTTATCAAAAACAGTAACACACCTTGTTTGTCTTTTATGCCTACAAAATGGCACCGTACATTAAAACCATGGCATTTATACTATGAGTTTAAATATATCTGGGGACTGCTTTTTTTGAGTGAAAACAAAAGATTTTGCTGAACGGTAAACCATCATATTATGTACCCTAGCAGGGTAGCATAACACAAGGGAAGCTTCAAAGCCCAAGATGGTTCACTGATTACCAACTCAATAACACTGTATAATAGCAAGAAGAAAATAAAAGATTTCTAAATACTAAATTCCTCCACTCCAATCTGGTGACGGGCAGGTACCAAGCAATATCATTTATCTATAGCGGTCTTAAATTCTTAAAGACCCGGAATATAGCCAGTAACAGTCATGCAATTATTTGCTTTCTGTTTCTTGCTGTATTTCATCTATAAAGTCTATAAGATCACTTAGCTTTTTGGAATTAATATGTCCATGCAAATGTCTCACGTAAAATAAAATAGGATATCATGATACTAAACAGGGTTTAAAAAAGAGCCCCTCTCCCCAAAAAGCATTTTATGTTAATTGTTCTATCTAAGCTTTTTATCTAATAGTTTTTAAAAGAAACATAATAGATGACTAAATATAAGAAGAGTTCCAAAGGCCATTTTCTATTTGAATCTTTCACATTTATTTAAATGCAGTTTTCTGTTTAATTTTAACTTGCATGAAATACAATTTATGTTGAAAAGGACTTGATCAATGTGTTCTTTCTTAGCTTGTACAAAGAAATTATGAATATATGCTAGACTACCTACACTGTTTACGGCCAGTGTTTTAATAACATATACTGGTCTGTGTTAACAAATATAGAAAAACTAACATTTTATCAAACGACAAAGTAAGATAGAAGATGTATTCTGGGTTCCATTTTAGTGAGTGAAAAACTGATTATTCAATCTGAAGTGGCAAATAGGATTAAGTTATTTTATTAGAAGAATGTTACATTTATCACTGTGTTTAATTGATTGTGGTGATCTGACATAAGTTTTTCTCTGACATCACCGTTTAATTTCAGTTAATTAAAGTATTGTTATTACAGTCTTGCTACATCCTAAGCACTTTCATTCATTTATGCAACATATCGCTTGTGGATCTAGAAATTTAACTCCGAAGAAAACAGTCTGGGGTGGGCTTCGTCATCATCCATCAATTACTCATCAACGTTTCATTATTTCCAACTACTATGCACTTAATTATTTTTTTAAAAAAAAAGAGGAATTAAGATACATCCCAGTTATAGAAAAAAGTCTTGGATTTTTACTGTGCTATTGCCAAGTATATAGAAAGAAATAATTCAAGACGTAAAACATTATTCTATATCTTTAAAATAAAAGCGGTCATCAGATAAAATATGCTTTAAACATGTGAGCCGACATATGCCTTCCAGGGCTAGTAGTTCAAATGATCACTTAGCAAGTAATAATTCCCATTTCTGCAGGTAAATGGAACCCAAAGCAACCAATTTTTCCCTGTGTCAATAGGATTTGCCTGGATCCGTCTGTGAAACAAGAGATTCTAAGTCATCAGTGTCCTAGATAATGAAATTACACACTTGGAGTTTTTCTATTGCTTTATTCACTAGCCTAATGAAGATGGAGATATTAAAGACAGTTGTCCATGTGCTTTGTGTGGATGTTTTAATGCAATATGGCTAGCCCCACTGTTATTATTTTTGTGTCTATTTTTCCTGCTTCATTTTATTTTTTGCTGTTTCATTAATTAATTACTTTAAAATTTCAATTTCTATTTTAAATTCAGGGGATACATATACAGGTTTGTTACGTGGGTATATTGTAGGACATTGAAGTTGGGGATACAAATGTTACCGTCACCCAGGTAGTGAGCAGAGTACCCAATGGGTAGTTTTTCAGTCCTTGTTCCCCTTCTTCTCTCCTCCCTCTAGCAGACCCCACTGTCTATTGTTCCCATCTTTATGGTTATGTGTACTTAAGGCTTAGCTCACACTGGCAAGTGAGAACACGTGGTATTTGTTTCTCTGTTCCTGCATTAATTTGCTTAGGATAATGGCCTCCAGCTAGCACTATTATTTTGAGGCTAACTTACTTCAGATAGAATTGGTTTAAATCCAAATAAAAGATGTTATTCTTTTCTTATCCTAATCAGAAAATTTTAGGAAATAATCAGATAAATTTTACAACTGGCAAATCAAAGGGAGAACTGCATTAAACACCCAGATGTAAAAGGTGTGACACCTCTTCTACTCCTCTTGTATTCACTTTTAGGCAAGAAAAGCAGGATTTTTCTGTAAGGTAAAATATGCACTCATTTCCTTTTTAAGACTCATAAGCCATTCTGGAGAAAGTATTTGTAAACTAAGCATAATTTTGCCTGAAATAGCAAGCTTTAAAGGAATACGTAAATATTTTAATGGAAAATAAATTTTGAAGGAAATCAATACATTTCTACATAAGTTTTCCAAAACAGGTTATATATTATTCTACTGAAGGAAAAAGAAATGAACATTTATTGCGTGATTACACCACTCCAGGCACTTTCACCTTGGTTTCTTTATTTCTTCTCTTAAAGATTAGTTTTCTAAGTTCTATCTTGTTAAACAAAGGAACTGAATCAAAGTGGTTACAATCTCCGTCCAGGGTCATGCAAATAAAAACCTGCCAACCTAACCTCAAGGCCATAGTTCTTCCCCTTGGATGACACTGTCTCATATATAGCTTTTTTTCAGTGCTATAAAGTGTGGTGAGCAAGGGTTCTTAGGGCTTTGCAGTTACAGTCAAAATAAAGAGTTAAAAACTTTCAGTAAAGTTGCCCTATCTCTCAGACTAAGACCACAAGATTTTTCCATTAATTAAGAAACTTAGAGCACAGTTGTAAAAAAAAAAAATCATAACAGTATATATTTACATTTTACTGCAATTAAATATGTAGAAATTTACATTCATTTGCCACACTTATGACTAAAGCAAGTGATTTTTTTGTTTTTTTTAGAATGGGCCTATTGATTGAAGTTTCACTTCATTTTTTGTTTTATATAAAGGAAATACATTTCTCTTTCAAGTTCTTTTTTTTAAAGATTTTTTAAAGCAATGAGTCCACATTTTTTTACCCTTCTATTTAGAATTGTGTTTCTCATTCCTAATTTGACATGAACTTTTTAGTGATCAACATTTAGTAGATATTACAATGTATTCTATACATTGTTTATGAAGTCAAATTTGTTTTTGTCAAGTCATTTTAATAAATTAAATTATATAATCACAATATAAAATACAAACTGATTAGGAAATAACTATAATTCAACTAATGGGATCAGAGGTCTTCTTCAGTTTAGAACATATTATCATTTAATCTCAAGAGGCGTGTCTCACATCACTAAACGTCCTATACACTATTGAAATACTGATTTTCCAAGTAGAATTTATTGACAGTTCAGCGGGAAGATGATGCTATGCTCAGAAATTGTTGAGTAGCTATCAACTTAGAAATCGGCACCCATCATCTTCTCATGAGTAAACATCAAAATGTTTGGAGATATACACAACTTGATTTAAGAGAATATTGTTTCCAATATCTCAAATTACCTTTTAATATTTTTAAAGCTAAAGGAATCACATGAAGACAAGGAGATTGAATAGAGGAATATTGAAAATAAGCTGATGCAGCCAATTCATTACATCATGGCCCACGGGTTTTCAGGGCCCCAAGAGAGTTGAAAGTTTCAAAAGTATTGATCCTGGCCCTTGAAAAGGCTAATGGATTTTAAGTCAGTCCAGCCATTAGCAAATAAATGGAATTTTCCTTAAACATATTTTAGCTTTTTCTTGATTTTCATGATAATCTGGCTCTAGTGTTATGGTTTGGTCTTCTGCAGTAACAGACTAAATAACAAATCCACCAATGCTCCAGTGTATTCTGTGTCCTCACCTGGAAGGTAAGAATTTGTTCTTCAGTTGTATTGCTGCATTTTGATCCCACCTTCCAATTCCCAATCAGAAAAGCCAAACTGCAAGAGCTAAATATCACAATGCCAAAAATGTAAATATGTAAATAAGAATGTTGAAGAGATTACCAAATTTGTCAAACTTATTCTATTTCATTCTGAGTTTAGGTTTTTTGCTTTTTTGCTATTGTTGACCTAGAGGATGATAACATATAACAAATATTTGATGACACATTAAAATTCTTCATGACTGAACTTTAAGATCTAGTATATTAGCAAAACTTTCAGGGAGTGTTTGATGCCATCCACAAATACAGCTGTCATAGAAGCTGATAAATCTTGACACTTGGCTGCTTCTTGTTTGAAAGGATGAGGAGGTCTTTACCCACATCAAGTATTCACACCAAATGGACGCTTATTTCCTTAAAGGCCATGTGAAAATCCACTCTTTCAGTTTTGTTCCCAGTGCTAAAAATTTCCCGAGGCCGGCTGGCGCGGTGGCTCACACCTGTCATCCCAGCACGTTGGTAGGCCGAGGCGGGTGGATCACGAGGTCAGGAGACTGAGACCATCCTGGCTAACGCGGTGAAACCCCGTCTCTACTAAAAATACAAAAATTAGCCGGGCGTGGTGGGGGGCGCCTGTAGTCCCAGCTACTCGGGAGGCTGAGGCAGGAGAATGGCGTGAACCCAGGAGGCGGAACTTGCAGGGAGCCGAGATCGTGCCACTGCACTCCAGCCTGGGGACAGAGCAAGACTCCGTCTCAAAAAATAAAACAAAAATAAAATGAAATAAATTTCTCGAGGTCAAAATTTCCTAAAGATTTGATGATATATAAAATACTTTTGGCATTGTCTGCTTCAACTTGTGCATAGAAAACCCATGATCTTTACCCTGTTCTTCAGCATTTGTAGGCAAAGGGGAATTTATCACTTTTATCACATAATTGGTACTGTAATGACCCAGTTAGACACGAGATTTCACAGGCTGATAATATGATTGCTGGCTGTGGTGGACAGAATAATGCCTCCTCCCCAAAGATGTCCATATTCTAATCCTAGAAACTATGAATATGTTCAGTTACATGATCAAGTGGAATTCAGGTTGTAAATGGCATTAATGCTGTGGATCAACTGATGGTAGAATGGGGAGATTATCCTGGATTAATTGAATGGGCCTAATGTAACCGAAAGGAGCATTAAAAGTCAAAAAGTAAGAAGTCAGTATCATAGTGATGAGATGTGTGAAATACAGGACTCTCAGATACTAGAAGAAGGCGCCCAGCAGCCAAGGAAAGGGGTCAGCCTCTAGAAGCTGAAAAGACAAGAACATGAATTTTCCCGTAGAGCTTCCAGGGGAAACACAGCACTGTTGGTGTTTTGCTTTTAGTCCAGTGAGGCCTGTGTCGGCCTCGTGATCTACAGAGCTGTAAGGTATTAAAATTGTTATTGTTTAAGCCACTAAGTTTGTGGCATGGCAGCCCTATAAAACTAATACACTGGTTTCTTGGCATTTCTTAATTCAGCCCAAATGATTTAAAGGAATGATAATGAAAGGAAGAAAAAGCCTAGAAATGGAAAAAGAAATATTCAAGTTATTGGCTGAGCAATGGAGACTAACAGAGTGTTTAGTTTAGTTTGTTATAATATTGGCTGAGCACAGTGGCTCACGCTCATATCCCAGCACTCTGAAAGGCTGAGGCAGGAGAATCGCACGAGGCCAGAAGTTTGAGACCAGCCTGAGCCATGTAGTGAGACTCCATCTCTAAAAAAGAAGAAATAAATGTTCAAGTTACGACTAATATTTATTACCAATGCAAATAATATTTTGCCTATTAAAATTGAAATTGGAAAAAACAATGTGTTAACCAATCTGTTCAAACTAATTTCAAAATACCATGAGAAAATTCTAAGTATGCCTGCTTGACAGTTCACCGTACTGAACTGAAAATGGAATATTCTTTGCACAAAACTAAAAGAAAAAAAAAACAAATTTAAAACTATAAGTAAAAAAGACAATTAGATTTAGTATTGCTCAGCATGGCAGAATACTTTTTTTTTTGTCCAGTGTCAATTTATGACAAGGATATTTCCAGCTTGGTTTGTTTAAAATATATTTGTACCAACAGAATATTTAGTTTGTTGTAACATTCCCATTTAGGTCTCTAAGTTTCACAATGTCTTAATACAACAATTTTTATTTTACTGACAACACTTCATTTGTTTTGAATAAATATATGATGATACTGATGATAACATGCATTTGTGTGCTTACGACTGTGCGTTCATGATAATATCACTAAGGGCTGGCCCTGTACTAAGTGCTTTATAAACATTAGTTCATTTCGTCCTCGTAGGAAATCAGTGAACACAATGTTACTATTAATCCCACTTTAGAACTAGGAAAATCAAGGCAGAGAGAGGTTATTTGCCCAACATCCAGCAGCAAGCAAGTGGTGGGACCAGGAAGGTATGTACTGTCTCTGCTCTCCCTCTAGGTCAGGCATATTCTATACTACACGTCTCATACGCATTGTTTCAATGAATGCTCACAGTGTCCTCCTGTAGGTGCTACTGTTAACTCCTTTGCAAAGGAGGAAATTGAGGCTTCAAGAGGCGAAGTGACTTGCTCTAATCACTGTGTTCCACCATATTTTATTCCACCAAATAAGCCCTTGTGTTCTATGTTACATTATTCTAACGGCACGCCAGGATCTAACTGTACTAGTTACACAGCTAGAACCTAATATGGTTATTCAAAGAGGAGCTCATGAGCAACCCAACCTTTGCCTCATCTTAGAAGTCTTGATGGTGAGAAATAAAATTGCAGCCACTAAATGTGGGTCTTGGGAACAGCAGAGGATGTCATCAAACACACCCGAACACCTGGCTAGAATGAACAGGGACCAGGACAGAGACAATATTACCCTCTCCCCTAACAAAGCAAAACTAAACTCTGTTTTGCAAGTCCAGTGCACCAGGATTATAAACGTCAGGAAATAGAATTTTAATGCCACTGTACACCTGCAAGAAATTGGCCTTTTCCTTAAAAAAAATCTAAGACACATTAGTGTTTTAAAAATGGATTTATATTGCTTACTTTGATTATGAACTGATATAGCACAGAACTATCAGGAGCCTGGCTCCTTTTAAAATATAGACAGTTACACTGTGTTCTTTCCTTCCTATAATCACTTTATGATCAAATGCAGAATATTTCAGTCTGCAATTTCCAATTTAATTCTTGTCCTCATTTGAGCTATTAAACTGGACTCCATTTCAGCAGTAACTGAGCTGACACTCAATCCTCTATTACTAATGACTGTATACAGCCATCTGCTTGAATGATTTTCACCATATGTGCTTAAAGAAAGACAATGTTTTTACATGCTTGCTGTAGGTAATACTTGAAAATCATAAAAGAAGAGCAAAATCAGAGTCAGCTGTAAAATTGCAAGGAAAAATGAAAATCCTAAAAATATGTTTGAAATCCCAAGAGTTAATATCAGTGCATTTTCTATAATTTCTAAGTCAATTCAAGTACAATTTGAAGATATTAGTTCCCAAACTGAAAAGAAAAAATTCATCACAGGTCATGATCTGTGATTAACATTTTAAAAAATTTAGATTAACATTTAAAAAATTATTCTGATCAAGTCAATTATGATTTGAGATAATTTTTTATTTTCAGTTTACTAAAAGGGTTTTTAAATAATTTCCCTGGCCATGCAGAATTTAGTTTGCTTCCTCCAAAACATTTTAGTAACATATAAGTAAAGATTATTTAATTTAAACCTTTTAGCAGATATTGTTCTGTAACTCAAATACAAATAAATTTTCTTATTTCTGGTTAAAGATTTATTTCACTTAGTTTATATAATTAACCTTCAATTAATTAATGTTATTAATATTGTGATATGTTTACATGTAAAAAATGGTGAGATTAAGTCCAAAAAAGTGGATATGGAGGAAAACCCACATACAACCAACACAGCAGACCTACCAGACATTCAAAAGAAAGTATGTCTGAATTGAAATTTAACTACAATTATGCCTGTTAATATTATTTTTATAATTGATATCTATGTGATGGCACCTTTACCTGCATTGCTAGAGTGGATCCTCACGACAGCCACATGAAGTGCTGAGTTCAAATATCATCTTAATTTTACCAATATGGAAACCGACGCTCTGCGCAATAAGCAAATTGCCCAAAGCCACGTAGCTGGTGAGTGACTGCTCCATGTTTCTCTCCTCCTTCTTTTGATTCTAAGTTCCAGGCCCTTCTCACCAAGACTTACTGCCATCTCTGTTGACTCTCATGTCTAACATAGTTTCGGAGACATCCCCAGCGCTAAATGTTCCCTTGGGGAAATATGCAATCGGTTGTTGCACACATGATTTGAGAGGGGGCTAGTTTTGTCCATTCCTGAAAACTTGGGAGGGGCATACAAACAGCCGAGGCGAGGACTCTGAGAATGATTAGACTAATATCTCACAGTTCATAAACTGCTGCCACATACATGGTTCCGGTTCTATTCTCACGGTAATCCTGAAGTATAGAGAGACAGCGACTTCGTGCATTTCATAAGAGAGCAAATTGAGGCTTACCACTTGGGGTTAAATGACTTGAACAGGATGACACAAGCAGTAAGTGAAAGGAGGAGGCAGGCCATGCACCCTGGTGTTATTAAAGTGCCTTTCTGGTATCAGTGCGCTTTGTGATCCTTTTAATTGTATATTTAATTCCAGTAACCAGATGAATCCAAATTTAAAATATAAATATGAAACTGCATTCCAAATCCAAATAAGGCAAATTCATTTTGGAACATCCATTATTTCAAGGCATCTTTATCAGAATTACTTTTATTATTACAAAAATGTGAGCTTGCCAGCACTTTGGGAGGCCAAGGTGAGTGGATTGCTTGAGACCAGGAGTTCAAGACCAGCCTGGGCAACATGACGAGGTCCCATCTCTACAAAAACTAGAAAAATTAAATGAGTTTGGTGGTGCCTGTGGTCCCAGCTACTCAGGAGGCTGAGGTGGAAGGATCACCTGAGCCCAGGAGGTCAAGGCTGCAGTGAGCCATGATCCCAACTCTGCGCTCCAGCCTGGACAACAGAGTGAACCCCTGTCTGGAAAAGAAAAAAAAAGAAAAAAGAAAAAAAAGTAAGCTCTTAATAAGCCATGTGAAATCTTCTCAGGCTATAAATCTACTTCATCTAGGTTAAATAAGATTATTGATAAACTTTTATTTTTTTGATTGAGATATTTGAAAATAAGCATGTGCATATTTGAAAATACATTTGTTTTTGTATAATATTGATTTTTCTTCAGAATTAAATATCTGGGCCAAGTTGATTAAATAATAGAGCTGTCATCTCTTCATTTTCATAGCAAAAATACTATGCTAAAAAGAGACAATTTTCCCAAAGGACCTTCTTTGTCAGGAAGTTTTCTGAGTGTTCAAGCATTGTTGTCCGTTTTTTAATGGTATCACCTTTGTTGGGACATTTTGGCCTTTCTCCATCAGCTGAATACCATCATTCTTTCTCGCGTTCTTTGTTCCATTTTCGGCAAGGAAGATGGACACTGCTGTGGTGACCCTGGCCTCTTGACAAGGAAGGCCCACTGATGTCACAGAAGCATTTCTGTTAGATATGGTTGGGCTCATTAGGCAAAAAGAGGGGTTTCTTTTTGAAAATAAAATGACATTAGGGTTTCTTTATACCCTGATCAATGCTAAGAATGAAGCTCTAATAATCCTTTAGGAATAAAAGACAATGAAAAAAGAATTCTTTTTTACATTAACCTTTTTTCCCAAGGTGTTCTTCCTCAATGTATTACCTCACCATATGACACAAAAAGTCTAGCTTCATGATTTATTATTCTGTATAGAACTGAAAGCAAGAAATATCTGTTAGCAAAATACCAACAAAAACTCAACCATTCTACTATGGGGATTGCAGTTCTCTGTTCCCGTAGCTCTTCCCAAAACGAACAAAAAACAAAATGGTACTTCCCTATTATAACTATCACAGAAAGATTAGATTTTTAGATATCGACTTCTTTGAGACGATAAAGTACAAATAATCTCTCAAGTTACTTTTCATTTTTCAAAATAAAAAATAAAAAATTAATTGGCTTTGATGTGATGAATTTAACTTTACCAATAACTGCTCCCTGGACCAATGCTTAAGTTTTGAGATTTTTTATAAGTGTACAGAGGTTGAATTTTATCAAAACTATCATGACATTAATCCAGGTAGACCACTATCTCTCCCTCAAACCTTCACTAGCAGGTGGTTTTAAAGATTGTTGCTATTGGTCTGATGGGAATTTATGGTAAATAAAATGTATGTGTCAGTTTCCTCAGGTGTGCATAATAACGGTATTTAACTCAAAAGCTTATAGTGAGCATTTGATAGGTTCATGCCTATAAACCATTTTTAAAGGTAACTGGCACTAAACTGTTAGCTATTAGCAGTCCAGTTATGACAGAATTAAAATTTAAACAGTAGTGCTGAACATTTACTGCCTCATTGTACTACTCCAGGGACAAGAAGGCAGATGACTTTCAATTATACAATCTTTTTCCAATATGATTTCCTAGATTCTGTTATATTTATCAATTTCTTGCCTCTCAGCTTTAAATTCATTCTTCAATATTTGCTCTGTGCTAATGAATGGGATTCCTTTAAGCATTTCTCCGGAACAGTGACTACATTGTTAAAATTTATCGGTAGAGGGCGATAGAGTGACATTGCAGGAGGAAGAGGGCTTCTGCTGGTTCCGGAGGCTGCACCCTTGGTCAGCAGAGCATGTGTGAAGACAACTGGTGATAGTTCCTACCATGTGGCTAAAATGTGTGCGCCCTCGGCAACCTTGCCATCCCAGTCCAGCCTAGCAACCCCCTTCCTAGAGCCCTCCCAATGTGGACATGCATATTCCAGTTGTCATCAGCAGCACACCAATGCCTTCTGTACACCTGCCCAGTTGCAGTCCAACTGCCCCCTGAAGAGGGACTTCTTGCTGGCCTAGTGAATGTGCATCACATCTGGTCTGGGCAAACCAACGACCTTCTGTGTCATCCAGTGAACAGCAATCGCACCTTCTCCAACCTCCAAGGCCTGAACCCAAGCCCTGGGGAGGTATCCAAGTTTGTCTTTCCTAAATCACTCTTCCTCAGGCCTAAGATACCTTTTAGCTTTCCATTGTACCTTGTAGTTATGTTCTTCTCATTGCTTAATAATTTTTTTTTTTCGAGACAGAGTTTTGCTTTTGTTGCCCAGGCTGGAGTGCAATGGCATGCTTTCGGCTCAGTGCAACCTCCACCTCCCAGGTTCAAGTGATTCTCCTGCCTCAGCCTCCCAAGCAGCTGGGATTACAGACATGTGCCACCATGCCCGGCTAATTTTGTATTTTTAGTAGAGATGGGGTTTCACCATGTTGGCCGGGATGATTTCGAACCCCTGACCTCAGGTGATCCACCTGCTTCCGACTCCCAAAGTGCTGGGACTACAGGCATGAGCCACTGCGCCCGGCCAATAATTCTTCATAATAAAGCTTCTCTTGTTTAAAATACTACATGTCTATAGCACCATCTCCTTGGTACTGGCCTCCTGATAGTGAATGAGTTCTCATGAGATGTGGTCAGTAAAAATTTGGCACCTCCCCCTACCCCGACTCTTGGTCCTGTCCCTGCCATGCAAGACGCCTGCTCCCTCTTTGCCTTCCGCCATGTTTGGAAGCTTCCCAAGCCTCCCCCAAAGCAGAAGCCACTACGCTTCCTGTACAGCCTGCAGGACCATGAGCCAATTAAACCTCTTTTTATAAATTACCCAGTCTCAGGTATTTCGTTACAGCAATGCGAGAATGGGCTAATACAGCAGGCTATATCTGCATGGATGCTAACTATAGCAATGTTTACATTGGAAAAAATAGGAAACAAAGTGAATGCTGCTGATGGGGAAATGGTTGGATGAATTATGTTTCATTCATACCCTGAATAATAGCATCTCTGGTTCAATTCCACTAGAAACAGACTCTAAGATTGAGACTAGTGAGGTTATTGGGAACTGCTTTGGGCATCACTCCTCTGAGACAGGCGTTACCAACCCATGGAGAACTGGAGCTGAGCAGGCTTTCAGAGTGGTCCTGAGTGGAGCTCAAGAGCCAGGCATTGGGATGTATACATTAGCCAGTCATTGGCTGTGGATGCCCCCAGGATGAGTCTTAACCTTGAGTGAAGTGGCCCCTGCAGCAGGCAGTGATTCCCAAAGAGAGACTCAGCTATGAGCCACAGTGACCAGCAATCCTAGAGCTGGGGGGATCTGTGTAGGGCACTGCAGCTTCCACTACTGTCCACCCATCACGTTAATAGGGTCCACGTGATTCCTGTGGCCAGTTTGCCTGATCTGAGAACAGCTCCTTTAAGATTCTGGTTGGTCTCCGGTCCTGGAGAAACTCACAGGGGAAGTCCAGTGGGACAAACTCCAATCCCCACAGCTGCCACTGGTCACGAGGCCCCAGTGGATGCATATGGTTTTCCTCCTCTATAGCCCATTCTGGTTTCCCCCTTGGCCTCAATAACTCCTCCACTAGGCAGATGGCAAAGGGGTCTGAGCCCCTGGTCATCATGCCCTGCCCAGGCCTGCCTCTGCTAGGGAAGTGGCAAATGACACCTCTGTGGATAACCTGGGGACCAAAGGCATTGTTCCCTGCCCCACGGTTTACCAGCAGCGTCCACCTCCTCTCTGTGAGGGTCAATTAATTGGCTTCACACTCCCCCAGCTGAGGTATGTTGAGTCTGGACCCTAGTTACTAGTCAGGTGGTCCAAGGAGAAGGAGGCAGATCCCCAGGAGTGAGGGAGGTGCATACAGAATCACAAGGCAGAAGCATCTGCAATTGTCTTCAAGCAAGGGGTCAGTGCTAGCCCACTGCAGGCCCAGAGGCTCAGGAGGTTCTGAGGTTTTAGGGTTTCCAGGTGTATCAACCCAGTTCTCCCCACCCCATGACTCAGGGTGGAAGCTTACTAAGGTTGACCAAGAGCATTCAACCTTCTCGGCAGCTCTGCTTCTCCTGTAACTAAGTCTAGGGCCTGATTCTCCATTTTTTCTTCCCATCAGCTGCGTGAAATGAGATTCTCTGCCTGCGCTGTCAAGGAGGCCCTCGGGCTTCCACACTGAGCCTTCTATAGCTGAGTAATCACCCTCACCTTTTGTCTTTTTTAATGCATCATTTGCCCTCTGAAATAGCCATTTGATTCTACGATCCTTATAATTACGAGTTTATCTGCAGCTCCCCAGATCCTGAAATACTGCACCAGCTGCTGAATTTCTTTCCACCAATACCCCACCTGCTATGGACAGAATGTCTGTGTCCTCTCTAAGTGCATATGTTGAAGCCTAACGCCCAGTGGGATGGTGTTAGGCGGTGGGGCCTTTGGGAGGTGATTAGGTCACGAGGGTGGAGCCTCATGCTGGGATTAGCGTCCTTATCAGAAAAGACACAAAAGAGATGGTTTCTCTCCATAAGGTGAGGACACAGCAGGAAGGCAGCCATCTGCAAGCCTTCACTAGGAAGCTTGCTTTCACTAGACACCAGATCATCCAGCACCTTGATCTTGGACTCTCAGGCTTTGGAACTGTCAGAAATAAAGATCTGTTGTTTAAGCCACAGGTCTCTAGTGTTTTGTTATGACAGCCAGAGCCAAGACCCATGAGAGTTGCCCATTGCATCCCAGGGGCACCACAGAGGTGACAGGTGTTCCACCTCCTGCCAGGAAGTGGCTTTGCATTGCTGGGCAGCAGCGCATCCAGCTCCAAACTCTTACTTTGGACTCAGCTTCCTGAGACACCCCCTGGCACCCACTGCCCTAGGGCAGGTTCCTGGTGACAGGCTTCAGATAGAGACTTCTGGCAAGACATTTACAGGGGAATGCTCTTGGGATAAGGGAGGCAGGTTTAGACATTTGCATCAAAGGCTCAGCCCCAGGCAGAGTTGGAGCTGGAATGGCCTTCAAGTGTCCCTAACTGAGGCAAAAGGAGCCCCTTTGTGTCTATGTAGCCCTGTACTGAGCAGGCATTGAATCCAGGCTGTCCTCAGGCGGGACAGTCACCACAGGCAAGGCAGCTTCCTGGGCCGAGGGAAATCCCAAGGGAAGGACTGGGGTGTGTCGAGCCCCTCTTGGCACTGGGGGAACAAGTTCCTTCTCTAAGGGGGTGATCTGTGTGGCACACCCCAGCATCCACTACAATTAGGTGGCTGTAACATGAATGAGACAGAGGAATTGACATGCAGAGCTGTTGGGTGAGAAAAGCAAGACAGAAAAACCCAAAAGGTCCTGGTGTGCCTGTGTCTGTCACATACATATGTACACACGCAACCTCCCACTGCTGGCCATCTGACCCCACGACAGCACCTCCCTGGCCCTGCCATTCTGCAGGCCAGGCACTTGCTCACAGCCTCAGCCCCTTCTTCCTCTGCCGGGACTTCCTTCCACAAGAAATCTATGTGCCTCACTCCACTAATTCCCACCATCTTTGTTCAAATGTCACTCATTGGTAACGCCTGTAATCCTAACACTTTATTCAAATGCCACTTATCACTCACGCCTGTAATCCTGACACTTTGGGAGGCCAAGGCAGGAGGATGGCTTGAGCCCAAGAGTTCAAGACCAGCCTGGGCAATATAGTAAGATGCCATCTCTCCCCAGACTTCTAGAATACAGCAGTCTTCCTCCCTCCACCAGCTTTATCTTCCTGCATAGCATTCGTTGCCATTGACATCATATATTTACTTCCTTTTATTCCAGTGTCGCCTGAACAAATCCTTTCCTCACTCTCCTATTTTATAATAAATAGCGATCACCCCACTCCTTAGAAATCTGCTTATCTCCCTATTGGATTATTCTGAATCACTTTACCATGTCAACTGTTTTGCTTACTTATTTAGTTTGGTGCAAAAGTAGTTGTGGTTTTTGCCATTACTTTTAATTACAAAAACCTCAACTACTTTTGCACCAACCTAATAGTTTTTAACCCTGTCTTCTCTATACCGGAATATGAGCTGCAGAAGTGTTTTGTGCCTGTCTTAATGGCTGCTGTATCCCAGAGCCTAGATAAGCTATTTAAAGTGATAAGCAACTTAGAAGACATTTTAAAAATAAGAAATGGGCTGGGTGCAGTGGCTCACGCCTGTAATCCCAGCACTTTGGGAGGCCGAGGCGGACAGATCATGAGGTCAGGAATTCAAGACCAACCTGGCTAACATGGTGAAACCTGACCTCTACTAAAAATACAAAAATTAGCCAGGCATAGTGGCACACACCTGTAGTCGCAGCTACTGGGAAGACTGAGGCAGGAGAATTGCTTGAACCTGGGAAGCAGAGGTTGCAGTGAGCTGAGATTGCACCACTGCACTCCAGCCTGGGCGACAGAGCAAGACTCTGTATCAAAAGAAAAAAAAGAAAGAAAAGAAATGGGTCGGGTGCAGTGGCTCACACCTATAATCCCAGCACTTTGGGAGGCCAAGGCAGGAAGATCACTTGAGCCCAGGAATTCAAGACCAGCCTGGGCAATATAGTAAGACTCCATCTCTATTATTTTTAGAAATTATAAAATAGTTTTTCAAATTAAAATGTAAAAAGAAATGGAGCACAGTGTAGGGGAAGAAAGATGTGATACCATCACAATGGTCATGGCTGGCACTCCTAACAAAAGAGAGGTTAACAAGAGAAATGCCTATCAAATGTATTTACTCATAGTGTTATGTAATACAGGAGGCCTCAGCAATGAGTCTATAAACCAAAAGGTCTCTGAAACAGGCCTCAAGCAATTTAGAGGTTTATTTAGCGAAGGTTAAGGACGCACCAGGGAAAAAGAAACACAAAACCGCAGGAAAAAATCTGCGATCCCTACTTTTCCCCAAGAGAATTTTGAGGGCTTCCGTATTTAAATGGGAAAAGCAGGCAGGAGGGGAAGGAGGGAGGGTTCGGTCACATCACTGAATCCACATGTTGGAGGGGAAGGAGGGAGGGTGCGGTCACGTCACTGAATCCACATGTTGGAGGGGAAGGAGGGAGGGTGCGGTCACGTCACTGAATCCACATGTTGGAGGGGAAGGAGGGAGGGTGCGGTCACGTCACTGAATCCACATGTTACATGTGAAGAGGAGGGGATATAGGCATAGTTGATTATATATTCATCAAACGCTCGGCAAGTCGGCACTTTACACAAGATAAACACGGCAGCCACCTGTGGAGATGGCTGGCCTCTGCCTGGCCTTTTCATCTTTCGCTGTCTGCTGGGCAACAAAAGGAAAGGCAGCTTCTTGCCTGACTCAGCTTCCAGCTTCATTTTTCCCTTTGACATAGTGAACTGGGGTCCTGAGATTTTATTTTCCTTTCACAACCCCAAAACCCAGGGAGAACTGTCTATATGCTTGGATTCGATGAAGAATGGACAGAGTGTGATCTAATGGTGACAGGCTGAAGGGGGAACCCTGCAAGGCCTGTCTGTCCAGATTCATCTTGGCCTCTCTGGGTAGCATTGCGTCCTCCCAGATATATATTCCAGGACCCCTCTGGAATGAGGGTCTTCACGGGAGAAGGGAGAGAGTGACCTTTCTAGGTTCTGTGGCTTGCTTTGGGGGAGAAGGATTCCAGTTTCTATGACCCACCTTGGGGAAGAGGAATTCTGGTTTCTACGACCTGCTTTGGGAGAGATGGGAGGGTAGAAGGAGGTCAGGGAGGTCTCACTTCTGAGGCCCTTCCAATGTCCTTCAGTTCGAAGTACCTAGCTTGTCAAGATGCCATACTTCACCTAGGGGTATCATGCTCTGAGTCAGGACAACAGATACATTATTTTGCATATAAAATAAGCATCTTATTGCTAGAAGAGGAGTGAGAACACCCACTGGTGCTTATGACGTACTGGATTTCAGGCTTTACATACTTTGTCTTAGGTAATCCCGGCCACCAGTCTATGAAGTGGGAATCACTTGACATAGAAGAGGAACAGAGAACACTGAGGCTCAGAGAGGCTAAGCAACTTGCCAAGGCCACAAAGGAAGTAGGCAGCAGCCAAGAACCCCAACCTGTGTCATCCCAAAGTTTATTCTATGACATCATTGTCTCCTGCTTCCCTTGTCTGAAAATGAGAAGAAAACTCATCTAGCCGGCCTCTCTAGGTTATCATGAGATCAAATACAAACACTTCCTGGAAGTGAACCACCCAAATGAAAGCACTGTCCTCTGTCCAGACAGTCATGGCCGTGTGCCCGTGGGTGGGACCAAGTTCATCAACTTAGAGTGTGCCAGGGTGCGGGCTACCGGGGAGGGGATGTTAAACAGTTCCCTCTGTCTTAGCACCAGAAACCTCCATCAAGCCCCCTTTGCTGGGTCAGATTGCCCTAATAGAAACCTACCTCTTTGGCTTCATTCCTTCATGACAATATCAGTTCTGGGGTTGAACATTTGAAACCTTTATGACCTGCGAGAATGAAGTGTCCTCCTGGGCCGGGGCCTGACGCTTTCCCAGGCTTCTCCCTCCTGGGTTCTGTTAAGGAGCTCAGCATTCAGAAGGGTACACTTCAGCCCAAGCATTTCCCCCTAGTTACTAGTCAGGAAGCACCAGCTGTAAAAAGCACATCTCCCTTCCTCCCACCTCCCTACTATCCTTCCCTTAATTTTTTTAAATTTCCATTTTTATCAAAGGCATACAAGCATCTGTTTTGGAGTTAAAACATTCTATAAGGCTTTTTAAAAACAATAGCAATCATCTGTCGTCCCATTTCCCTCCCCCTAGGGGAAAATCCATTCAACTCTTTCATCCGAATTATTCCGTATTTTCCTTTCTATCTCTCAGTCACTGCCTCTGCTGCTCCTCTTGATTTTCTAGCGTCAGATACCACCTGCGGATTTCTCAGTTTAGCAGGTGAGCAGTTTAGCAGGAATGGGCATGGTCCTGTGCAATGCGGGATGCTTAGCAGCATCCACAGATACCAGCAGCGCATGCGTGCACACACACACCTACACACACACATACACACAAACACACACGTACATACACACAAAACTGCTCGGTTTTGCCCCCTCAAGTCATGCATTAATTTTCTGGGGCTGCCATAACAAAGTACCATAAACTGGACAGGTTAAACAGAAATGTATTGTCCCACTGTTCTGGATACTGGACGTTCAAGATGAAGGTGGTGGCAGGACTGGTTCTTTCTAAGGCTGTGAGAGAAAGATCTGTTCCAGCCCCTCTCCTTGGCTTGTAGATGGCCGTCTTCTCTGTCATCTTCCCTGTGTATCTGTCTTTGTGTCCAGATCTTATAAGGACACCAGCCACACTGAGTCAGGGCCTGCTCTAGTGATCTCAACGTGGTTACCTCTACAAAGACCTTATCTCCAAATTAGGTCACGTCTAAGGTATTGGGGGTTAGGACTCCAACGTATCTTTTCCGAGGAGGACACAATTTAATTCATAAAATATCATGCCCACTGGCTGCCACATAAGGCAGTTGGGGTACCAGGTGTGCAATGCAGGGTCTTGCATACCCCACCACACCATAGACACCCCTCCTTCCCACTCCTCAAGTAGTGTTCAGACTGGGTTAGGTCAGCGCACTCTTTACAACCAAGTCATGTAGTATAACACTCTTAAGTTTAGATTCTACACTACGTTTTACTTTTCCTGGAGTCATAATTGTTGGATTTCTAAAAACTTGTAGTTTTCAGTTTTTGTCAATAATTGAGCTACTTGGCCGGGCGCGGTGGCTCACACCTGTAATCCCAGCACTTTGGGAGGCCGAGGTGGGCAGATCACGAGGTCAGGAGATCAAGACCATCCTGGCTAACATGGTGAAACCCCGTCTCCACTAAAAATACAAATAATTAGCCAGGCGTGGTGGCAGGCACCTGTAGTCCCAGCTACTCGGGAGGCTGAGGCAGGAGAATGGCGTGAACCCGGAAGGCGGAGCTTGCAGTGAGCCGAGATCGCACCACCGCACTCCAGCCTGGGTGACAGAGCGAGACTCTGTCTCAAAAATAAAATAAAATAAAATAAAATAAAATAAAATAAAATAAAATAAACAAACTAATTGAATTCTAAACTCTCCGTCAATCTATCTGAATATATTCAGACACACTTTACCTGACTTGCCTCAGTCTGGACAGGGTGCCCCCACACCTCGTGCACGCCCTTCACCACCACTGTTTTTCCTGTGTGGGACTCTGTGTCCTGGATGCCTTTTGCTGTATTCCTTTGTTTTGAAGAAGCACGTCCTTCAGTAGCATCCTAAGAAAAGGCATATGGAAGGCAAATTCTAGGGGATTCTGCATATCTAAAAATGCCTTTATTCCATCTTCTCATTTCATTGACAGTGTGTCTGGATATAAAAATTCCAGATTGAAAACCAATTTTCTGAAGTTCGAAGGCAATGTCCCAATTGTCTTCTGGGACAATTGTCTTCTGGCTTCTGGTGTGATCATGAGAAATCTGAAGTCATTCTTATTTCCAATTATTTGAATGTGGCCTGGTTTTTTAATTGCTCTCCTGAAGCTTATGAAATAGTCTCTTTGTCACCAGTACTTGAAAATTTCCCCATGATATGCCTGCGTGTGGGTCTACTTCACCCCTTCAGAATGAATACTCATGTTCTTGTTGTGGGGATTTTCTTGACTTTTTTTTTTTTTTTTTTTTTGAGATGGAGTCTTGCTTTGTCGCCCAGGCTGCAGTGCAGTGGCGCGATCTCGGCTCACTGCAACCTCCGCCTCCTGGATTCAAGCAATTCTCCTGCCTCAGCCTCCTGAGTAGCTGGGATTACAGGCATGCGCCACCACGCCTGGCTAATTTTTTTTGTATTTTTAGTAGAGCCGGGATTTCACCATGTTGGTCAGCCTGGTCTCGAACTCCTGACCTCGTGATCCACCCACCTCCCAAAGTACTGAGATTACAGGAATGAGCCACTGCACCCGGCCTCTTGAAATACTTATCAATGATTTCTCCTCCTGCATTTTCCCTGTCCTCTTTTTGTAAAACTCCTACTATTTTCTTAGGCTGGTCCCCTAATTTTCTCATACCTTCTCTTCTGTCTTCACTCTGATTTTTTGCCTTACTTTTTGGAAGATTTTTCTCAACTTTATATTCTAAGCTGTTTAGTGTTTGTTATTTCTACTATCATATTTTTCATTTTTAAAAGTTCTTATTTGTCTGCTTATTTTTTTGCTACTTTTTTTCTTGAGATGGCATCTTGAAAAGACCAGGCTGGTTGACCAGGCTGATCTCAAACTCCTCGCTTCAAGCAATCCTCCCATCTTGGCCTCCCAAAGTGCTGAGATTACAGGTGTGAGCCACCACACCCAGCCCCCAGCCACTTTTTGCTACTTTTTAAATAGCATCTTGTTCTTATTTCACGTATTTAGGTTTGTTTTTTCTGTCTCTATCTATCTCTCACGTTTTATTCTCCCTGTATAATCTATTTCACTCAAGTTACCTTTTTTCTGTGTGTTCTGATCACTATCATTCGTGTTAGGGGCTTTCTTCAATTGTCTGCTAATTGATCATTGTCTGCTCATGTTCAAGGGTAAATGATTAAAAGCCTGCTCGGATAGTCAAGTGCATGGCAGGCTTATAGACGCTGAAGTTCACTGAAGGGCAGGTTTCTCAGCCTTAGCTCTGTTGACATTGTGGCGTGGACAATTGTTTTTTGGGGTGGGAATGGGGATATTCCTGTGCAATGTAGGATGTTTAGCAGCATCCACAGATAGCAGCAGCACATGCACACACACACACACACACACACACATGCAAACACACATACACTACACACACTACACACACACACACAAACACACACTACACACACACACACGCAAACACACACATACACACACTGCACACACACACTCTCCAGTCTGTGTCTTCAGACATCCCCAAATGTCCCTTTGTGAGCAAAATCATCCCCGTTAGGAACCACTGCTCTAAAGTGACCTGGCTGGGCCAATCATTAGGGAATCCCAGATGTCAGTATCTTCATGTCTTTTCCTTAGAATGGCCCTTAGCCGCACCCTCCCTTCCTTCTCTTTTCAGTATAGATACTCTCTTTTAAAAACTAGCCAAGGCTAGTTCTCCACTCTTTCTGCTTTCATGTGAGTCAGTAATCTGAGATGTTGGACCTCCCTCCGACAGTATATGGGCCGCTCCCCAGCATGCATTAGGATCTAATCTGTTCTGGCTCAGGTTCTGATCATACAGTGATGATGCCTTGCAACAAGGAAAGATGGAGACGAAACCTCTAAGTATCTTGGCTGGGAGCAGCTAAATCATACGGCAAACCCCAACATGGGCACTTGTCCTTAAGATGGCTCAAGAAATCGGGAAGTGTGTCCCTTATTTCTCATTTTAAAATATGAAAGCGTTGACTACGTTGAGGACATCCCCCTCAGTCGTAAGCATTGCCAAGGGAGAGGGGAAGGGGTGTTGCTTTCCCTGCCCTGAATTCCAGTGGAAACCCTAGCTTTCCGACCCCAAAGCTAGCTGCTCAGTGCCACTGAGGCATTCACACATGGAGGAGACAAAAGCTGCATCGACTGGACACATCAAATCTAAACGAAGCCTAGAAAATATCCGTGTTCCAAGTGTTTCCCTTAACACGACTACAGCCGAAAACTCATTCATCAATGTCCTGCCACTTCCCTCCTGTGGGACAAGATTTGGATGCACAGGGCCCGGTGGCTTCCCTCTGTTCCGGTCTCCAACTCACCTGGCCCAGAGACTAGGATGGTGTCCCCTCGCCCCCATTATTAATCACTACGTGTAGTTCGCTCAAAAGTGAATCTGAAGAAAATTTTCCTAAGGGAATGTGAACAGTGAATTTTATGGTATGTGAAATGTATCTCAATAAAGCCACAAAAAAAAAGTGAATGTCGATGGAGTGATTTAGGAATTACACTATTTGTATTCACACAAACTGGGGAGATGATTTCCAATTTCAAAGACGGGAGCCCTTAAGTATAAACCCTAAAAATAAACCCAGGACCCCTGAGCCATGTGCAGGTGATATGGAAGGTCCCTGGGCCGGTTCCCAAGAGGCCACTCTTCAGGAAGACCCAGGCACAGAGACCTTCTCACTAGCACTGGTAGGACAGTCTGAACTGAGCACTGCCCCGTGATTTCAGTGTTTGTCACCACGTCTGAAAAGTCCTGACAAAGCCAGCCAGACTGTCCTGAAAGTAGATGGCACAGCAACTGTGGCAAGGCTGGTAAAGTCTGAAGGAGATAGGTCAGGGACCTCCGTGCCCATCTCACGCAAGTAGTGTGTGTGTGTGTGTGTGTGTGTTACAGAGAGAGATCATGAAGGACATTGGCACACAGCCTTCTCTCTGTCACATCTGCCATCCTGGCCAGCAGGGGCGCATCTGGGAGAGGTGGAGGGGACGCCTTTCGGCATCTGGGTGGCATTTTTGTGCTGCCATCAGTGGGTTGGATTTTTCCGAATTCTGACTCCACCAGCAACAGAGTCTTGGGCAGTGTTATTAGTCTGCTTGGGCTGCCATAACAAATACCATGGATTGAGCGTCTTAAACAACAGAAATTTAGTTTCTCACAGTTCTGGCAGCTGGAAGTCTAAGATCATGTCAGCAGGGTTGGTTTCTGGTGAGGCCTCTCTCTCTGGCTTGCAGGTGGCTGCCTTCTTCCTGTGTCCTCACAGAGCCTTCCCTCTATGTGCTCACATGCCTGCTGTCTCACTGCATGGCAAAATGTTCTCTTTTACTTAAAATTTTTTTAGGGATGGGGTCTCAGTCTTTCACCCAGGCTGGAGGGCAGTGGTGTGATCATAGGTCCCTGCAGCCTGGAACTCCTGGGCTCAAGTGATCCTCCCATCTCAGCCTCCCAAATACCTGGGACTACAGATGTGCACCATCATGCCTGGATAAATTTTTTTTAATTTTTTTGTAGTTAGGGGTCTTGCTAAGCTGCCCAGGTTGGTCTCGAACCCCTGGCCTCAAGTGATCCCCAACCTTGGCCTTCCAAAGCAGTGGGATTATGGGCAGAAGCCACCATGCCTGATCCAAATTTCCTCTTCTTATAAGGACAACAGTCAGATTGGATTATGTCCCCACCTTACAGGCCTCATTTTAATTTAATCACCTCTTTAAAGACCTTACTTCCACTTTTGAGGCACTGGGGGTTGGTACTTCCACATATGAATTTGGGAGAGACATATATCAGCCCTTAACAGTTAGGCTGTACATTTCCTCCAAGAGTGGCAGCTTTTCTTTTTCTTTTTTCTTTTCTTTTTTTTTTTTTTTTTTGAGATAGAGAGAATCTCTCTCTGTTGCCAGGCTGGAGTGCAGTGGTGCAATCTCAGCTCACTGCAACCTCTGCCTCCTGGATTCAAGTGATTCTCCTGCCTCAGCCTCCCGAGTAGCTGGGACTACAGGTGCATGCCACCATGCCCGGCTAATTTTTGTATTTTTAGTAGAGACGGGGGTTTCACCATGTTTGTCAGGATGGTCTTGATCTCTTGACCTCGTGATCCGCCCACCTCGGCCTCCCAAAGTGCTGGGATTACAGGTGTGAGCCACCACGATCAGCCAGTGGCAGCTTTTCAAAGGGTATAGTTATGCCTCAGAAGATCGATTCTAGGGCCTCTCACGAATACCAAAATGAATACCTGATATAAAATGGTGTAGTATTTGCATATAACCTATGCCCATCCTTCCATATACTTTAAATCATCTCTAGATTATTTTGAATACCTGCTACAATGTAAATGCTATGTAAATAGTTGTTAGACTGTATTGTTTAGGGAATAATGACCCCCCAAAAAGGTCTGGATGTGTTCAGTACAGATTCAACCATCGCAGCCTAATTACATTTTCGATCCACAGATGTGGGACCCCTGGATTCAGAGGGCTCACTGTAATTAGAAGCATGTCCCCTGTCCCTATCCTGAGGGACTGGGAAGAGATGGAGACCATGGAAGTGTTGAGTTAGGCCCTCCAGAGCTGGGCATAATTCCCAGGTATGCCCAGGAAGGCCAGAGACGAATTTAAAAGTTGGCAATAGAAAGAGCCAAGGGGGGCCCGTTGTGGTGGCTCACACCTGTAATCCCAGCACTTTGGGAAGCCAAGGCAGGAGGATCACTTGAGGTCAGGAGCTCGAGACCAGCCTGGTCATCATGGTGAAACCCCGTCTCTACTAAAAATACAAAGATTAGCCGGGCATGGTGGCAGGTGCCTGTAATCCCAGATACTAGGGAGGCTGAGGCACAAGAATCACTTGAACCCGGGAGGCAGAGGTTGCAGTGAGCCAAAATTGCACCACCACACTCCATCCTGGGTGACAGAGTGAGACCCCATCACAAAAAAAAAGAAAAAAAAAAGAGCCAAGGGGATTGGAAAATGGAGGTAGAGGAGTGGGGAGGATTAGGAATTGAGTTTTTGCTCCTGAGAGGAAAAGAGAGGTGGTATTAAGATGTGAGTATGAAAACTCTAAACACCCTGCTGTATACACAAAGGTCTGGTGGCTGTGTCTTTCTGGTGAAACCAATAAAGGAGACTCAGTTCCCCAACAAGGTGGAGGTGACCAAGCAGCCCAGGCTCTGAGGAAGGGAAGGTGTCAGGAGGAAGTCAGCCCAGGAAGGTGAGCCCCGTGGGGAGTCCAGGATGCTTGGGTGGGGCTCTGGACTTCCCAAGTGGAGTCTCACATAGGTTTGAAGGGTGGCCCCAGCTGACATCTGCCTAGGACAGCTTGCCCAGTTCATCAACCTCCTGTTTGCAGGCACCTCCCCACACCCTGGCCCTGGGGACCATTGAGTCTGACACAAATAAAGCTGTAGACAGACTTAAAACTCACCCCCACAAACCTGTTTTCAGATCAGAGCAGATATGGGCCCCAGAAGAGCCTCGCAAACTACCTCCAGCCAGGTAAGTTGGGGCAGTGCCTTAGTCCAGGCTGCTCTAACAAAGTACCATAGACCGGGTAGCTTAGAAGCAACAGACATTGGTTTCTCAGTTCTGGAGGCTGGCAGTCTGAGACCAGGGTACCAGCACGGCTAGGCCCTCTTCCAGGGTGCAAACAGATAGCCACCTTCTCACTGTATCCTCACAAGGCAGAGAGAGGGTTAGAGGGCTTTTTCGAGTCCCTTTCACAATGGTACTAATCCCATTCTTGAGGGGTCTGCCCCTATAACCTAATCACCTCACAAAGGCCCCACTTTTTTTTTGTTTTGAGACAGGGTCTTACTCTGTCACCCAGGCTGGAGCGCAGTGGTGCCATCATAGCTCACTGCAGCCTCCAACTCCTGGGCTCCAGGGATCCTCCTGACTCAGCCTTCTGAGTAGCATAGACCACAAGCACAGAGGCCCCACTTAATATCATCACTGTGGGAGCTGGGATTTCAACATACGAATTTGAGGAGGAAACGAACGTGCAGCTCATTGCAGGCAGGAATGCATTTGTTTAATGAAAAATTAACTTTTATGCTTTTATTGTTTCCCCTTGATAATAATGATAGCTAACATTCCCAGAGTTCTTACTGTATGCTAGGGGCCTGTCAGACACTCAACAGGCATCACCCCATTTCATTGTCACAAAGCAGCAACCATCTCAGATCCCATTTCATAGATGAGAAAATTCGGGCTTGCAGGGACCACAGAATTTTCTCATAGGTACTAAAGGATGACTCTGGATTCAAAGTTGAATGTTGAATGCCTGATTTCAGAAACTGTGGTTTTAACCACGGTATGGTATGCCACCTCTTTATAATAAGAGTAAACGTGTGCCATAGAGACAATTTAAACAATGCAAATGAACAGACATAAGGCAATGAAAGTCACCTGGGACTAGACATTATGAGCTTGACAACCCTCTGGATGTCTGTGAGGTGATGCTGTGGGATTTATCTTCCTCACTTTTTTTCTAGAGATTTTTATTTTCATTTAAAATTTTTTTTATTTCTTTTTTTCTTTTTGAGACAGGGCGTCACAGGCTAGAGTGCAGTGGCTTGATCACAGCTCACTGCAGCCTCAACCTCCTGGGCTCAAGCAATCCTCTCACCTCAACCTCCCAAGCAGCTGGGACTACAGGTGCACACCACTATGCCTTACTAGTTTTTGTAATTTTTTTTTTTTTTTGGTAGAGATAAGTTCTCATTATATTGCCCAGGCTGGTCTCGAACTCCTGCCTAGGCCTCTCAAAGTGCTGGGATTATAGGTTCAATCCACTTAGAGATTTTTTTTTTTTTTTTTTAAGATGGAGTCTCGCTCTGTCACTCTGCTGGAGTGCAGTGGTGTGATCTCGGCTCACTGCAACCTCTGCCTCCCAGGTTCAAGCAATTCTCCTGCCTCAGCCTCCTGAGTAGCTGGGATTACAGGTGCGGGCCACCACACCCAGCTAATTTTTATATTTGTAGTAAAGATGGGGTTTCACTACGTTGGCCAGGATGGTCTCAATCTCCTGACCTTGTCATCTGCCCACCTTGGCCTCTCAAAGTGCTGGGATTATAGGCATGAACCATCACCTAGAGATTTTTAAAACAGTATTTCTTGTTCCTAAAAATCTTTCCATGTCAATAACTATATTTTTACAAGATTATTTTAAATAAGCATACTTGATTCCATTTAATAAATGAGTTTAATGAACTCAACCTAATCACCCACTCTTGGACATTTTTAGTTTTTCCACCATTTCTCACCATTAAGAACAGTCCTGTAGCTAAATCTTTTTACATGTCCAAATTGCTTCCTTGGTAAACTCCTAAATGTAGGAGATCAGAATCAAACAATATGAACATTTAAAAAATTACTACTATATAATGCTACAAACATCCCAAATTTACATTCCCACGAGACTGCCCAGGAGTAAGTACACTCCTTTCCCCACGTGCACAGCCAAGTTCGCTATCATCCTTTTAGGTTCGACTTTTTCCAAGTCTGTAGGTGACAATGAATATCTTGTAGTTTTTTGAATTTCCATTTACTTGACTATCTGTAAAGTTAACAGTTTTTTCCTATATGTATTTCTTTAGTGAATTTTTGCATCATTTGGTTATTTTTCTATAAAGTGCTTTTTTATTGAGATCTGTATGCCTTTTATATATTAAGGATATCAATGTATCAAAGATGGCAAACATTTTTACCCCATTTGTCATAAGCCTGTTAAACTTTCAATAATTGTTTTTGCCGTACCAAATGCAATACATTTCCTGTTTTCTTCTTTCTACTACTTTCTCATGAATTCCTGAAGTTGGCAATATCTCTGGAGCTATGAGCTCTCACACTCATAGCCATGTTTCTTCCAAGGGCTTCACTTCTCACAGTCACTTGACAACAAGCAGAAGTCAGGAAGTTTTCTTCTTTCTATTTCATGGAAATGCAAATTCCACACTGGCAATAACCAGTGGATTTTCCTGAGTCATTAGAGAACCCACAACTTAAGGAACCAAATCCAGACTACTAGATACTGCAGAGCAGGGATGGCAAATCAGTTTCCCCTCCCCTGACAATATTGCTTGATTGGTCATGGCTGTCTTGGATACTGACGGCCATCTGGGCCTCTGCAATGAACTGGCAAAGTCTGCTGGGGGGTCCGTGGGGAGCAGGTGCCAGGTACACAGTCCATGGGCAAATTGTCTATTAGTCCGTTCTTACACTGCTATAAAGAGCTACCTTCGACTGGGTAATTTATGAAGAAAAGAGGTATAATTGACTCACAGTTCTGAAGGCTTAACAGGAAGCATGACTGGGAGGCCTCAGGAAACTTACAAACATGGCAGAAGGTGAAGCAAGCACCTTCTTCATATGGCAGCAGGAGAGAGAGAGTGAGGGGAATATTTAAAACATCACACACACATTTAAACCACCAGATCTCATGACAACTCACTCACTATCATGAAAAGAGCATGGGGGAAATCCGCCCCCATGATCCAATCACCTCCTAACAGATCCCTTCCCCAACACTGGGAATGACAATTCAACAAGATATTTTGGTGGGGACACAGAGCCAAACCATATCACTGTCACACAGAGAGGTGTAGGGTGTGTCCAGACACTACGAGGAGGGAAGGAGTGTTTCTAATAATTGTGCTGTGACGATAGGCATGCTCTGGGATTGTTTTGGACAGAAAGAATGTATGGTCACCCCAAGCATAGGGAACAACACAGTGGCAGTGGAAAACCAAAGTCCAGAAGGCTTACAGGACTCAGTCAAGGTCACACAGCCACTGAATGCAGAGCTGGCTTTGGACTCACCTCATCTCCCAACGTGCTAACCTGCTGTGCAGCCTCAGGCAGGTCCCCTCACGTCTCTGGGTCTTAAATTCCTCTCTATAAAATGAGCAGTTGTAGCTTAAGAAATTCTAATGACTTTGATAACACAGTTCTCTGCTCTCCACCCACTGGATTTTTGACACATTTTGTGAAAGCCAGCCACTCAGTGAGCACCTGCTACTTTTCTTCTCTCCCTACCCTTGCTAGGGCTCCAAGGGAGGTCGGGCACAGGCATGAGGTGACACAGCTTTGGCACCTGGGCGGCATGTCTGCTTGTGCAGGTTTAGTCCCAGCTTTCTTGGGGCCACAGTAGTGGAGTCCTTGGTGGACATGACCTTGGCACACTTCAGTAGACAAGTCATGTCACTCTTAACACTTCTCATCTGGCCTCAGGAAACTCAGGCCAGAGATACTATAACTCAGCCAGTCAAGCCAAGGCCTGGGGAGAGAACTTGGGGATGTTTCTGGGGAAAATGTTGACCAGGTGAACAGGCTTCCTGGGTGGGGCTGAGTCAGCAGTGAAAGCAAAAATGGGCTCTGCTCAGAAGTTTTCACAAGATTGGGGCTATGGAGCCACAGTCTGGGGTTTTATCCTGTCTCCTGTACTTACTAGCTATGACATCTTGAGCAAGTAACTTCATCTTTGTGCATAAGCATATAAATTAGGAATTTATTCAGCTGCTAGTGATAGAGATCCTAACAGCATCTTAAACATGAGGACATTTATTTCTCTTTTACACCCCATCCACCATTCTGCTCTGCCATCCTTACTTAGTACATGGATTCCACCTCATGGTCCAAGATGACTGCATGTGCTCTGGCCATCACATCTTTATTCCAGGCAGCAGAGAGGCAGGGAGAATAAAAAAAAGGCACTCACATTTCAGAGCTTTTCCAGATCTCCCCCTTTTAAGGACTTCTTCAGTAGTCCCGCTCACATTTTCTTCTTTGACCTCATTGTCTAGAACTTATTCACATGCGTACAACCCACTGCAAGGAGGGCTGATATGTGGTCTTGGCTTGGCATGCTGATGCCCCCAATAATGTTGGGGTTCTCTTTCTAAAGGAAAAGATGAGAATTGATATTAGGTGGCAAACTTGCAATTTCTCCCCTAGTGAGTTTTTCCAACTGTAAGTTGAGGATTATAATAGTTCCCACCTCACACGGGTGTTGTACTCAGTAAGGACTCAATAAACATTAGCTAAATTATTGTACATCAGGAGAAAGTGAAATGCAAAAGGCAAATAATGTTGGCATTACTATGAACATCGTTTGGACATCACAGACTCCGGGATCCCTAGAACACACTTGGAGAACTGCTGCCTTGACAATCACTTAATTCCTGGGCAGTCCAGCCGGCCAAGTCCTCATATGACCTTGAAAGGACACAGCCATTCTTTTGCCTTTACAAAGTTTATATAATTTTTGCTCACATGCATGACCTTGTTTCTTTGGAAGATCTTGCACCATCTGTAATGACCTTTTCTGTGTATGTCTTTGATTTTCCATCTTCCTTCTGGCAATTGTAAGGCTATGAGGCCTTATCAGCCTTATACAGCCAATCAAAGTTGACCTTATAGCTTTGTCCGCCACTGTGCCCCAGCACACGGAAGGAGTGCCACAGACATAAGCTTGACAGTGCTGAACTCTACCCAAACCTTGTGCTCCTGGAAAACAGTGGGGTTTAAGAAATTCCTCCACCCTTTGTCTTCTGGAAAACACCTACTACAAAGAACTCCCTTCTCCATATGACTTAGGTAAGACCCACAAATGCCACCCTGGTTTACCTATGACAAGGCCAGCCCCAGACCCTCCAAATTCCTTTTATCTCATAAATAATTAGTGAAACTGCTTGACCCCAGTAATCAATTGGAACAAAATGCTTGCTAACCAAACTTTGATTAGGCTTCTCTCTTCCCCTAGCCCACTGAATAAACCTTGACTCCACCACAACCTGAGCCAGCATAAGCTCTTCCTGAGACTTGGCTGACCCCAGGGTAGAACATTCTCTGATCTACTACCAGATCCCACCACCCTTTCATCCCGCTTCCCCATACCGTGCTCTTTCTAGCTTTGTTACTTCGCTGTGAAAGGAGAACTTTCTGTCTAACTCTTGAGATGTTACAGAGCTTATGGTCAGAAGTTCTCCCCATTGCAATAGTCCCTCCCACCACCTTGCAATAATCTTTTGGAATAAACTTTATCCTAAGTCTGGATTTATTTTGTACTGGACACACTGAATGAATGAAACAACCATAACTGATCAGAAAGCAGCAATACTAATCCAGCTTTACAAATTCTGTTGTGACTTTTCTTGCCATTAGTCACACTTTGAAATTCTGACTCCTGGATTTGCCAAACCCACCGGGCCATGGCCAGGTGCCTTGGGCCCGAAGTACAGCTGGTGGCTGAGAGCCAGGCCTCTGGAATAGACACACTAGGATTTGGATTTTGGTGCTCTCAACTCAGGATTTTAATCCTTTGTCGGGATGCATTTATTTTCCCCAGATAATATGCTTTTTAATTTTAGTTTGCCTTCCCGTATCCTGGGTCAGGTCATCAGAACAGCTCTCCTAATGAGCCCACATTGAATGAGCACCTCTAGACGCCGCCACTCAGCTGGGCCTTGGAAGTTGTATGGGGACAGTAGTATTCTGGCAATAAATGACAAGTAAATGAACTAGGAAGTACTATGAAGAAACCGTGTTCTCACAGAGCACTAAGGGAGCACCTACATATACCCGCTGGACAGGGGAGAACTCACTGAGAAGATGACTTACTTTGAGGCCTGAGGCTCAGACAGTCCAGTAATGCAAGCAGCTTGAGAGAAGGAGCCTTGAAGCCTGTATTAGGTTCTCCAGAGAGACAGAACCAATAGGAGATACCTATCTATCTACAGATACAGAGTCAGGTCCTCCAGAGAGACAGAACCGATAGGAGATATCTACCTATCTACAGATACAGAGTCAAGTCCTCCAGAGAGACAGAACTGATAGGAGCTATCTAATCTATCTATCTATCTATCTATCTATCTATCTATCTATCTATCTACCTACCTACCTACCAATAGGAGATATCTGTCTATCTATCTATATATCTATTTCTACCTATAGAGAGAGACACAAAGTGAGTGAGTGAGAGAGAGGAGATTAGACTTGGCTCACACAATTAAGGAGACTGAAAGTCCCGGGACAGGTGGGTCTGCAAGCTGGAGACCCTGGGATGCAGATAATATGGTTCAGTGCAGGTCCAAAAACATCAGAACCAGGGAAGCTGATGATGTCACTCTCATTCCAAGGCCAGAGTCTTGAGAACCCTGGGGGTTAGGGGAGGGTAAGTCCTGGAGTCCAGACCATTTTGGGCTTTGTCCACGAAGATTAACAATTTGACTTTTAGTTTAAGTGGGTGTATTAGTCCGTTTTCATCCTGCTGATAAACACATACCCGAGACTGGGCAAAAGAAAGAGGTTTAATGGACTCACAGTTCCACCTGGCTGGGGAGGCCTCACAATAATGGCTGAAGGTGAAAGGTGCATCTCACATGGCAGCAGATAGAAGAAAAGAACTTGTGCAGGGCAACTTCCCTTTATAAAACCATCAAATCTAGTGAGACTCATTCGCTATCTGGAGAACAGCACAGAAAACACCTGCTCCCATGATTCAATCACCTCCCACCAGGTCCCTCCCACAACAGGTGGAAACTGTGGGAGCTACAATTCAAGATGAGTTTTGGGTGTGGACACAGTCAAATCCTATTAGTGGGAAAAGGTTTGTGAGATCTTGTTTTAATGTTTGCTTTGTTGTTTAATCTGATTGCAAGTGAGGGTTAAAAACATTTTCAACCTGTTGACCATTTGCATTGTTTGCTGAATTATCTGCTCCTGTCTCTCTGAGGTCTCCCTCAGACCTGCTGAGGTCTTAGCATCTTTCCTATTCATATGAAGTCTCTCTCAGCGAAGGATTTTAATCCTTTGTTGTGTTCAGTTTATTTTCCCTAGGTTATCTGCTTTTTAATTTTGGTTTTCCTTTTTAAGTAGAAGCTCTGAACTTTGTGCCTTAGTGTGTGAGGTTTTTGTTTTTGTTTTTTTTTGAGATGGAGTCTCCCTCTGTTGCCCAGGCTGGAGTGCAGTGGCACGATCTCGGCTCACTGCAACCTCCGCCTCCGGGTTCAAGCAATCCTCTGTCTCAGCCTCCTGAGTAGCTGGGATTACAGGCGCCCGCCACCATGCCCGGCTAACTTTTTTATTTTTTTTTATTTTTATTTTTTTAGTAGAGACGGGGTTTCACCATCTTGGCCAGGCTGGTCTCGAACTCCTGACCTCGTGATCCACCAGCCTCGGCCTCCCAAAGTGCTGGGATTACGGGCGTGAGCCACCGCGCCCGGCCAGTGTGTGAGAATTCTTCCACCACTTTTCATCTTAAGAAATCCTCGGCCACCTGACATTTGATAAACACGACTTAAGTTTTCTTGGTCCCTGTTGTCCGCATCCATGTTTTACACTCGTGGATTTCTGTTTTCTTCTCGGGGTGGGGCAATGCCTCCCCTGGTGCGGCCCTCAAAGGCCCAGGAGCGCAGATCCCGCCGCAGAAAGACCCCTCGCCCATCTGCGCCCAGCCCTTCCCCGCAGGAGGGCTCAGGGGACCCCACGCTACTGGAATCCACCCCGAGTCACAGCTACAGATCATTACCCACAAGTGGGGTCAAAGGCCTCTTTACGGGCGAGAAAGCTGCGGCTCAGCAGAAAGCCAAGCACTTTGGGAGGGAGGAGCTGAGGTGCCTTATTACTCCGAACAGACGCGAAAACAAGCCAGGGCCCGCGCGGGTAGACCTGGTAGGCGGGTGGGCGGGGCGAGGGCCACTTCCGGGGTGTGGAACCCTGTCGAGCCCCGCCCCGAGCCCCGCCCCGAGCCCCGCCCCGGGCCCTGTGGTCCCGGGATGAGCTCTCCGCGCAGCCAGGCTCGCTCCAGTGCCCGCCCAGCGCTGACTTCATTGGCTGCCTCCCCAGTCCCGCCCCCAGGGGGGCCCTGCTGATGTTCGTAGCCAATCCGCAGGCGCGGTGGCAGCTGCGGGTCGCGGGTCGCGGGTCGCGAGTCGCCGGTCGCCGGTCGCGGCGGAGCCTGGGCGCTGAGGTACCGGGGCCTGGACGAGGGGGCCGCGGTCTGGCTAGGGAGCCGCGCGGGCTCATGGCGGTACGGCGACCTGGCCTCGCTCGAGGGTTCGCGGGCGGGCCGCCCCTCCCCGGGCTCCTAGGGGGACGCTCCAGCTGGAGGGGCGGTGACCGCGACTGTCGTGGGCTGGCCCCAGGTGGCTAGGGTTGGGGGTCAGAGGTCAGAGGTTCTGCCCTCTGGAATGTTAGGGCCCCGCCCGTGGAGCCGTGGAGCCCTGGGGCCGGGCCGCTCCCCATTTTCCTGTCAGCTCTTGTTGAGGTGCCCCATCTTTTCGCAGAAGGGACTTGGAGGGAAGCGGGCCTGGAGCTGCTGCCGCCGCCCCTGAGCTCGGACGCGAAGGCTGGCCCCGTCCCCGGGCTGCCGCCGTGGTCCTGCAGGTGACCCTCAACCCCCCGAGGACCGCCGGCCGCCTCCCGCCTCCGGGCAGGCTCAGGAGCGCGCGGAGCGGGGTGTGGGCCTGTGACCCTCGAAGGCGTGGGCGGGGAGTAGGGGGTCGAGCTGGGGCCGCAGGCTGTCCCCGTACGGGCTGCTCCCCTGTGGCTCCGAAGCCACCTTTTTCTGAAGTTGTCAGCCCGCGTGTTTGAGATTTCGTTTCTGGAATCTCACGCGAACAATCTGGAGAGAGGAACAGGGGTCTTGCGGCTTTGGCTGTTGACTCAAGGGGAAAATAAAAACCAGACAATGGGGATGTAATGAATGCAAAGTGACCCGTGAGCAAACTGGACGCTTTTCTCCGGCTGACAGGCATGAGTTCTCCCCGTAGCTTGCCCCACATACTGTGAGTTAAACTGTGTCAAAGTAAGAGCAGTTTAGCCCCACAGTTCTGAGCAAGAGTCCTTAGCGCTGACCTTCTTAGTGAAGATACTTTGCAATGTGTAAAATATTGAATACAAAATTATTGTGCAAAGCTTCTGAGTTGAAGATTCTGAGTGCGCGGAGGCTGGCGGCAGCCCTTACTTGCCATTGCAAGGATCTCAACTTACTACTCTGAGAGCAAAAGTAGTTGTTTCTTTACAGATGTGGGTTTAGGGGAGACAGCTATGGATGAGGAACAGGGGCGGGGTTCGTTTTCTGCACAAAACGTATGCGATTAGAAAAAACAAAGGGTTTTTATTCTGCCTATCTTCTTCCATCTCAGCCAGCATAAGCACATTCTTTTTTTTCTGTTGATGATGTATGCTGAGTATTTGCAGCGATTAGGAAAAGGAATACTCTCTAACAAGACACTTCTCTTTAAACGAGGCGGTGGAGGGATGATTATGTCTTCTGTGGAATTAACCCTCCGGCTTGATTTTCAGTGAAGAAAATGAGGCACGAGGAATTGTTAACCAAGACCTTCCAAGGCCCAGCTGTTGTGTGTGGGACTCCGACCAGCCACGTATACATGTTTAAGAATGGCAGTGGGGACTCGGGGGACTCTTCTGAAGAAGAGTCTCACCGTGTGGTTTTGCGGCCCCGGGGCAAGGAGCGCCACAAGAGCGGTGTCCACCAGCCTCCCCAGGCGGGAGCAGGTGACGTGGTGCTGCTGCAGCGGGAGCTGGCCCAGGAGGACAGCCTCAACAAGCTGGCGCTGCAGTATGGCTGCAAAGTAAGACACCCCTCAGGGGCCCTGCCCCGCTCCGTTTCAAGGAACACGGGGAACTCACTGCAGGGTGGGTGCCCTTGCCGCCCTTCTTAACCCTGCCAGGCCGTCAGGAGAGGCCTGCTGTAGCAGCCAAGGACTCCCCTATTTAGCCAGAATTGGAATGCAGGTGGGAGTACCTTTAGTTCCCAACCCTGGCCCCCAAAGAGGGAGGGTTAGCGCATTTCTTTCTCTGCAGGGAACTTCTCCTTTTCCTGTTTTCTCCACACTGAAATTCTGAAACCTTTTTTCTTCTTTCGAGCACATTTTATTTTAGACCTAATGGGGCTGGAGATACCAGGCAGAATTTAATTCCGGATTTCTATGGTATGCTTGCTTTTCTCGCTGCTCTTATTTTTCTGAACCTTTCTTGGTGGTAGCTTACTTGACTTTTGGTAAAGTTTTACCTTCTCTCGTTTAGAACTGCATGGTCTTTTGTATGCTGTGTATCTATATAACCCTGTTTTTCTCTAATTATGTTTTCAGCATTCAGAGTGATTAACAATGGCAAAGTAAGTAGGAAAGTATTTCTAGAATTGCTGCATTTTCTCCTAGATTGCAACTGTTTCACTTTGCTAACACTGTGCTACAGATTTGTATGGCCTTCTCTAGGGGTATATAAGCTACTTAATTTAAGAAATCTCTTTCTCCTACAAGTGTCTTATCTAACAAGGTCCAAATGTCTGAAACATGTTGTGTGGGGTGTTGCGGTCTTTCAGGGAAATAAACAGGTTGGTCTCCGGGGACACATAGTGGTCTTTAAATTGTACTGACAATTATATTTGGCTCCGATAAGCAGCTTCTGCAGGCATACTGTGTGGCTTACAGAACATGGGCTGAAAAATGAAGCCTGTCCTACAAAGACCGGAATAGATGGAGTAGGCTTCTTGGTATGGTGATGTCTAAATCCGTAAAGAATATATAAAGCCTTTGATAAGTGATCAGTTTTCCTATTTGAAGTAAATAAATTTGCTCTTAATTTATTGAAGGCAGAGACAGAAAGATCTCAAGGGTCTCATGCATTAGATTCAGGACATAGTGAATTAAAAATGTCCCCTACCCCAAATCAGTTACAATAACAGCAGTTGCTGAATAATAATGGAAATGATTGATTTGATTGAGATCTGTTGGCTGTATTCACTTTCTAGTTTAAGTGGACTTAAGTGTTAAAAGTTTGGAGTTCATCTCTGATGCTTTTGGAAAGTTTTCAAACATTAGTTTGAGGGAGGGGTTACCCTTTGACTTACATTCTCCCTGCTTCTTAAATCTTCGTGTTTGATTATGAGAGGAGTTTGTCATGAACTTTGTTACTTGATAAAACTCACAGCATTATTCCTTTTTCCTGACAGTTAAGTACAGTAACTGTAAGTCACTTTTATTTAATAAGTTTACATGCCCCACAGTGTTTCTGGGAAAGAAAATGCCGAGGGCATATCTGTCAACTTTATTACAGGTAAACTGGATTTTGAGTGTGTCTGCAGAGCTGGCTGAGGCTGTGTGTTTGGTGAATGCTAACATCTGGCAGCCACTGAGTTCTGGCATGAGGGGGAAGGCAGGCAGATGGGGGCACTATTGCCTCAAAAGTGAAAGGTGGAAAAGGCTGCAACATTCCTTTCAGTGCCATGGTGGTTTCGCCCAAAGCGATTTGTTGCAGTCACACTTTAAACAGTTTAAGAAAGATCTGTTTTTCAAAACTGATCTTAAATTGTTCAAACCTGTAAATCTTTAGGAATATCTGATTACTAAACTATATATTGAGGTTGAGTGAAAGCCAAAAAAACAAAATTTCAGCCTAAACTAACTTTGTGTACAGCTGCAGTTTTCCAGTCTTCATCAGATTCGTCAGTGAAGTGGGCTTGAATCATCACCCAGAAAGATTAAGAGCCACTTTTTGGAAAGTTATTTTTAAGGAGCTCCGCATATTTTATGATGTTTATCTTCGTGCCTTCCTAGGTTGCAGATATCAAGAAAGTCAACAACTTCATCAGAGAACAAGACTTATATGCTTTGAAATCTGTTAAGATTCCAGTGAGAAACCATGGGATCCTGATGGAGACCCACAAAGAACTGAAACCCCTTCTGAGCCCGTCTTCCGAGACCACAGTGACCGTGGAACTGCCAGAGGCAGACAGAGCAGGCGCGGGCACCGGTGCCCAGGCCGGCCAACTGATGGGCTTCTTTAAGGGGATTGACCAGGATATTGAGCGTGCAGTGCAGTCAGAAATCTTTCTACATGAAAGTTACTGCATGGACACCTCCCATCAGCCACTGCTCCCGGCACCTCCGAAGACGCCTATGGATGGTGCAGATTGTGGCATTCAGTGGTGGAATGCTGTTTTCATCATGCTGCTGATTGGTATTGTCTTGCCTGTCTTTTATTTGGTCTACTTTAAAATACAAGCTAGTGGTGAGACCCCTAATAGCTTGAACACAACTGTCATCCCCAATGGCTCGATGGCAATGGGTACAGTTCCAGGGCAAGCCCCCAGACTAGCAGTTGCAGTGCCAGCCGTCACTTCTGCAGACAGCCAGTTCAGTCAGACCACCCAAGCGGGGAGCTAAGCTTTGTTTTTAAAGACTAGGCCCAGCTTTAGCAATTGGCTGTTGATGTGCCTCAGCTGTCACTGGCGATGTCCTAGGGGTGCTGCATTTTGCTTCCGGGGAAGGATGGACACTTTTCAGAAGTCACTGCAGTATTCCCAATTGCACTGGCCCTGGGCATGGCCTTACCCAGTCTAAGCTGGCAGGATCTAAAACAGCAGCGACCTCGGCCCCTATCCAGAGAGGTGCAGCAAGAGAGCCATTTCCCTGTGACATTTAGTGGACTGGCCAGTTCATAGCAGCACTGTGAGGACCCCCAAGTTGGACGTGCTCGGAGGGAAAGATTTATGGCCTCTGTCGAGGGACCTGCAGCGTGAGAGCCAGTGGCATCTGCGCGGCTTGCCTGGCTCTTGCTGTATCCTCACTTCCTGTGGAGCGGGGATTGGCTCTGAGAAGGAGTGTTCTCTGTCTGCCTGGCAAAGGTGCTGTGGAATAGGCTTGGCATGCCACCCTGTTTTAGAGAGTGACAGTTACAGTTGTAACAAGCCTACTTCATATTGGCCCCCTCAGTTAGCCTTTTTGAGGCAATGCCATTTCTAGAGTTGAAAAAGCCCTGGACCCAAACTGCGGCACTGTTGAATAAAGGGCAGTCCTACTCCTGTCCTTTTAGAGTGGCTTAGTGTGACACACAGGCATCTCCCAGGCCAAGCACACACAGGCTGCGCCCAGTTCCGCAGGAGCCGTCCCACAGCGTGGCTCTCTGGATTCTCCCACTTGTCCTCCTTGGAAGGAGCTCTTGCTGGCCAGTGTTTGGAGGGGAGGATGAGTGCCTGTCACTGAGGCCTCACTATGGTTGGCGTCTGAAGCTGGGCGGTCGTCAGGCCTGTGCTGAGAGCCGCAGCCCCTGTGCACACCTAACACAGGGCGCTCCCCCTGCTGCTTCCCTGGCTCAGTTCTTCGGAGCTCCAGAGTGAGAAGGCCGCTTCGTCCTTTTTCTCTGGGTGATGCCCTTAGAATAACACTATATGCAATGTAACTCACAATGTTCCAGGACCAAAGACTTGATGGAGGGGCTAGAGGCGACCCTTGTTGTAAAAGGCGATCAGAACACCTGAGGGAGGAAGGGGCTTGCAGTTTTCCCAGCCCTTCTCGCTGCCAAGGCAGCAGTGGTGCTGTGGATGGGCTGGGGACTGCGGGACAGAGCCTGCTACTACTTGGGAGTTGGTGCTGCCCTGTGGCATGGAGGGGTGGGAGGGGCTGAGATGGCTGCTGGCCCGGCCTCCAAGAGTTCTGGACAGGAGGCAGACACTGCCCAGATGCTCGGTGGAGGGACAGTGATGGCCTTTGACTCATGAGGCCTGGAGAAAAGTATCAAAGGTCTCACCATGTAAGAGTGATTTCCGATTTCTCTCCTTTCAGTTGTGTGAAAAAACAGCTGGCCTGGGTTCCATTAGCAAATTAAATCATCTTCAATCTTAAATTAGAAACCAGAATGATCTTCAGGATAAAAAGAACTTCTGAATCTCTGCAATAGGAAATGTTTCGATCATGCAAGTGCTTTCCCAGCCAAATGTCTGTGCTCTCTGTGTCACTGAGGGCCACAGGTTCCTCTAACATCTGTCACTGTCACTTCACCAGGCAGGCCTTGGAGTTCCATGACAAAATCACTTTTGTCAGACAAAGAATGTATCCTTTACTTTTCTCAAATGGAATAAAATTATTTCTTCTGTGGAGGAAAATTGATTCCCCCTTTTTATTTAATTTTTTTTTGGAGACAGTCTCACTCCTTCCCCCAGGCTGGAGTGCAGTGGTGCGATCTGGGCTCACTGCAACCTCCACCTCCCGGGTTCAAGCGATTCTCCTGCCTCAGCCTCCTGAGTAGCTGGGATTGCTATCACACATCACCATGCCTGGCTGATTTTTGCATTTTTAGTAGAGATGGGGTTTAGCCATGTTGGCCAGGCTGATTTCGAACTCCTGACCTCAGATAATCTGCCCACCTCAGCCTCCCTAAGTGCTAGGATTACAGACGTGAGCCACTGCACCTGCCTCAACCTTTTAAAATTTGGGGATTGATAATTTAGCGTTAAAAGATGTGGGATGCTGCTGGAGAAGATGGAGGTGTCTGTCAGGAGTGAGGACTGTGCCTGTTCCCTGCACCTGGCCACCAACTTGGGGCTTGTACTGTGCCCGAGGTTACTCAGACAGGTGCAGGACAAAGTGGTGACCAGTGCTCTAGGGATGATTGATCACTGATTGATCTGTATACAGGCTTTAATATTGCTTTATTAGGTGTATATAAGAAATAACCACGATACTTCCTATTCCACATTTTGCTATGTTTTCAGTGTCTTTGGGGAGGGAATATTTTAGAGAAATAGGTTTGCTATCTAGTCTCCAGTCTTTTTGGTTGAACTATAGTGCTGAATGTTGAAGCCCAAGGAATCTCCATTGTCAAGCAAATGATGCTTTAATTTTACTCTGGAGAGACAAAGCTGCAGGGACTAGGCAGACACCTCAGGGTCACCCAGAACCGCCACTGCCCAGCAGAGGTGAGGAAGGTGTGGCCCGGCCTAGGAGCATGTTGGGAGGACAGTCAAGGCCCCGCCATGCAAGGCCTTCTGCGCTGCAGTAGGGGGAGTGTGGAGGGGAGGGGTGGGAGGAGATGTGCCTGAAGTCATGGAATTAAAAGCCACTTGGGGCCAGGCACAGTGGCTCATGCCTGTAGTCCCAGCACTTTGGAAGGCCGAGGCGGATGGATCACTTGAGGTTAGGAGTTCGAGACCAGCCTGGCCAATATGGTGGAATCCCCTCTCTACTAAAAATACAAAAATTAGCTGGGCCTGGTGATGTGGGCCTGTAGTCCTGGTTACTTGGGAGGCTGTGGCACGGGAATGGCTTGAGCCCAGGAGGCAGAGGTTGCAGTGAGCCGAGATCGGGCCGAGATCTGGGAGATAAAGCGAGACTCAGGCGGGAAAAAAAAAAAAAAAAAAAAAACCACTTGAGACAGCGGAAGCCTGGGCTCAGCTGTGGGAAAGGCCCAACGAGCCATGACCATTTCCTCTTTGGGGAAGACTGGGCTGCAGCCCCAGGAGCAACAACAATCATATAAGCCATGGTGCTTCCTGGATGCCACAGTGCTCTAAGAGCTTTATATGCTCACCCACTTTACCCTCACTACCTCCCTACGACGCAGGCACTTCTATCCCCAGTTTACAGATGGAAAAAGCAAGCTGCTTACGACCACACAGCTGGTAAATGGGGGTGTTTGGGAGCCTGTGCTCTTAATCCGTTTCTGCTCTGCCACCTGCTTGACAGTCCACTGTGGGCTTGGGGTAGGGCACCTGTGGCATGATCCAGGCTCACAGAACATGGGGGATGCTTAAGGTCTCCCAAGGCAGGACTTCAGGAGGGGACAGCAGAGAAAATTTCTACTGGCCCACTTGGGGTACTGGCCTCACAATAAGAAAAGTTAGATCCATTGCCTGAATCGCAGTAACTGTAGAATCAGCATTTACCTGCCCATTTTCTTGGTGGAGAATCAACTGGATTTAGCCTCTGAGCCAGTGAACCAGGCCCCTTGTGTTGGGGTGATCAGACCCAACACCAGGTTGTGGGGGCCACGAAGTCCAGCAGAGTCAAAGGATTGAGAAAAAGACAGTTTGAGAAGTAAAGTGGGACTAGGGGGCCATCGCGATCGTGGAGGCCGCAAAGGCTCCGAGCTTTGGGAACCCATGCTATTTATTGGTAATCCAACAAAGAAACAGGTGGTGAGAATGTGGAGGTCAAAAGGGCAGACACATGATCTATAGCTGTTATGGTTTAGCATTTACAAGGAACATGTTCTGCTACTTGAGATAATGGAAATACAATTGATCTAGGAGCCTAGGAGGGCTAGAAGTAAGGAGCCAGGAAGTCTAGACACATTCTAGAGGACATTATGTCGCACATGCAAGCACTGCCTCAGCTTTCTTCCCAACACCTTGCCTTTGAGTAACAGAGACCGTCAGGAAAGGAGCCTCCCTTACCTGCTTCCTTCCCGGCACTTAAGGCCTTGGGACAGGTCTTCCAAGCTTATTTCCAGAGACAGGTTATGGCTGGTCTCAGGCCAGGCGGGGGAACAGGGCTCGGAGAGTGTGGATAGCATCCAACTTGCCTGTTCTCCAAGTCTGGTGCAGTGGAGCTGCTGTGAGGAAGGGCAGCCTCCTTGCTCCTGCACCGCCAGTCACACCCCACTGCCCCTGGAAGGACCAGTGTGGTGATGAAGTGCAGCTCCAACCTGTGACCTGTACCCCTTCCCATGCCTGCTCAAAACTTGCACAGAGACTGCCACCACAGTGCCAGTGAGGAGGCAGGGAGTCCTTACCACACCTGGGGGAGACTTTCTCACACCTTTGGAAAACACTGGGTTGTTGTACATCACCATTTCACTATCCTGAATAAGGAACATGGGCTACTTTCCATCTATTCATCCATAACCTGCCAGAACACCAATTATATACCAAGAGGTGATGGGATAACATGACATGGCCCCTGTCCTCAAGGTGCTTATAACCTAATGGGATATGACCTATGCCAGGGCTGGGCGCAGTGGCTCACGCCTGTAATCCCAGCACTTTGGAAGGCTGAGGTGGGCAGATTGCTTGAGCCCAGGAGTTCGAGACCAGCCTAGGCTGAACATGGTGAAACCCCATCTGTAATGAAAAATTACAAAAATTAGCCAGGCACAGTAGCATGCGCCTGTAGTCCCGGCTACTTGGGAGGCTGAGGTGGGAGAATGGCTTGAGCCTGGGAGGTGGAGGTTACAGTGAGCTGAGATTGTGTTGCTGCACTCCAGCCTGGGCATCGGAGCCAAACCCTGTCTCAGGAGAAATAATGATAATTTTTAAAAAAGACCTATGCCAGAGTAGAGATACGGTAGAACACACGATGGCCCACAGAGGGAAATATATGACAAGTGGCTAATAAAACATCTGGAGGAGATGACATTTCCTTAGTCGACATCTGAAAGAAGGCTGGGATTTAGTAATATGGCAGTGGATGGTTCTTTTCAAAGAGGACTGTCCAGTGTGAGCGAAGGCCTAGAGGCTGGAAACGGGGGACTATGTAGACAGGGAACTATGAATAGTCTGGTGGCCTGGCGTGAAGGAAATGTAAACGGAGCTGTGGGAAAATGCTGCAGTACTAGTTTGAGGCTAGGTTCTAGGCAACGCTGAATTCCACATTTAAGTGATCTGGACATGATTTGATGGACAGTGGGAAGCTACGGAAAGTCTTGGAGCAATAGCGAGTTGATGAGCACTGAAGTGAAGAATGCTGGTCACAGTTTTGGAGAGGCTTGGTTGGAGGAGTGGAGACCTTAAGAGATGTCTCGATTTTTACTCATGGGATTTTAATTGATACAGGCGATGCATGACAGCATGGAGACATTGCTTCTTCCTGGTGTCATCGCAAGAAGCTTTACTACTTGTAATTCCCAAGAGAAGGGAGCACACCAGGCCCCACAGGGCCATAGGGATGCACCAGTGTTGGTCAGGAGGCAGAAGGGAGCCAGGGGCACGCTCAGGCCAGAGGCTTCGTCGTGTTTCTGGGGGAAAGGGAAGGCAGGGCAAGGCAAACAGGCTAGTCCTGGGAACAGCAGTCTCTCCTCAGTCAGCAAGGCCCACAAAGCCAGAGCATCAAGAATACAGAAGATAAGAAGCAGTTACCACAATAAGAAAGAGTTAATACAATTGGCCCTGTGATGAAGGGATGCTCAACAGACAAATGCAGAATCTAAGAAAGCCCAGAACAGGAGGCGGTGCAGAACTGGCTGTGTGATTCTGAGGGGCCTCGGTGTGGCTTTCTTCATATTTCTGTTTGGGGCTCATTGTTTCTTGGATCTGTGGGTTTGTATAGTTTCATCTAATTTGGACAAATTTTAGCCATTGTTTCTTTGAAAACTTTTTCCTCATTATTTCCCTCCAATTATATAGCTCATTTATATTTTATTCATTTTTTTATTGTCTCCTGTTTTATTTTGGATAGTTTCTATTGCTGTTTTCCTCTGTAGTATCTGTCTAATCTATAGTAATTCCATTCAGTGCGTCCTTTTTTTAAAAAAAAAACAAAACAAAACAGAGTCTTGCTCTGTCACCCAGGCTGGAGTGTACTGGCGTGATCTTGGCTCATTGCAACCTCCGCCTCCCAGGCTCAAGCGAATCTCCTGCCTCAGTTTTCCAAGCAGCTGGGATTACAGGCGTGCACCAGCATGCCTGGCTGATTTCTGTGTTTTAATAGAGACGGGTTTTTGTCATGTTGCGCAGGCTGGTCTCAAACTGACCTCAAGTGATCCGCCCGCCCCAGCCTCCCAAAGTGCTGGCATTAGAGGCATGAGCCGTTGGGCCTGGCCCAACGCATCTTTTACTACAGGTCTTTTTAATCTCTAAAGGTTCTGTTGGAGTCTTTTAAATATCTTCTATTTCATCATTGTGTTTGTATATTCTGACACATGGAGGATATTTGTAATAGCTGTTTCACATCCTTATCTGCTAATTCCGTCATTTATGTCATTCTGGGTCCATTTGTTGATCTCTCCCTCCATCTGCCTCCCATTATAGATTGTATGTTCTTGTTTTTCTACATGTGTGGTAATTTTTTGTTGGATGCTAGACATGGTGAATTTTATGTTGTTGGATGCTGGATTTTGTTGTCTTCCTTTAAATAGTTTGTGCTTTGTCCTGGGGCATGGTTACTTGGAATGAGTTCAGTCCTTCTGAGGCTCACTCTTCTGCTATGTTAGGGCAGGTGTAGAGCAGCATGTAGTGAGCACTCATTCGGCCCTGCTCCCGGGGCAAGGCCTTCTGAGGATTTTTTCAGTCCTGCTCCTGTGGTGATGCCTTTTTAAGATTCTCCGAATGCTGTGTGCTTTAGGAGGTCTCACCACCGAACACACACAGCATTAATAAACTAGGTAATAATCACCTCATAATCTATCTGGTGGGAACACAGATGATTCCTGGCCCTGGGTAAGCTCTGGGAATTGTCCCGCCTACTTTTTTCTGTTGGCTCTTTTCCTTGACTCTGCGGTTTTCTCACATGCATGTACAGGCCAGTACCCAGCCAAAGACTTGGGGGAATCTCTGTCCAGCTTCCCCCTCCCCAGTACTGTGCCCCCACAAATTCTAGATGCCTCAGACTCCCTGAACTCCAAACTCCATCTCCTCTACTTGGCAAGACCACCTGGCTCTGTCCTATGGTTTGCAAACCCTGCAGGCGGTGAGCTGGGGCACTCATCAGTTTCACCTGGTTTATTTCTGGTCTCTCAGAGATCACTGTCCTGCACTGCCCGTTGTCCAAGGCCTCATATTTTCTTGGATTCTTTAAAGTGAAAGAATACACCTGGTTGCTGTTATTCTAATATGGCCAGAAACAGAATATCATAGGCCAGGGTCAGGGGAGGGGCAGCCAAAATGGTGGCATGACGGGGCAAGACTGGTTCTGAGGCAGGGCCAGGGGAGCAGGCCTGTCAGTGGACTCTGATTTGTGAGCCTGGACTGGATCATGGGACAGGAAGCCAAAAGGGGCAGATTTTTCTTAGAAAGGCTTAGGAAGGAGTCCACTAAATTCCATGCACTGTGAAACAGCTGCTCTGGAGGTGTGTTGTTGACTTAGTTCAATCAACATGACTGCATTCCCCCTGTCAAGTGCCAGGCTCCCTGTTTCTGAGAGTCTTAGCTCAGCTGAGTAGTTAGAAAGGAAGGATAGCCCATGTACCAGTCATCCAGGCAGTGGCAGTGTCACCCTGGCTCCTTATGGGCACTTTGAGATCAGTGCTCCTCCCTCCTCCCTAAATCCTCCTGCTTCTTTGAAGCACGTATTGTCAGAACACAGTTCCTGCCCCATTTCCTTGTTGCATCATCTACAGATCTTCTGGTCGCTTCCTTTCCTCCACTGATGACTTTAGCACCTGTCTTCATCCTTGATACCCCTGCAGGTCAATGCTTCCCCATCTTTTTCAGGTTGTATCACATATAGAAAAGAATCAAATATGTCTAGCACCCCGAGGTAAACCAGAGGGGATCTCATGATCTTCACATGAACCTTAGTGTCTTAGACAAAGGGGGCAGTGGTAGTTTTGTTCTATTTTGGTTTGTTTTTGAAACGGGTGATAGAAAAGCATGCTTTTGTGCTGACAGGAAAGATCTAGGAGAGAGGGAGAAATTGATGCTGCCAGAAAGAGGGGACAGTTACAGAAGCGAAGACCTTGAGAAGGAGATGATGAGACCCAGGATGCAACACAGAAGGCTTGGACTTAGATAAGGGCACCAAGGTCCCTCGACAGTGCCTGGAGGGAAGATTCCTGGATATCACGTGAGAAGGTGAGGTCGGTCTCATCAGATTCCATCTATTTTCTCAATGGAAAATGTGAGAGGAAGTAACCAGCTGAGAAGAGAAGGAAGTGGTCTTGGAGGTGTGAAAGGAGAGGAGATGCAGTAAAATAGTTACGTCTCAAAGGGAGGAAGCCGGCATGCCAGGAAGCTGCAGCTGCATCTCTGGGCAGTGTTGAGAGCCATTTACAATTTACGGTCATGAGGAATGAAAACAGTCCAGAATTAGCCCCTTTACTCAGTGAAGTAAAGATGATCTTTCTAATAAATGGTACTGGGACAAGTTGAGAGCCTTGAAACTTGTGTATTTTTCTTTTTGTAGAGAGGAGGTCTTGCTGTGCTGCCCGGCTGGTCTCGAATTCCTGGGCTCAAGTGATCCTCCCACCTCAGCCTCCCAAAGTGCTGGGATTATGGATGTGAGCCACCACACCTGGCCATAGAGAGCCTTTGGTAAACACATAAAATTAGATCCACATACAAGAACAAACTCCAAATGCATCAGCAATCTAAAAGTAAAAGATGAAACCATACTAGAACAAGAGTACGTGGGTGACTTCCTCTCTAACCTTGGTGTACGGAAAATATTTCCAAATGTAACTCAAAATCTTTAAGCAATGAGATTGATAAATTTGACTCCATAAAAATAAAATTTTGCGTGACTAAAGTACCACAAAAAAGTTATTCATAGCACACACACCAAAGGGTCAATATCCCTAATATAAAAGTAACCCTTACAAGTTGGAGGATGAAAATAAAAAATCTAATAGAAAAATGAGAAAAAGAACAGAAATTCACACACTTGAAAGATATTAAAATGTTCTCAAACATATGAAAAAAATGCTCAATCTCACTCATAATAGAGAAAGGCAAATTACAACATTGAGATACACTTCTCAGACTGGTAAAAATAAAAAATAGGACTGCACTCTGTTGGCAAGGATGTCCTCCTACACCGCTGGAGGAAATGCAAATTGATACATCTCTGGAGGCAAATTTGGCGATACCTTGCAAAACTACAGGTGAACTCCCTCAGCAATCCCACTTCTAGGAATCTACCCTGAAGATACATCTTTAAAAATACAAATATACGCATGTGTAGGGCTATTCATTGACGACTGCAGAATATTGGGAACAGCCTAAATGCCTAGCACCATGGTACATCCACACCATGGATGAAAACGTCTATGAACTAATCACTCTATGGAGTGATTTCCAGCTAGACTATTAAGTGGAAAAAGCAAAGCTGCCTATTTGTGCAAGTACAGGAAGGCTTAAACCAGAAACTAAAGAGACTAGTTGTCTCTAGGGGCGGGTGAGAGAGGCGGGGATAGGAAGAGGCTAGCAGGGGTGAAGAGAGAATGCTTTTCTGAGCATCTTTTTGTATAGCTTAGAAACACAGTAATGTTTCAGATACTATTCATACACCCCTCAAAATAAATCATTAAAACCAACTAGGATGGGGAGGGTGCCGAAAGTGAAATAAAACACGAACAGATGAAGCTAACCATGTTACAAATAGTAAGATAACCACACTGAAGGGACTGGGAACTACAAGTAACTGGAAACCACTGTCTTGACTGGATAGTGTAAGGCCAAAGGCAAAAACCACAAAACCACATAAATGCTCTCATCTAGTCAGTCAATGTGTGTTCCCTACACGGGTATGGGCAGTTCTGAAAATAAGTGTACACTGGAACTGAACAATAAGTAAAAGGACTGTAGATAATAAGAGCTGGGTTCCCCACCACAGGAGAAAGAAGTTACAAATGAATCCAAAGCATTCGCGTAAACCATGGCTTTTGACATGTTTAGGTAATTAGGAATATGGATGGATGTGTGTGTGTGTGTGTGTGTGTGTGTGTGTGCGCATAACTACATGTATTTCCTTGTTGTGTCTGCAGAAAGAGTCCGAAAGAGGTGATACCCTGGTAACAATAAGCACATCTATTGCCCAGATCTGGTTTCCAAATACCATTCTCCAATAAAGGGAACCAGGAATAGTGGAAAAAGTGGTTGACCCAACACCACAAGATGAGTGTGGAGCACCTGTGGTGCCAGAAAGGACATGCTAAGGGTGTGGACAGACTCAGATTTCACATGGAAGGCCACCTGATCAAGCTCCTCATGGCCAAAGCTGGAACAAGTGGAGGAGCAAAATAATGACAGGATTATAGCCCACAGGAGAAATAAAATCCGAGTCCACAATGACATAATGAGTAACGAAATGAGAAGGGACAGCTGTTCCTCGCAGCAGAATTCCAATGAATAAATGTGGAAGAAAACAGGCAGCTACCACAGCTATAGACGCTGCACAATTAGTGGGTGAAAATATAACCCTGCAGTCTCAAGGTATCTCCCCCAATATATGTATCAATTACAAAGGGAGAGAAACTTTTTACATTGAAGAAACCCTGTAAAAACCACTGAACCAAGTGATCAAAGTCAGTATCGCCTGGAATAAGACACCAACATGGACCCCATGATGCATTAGGGACATACCATTTCTGTGGTTTTCCCGCCAAAATGCACAACTTCCTTCCAATCATCACATTAGACACATCCACACCGAGCGGTATTAGACAAAATAACCGATCAGTATTCAAAAGTGTCAAAGGTTATATAAGAAAAGCTGTAACAAGTGACAAAGGGAATGTGGGATCCTGGATTGGATCCTAGAACAGGCATGAGTGGAAAAAATGGGGAGATTCAAGTAAGGTATTTAGTTAAAAATGCTGTGTCAATATTAATTTCTGGGTTCTCGTACTTGTACTATGGTTATGTAAATGTTAGCATTAGGGAAAGCCCGCTGAGGGATATGTGGAAACCACATTATTTTCCCAACTTTTCTGTAAGTCAAAAGTGAGTTCAAAATGAAGTGTATACACTAAGAGTAAAAAAAGGGGGGACTGTGTAGTGAAACCAGTCAGTACAACTGCTTTCTTTCTTCCACAGCTGCGTTTGCTTTGGTTAGCTAGAAAGCAGGCCCATCATGCATCTGTAAGAAAGTGACTGGAGTGTAGGCCCTGGCGTCTAAGCCGAGTAAGATGCCCTGTCAATCTGGGTCCTCTGGGAAGCAAGACTGATGAAATGAGGAGCACCAAAGCTTTACACCCCAGCTATGTGCATTTGGGGCTGGGGCTGCCTGGGAAGAGCTCGTCCTCAGCCCAAAGCCTGCAACAGCTGGGATCAGGGCTTACCTCTCACAGACGGGGCTCAGCAACTTTCTGCGGGATGAGGACACAAGCCCACTTGACCTGGAACGTCTGAAACCTCCTGGCCCCGTGGAAGATGGGAAGAAACACTCCTCTTCCTCTCAGTTTTACAACCGAGTGGTCCTCGGGCTGCTTGTGAGCACCGGACGACCGACCGAGCAGGCTGCAGCCAATCAGCTGGCACAGGGCTCCGACTGAAAATCATCTTGGCTGGTGCCACAGAATCGGCCTGAAAACAGGATACTGCCTAGAGCAAGGCACCCAGGGGAGCCAAGCAGGAAAATGTAATGAATTGACTTTAAGTAGCTGCAGCTGTGATTAGAGTATTTTTAGCCACAGGACTCAACCAGCTTTCAAAACCTGCTAATAAGAGCCCCACCGTAGCCAGCGCAAAAATTTAGTTTTCAGTTTAACACCAGGAATCTGCTTAGCTAGGAGCTGGCTTAGAAGGCACATCAGGAGAGAACATCTTCTACTGAAAGTTGAAGATTTTTCATTTTCTAGCTGAATTATGACAAAGGGAGATGACCATTAAGTGCCTGCCAGCATACTGGGACGTACACCTAACACTCTGAAAACTCAATTCATGCCAGCACATCTGTCTTCTGCTGCATCTAGCTCAGCATCATGTATGTATTTTGGGCAAAACTAATCATTTCACACCCTAGACTTTAAAGAGACCCAGAATCTAATGATAGCTAACATACCCACCCCCTCTAACAGGCTTTGGCGTATTTCCTGTGAGAAGCAGTTACTGGAGGCCGAATGGATTCCACTCATCCACAGCACTGTGCATGCAACAGCCAGATTAGGCCCCGGTGGGACTGCGTGGCCCACTGCTTCCTATGGGCTCCAGGGCTGCCCAGCAGGGATGACCCGGGAGCCGACAAGGGGGAGGCCAGTGGGGGCGTTGGGACGGTTTCCTTGACCCTGTCTCAACCCAGAGAAAGAAGCCTGCAGGTGAAAAAGGTCTTCGTGAAAGGAATGAAAAAGGAGAGGGCTTTAGGGGAAGGGGCTGCCTGGTGGCAAAGCCAGCGCCTTGTGTCCCCAGGCAAACATGACAGAGTCTCGACGCACAGGAAGAGCCAGTCCGTCTTTACTGGAGTGAGTGCGGGAGACAAACAGTTTACAACAACCTTTAGCATTGTCTTCACCATTTGATAAAAAGTTCACTATTATATTTATTGTATAATGAAGAAAAACAACACATTCAGGGAAAAATTGAGATTAACTTATTTTTCTTAAAAGGTTCATCTCAAGGATGGCAACAAAGTCCAGCTTGTGCCGCCAAACGGTTTTACATGATCAAACCGTGTACAGCTTCTTGTGTGAACTGTTGACTACAAACATTTACCAAATACATAAATCTCTTTTAAAAAAGCCATTTTAAATATAGCAAAGCAGTGTCTTCTTGCACAGCAAAGTGAAGAAAGTTTCTACAGAGAAATAGAAGTTTTACATTTGTAAAATCTTTTTCACATTCTAATCATCTAGCTTAAGATCCAATGCCAGGAGTTTTCAGCTTCCTTATTTACTATGTATTTCTTGTGCGCATGATGGTTAATACAGAAATTATGTTGATGCATTACTAGTTATCCTTCTAGTTAAAGGAAAGGGTAAAACATGTATTGTTCTTGTAGAACAAACCCCTGATTTAGTCTATAACAAAATGGACATAATTGGGCTCAAAAGATGGAGTTTTGATTGGGACCACCTGTGTACACACAACAGTGACTTCCACTCGCGGTGGAGTGGCCATTAGAGTACTGAGGAAGGACAGCTGTTGGAAACTGTACTTTAACCAGTGCAATTTAAGCTTTTTTTGCTTTTGTTCTTTAGTAATAAAATACTTCTGGAGGGATAAAATTTTCTTGCAATGGTGTCTCATACAAAACACGAGTCTAAAAGGGTAAGAAAAGACGGTTCTAAAGCAACACCATTAGCGTCGTCCCCTCTCTAGGCTGGTTTCCACCCAGAGATGTGGATGTGGGTGTGTTCACACGTGGGCGTCTGGGTGAGAGATGTCTGTCAAGTCCATATGCTCCATGCCACACTGGACGTATGGGAAAAAGGTTAACAGTCAAATATTCAGTTCCTGAAATGGAATACATTGTTACTTGGTCAGTGTAATTTAAATACAAACTCCGAGCCTTGAGTAGTAGTATTTTAGAAAACAGTAGTTGTACTGATTATAAACCTGCATAGAAAGAAAGACTATTGAGATACAGTCAGAAAAGCCATCTCATAAGGCACACAAGAAAATAGACAGTAAATGTGAATGTGTTAACTCCTATTCCAATGTACAGCAGAAGTTCATGAACATGCATAAATAATAACGAAGGAATCACTTAACACTTTCAAAGCTATAAATGGTTTACAAAGTGGTAAGGATTATTTTGGAACTTCAGTGTTGGGAGACTGTCTTGTTTGGATTAGGTGTGGCCTTATGAAGAAATGTGCCTGTAAGTAGTTCAGTAAAGTAAGTACATTTTTAAAGAAAAATCCTTTCTGAATAAGAGCCTAATGTCTATACTGAAGAGAGGAGACAGCATGTCATCCTCCTTTTTTTGGCCTCTCTCAAAAGTTACTGCCCAAACTGCCATGAGAACAGAACCTCCAGTTTGCAGCCTGTGGTGCGCAGGTCTCTCCTGCACTGATCATACCTATGTGTCAGTCAGGAAATCTGGCTGATGACTTGTCACAAACAGCAGATGAGGAAAATGTCAAAAGGAACGTAATTTGGGGGGGGGGTGGGGGGGGGGGAACAAAATGTACATAGAAATTGTAGGTAGCTGCTCAATATCATTTAAAATATAAAATAGCAATTTTTAAACCCTTGAGTTTTTTAGGAAAAGGAGTATTTAAAAATCTACAATGAAAGATATACAGGACTTTGAATTTTGCTCATGGCACAAGCCCAGTAAGTGGATGAACTTGCTATCATCCATTAGTTGTCTTCCTGAAAGAATAAGGCCTTGTTCAAAATCCAAGCTGAGGGTGGCACTAATTCCAATTAGAATGGCAAGAGTCATGCCAAGGACCAGCACCCTAAGAGTGTTTCTCCCCGCATACCAAAGCATCACTGCAATGTGCAGAAGAGCTGATAACGGTAGGATTTTGTAACCAGCTGCATCGTTCTGTTTTCAGAGGGTCAAGGAAAAAAGATCCCTTTCCCCATGATTATTTTCCCCTAATCATTTACCACTTATAAAACCTTTGTGCTCATCTACTATTTTGCCATTTTCTCTAATATTAATTAAATTAGGTCAGCTTTTTCTACTACATTTTTTCCTCACAAAAGGCAAGTTTTAAATAATGCCTTACAAAATCTGTTACAACACATTTTATACTTATGCAGGATGAACTTAACACCAATTTTTTTTGCCACTTTGCTATTTATGTACACATACAAAATATATAATGATGCTCAACCCATACAGCACAAAGATTACAATGTAACATCACACATTCACCACCAGTGAGGGGAGAAACCCCTTTATACAATCCTCTGAAAAAACTGGGCTAATAATTAAAATCCAAAGTACAGTATATTTAACAAAATAGTAAATATTAAACAGTGAATACTTAATAAAGGACCTCGCCTTTTCCCCCCAGATTGGCGGCAATCCACAAAAATATACTTTTTAATCTGGTGACCATACAATACATAGGTACTTACATCAAAGGTGATAATATATTTAAGATGCTATATACACAAAGAGTTTGGCTCAACTTTTAATTTACATTTAGAATAAGTGTTCATGGCTTTTTTTTTCCAAGGTTCTGCTTGCAAGATATTTTTGTTTTCCCCTCTTAAAATAAAACTAAAGAGTTAAACCAAGATAAAGCTATTCTCTAAAAAAAAGTTACAACATATAGCTTTGGCTTATATAAATAATTCATAGCAGAATGTGTTCAAAAGTAGTGAATATAATTTTATATATAGTCATCAATTCATAAGGGTGTTTTCTTTCATATAAAATATACATGAGCTAAAATCAGTTTCTTTAATTTTTAAGATATGAATGTAAAAAGAAACTTCTGACATATTCCAATTATAACTTAATATATTAATTTTACTTTGTTAATGCTCTATATTTCTAGGCTAGTATTTTCTGAATATCTCATGCGTGTTTTCTATTCTCTTTCTTTATTAGCTAAAGATCACTTCTTGACCCAATACATTTTTGCACGTGCAAAACAGTTATGTGTGGGGCTTTTTTGTTTTGTTTGTTTTTAATATCAACAGCCCTTTCCCATGCACCCCTTTGCAACAGACACCCATGCCAGGTTGGAAAATATAAATGACATTTTATGTACAGTATTGCTTTCTTGGTTCCTGCTTTTCTACTGCTCTGTTCTACAAAGCATTTTCTCTTAAGTAACTACAGTCACTGCACAGTTAAATAAAACAAGTAGGGGGCCCTCTAGGTTTCTGCAAGCTAGTGTGGGAGAATTATATATGGGTACACGTTTCTCTGCAAAAACTGGTTATCTTTACGAAACAAGTAGTCCAAGGAAGTGCCAGACTTGTCTGTGCCTACAGGGTGCTTTGTCTGCCATGGGACACACATCTGCAGACCTACAAGGAGTTTGCAGGTAAGTGCCTGATTCTGTGTATGTAACACACACCCACACATACACACTCACACCCACATACATATATATGTAAAGGGATATATATATGTATGTACATATAAATATATTTAACTCATGTCCTTATTTACCGATTTAGATATGTAGGGCAGGTCACTGCAGTAACACAAAAGTACAAACATCAGCTTGGAAGCCTTAGGTCACCCACGCGTCCATCCTCATTCGCTTTACAGAAGGGCTTTCTCTGTCCTCAGTGTTTGGGGGTCGGCCAAGCACAATTGGAGAATGGAAGTCGCCCCGTGGATCCTCCCGATCACTGCCATCATAGGAGCTACTAGAGCTGCTCAGACTGTCCACAGGGGAGCGCCCCATTTCCTGTCGGGGCTGGGGCTGCGGGGGTTGTGGCTGGGGCTGCGGTGGTGGCGGCGGCTGCTGCTGCTGCTGCTGCTGCTGCTGCTGCTGGAAGCCCGATGGGGTCATACGATCCCGAGGAGGTGAAATCGGTTCGGACTTGATGCTGATGTTTTGGTTGGTATTAATGGATAAATTGGAACCCTGAGATAACTGCCCTCCAGCACTGAAGGAAAAAAAAGAGAGAGGTCAGATGGCTTGCAAGTACCTCTGCAAAACTGGGATGATACAGTAGAGACACTGCCTGATGGAAAAGGGCCCAGAGTCTGAAATCTTATCAGAGTTCCCCAAGACTGGTTTGGGTCGTTTCCTTCAGTGCTTGGCACAAAAGGAAATCCCATCTTCCTAGGAGGAAAGAAAACAGTACCGTTGAGCCCTTACGTTACTTGGTTCTGTTACCCACAACGTTGGTACTTTTGCAGCTAAAGTATACAAAACAATGTCAGTGTCTTAATGCTGTGCAGGGACCAGAAAGACAGAGGAACAGCAGCCTCATCTGCTCACCGCCTCTTCTTCCTCAGCATCTGCTCCCCATCTGCTCTGGCCCTGTGACAGGGCACAACATCGCTCATCCTCGCAACACCTCTAAGGTGCAAGTCGCACCATCCCCATTTTCCAGATGAGGAAATGAGGGGCTGGCTGAGAGCAGTAGAGGAGGACGCAAACAGGCTGTTCCCCGGGCCTGGGCTCTGAGCCCTTTCCACTTGCTTTTCCAGGACTATTTTTAGTGCATTCATTTAGGATGCTCAGGACAGGCCTGAGGGCCAAATCCTGTGTAGGCAAATTTCCCTGAGATACTCTGCTGCTTTTTCCATGACATAATTCCTAAGAAGACCACTGACAACAATCCTCACTGTGCAGTTACTTCAGAATGGATGAGGGAAAGGGACTGCTGAGCTCAGGCTCTCTGGGGACTTCCTGGGCAGAGGCTAGGGGCCTGGGGTATTCCTACTGCCCAGAGCACAGGCAAGGCAGCCAGTCTTCATGGAGGCCAGCTGGGTCTGCTATGTTGTCCCCTCTCTTGGGACACTCTCCTCCAACTGCTCCATGGGTCTGCTGTCATCCTGGTTCCACAAAAGCCCTGTTCTTTCTCCCGGCTGTCAGGGATGTCTGGCCTCATCTGGGCGCCACTGTAAATCCTCTTTGCTTATATCCTTACACCCTGCCCATACGGAACATTCTCTTTGTGAATGAGGTTTGGTGTGTGCATTGGGCTGGGATCAGTCACACAAATCCTATGGAGCCTGACTGATATATAAGACACCCTGTCCCCAGTTTTCCTTCCCTGTGGCCCAGGGAGAAAGCAAAAGCTCCAGCTTGTCTTCCTATTCTTGTCTACAGATACTCACCAAAGCAGTCAATGGCAAGGGTGGCAGGGAGGCCTGAATGCCTACAGGCTGCCTTTCAAGCAGTGCAGCCAGAGGCAGGTGCTTGGGAGCAGGGGTGCAGTAGGCAGCTTCATCACTGGTCAGAGGGCAGAAGGATGGTGCATGCGGGTGGTATCTGTGCCTTCAGACCCCTTCAGATCCTGGTTGAGTCTCTCTACCTCAGGATGTCCCTATGGGAGAAGCCTTGCTCCCCAAATCCCTTCAAGGAATGCCTAGTTTGTCAGTATCCAAGCTACTGTCTAGAGCCATGTAAGAAAATATTTTCTCCCGACACTTGTATCTACCTGAAAAGGAATCATTACAGGATTCCTCACACGAAACTCAACAGAGCAAAAGGCTGTCACTGATAGGAAAAGAGAGTGTGTAGGCCAGGAGTAAAGATGCAGGGAAAACTTCTAGTTACTCACACAAGAGAGCTGAGGGCTGCTTGTCCTAGGTGGTGCTGCTGCCAGGCCGACACCTGTCCCAGCGACAGCATTCCTGGCGAGTTGAAGCCTTGAAGGGCTGACAGGTCAGCGCTGGTCAGTGAATAATCTACAAAGGAAGACAAGAGGGCTCTGCATATGATGGAAGGTCCATACGGAATCTATTTTTTACGTAGCTACTGCAAAAGTTCCTACATTGAGGCCAGCCATGCTGGCTCATGCCAGTAATCCCAGCACTTTGGGAGGCCAAGATGGGCGGATCACTTGAGGTCAGGAGTTTGAGACCAGCCTGGACAACATGGTGAAACCCCGTATCTGCTAAAAATACAAAAATTATCCAGGCGTGGTGGCGCATGCCTGTAGTCCCAGCTACTTGGGAGGCTGAGGCAGGAGAACTGCTTGAACCCGGGAGGCAGAGGCTGCAGTGAGCCGAGGTAGCACCACTGCACTCCATCCAGCCTGGGCAACAGACTTCCTCTCAAAAAAAAATAAAATAAAAAGTTCCTACATTGAGAGAAGCCAGATACTTCACAACAAAACAACATACATGTGGGTCTAAAATCCGCAAAATCTTTTCTTGGAAGATTTACAGGATCTAGCAATATTTCTTTGTCTGGGATGATTCAAATAAGAGGCCATCATTAAAGAGTGTTCTGTACAATTGTTACTTTAAATATGCCTGCCACTACCCTTTGGAACAAAGAGAAACACTCAACCTCAACCAGAGTGAGTTTGAATCAGCAAGTCTTAATGAAGCAAGGGGTTGGGGGACAGGGAATAGGGGACAGGAAAGACAGAATCCCTACATGGGGTGCCAAGCTCAGTGACATCATTACACAATTAGTAAGCGCATTTGTTTAAAGTACCTAGACTGTCGCAAACTCCCTGACAGCATGCAAGAGTTTCAACTTCATGAAAAAACTCGGTGTCCTAGAGTATACCCAGCTCATATCATATGAATGCTTCAGTCGTAATCACTGGGACCAAGATTTAGGACGTTAGTTATCACTCACACGGGGAGTTATTTCAGCTCATCATTAACACTTGTCTTTCTCACTTGGTTCCAAAGAGAGGTGGCAAAACTCTTCTACTTTTATCTTCTTTCTCATGTCTCAAGAGAGGTGTTTAAAGAAATTGGTCTTCCTAGTGAATTAACATTTTAAAAAAGGAACGGAGTTGAAGCGACACAGCTGGTGCTCAGGGCTGTCCTGACTCTGCCCTTGTCATTCTATACACTCCCATGGGCTGGGGCAAGGACCCGTCACACTGACGCCTTCCCCAGTGCTCCCTCCGGCCCACAGTCTCCTTCGACCTCTAGATCTTTTAAACGACCTAGTGCCATGTCCATTTGGACGCCACTCCAAACGCCACACATCTGACATGGCCCATCCTTTCCTGCAAACCTGTTCCTCCTTAAGTACTCTTAGTACATGGCACCAACATGCACCCAGCAGCTCGTGCAGAAGCCCATGGGTGTTATCCTTGCTACTTCCCTTCCCTCTCACTCCCAACATCAATTTCCAGGTCTGAGCAATTCTATCTGCTCTCTCTCAAGCCTGCCCAGGTCTCACCATCTCTACTGCCACCTCTCTAGTCTATGCTATCAGCACCCATTGCTTGGACCACTACAGTAGCCTCTGATGTGGCTTCCTGGCATTGCCTTTTAACCCTATATACAGCAAAGACATCTTTTTAAAATAACAAATATGGTCATGGCACTCCTCTACTTCAAAAGTTTTTTATGGCTCCCCAATGCTCTCCGGACAGTTTCCAAAATCCTTGACATAGTCTACAAATCATTACTTACCTCTCTAGTCTCAATTCTAACCACCCACGCTCTGTCCCCATTCCTTCAGCCCCGTCCCGCCCGCAAACTCCTAGCCTTTGTACAGGCACACCCTCTCCCAAGAGCACTCTGCCTCCTCTGCCTGGCTGAGTCACGCATGTTCCTTCCTGTCCGAGCTGAGACACAGCCCTTGACACAACTGCAGCAGCTTATCCCTAGAGCTGTGTGTCTTGTGCCTTCCCCCCAGGCTTCACTGCTGACTGCACTCCTGCATTTCCAGTGCCTGGCACAGTGCCTGCCACACAGCAGCTGCCTGATAAATATTTGCTGAATAGATGTGGAAATAAGTTAAAAACAACATGGTAAACTTCAAACAGAGTAAGTGTTACGAGAAAGAGAAGAAAGATAAAGTCGGTCAAAAGGTGGCATGAGACTGACGCTAAGCGACTGATGATTTTGAGAGCCTGCCTCCATTTTTATATGCTTTGGTAATTTCTTTTATACTTTTAAAAAATAAATTCCCAATTCAATGGCATTTCTAAAAATAAGTATAGTGGAATTTCTAAGTATACTGAAAAACCTGTAATGAAACGGTCAGTAAACCATAATCTGACACCCAGTTCAAGCTCCCTCTTCTCAGCCAATACACCTTTGAACAGTATAGCTTTGCCCTCCCTTCTCAATTCTCAGAGTATAAATTCACAATCACAACAATTCAGGACTTCCCCTCCACGGTTACCCACTTAGGTATGTCCTGCCTCCTCACTTGGAATAAACTTGGAGAAAGCTATGTCCCTAGTACAGTCTCTCACAGAGCAGGTGATCAATGCGTCGAAACAGAATTTCTATGAATGCTTCATCCCTGGCTTTACTCTGGAACCTTGTTCTGTGCAAGGCACTAATAACAGGCTATGATTCACAATCCCTAAGATAGTATGCAGTTGACAAATTTGGGCATTATTTTTCATACTAACGGTTGGAAAAGTAATGGATATTTCCTAAGAGACTTTTTTTTTTTCAATAAAACCTTTTATTGTTGATTCTGTTTTAAAAGAACTTCTTAGAATTCAAGTGGCAATCAAATGTTATCAACGCTCTGTCCCCTCACGTAGCTGCGGACAGCAGTTTCAAAGTTCTGTGCCAAAGCATTTACCCTGAAGGCTAAAATCAGACCATCTTTACCACAGTCTACTTATGACACTCAGGAGAATCATAATAACTTCTCTGCATTGCAGTCTCTGAGTAATGGGCAAGGGAGAATTGAACTACTGCCGTCTTCCTCTGAAGCATCAGGTGTTTGGCTCAGCTGATGAGAAAGCGAAACCACATGTGTTTTCCACTCCTTCTTAGATTGGTAAATTTAAATGAAACCAGCTGCCCTCGATTCTCCATACAGTCTGCTTGGCTAAAAGCACTCCTACGATCACTGTAATATTCTTAAACTTTCCTAATACAACCCCAAATTAGGGCATTTTAAGATGAAATGCCTAAATAAACATAAATGAAGGAAAAGCTCCCCTCAAAGGCAGAGTGACTGGCTCCGAGGAGAAATCAGAACAGCCCTTGTTTTGCCCCTCAGGTGCACATGACATGGACCAAGCTAGTGGTTACAGGGAGGAAAACAGCCTGTTCGACACAGCCAAACGTCGGCCACCTCCTGAAGTCTCAGGTCCAAAGGGATTCATGTCTTTCCCAAAGCAGGTTAACACAGCATAAAGACAAACATCTTATTTTAAAAGCCTGGAAAAGCGTGATACTGTATGAAGAGAAACTACATCAGCAATACTCAAGCAACAGGCTGCTCCCCTCTTGGCTTGATGCATGTCACCATTTTGCTATCATCCACGTGGCTTTGTGTCAGGGGTTAAGTGAAAGTTCACACTGGAGAAGCCGGAATAACTTACTCATCGCACTATCCACACTATCCATTTTGTTTGTAATTTTTTCAAGGCTAGCACATTGAAAAATACATCCTAATTTAAATCTAAAAAACTGGAAATAGTTTATTTCAATAAATATACTTAAAAAAAATCACAGAAGCACACGTTGATCACAAAACAGAGAGCGGTAAAACCTACGGAAGGCACCAGAGCAGGCTCACCAGTGTTGTAGGCAGTCGGCATTGCTGAGTACACAAGTCCTTGCGGAGGCAAGCTTGGGGTTGTCACAGACACGACTGGGGTAGCAAGAGGTTGAGTGGCTTGAGAACTACTGATCCTCTGGGTATTCTGTGAGATCAAAAAAGAGAAAATGTGTTCTGATGTGGTATTTATGTTGACTTAAAAATCACTTTCAATTTAAGTGACATTTTTCACAGTTTCATATGAATGTCATTTTCTGAAGCACTGATGATGTGAAAACTTCAAAAATACTAGTGAGAATAACTAAATATTTAATTTGAAGGGTCCTATTTTTACATTAATTCTTTTAAAATAGTTGATTAGTGTCAGACACCCCACGTTAAAATAGGAACTTCTGTTACAGGCATTAGCACTTCTATTTGTTGCACAAAATGAGGACTTGATGCCACTACAAATACTGTCAGACTCCCCTAAATGAAGTATGTGTAGGTTTTAAATACCTGATGATGGCAAAGGTCATCTGTATATATAGGGATTGTACGTCTATGAGTATAGGAATCAAAACTACTTTTCTTTGCGGTATTATTTACGTGTTAACACGGTTTGAAGTCATGGCTTATTGGGTGCAGCTTGTATTCTTATTTCTTTCTCTCCAATCATGCAGTTGACCTATTTTTTAACAACAGATTCGGACATGTATCCCTTCATAGTCCCCTGGCCTTCTGTAGCAGAGGCTTTGAGTAGAGAATTTTGAATCAAGTACTGCCGACAGGGCAGTGGAAGAGCAATATTAAATGCTTTTTGCCAACTGGATGCATCTGTGTAGCATCCTATCCATGCTGGGAATGGATAAAAAAAATTCAACTATTAAATAATCCAGTTAGTCTAAGACAGTCATTGTCCTTAACGTGTAGGAGTACGACAGAAGCAGTTTCTCGCCAAACTGGCTTAAGGTAACGGTTTTTGAAAATCAAAGATCAGAGGAACACAACAGACTCTGTGTCACTAGCACATAAGAAAGCCACAGCACAACTCTATTTGTTTTTTATAAATTATGTTACAGCCTGATAACTGACATTCGGGGGTCTGAGCCAAATCAGTAAAGTATAATTCAGTGCCTTTGAGATTATGAAGAGTTAGAATGTGATTCCATTTTCTCTATCACAATTTTCAAAAGGGTACATCAGACAAAAAGGCCTTTGGCTAGATGTAGACACTTACAAACATTCGATGAGGATCCTGATCTCAGTTTATTTCTTTTTAATTTCTACTTTCTAACCTAGGTTAGAAGATGTGAGAAAGATCATGTGGATGTGGATGTATTGCCTGAGTTTCTGTCCCAGATTCACCATTTCCTAGGCATTGGGAAAATAATTTGACCTCTCTGAACTTCTTCATTGTCAAATAAAGAAGATATAGCAATCTTTGTCCTGGCTGCCTTGCACAGCTACTGTGAGAATCAAATGAGGTTACTATGTCAGAAGTGCTTTCATAACTGAAGTACTACACAAATATAAGATAATATCCTTATTGTCCTAAGAAACCCTCTGTCCCAAATTTCTATATAACTGGTGGGAAAAAAGATACATATTTTTATTCCTTCTAATCCATAGCCTAGTCTACTGCAGCTTTCATGAAGTCAAGTTGTTCTAGTATTGCTCGGCTTCTAAAGGAATCTGTCGCTGGTCTTAACAGTACAGTCTTTAGTGCAGGCCCCAGGGCACCTGTCCTTCTGCACTTCGGATCAGAGTCATCCACAATTATACTTTAGAGCTCAAGGCAAGCTGAACAACTTTCTAAGTTGTAACGGACTGTGCTTCTGATTATATTTTGGTTCTGGCACATAAAGTTCTGCATTTTTAATTGATTAAGTTTTAAATAATATAAATGGCTGTTTATAAGTTTTTAGGTATGTATTTTAAAGTCTTCAAGGACCTAATATATTTATCTCTGAGGTTCTGTAATTACAGATGTACTCTGAGGAATGTGGAAAATCAATGTATGCCAGTTCGGAATATATTTTAGTCTCAGCATCAAGTTTATAAATTTAATGACTTTTCGAGATAGAGATCTACTTTGGACTTAATTTCTTCTTTAATATTTAGTCTGGAACTTCATAAGTCCAATCACTAGGTGAAAGAATACAGTATGACATAGTTTGGCCTGGACCCTACCTACTCCATGGCATCATCTTCATGCAATCTCCTGGCATGTCTTCAAAAGCAGTGAAGACTTCAAACACTAGTTCCACTCATCTAAGCTCCTCATCTCAACGGCACTGAGTTCTACAAGAGTGAGTGATTTTCAGAACCACAAGAGGGCAGTATAGTGCTAGATAATTCATGGACGCATTCACAACTCCTTGAACAGTGAGGTCTAACCTAAGGTGAATTATTTTAGCTTGAATTATAAACTCTCATTTACTGATCATTATGGTATCATTAAGTAAAGTGTTTCTCCAAAAGATATTCATAATATAATTCAAAACATTTACAGCTGACTAGAATATTTCAGTTGGCCAATACAAAACTACACCCAAAACTGTGAGTGATCACAAAGCTAAATAAAGAACAATCTCGTATTTTAAGGGGAACAGATAACCTTCTTTGAAAAGAAAACAAACTGTGCAAAACACACCAGCATGCATAAACATGGAATATTAAAACCAACGGATGCCTTCCTCCCCCATGCTTTCATGCACTCTTAACCTTTGTCCATGCTAAGAAACATTTTCAAGTTTTTATTCCCCTTAAAGTCCTTTAATTAGCAGCTGACTTTGAAATTATATGATGACTCCTGTGAGGTTTTGGTTTTAGTTCCTAAAGAAGAAATAGATCAACTGCAAGCTGCTTTTAGTCAAGTTTATTTTCTAGAGGAAAAGCCAACAGAAAACGTTTGTTTTGGAAAAAGGGCAATAGTTGCTTTTAAGAAAAGAGCGCCTTCTGATAGAAAAGTAAACTTATATACACATTCAATTACAGACATTCCTTTTAGTAAACAGGGAACCCCCTTGTGGTTCAGGCTGTATCATGCAGGATGAAATAATTCCAACGCTGAAAAAGGTGACCTCACCAAAAATGATGTAATCTTTTTGAAAGAGAAACAACACAACATCGTGTGTTACAATCTGAGGAACTTCGAGGGTGAAGTCATTTTCTAAAAATATTTCAATAATTTGGAGAGCTATATAAGGTATTTTGTATCTTTCCTTAAAAAAAAAATTAACAAGTATCCTATGCTCATGGACAGCTACTGTTTTTAAAGGCTCTATTCCAATGTTCCCTCCAACAAATAAAATGGGTCAACACATACAATTATAAATAGAAAAACTAGAGTCTGTAGTACCAGTAGATTGCTTTATTCAAAGTGTTTGAATAGTGTTTAAAAAAATTTGTGTAACAAAGGGAACATTGGTTAGATAACAACACGTAAGAGAATTAGTACTTTCTACATCTTTTTCAACTTCCTTCAAGCAGAAACCCACACTCACCAACTCCAATTCCTCTTCCTCCGACTGTACTCAGCACATAAGAGGGATAAGAGAGTTACTAAGACTGTTGGTACTCACAAACAAAATATTTCTTTAGAAAAAACATATTTGGACACTAGCAGCTGTCTGGAACTCTAAAGAGACGATTATATACACAACAGATAGAAATATAAATTACTTGTCTCTACTTGTTGAGTTTTCAAAAGACTAGAAAAATTATTTTAAATTCTCTAGGGCCAGTATTCAAAGACACCCTCCTACCCCAACTTGGTCTGCTCTCATGCTGGCCTCTTATACATAGTCATGCTACTGCAACAGTATTTAAAAGGGGTTCCTCATCATGCTATCGATCTGTATTTGGAACTGTGAGAATATCAACTCTGTACTTGTAACTCTGTATCTTAATCACCCTACTATTACCCCACCTGGTGATACATGTTATCTATCTCCTACTGAATTCTGCTTCTTGGCAGAAAGAAACTGCTGTATGTTTTATTTCCCGCAGGAGCTAGCAGTTATAAAACAACAGGAACACAAACATTTGTTAATAAATACATGAGTTTTAAATACCAGTTTTATATATGTTTATCATTTGCAAATATATTTTCATGTGAATAAAATGACTTCAATGGAGAAAAACCACATATTTGAAGAAAATGAGACTGAAGGAGAAATGAATTCATAAGTCATGTAAAGAAAAGAAATAAGGCTGGGCACGGTGGCTCACGTCAGGAGTTCAAGACCAGCCTGGCCAAGATGGTGAAACCTTGTCTCTACTAAAACTACAAAAATTAGCCAGGTGCGGTGGCAGGTGCCTATAATCCCAGCTACTCAGGAGACTGAGGCAGGAGAATTGCTTGAACCCGGGCGGCAGAGGTTACAGTGAGCTGAGATCACGCCACTGCACTCCAGCCTGGGTGACAGAGTGAGACTCCGTCCAAAAAAAAAAAAAAAAAGAAACATTTTTGCTCCTTTTCTCCATAACATTTAGAAAATATTAACATGCTAGAAACAGTCTAATCAGTTTTTACTTGTTTTACTTGAGTAAGTTAAGCTTCTCTGTCAGTCTGTGAAAAGTGTCATTGTAAGTGCCACTGATACATGAAGCCCTAATCTGGAAGAAGGTTTCTCTGTAAATGGTGTGTGTAAAGTAGGTGGGACCGATTACTTACTCTGAAAAACAATCACTTGATCTACAACTGCTATCTCCAATGTGGGCAAGATGCTATTCAACTGTTTTGTTATAGATATCTTTACATATCTCCAAACACAAGGTACACACCAAAATATACTGTCTAACATTATAGCTGTGTATGTGTAAAACATATGGTTTTCACTTTAATATACAGGAATAAGCGTGTAAATAGTTCATACGACACATTTTGAGTTTTCCATGGAGATCCTTCATGCTCTCCTAACAATCAGACATAACTTTATTAAGCAATTGCTAAAATGCTTAAATGGAGTTTGTCTCTAAATTGGCAGTTTACTAACAATTCTTGTAAACATTTCTGTACCCTACATGACATTTTGTAGAGTTTATTTCTGAAAGACAGTAGCAAGTATTGCATATCCAGTACCTGAAAGGTGAGCTATGGGACCATCCTAAATGCCATTTTTTCTTGGCTCCCTTTTGGGGTGTATTTCTTTGTTATGTATGTATGTATATATTTTAAACTATTTATTCTGAAATAATTTTAGACAGCATTTACAAAGAGAGCTCCCTCACATCTCACTCAGCTTTCCACATTGTTAACATCACAAGGAAATACAATGCAGTTGTCGAAACTAATAAAAATAATACAGCACCAATTAAAGCTTTGGACTTTACTTGGATTTCACCAGTCTTTCAACTGATGTCCTTTTTCCTGACCCAGGATCAGATCCTGGATCCCACAAGCCTTTAGTTCTCACATCTCCTTCGTCTCCTCTGCTCTGTGACAGTTCCTCAGTCTTTCCTTTTCATGACCTTGACAACTTGTTTTGCATGACCTTGACAACTTGTTTTGAAAGAGTGCTGATCAGTTATCTTATAGAATGTCTCTCAATTTGGGTCTGATTTTCATTCATAATCAGATAGAAGGGCATGGATTTTTGCAAGAATACCACAAAGAGACATGGCTTTCTTAGCATGTCATATTGGAAGGCACATGTTGTCTTTATGTCCCATTACTGGTGATGTTAACCTTGATCCTCCGGTTAAGGCAGTGTTTTCCAGGATTCTCTTATTTCTAATTCTCTAATTTTTCCCTTTGTAAGAAATGAATATTGGGGAAGAGACATTCTGAGACAAAGCAAAATAGCTTTTTACTTAAACTTTTTGCCCACTTATGTTAGCATTTATCCACTGACTTTGCCTGCAACAATTACCATTGTACTGTGGTGTTCTAATGCTGATTTACTCTCTCTCATTCTTTCTACATTTATTAATTAGTTATTTTCTAAGGAAGAGTTGTCCCTTTTTCCCCTTATTTATTCTATCATTTATTTATATCAGTAATGGACTCAATGTTTTTTATTCCCTGGGCTATAATCCAATACTATTGTTATTTTGTTACTCAAATTGTTCTAGTTTTGGCCACTGGAAACTCTTTTGAAAGGCCAGCTCCCGTGACTTTTGATACGCACTTTCTTAACCTCTGACAACCCCGGCTCATCCCGTTTCCCTGCCCCAGCTCTACAACAAACCATTTTTTTCCAAGCAGCCCTGAGTCCTTGTATTAGAAAATGGTGTTCTGAAACTAAAATCTGAGCACCAGGTATGTTCAGTTACTGGATGCTATTGCCTCACAGACCTCTCAGCAAACAGAGCTAGGAAATATATGATGTATACTAATTCATATGTACACACAACTGTACCTTTTTTGTGTGTGTGTGACAGGGTCTCGCTGTGTCAGCCAGGCTGGAGTGCAGTGGTACAATCATAGGCCACTGCAGCCTCGACTTCCTGGGCTCAAGCGATCCTCTCACCTCAGCCTCCCAAGTAGCTGGGACTATGGGGGCATCCTACCACACTCGACTAATTTTTGTATTTTTAGTAGAGACGGGGTTTCGCCATGTTGGCCAGGCTGGTCTCAAACTCCTGAGCTCAACATCTGCCCGCCTCAGCCTCCCGAAGTGCTGGGATTACAGGCACGAGCCACTGTGCCCAGCCAGACACATACGTACATATGTGTGTGTGTGTGTGTGTGTGTGTGTATATATACACACATATATACGTATGTGTCTGGCTGGGCACAGTGGCTCATGCCTGTAATCCCAGCACTTCGGGAGGCTGAGGCGGGCAGATGTTGAGCTCAGGAGTTTGAGACCAGCCTGGCCAACATGGCGAAACCCCGTCTCTACTAAAAATACAAAAATTAGTCTCCACTAAAAATACAAAAATTATATATATATATATACACACACACACACACACACACACACACACACATATAAACTCTTACTGAATCCTTCAACTATAACCCTGAAACACAGGCTCATTCTAGACCCCACCCCCAACCCCCTGGGTTATCTGCAACTTTCTCCTCCAACCATGAGAAACCTGGCTGCCTTTATCTACAATGTCCATTTGTTTATTTACATTTTATATTTATTTATATGTTCAACCCTTTGTGTTTGTGTATGTGAGGGATGAATTTACCATCTAGAGCACAGTGATTTGCTACAATTTCGTTGGTCTCTAACCTTACAGTATCCAGTCAAAAGTTTCCAAAGTTACTTAGACCAGGTTCTTGCTTCCTCACCCCTTCAATATCATGTTACTTATCTGTAATAAAGTTATATTCATGTGTGACAATATGCATTCCATCTTGGGCTCCCCCGGAATCTTTTTTTACTAAATTGCATTTAGTAAAAGTCACTCTTTGTAGGTACAGTTTCATGAGTTTCAACAAACACAGACCCATGCATCTAACAAAACAGCATCACACAGATTAGTTCCATCACCTCAAAAATTCCCTATTAACCCTTTATAGTCAACTCCTCTCTCCACTCCCAACCCATGGCAGCCAGTGAGTTTTGCATTTTCCAGAATGAAATATAAATGGAATCATACACTACTGCTTCTTTTACTTAGCAAAATTCACTTAGGATTCATCTGTATTGCTGGGTGAATAAACAGTTTATTGCTGAGTAGCATTTCTTTATATGGATGTACAGTGTGTTTATCCATTCATCTGTTGAAGGACATCTAGGCTAGTTTCAGTGTTTCACAATTATGAAAGATACGGGTTTCTTATAAGTATAGTTTTCAATTCATGTGCGTAAATACTCAAAGAGTGGCATTACCGGATTGTACAGCAAGTTTTTTTTGTTTTTTTTTTTTTAATTTTTAAGACAGGGTCTTGCTGTGTTGCCCAGGCTGGTCTTGAACTCCTGGGCTCAAGCAGTCTTCCTGCCTTGGCCTCCCAAAGTGCAGGGATTATAGGCATGAGCCACCCTGCCTGGCCAGCAAGTGTATATTTAAATTCATAAGAACTGACCAACTCTTCAAAGTGGCTGTACCATTTTGCATTCCAAAGATATGGGAGAGATTTTCTGCTTTGCATCCTCACCAGCATTTCTAGTTTTTGCGTTTTTGTTTTTTTTTTTGAGACAGAGTTTCACTCTTGTTGCCCAGGCTGGAGTGCAATGGTATGATCTTGGCTCACTGCAACCTTTGCCTCCTGGGTTCAAGCGATTCTCCTGCCTCAGCCTCCTGAGTAGCTGGGATTACAGGCATGCGCCACCACCCCTGGCTAATTTTGTATTTTTAGTAGAGATGGGGTTTCTCCATGTTGATCAGGCTGGTCTCGAACTCCCAACCTCAGGTTATCTGCCTGCCTCAGCCTCCCAAAGTGCTGGGATTACAGGTGTGAGCCACCGCGCCCAGCCGTTGCGTTTTCTTAAATTTTAGCCATTTTACTAGATGTGCAGTTATATCTCATTAGGTTTTAATTTTCAATTCCCTAAGCCTGATAATATTGAGCATATTTTCATACACTTATTTGCCATCCATGTATCTTCTTTTTGAAGTATGTGTTCAGATCTTGTGCCCTTTTAAAAATGTTTTCTTACTGTTGGGTTTTAAGAATTCTTAAAATATTCTGGATACAAACTCTTTATTGGATATGTGACTTGCAAATACCTTCTTCTAATCTGTAGGTTGTCCTATACTCTCTGAACAGTGCCTTTCACAGAGCAAAACTTAAGTTCAACCTCCAATACATCAGTTTTTTCTTTATGGATCCTGCTTTTTGTGTTGGATTTTCTCCTCTAAATTTCAGTTTCCTGTTTTAAATTTGGGTCTATAATCCAATTTTAGTTAATTTTTTAATAAAGTTTGAGTTATTTTCAGACTTTGGGTTGTTTTTGTTTTGTGTATGGATGTAGAATTGTTTCAACACCATTCGTTGTAACCACCATCCTTTCTCTGTTGAATTGCCTTACTACCTCTGCCAAAAACCCAGCTGAATATATACGTATAGGTGTAAATTTTCTGAGCCGTTTTGTCCACTGATCTATGTGCCCATCCTTTTGTCAATATCACACTTTCTGGATTACTATAGCTTTGTAGTAGGTCTTGAAATCGGGTAGTAGTAGTATTTTTTTAAAATTTTGTTCCTTCTTAAAATCATTCTAGCTATTGTAGTTCGTCTTTACCTATATATTTTAGAATCAGCTTGTTAGTAACTACAAAAGAGCTTGCTGGGATTTTGAAATTGTGTTTAATCTACAGATCAATCTGGGAAGAAATGACATCTTGACAATACTGAGTCTTGAAATCCATTAACATGATGTATCTATCTATTCATCTAGGTCTTCTTTCATTTCTTTCATCAGTGTTTTGCAGTCTTCAACATACAGACTGTACATATTTTGTCAGAATTTTACCTAGATGTTTCTTTTCCTTCCTTTATTTGGGGTGTTATCATTTTTTTTTTTAAATTTCAAACTCCAATTGTTCACTGCTGGCATATAATCGATTTTTATATATTAACTTTGTACCCTGCAACCTTGCTAAACTCACTGATTGGTCCGAGGAGTTTTTTTTGTAATTTCTTTACACTTTTCTACATGAAAGAATCTATCTCCTATGAATAGAGGAAGTTTAATTTCTCTCTTCCCGATATATATGCATTTTATTCATTTATTTTTGCCTAACTGTACTGGCTAGGACTTTTACTACCATGGTAAATATGACTGGTGAGAAAAAAAAATATCATTACCTAGCTCCAAATGCTAGAAGACTGAATGCTTTCCCCTTATGAAGTATTTTAGCTGTATATTTTTTGTAGATGCTCTTTATTAAGTTCCTTTCTATTACTAGTTCATTGAGATTTTTTTTTTTAAATGATGAATAGATGTTCAATTGTTAATATACTGATTATACTAATGAATTTTCAAATGTAGACTCAGCCTTGCATTCCTGGGATAAAACCAACTTGGTCTTGATGTATTATCCTTTTTATATATTGCTCAATTTACTTACTTTTTACTGAGGATTTTTGTGTCTAGAGTTCATGAGGAATATGGATTTGTAGACTTTTTTTCTTGTGTTGGCTTACTTTGGTTTTGCAGCGGGGTAATGCTGACCTAAAAAAATAAGTTGGAAAGTGTTCTCTCCTAATTTTTTCTGAAAGAGACTGTGTAGAATTGGTATCACTTTACATTTTCCTTTCTTCTGCTTGATTGGGGTTAAGTTTGCTCTTCTTTTTTGAGTTTCTTAAGGTAAGAGCTTAGATTACTGATTTGGGATCCCTCTTTTCAAATATAGGCATTTGTTGCTATAAATCTCACCTCATCACTACTCTAGTTGGGCCTCAAAATTTTGATGCTGTATTTCCATTTTCATTTGGCTATATGTATTTTTAAATTTCCTTTGAGATTTCTTCTCTGGTCCTTGGGTTAAAATATGTTGTTTAATGTCTAAATATATGGCCATTTTCCTACTACCTTTCTGTTACTGATTTCTAGTTTGATTTCCTTATGGCCAGAGAATATAATATGCCTGATTTCAATTCACTGAAATTTGCCAGTTTGTTTCCTGGCACAGGATGTGATCTTGGTGAATGTTCCATGTGCACTTGTGAAAAGTGTGTGTTCTGCTGTTGTCGAGTGATGTGTTCTATAAATGTCTCTTAGGTCATGTTGGTCGAGTGTTGCTCAAATCATCTAGATCCTTACTGATTTTTCTGCCTACTTGTTCTATCAGTTACTGAGAGGGATATAGAAGTCTCCAACTACAATTGTGGATTTTTCTACTCACCTTTTAGTTCTATCAGTCTTCACTTTATGTATTTTGAAGGTTGCTGTTAGGTGCATACACATTAAAGACAGTTATTTCTTGGAAAGTGGACTATGTCACGTCCCTCCTTATCGCTGATACTCTTCCTTGTTGTGAAGCTTATATTGTCTGAAATTAATAGGTCTGCTTTAGCTTTCTTTTTGGTGTTTGCAATGGTAAATTTTCTCCCTTCTTTTATCTATGTCTTTATATTTAAAGTGGATTTCTTGTAAGCAGCATTTTTCTTTTTTTTTTTTTTGAGACGGAGTTTCACTCTTGTTGCCCAGGCTGGAGCGCAATAGCATGATCTTGGCTCACTGCAACCTCCGCCTCCCGGGTTCAAGTGATTCTCCTGCCTCAGCCTACCAAGTAGCTGGGATTACAGACGTGTGCTACCATGCCCAGCTAATTCTGTATTTTTAGTAGAGACAGGGTTTCTCCATGTTGGTCAGGCTGGTCTCGAACTCTCGACCTCAGGTGATCTGCCTGTCTCAGCCTCCCAAAGTGCTGGGATTACAGGCATGAGCCACCACATTGCTTTTTAAGAAACACACACACACACACACACACACACACAAATCTGACAATCTTTTAACTGACGCTTTCTCACCACATTCAATGTGATTACTTATATGACTGGATTAAAAGCTACCATTATCTTGCTTTTTGTCTTCTTTTCTCCCATTTCTTGGGCTACTTAGTAGAGCATTTTTTATATTTCTATTTTATCTCTTCTACTGACTTATTTATACTTCTTTAAAATTTTCTTCTGTAGTTGCACTAGGGTTTATAATATACACCTTTAGTTACCTTGAGTTCATCTTCAAATAATATTTACATCATGTGTAGAGTCAATTCCTCCCTCCCATCTTTTGTTGTCATATATTTTATTTTTACATGTGCTACAGAAACAAAATACAGTTACTATTTTTGCCTTACATAGTCAGATACCTTTTGGAGCAATTAAAAAGAGGGAAAGCACTCGGATCTTGGTTTCTTTCATTCTCCATAAAAATAATGTTCCTTGGAGAAATGCCTGATTCTAGGACTGGGGCAGAAAATACACAAGATAAGCCTAGAATATATTATAGTGCCGGAAAATAAAAAAGCGCCTGCTCCCCCTGAAAAAAAAAAAACCCACAAAAATAAGGATATATCAAAGGGACATAGGAATCAAGTAGATAGCCCTCAAAAGCTGAAGCTAGAACAAAGCAACAGAAAAACGTGGTATTGTATTATAAACCAAAGTATTAAAATAAATGCCCACGAGTCCATATTGATAGAAATAAATGGTTGAATAAATGAGAGAGAAGAGATAAATCTCCCGTGCAGAAGAATTCCAAATAATTTATGTAGATATCCTTCTCTTAAGAAAGTGAAGCCTTAACTCCCCACTCCTTAAAAGTGTGGGCTGAACATGGTAATTTCCTACCCAAAGGCTACAGTATGAAAAGCGGGAGAAAGAGTAACTTCACAGAAAAGAAACCTGGTAAATACCTGTTAAACATCAGCCAGGTGACCAAATGAACATCAGCAATAGTTATGACGATACAGGTTGGTCATCCCAAATCTGAAAATCTGAAATCTGAAATGCTCCAAGATCTAAAACCTGTTGAGCACCAACATGACACTCGCATGTAGTACTCATTGGATCATTTTGGATTTCAGATTTTTGGATTTGGGATGTTCTACTTATTAGTATAAGGGAAATATTCCAAAACTTGAAAAAATCTGAAATCTGGAATACTTCTGGTCCTGAGTATCAGATAAGGGATAATAAATGTAGTAGGCACTCTTGATATGATGTGATGAAAACGGCATCTTAATTCTATGGCCTACCTCAGTCAAACCAACAACCACAGTATAAGCATGAGAAAAACATCAGACAAATCTTAACTAGAGACATTCTATAAAAATACCTGACTAGTACTCCTCAAAACTGTCAAGGTCATTAAAGCAAGGAAAGTCTTAGAAACTCTCACAGTCAAGAGGAGGCTAAAGAGACATGATTGCTAAATATAATGTGGTATCCTGGATTGGATCCTAGAATAGAAAAAGACACAAGGTTAAAAATAAGTAAATCTGAATAAATTGCGAATTTCAGTTAATAATAACGTATCAGTAGTGGTTCAATAGTTGTGACAAATACACCATACTAATGTTAATAGAAAAAATGATGTGTGGGGTGTATGAAAACTTCCTGTACTATGTTTGCAATCTTTCTATAAATCTAAAATTGTTCTAAAAATAAAACGTTTATAAAATGCAGGGAAAACCAGAGTTTACTTATTTTATCTTCATTTATTCCATTTCCACTGTTCATTTCTTTGTGTAGACTCGAGTTTTTGCTGGGATCACAGTCCTGCTGAAGGGCTTCCTTTAACATTTCTTGTAGAGCAGGTCTGCTGGCAATAAATTCCCATGACTTTTGTTTGAGGAAATCTTCATTTCTCAAAGATATTTTTGGTGGGTAGAGAATTTTGGGGTGAGGAATTTTTAAAAAATTTCAGCACATTAAATAATGTTACTCCCTTTTTCTCGCTTGAATAGTTTAGTTTGTGAAGAAAAAAGTATGTTACTAATCCTTATCTTTGTTTTTCTGTAATGTATCTCTAAGATTTTTCTCTTGATCTTTTGCTTTTAGCAGTCTAGGAGTGAGAGTGTGTGTGCGTGCATACATCTGTGTGTGTGTGTGCATGCGTGCATGTGTGTGTTGGCAGTAGTAATTATCCTACTTGGTACTGGTTATTATTTAAAATATTACTCCTAATCTGTTCTCTCTTCTCTTTTTGGAAGTCCAATTATAAATATGTTATACCATTTGATAATGGTGCATAGCTCTTGGATACTTAATTCTGTTTATTTTGTCTTGTTTTCACTCTTCTTTCTCTTTGTATTTCAGCATGGGTAATTCCTACTAATAGACCTACAGGTTTTTCCCTCCTGCTAAGCTATTAGTGCAAGAATCGAGTTAATTTCATTAGAAGCTGGACTGGGTTTGAGCCTTACTGTTGCTCTGGTTACCATCAGGGCACCTACCACAAGCTTCATATCCCTCTGGGGGTGGGGATCTGCATGCCAGGTTTTCCCCTAGTGCCTGCTCCACTCTCAGCTTTAAGTCATCCCCTCTCTTGTTGTGCCTCAGGCTGTGGCCTTCTCAGTCATCCTGCCACTCTCCTGGCATCGCTCCATACCGAGCATGTCTTCCTGTTCCTTCACCACTGGTTGAGATATTTTGCCTTTTCCATTAAACAGGATTTCAACAGTGCCCTAAGAGTGATAATGTTTGTTGTTCGTCTTCTCAGAGATTAAAGCTTTTGTTTCATATTAGAGAAAGAAGACAAAAAGATCCTGGCAAAACTTTTTGCCCCTAGTGTAGTGGCTACTCTTCCCCTCTCCCAGTTGTGTACCACAGCGAGACCTTTTCAGGAGCTTCTGAGCACCCCATGGGATTCACGGAGTAAAAAAGTATACAAGAGAACACAGACTCACCCTGTGTTATACTGCGGCCCCCAGGAGTTTCACACAGTTCTGTCAGTGTACACCTGGCCTCCAGCAATTCACCAATCACCCTAGCTTAACTCTTACCATCTGTGTCTTGTCTAATGCTCAAATGTCAACTCTCCTTACAGTGTCTTTGACTCTGGAGTATCTGGGCCAGTTGGTTGCCGTGAAATCTCAGCACTATAATGAGTTCAAGGAAAACTATGAACTTTCTGTATATCCAAGTTTTTTTAATTGTGAGGCTGGGAGTGACTGTTTCCAGATTTCTGTATAACCAGATAAAAAAGTACTTGTTTTTTGACCTGGACTGTAAGACTTAGAGATTTGGTCCTAGCTCTATTTTGAACTATCTTGGACAAGTAATAACCTTTAACTCAGTTTCCACATCTCTACCTTGCAATGACACAGGCTAATTGAGAATTAAATGAGACAATATACACATGAAGGTGCTATGGAATCTATAAAGCATTATACCAAAGTGGAATTATTATCTAAGCCTGACAGCATCACTTTCACTTAGCAAAAACTCTAATGGTGAGTTTAGCAACTGCTCAGCAGAGAGAACACCTGGCATATCATTTAGTATGGTAGTAGTCAAACAGTTGCTAAACTAAGAAGTTTTAAAACTTGATTATATATTCTAGTTTTTTTTCTACAGGAAGCTAAGGGCGATAAATAGATTCTCCTGTTCTTTACAAACAGACTTAAGACTCAAAAACAAATGAGACTAGAACCCTAAAGCCGTCATCAAGGAGTGGAATAGAGGCTACCTGCATTCTTTATACAGTTAAATAGGTTATTTGAGAAGGAATAAGCAAATAAAATTAATTGGAGAATAACTCACTCAAGTTTGTGTGCTTTCTTCCCTATCCTACAATAGTTCTGTGGTATGCAGAATTTTTTCTTTTTTTTTTCTTGAGACAGAGTCTTGCTCTGTCACCCAGGCTGGAGTGCAGTGGTGTGATCTCGGCTCACTGCAACCTCCACCTCTTGGGTTCAAACGATTCTCCTGCCTCAGCCTCCTGAGTAGCTGGGATTACAGGCACGCGCCACCACGCCCGGCTAATTTTCGTATTTTTAGTAGAGATGGGGTTTCACCATGTTGGCCAGGCTGGTCTTGAACTCCTGACCTCAGGTGATCCGCCCGCCCTGGCATCCCAAAGTGCTGGGATTACAGGTGTGAGCCACTGTACCCTGCCTGGTATGTAGAATTTTCTAACAAATAGTTTAGTGCTTCTCTCACAGAAAAGCATGTTTAATTGATTAATGAAAGTATACAAAGTACAGAGAATAAATAAGTCATGGTTAATGCTTCTAGCCTGGTAAAATTAAAATTAAACATAATAATCTCTCTGTATTTTACTTTTTAAAAACTCATTCGAGGGGTTTCCTCTTTGTTTGAATCCCCCCTCCCTCTGTCTCTGTTGGAGGGAGCTGTTTTCTCCTTCCTTCCTTCCTTCTTTCTTGGCTACTAAATTTCACTCCTTAAAACGACTCAAAAAAAAAAAAAAAAACCTGATTCGAAAGGTGTTACATATTAATGGGGTACATGTGAATATTTGTTACATTCATAGAATGCGTAATGATCCAGGTCAGGGTGTTTGGGGCATCTATTACCTTGAGTATTTATCCTTTCTATTTGTTGGGAACATTTCAAGTCCTCTTTTCTAGCTACTCTGAAATATACTCCATCTGCAATGTTGCTAACTATAGTCACCCTTCTCTCCTATCAAATACAGGGGTATATTTATTGTATCTAAGTGTATGTTTTTACCCACGAATCAACCGCTCTTCATCCCGTCTCCCACCCACACACCCTTCCCAGCCTCTGCTATCATTCTATTCTCTATCTCCACAAGACCAATTTTTTTAGGTCCCACATGAGTGAGACCTTGCAGTATCTATCTTTCTATGCCTGGCTTATTTCACTTAACACAATAACCTCCAGTTCCAACCACGTTCGTATTTAGCTTTAATTTTAAGTAACTGTTAAGCAAATTTCCATAATCTGATTTTTGTGTATTTGAAATAGACTTGTCTCTTCAAATACTAATTTTGAATGGAAATATTTATTAGGAATAGGTGTAGATTCTACGGTGGCACAGAAAATTCCAAAGGAAGCTACAGATTGACTATGTATAAAATATGTGTTTTAAAGAATGAAGTTGAAGAAAGGTTCAACTTACTAGTGGAGGCATCATGCCCTTGCTTGAAGGGGGGATGACAACTCGAAGATCTGGTTTCCTACTGTTCATTCCAAGATTACCACCACCTGGTGGAGGGGGAGACTTTGTAGGCATGACTTTGCCTAAGCTATTTGCACCAGTAGCTCCAATCAAATTTGGAGAAGCTCTTGAGTTTACAAATCCATTCCCTGGGGGGAAAAATATCATTCAATAAAGTGAGAAGAGTTATTAAAATACTTTGGCACAAACAAATCAAGTTTTCCCCAGTCTGAGTTGCAAATAAATTTTATAACAAAACTCACTACAGGTTTGAGTATCCCTTGTCCGAAATGCTTGGGACCAGAAGTGTTTCTGATTTTGGAATACTTGTATACTTATTGGCTGAGCATCCCTAAACCTGAAAATCCAAAATCCTCCAATTGACACTTCTGAGAATCACGTCAGTGCTCAAAATGTTTCAGATTTTAGAGCATTTTGTATTTGGGATACTCAACCTGTGGTAACTAATGAAGTACCTTGGGATATCTTAAAAATAAGCAAAGGAAGACAAGCAAAGTCTGAAATACATATAAAGCTTAAGACTAATGATACTTGTACAGCATTACTCCTTGGACCTGCTGAAAGAGATTTAACACACAACACATTTCTGGCCAGGTGCAGTGGCTCACGCCTGTAATCCCAGCACTTCGGTATGCCGAGGAGGGTGAATCACTTGAGGTCAGGTGTTTGAGACCAGCTTGGCCAACATGTTGAAACCCCGTCTCTACTAATAATACAAAAATTAGCTGGATGTGGTGGCGCCCGCCTGTGATCCCAGCTACTCAGGAGGCTGAGGCAGGAGAATCACTTGAACCCGGGAGACGGAGGTTGCCGTGAGCTGAGATCATGCCCCTGCACTACAGCGTGGGTGACAGAGTGAAACTGTGTCTCAAAGAAACAAACAAGCAAAAGACCACATTTCTAAGAGGGCATCTCATACTGGGGACTAAAATAATGGAGGTATTATAGAAAAATGTCTGAGACCAGCCTATTCATTCACTCTTGTGAGAGCAAAGGCACTGCTACCACTAAGTTCTGAGTAGTGAACTAGGTATCAGAGCAGCTTCTTAACTGCAGCTTATTCAGCACTCATTTCTAATGCCCCGTTTTCACCACGTACTTCTTCCTTATGGCTCTACTTCTACTGAGTCTGTTTCTTCAGCTTCACTGAGGTCCTTATTAAATATTTCTGATTTATCTCACTTTAATCATCTTATTCCTAAACTTTCCCTAACAGAACCTTCCATCTCCCTTAATGAAATGAGGAAAAATGCACATTGTGATATATGCTCTATGTATATAATACTTTTGGGTACTAGTTGAGATATAAAATACGTATGAAACCATCCTGTTTTCATGAATACTGTAGTCAGTCATTCTACTTCTTCCCATGTATAGCAACCACGTGGACTGGGTGGGGCTGACTCTCTGCAACCCTCCCTCCAGCCCCCAGATGAACTTAGTGATAGGCATTTGACTCAGGTCATTCTCGCTCACCACAGTGACTGGATGTGGTAATGACCAATCAGAACCCGGGTAAAACAACTCTTCCATGATTATCAGGAGGCTCTCACATTCCCTAAACTGTGCCTGAGGAAGCATTTTATTTTTATTTATTTATTTATTTACTTTTCAGACGGAGACTTGCCCTGTTGCCCAGGCTGGAGTGCAGCAGCGCGATCTCGGCTCACTGCAAGCTCCACCTCCTGGGTTCACGCCATTCTCCTGCCTCAGCCTCCTGAGTAGCTGGGACTACAGGCGCCCGCCACCACGCCCGGCTAATTTTTTGTGGTATTACCAGAGACAGGGTTTCACCGTGTTAGCCAGGATGGTCTTGATCTCCTGACCTCATGATCTGCCCGCCTCGGCCTCCCAAAGTGCTGGGATTACAGGCATGAGCCAACGTGTCCGGCCAGCATTTTATTAAGTCATTTTGAGACTCAGAAGAAGGCCAGAATGAGGAAAAAGCTGATACAAAAAGGAGAACAGCAAACAAATGATGTAAAATCCCTGATTAAACCATGCTTGTAGTCTGTACCACTTCTGGATCTTTCGGTTACATGTAAGTTAATACATCCCCTATACAATTTAAGCCTGAGGTAGTTTTCTGTTAGTTGCAACTGATACTATCCTAATAGAAACAGCTATTATTCACCAGCTTGCAGTCCAACAGCAGAGATAATGACAAGTAAAAAGTAGATAAGTAACCAGTGTACAGAAACATATAATGTGCATTTATAAAACAGAGATTACAGTGTGGTATTTCAATTTCAAAGTAAATCACAAATAAAGCAGAGAAGAATAAAAGATAAGTGTTTATTACAAAGCTGGCAAAGAACAAAATATTCAGAATAGTGAACCAGAGGTTCCTGATGAGCCAAACAGGCCTCTTAAGTTCTCTGGGGAGGACTCAGCATTCACATGTCATTAAGACTAGCAACTGCCTAAAATTGGAAATCATAGAAGTACCTTTACTATTTGGAAATTAAAAAAATTCAAATATCTATTATGTATACAGTACTGTGCCCCTGGGAGGGTATATGTAGAGAAACCATAAAAAGCCTACAGGTCTTCAAGTAGCTTTTCATCTAGTTAGCAAGAGCAGGCATATCACATAGGCATGAATATACCAAAATTATACTCACAATATGGGCAAACTAGAGGTAACCACACAAAATTTACAATGAAATAGAAAGCACTGATAACAAATCTATCAGCTTAATTAGGAAAGCCTTTGTGGGATTAACTACTGAGCAGTCTGAAATGAGAGAAGAACAGAAGAAAAGAGAAGGCAGGCATTATGGATAAATGTGAGAAAAACACGTTAAAGCACGAATGAACAAGGTGTGAGTGAGGAATGGCAGAGCAGATAAGCCTGGATAATCCACAGCTTCAGGGACCATCAGAAGGAAAAAGTAGCTGTATTTGTTCTGCTCCTTTCATTCTAGTATAAAGCCAAAAAGAAAACTTCAGAATTCACGAAAAATAAGCAGACACTAGGTGTTACAAATACACACACACACCCACACACCCCTGTATTAATACACGTGCAAGGACTAACAAAAACTGAGTGTCTGCTGTGTGCTTAACACTGGTCTAAAATTCGTCCTAATAATCTCATCCTGACAAGACTGCATTCTGAGACGTAAAATGGTTTGCCTCTGGGTCAGATGTGGTAGCTGATGCCTGTAATCCCAGAACTTTGGGAGGCTGAGGTGGGCAGATCGCTTGAGCCCAGTTCAAAACCAGCCTGGGCAACATGGTGAAACCCCGTCTCTACAAAAAAAAAAAAAAAAAAAAAAAAAGAAAAATTAATAGGACATGGTGGTGTGCACCTGTAGTCCCAGAAACTAAGGAGGCTGAGGTGAGCCCAGGAGGCAGAGGTTGCAGTGAGCCAAGACCACGCCACCACATTCCAGCCTAGGTGACAGAATTAATCCAATCGAACAAAGACAAATTAAAAAAAAAATCAAAAAACAAAAATGAACAAAGCCTCCAAAAAATTTGAGATTACGCTAAACAGCCAAACCTAAGAATAAGTGGTGTTCTTGAGGAAGAAGAGAAATCTAAAAGTCTGGAAAACATATTTGAGAAAATAATTGAGGAAAACTTCCCTGGCCTCACTAGAGATCTAGAAATCCAAATACAAAAAGCTCAAAGACCTGGGAAATTCATTGCAAAAAGATTGTCACCCAGGCACACAGTAATCAGATTATCTAAAGTGAAGACAAAGGGAAGAATCTTAAGAGCTGAGAGGCAAAAGCATCAGGTAACCAACAAAGGAAAACTTAACAGATTAACAGCAGATTTCTCTCCAGAAACCCTACAAGCCAGAAGAGATTGGGGTCCTATCTTTAGCTTCCTCAAACAAAATAATTGCCGGTCAAGAGTTCTGTACCCAGCAAAACTAACCTTCATGAATGAAGAAGAGAGAGTCTTTTTCAGACAAACAAATGCTGAGAGAATTCACCACTACTAAGCCAGCACAACCAAGAAATGCTAAAAGGAGTTCTAAATCTTGAAACAAAACCTGAAAATACACCCTCCTTAAATCATAAATCTCACAGGGCCCATAAAACAACAGCACAATGAAAAAAAAAGTATTCAGGCAACAACTAACACAATGATTAATAAAATAGTACCTCACATCTCAATATTAACGTTGAATATAAATGGCCTAAATGTTCCACTTAAAATATACAGAATGGCAGAATGGTTAAAAATCCACCAAGTATCTGCTGTCTTCAACACACTCACCTAACATGTAAGGACTCACATAAAGTAAAGGGGTGGAAAAATATACTAGAAAATCTAGAGGAGATGGATAAATTCCTGGAAATATACAACCCGCCTAGGTTAAATGAGGAAGAAATAAAAACTCTGCATGGACCAATAACAAGCAGCGAGACTGAAACAGTAATTTTAAAAACTGCTAATAAAAAAAAAGTCCAAGACCAGATGAATTCAGAGCCGAATTCTATCAAGCATTCAAAGAAGAACTAGTACCAATCTTATTTTACCATTCCAAATGACAGAGTAAGAAAGAATCCTTCCTAAATCATTCTATGAAGCCAGTATCACCCTAATACCAAAACCAGGAAAGGATATAACAAAAGTAAACTACAGACCAATACCCATGATGAGCACAGGTGCAGAAATCCTCAACAAAATAACAGGTGACCGAATCCAACAGCATATCAAAAGATAATACACCATGATCAAGTGGGTTTCATACTAGGGATGCAGGGATGGTTTAACATACACAAGTCAATAAGCAAAACTGGCACAGAAGGGGCATATCTTAAAGTAATAAAAGCCATCTATGACATCTTTACTGGATTCAGTAAAGTTTCAGGACACAAAATCAACAGCACTGCTATACACCAACAATGACCAAGCTGAGAATCAAATCAAGAACTCAACGCTTTTTGCAACAGGTGCAAAAAAAAAAAATACTTAGGAACATAACTAACCAAGGAGGTGAAAAATTTCTACAAGGAAAACTATGAACCACTGCTGAAAGAAATCACAGATGACACAAACAAATGGAAACACATCTCATGCTCACGGATGGGTAGAATAAATATTGTGAAAATGGCCATACTGCCAAAAGCAATCTACAAATTCAATGCAATTCCCATCAAAATACCACCATCATTCTTCACAGAACTAGGGGGGAAAAAAATCCTAAAATTCCTATGGAACCAAAAGAGCCTGCATAGCCAAAGCAAGACTAAGCAAAAAGAACAAATCTGGAGGCATCACATTATTTCCATTTCAAACTATACTACAAGACTATAGTTACCAGAAAAGCAAGGTACTGGCATAAATACAGGCACACAGACCAATGGAACAGAATAGAAAACCCAGAAGTAAAGCCAAATACTTACAGCCAACTGATCTTCAACAAAGCAAACAAAAACATAAAGTAGGGAAAAGACACCCTATTCAGCAAATGGTGCTGGCATAATAGGCAAGCCACATGTAGAAGAAAGAAACTGGATCCTCATTTCTCATCTTACACAAAAATCAATTCAAGATGAATCAAAGACTTAAATATAAGACCTGAAATCACAAAAATTCTAGAACACTGGAAAAACTCTTCTAGACATTGGCTTAGACAAAGGGTTCATGATCAAGAACCCAAAAGCAAATATGACAAAGACAAAAATAAATAGATGGGACCTAATTAAACTAAAAACCTTCTGCACAGCAAAAGAAATAATCAGCAGACAACCCAGAGAGTGGGAGAAAATCTTCGCAAACTATGCATCTGACAAAGGACTAATATCCAGAATCTACAAGGAACTCAAATCAGCAAGAAAAAAACAATCCCATCAAAAAGTGGGCAAAGGCCATGAATAGACAATTCTCAAAAGCAGATACACAAATTGCCAAAAGACATACGAAAAATGCTCAACATCACTAATTATCAGTGAAATGCAAATCAAAATCACAATGAGATACCACCTTACTCCTGCAAGAATAGCTATATTTAAAAAATCAAAAAATAATAGATGTTGGCATGGATATGGTGAAAAGCAAACACTCATACACTGCTGGTGGGAATGTACACTAGTATAACCACTAAAGAAAACAGTACAGAGATTGCTTAAAGAACTAAAAGTAGAACTATGGTTTGATCTAGCAATCCCACTACTGGGTCAGAGGAAAAGAAGTCAGTATATGAAAGACACTTGCGCACACATGTTTATAGCAGCACATTTTGCAATTGCGAAAATATGGAACCAGCCCAAATGCCCATCAACCAACAAGTGGATACAGAAAACGTAATATATATATATACATATATGTACACCATGGAATACTACTAAGCCATAAAAGGGAACAAAATAATGGCATTTGCAGCAACCTGGATGGAACTGGAGACCATTATTCTAAGAGAAGTAACTCAGGAATGGAAAACCAAACATCACATGTTTTCACTTATAAGTGGGAGCTAAGCTATGAGGATGCAACGGCATAAGAATGATACAATGGACTTTGGGGACTCAAGGAGGAAGGCTGGGAGGGAGTGAGGCATAAAAGACTACATATTGGGTACAGGGTACACTGCTCTGGTGAACTCCAAAATCACCACTAAAGAATTTTTCCATGCAACAAAACACCACTTGTTCCCCCAAAACTATTGAAATAATTTTTTTTTTTTTTTTTTTTAATAAAAGGCCCAGGCATGGTGGCTCGCAAGTATAATCCCAGCACTTTGGGAGGCCGAGATGGGTAGATCACCTGAGGTCAGGAGTTGGAGACCAGCCTGGCCAACATGGCGAAACCCCACTAAAAAAAAATGCTAAATTAGCAGGGCATGGTGGTGCATGTCTGTAATCCTGGCTACTAGGGAGGCTGACGCAGAAGAATTGCCTGAGCCGCAGAGGTGGAGGCTGCAGTGAGCCGAGATCGTGCCACTGTAGTCCAGCCTGGGCAACAGAGTGAGATCCTGTCTCAAACAAACAAAAGAATTTCTGAGTTCCAGATGATTAGTGTGGTTTTTTCTTCCTTACCCTCACCCAATTCCTCTTGTTTCCTCCAAAACGTTTACCAAGTGACCCACTCAGTTTTAATTCATATGTATGATCTAATTTTGCTGTGGGGACTGGTATTTCAGTTAACCTCATGAGGTTATTTCCTGCATTCTGCTTTCATTATCTTGAAGGGGTATGAATTAAATCCTTTCCACACCCCATAGAGTAATTTCCTGCATCCTGTTAAGCTTCAGAAAGCAGTGCAGTTTAAAAAACAACCACTTCACCAGGCCATCCTGTCGAGTAGAGATCATATATGACTTGGACAGAGGTAACCGCTAAGCCAGACAGTTGAAGAATTAAAAATGTTTATTAAATAATTTTATTCAAAAATAGGAAGGTTAAATAGAAACTTCATTTTGCGTTAACAGTATGAGAATGTCAGATTAATAATTTTTTAAATATACAATGGCATGAATATGTGTTCTGATTCTGATATTATTTAGAAGATTCTTCTTTACTTGATTTATACTCAAATCTGAAGAAGAAAGTAGAATTTCCTCTCAAAGACAAAAATATATAATTCAGAGCCACACATCATCAAGAAGCACAAATACTATTTTCCCATGTGCAGTCTATGGTGCTTTAGATAGATATGACATGATGGTAACTCATGAGAACCAAATTTCAAGAGTAAGAGGGGACTTAAAAGCACAGTATTTCTTGATGTAAAGTCAGGAGTCAGTAGCAGATGATGATTAAAGGATGATGTAAGTGTTTGGTAACTTGCCAGGCTGAAGCTAAGAGAATCTCCTATGCACGACTTGTTATTTTGTAGAGTGCAGTGATATATACCCTAATATGTACCTTCTTACCTCCAGCTCAATTTTTATTACAAAAATGAAGATATTTTTCAGATAGACTTTTGAGGTAAATACTTTCAGTATATAACTCATCTTGCCACAGTTTACAAACCTAGGAACTACAGTATCTACACTAAATGAATAAATCCAATTTAATGTTGTTAAAATGTGTTTCCAGTTTTCAAGGTAATTTACTATCCTAACACAAATGTGAAAAAATGCTCTTGAGCAAACCGCATACCCATGCCTTCAGAAACTTAACAGAACTTGATCTCAATTACAGTCCTATAGCTGTAAGATAGGTCAGTCAATTCCATCAGTCTGGCTCATATTTCAAAATATAAATCACATCAGCTGAAATAATGCATTCAAGTAGCTGGCAAGTACTCTGTGTCCTTAGATACTACTCTTCTAGGGTTAAACTGCAGACAATGATGTCACTAATATTTCACTATGAATTCATTTCAGAAGTCCAACTGATGTGCAAACTTCAAAGGATTCTGAAAAACTCATCCAAAGCAAAGTTCAATCATATTTGGCAAAATTTTCATAAAATTTGACATTCAGCTGATTATTCAATAAACAAAAATACATTCTAACAGTTATAAAATTATGTCATTTGTACAAAGAACTGTTTGAGGTTTCTGAAAGTAGAAAAGATTACAGGGCTGGTTCGAAGGCAGTGAGTTATCTCAACTTATCCAACTCCTTGTTCTACTCTTTACCCCCTTCTCACTACTGCACCTGACTAGTCTAAAATAAAATAAAATAATAAAGATCACAGGTTTTGAAATAATTGAATGCATGTGTACTTGATTCAATGAAATGTCTTGTAAGATGGACAACATGGATCCTGTCCAATAAAAATTTATAACAAAAATAGGCAATGCTCATGGGGTCTGCTTCTTTTCTTTCTGAATACTGTATTCCCCATCTCTATCCCATGTGGGCAGCCCCCAAAAGGCAACATATCTTCTTCTCTTTCAGAAACTTCAGCATCTTCATGAAGCATGAATGCTGAAGCATATACAACTTCAACTATCACCTCCATGTGAATGACTGAAAACTGGGTTTCTGCTTTATCTTTCCTAATTTCCAGTACATATTCAATAATCTGGTGGCCACTTTCACCCAGACATGCTGCTGTCATCTCAACTCAGCTTGTTCTAAAGACTTCAACTACTGCTGTCCTCCGCCATCCCATCCCCACCTTCAGAGCAATCAAGCTTTCTTCATGATATCTTTCACCTCTTCCATCTCTTCTTTTTAACTGCCAATGTGCCTGCTACAATGCAAACCCTTATTTTACCTTCATTTAACCCCAAATAATTCCAAGAGCATCTTGAGCCTTTCTATGTCTAGTACCATATATGTTTTTTCTCTTTCTCAACGTGTTTTTAAAAAGTGAAGTTGTTGGATATCTGACTTTATTTTATGCTTGATATTTTAAAGTGTGCCCAAAGTAAAAAGTCCCCAAAGTCATTTGAACTATAGTATAAACCCAGTATTAAACTCCCCATAGAGAAATATACCTAGTAAATCATAAACAAATAAGCAAATTACCTCTATGAAAGATCTATACAAATTACAATATGTACAAAGCTGCCAAGTTTTATTTGCACAGATGACAATGGAAAACAAGTTATAAGTAATAAATAAAGAAATATTCTAATTTACTACAATAAAGATGTTATGACTGTAGAGGTAACTGTATTAATACAGCATCACTGAAACTAGAAAAAGAGTGAAAAACACAGTCCCACCATCTTAAGTATTATAATCTCTTTGGATTTTTCCCTTTTTGTTTTCCATGCTCATATTTTTTGCTCGTTTTAAATCACAACTAAAAAGAAATTCAGTTGAAATTTCATTTACTTCATTTTCATATTGTTGAATATGTTGATTTCTTCCTATTATTCATTACTACAAATAAAGTTGCAATGAAGCTTTGCTTATTCTAACTTACCTCTTCAGGAGAGATTCCCAAAAATGGGATTAGTGGGCTTGGAGGTATAAACATTTTTATGACAACTAAAACCTCTTGCCAAAACCTTTCCAGAAAGATTGTTACTAATTTACAATGCCACAAAAGCATGCATGAGATCATCAGTTTCACCATGCCTTCATTAGCACTGAATATCACAATAAAAAGTGCTAATAGTTGGGAATTAGTAAGTAAGAGTAGTATTTTTTTTTGTCATTTTAATTTGAATTTCATGAATACTACCAATGATGAACAACCTTTTCAGTTTTTAAAATACTAGTTAGGTTTCTTTTTTGAATTGTGTATTTTGGTACAATTAAATGCCCATTACTAAACATTCCCCTATCTGTTGCTTGGATTTTATCTTGCTTTTTTCCTCTGGAGAATGAGCAACACGTATTATCTCACATAAAAAGACTAGGGGAAGAGTGGTCCCAGACTCAGCTGCTTCAGCAGCTCAACACTGAGGGCCACCAGCTTTTCACTTCATCAACCTTGGCATTTTGACCTGTCATCTTAAACTGACTTGTCTCATGATCTTAAGATGGGTGCTGAGTTCCAGCTGCCACATGCAGACAACAATGTCCAAAGACTCAAAGGCTACCTCTAGTTTGTGCATGAATGTGAGTGTTGAGTGTCTATACATTTTCTCTCTGAATTTTGGAATAGTATAAATACCACAAAATGTACATTATTTTCTCTTATAATTTAAAAAGTGCCTTTATATTTGTTGTTATAGTTCCTTTATTATTATATCTAGTGTATTCTTTTATTTTCAAAACTGTTTTCTTGCTAATGTAACACATAAACAGAAAATGTACAAAACAAAAACGTATAGGTTAAGGATTTATCATAAAGTGAAGATCCACGTAACCACCATTCAGATTAAGAATACTGCCAGAACCCCAGAAGTTTCCATAATTGGGCCCCCTAAAATATTCCGAGAGTCCCACCTACCCAAAGTAACCACTATTGTGAATTTTACAGTAATTTCTTGGTTTTTCTTTATGGCTCTGCCATCTATCTACACAAGCATCCCAAACACTATAGTTTTTTTGGCCTGCTTTTCAAACTTTATATAGTTAGAATCTTGAGTATGTATCTATCTTCTTTAATTCATAATGTTTGGTGACATTCATCCATGTTGAGAACTGCTGTGATTTCATTTTCACTGCAGTATAATATTCTTTCATATGAATGTACTCTTATATTTATCCATTCTACTGTTGACAGAGATCTGTACTATTTCTAGACAATGACTTTAACATAATGTTGTACACATTCTTTTACATATCTCTTGGTACTCGTGATGCACAAATGCATTTCTCTACAGTACATAAGGATGAGTGAAAATGCTGGGTCACACAATACACGTATCTGCAGCTTAGGCAGATAATGCCAAATGGTTGCAACAACTTGTACTCCCATTACCAGTGTATGAGTTTGTGCTTTTTCATAGCTTTGTCAATATTTGGTATACCATCTATTTCATCTTAGCAATTCTGGTGGGTGTGCAGTGTTCTCTCTTTGTGGTTTAATTTTGCATTTCCATGACTACTGAGACTGAGCATTTCTTCACATTTATCAGACATTTCTTTTGTGAAGTGATGTGTTCTCATGCACATTTTCAAAAGTCGAGTTTTCTTTTTCTTACTGATTTGTAGGTATTCTTAAAAAAAAACCTCTCTATTGATTGTATACATACTATATATATTCTCCCATTCTGTCTTGCCTTTTTACTCTCTTTACAGTGCTTTTGATTCACAAAGTTTCCAATTTTCACACAAGCAAATCAATCAGTCTTTCCATTAGACTTTCTTTGGTTTCTTATTTAAGAAGTCTTTGCCTTTCCTGAGTTCGTTCAGTGCTTTAAAAGTCTCAAGGATGCCTCTTCTTTTAGCAGTACATGGGCCTGAAGTATTCCAATTTTAGGGAAGCAGGCAGAAGATGCAACAAAAATTAAAATACGAACAAGGCAAATGGAAGACTCGCCTATAAACAAATTACGTATTTGAAAATGACAATATTGGTAAAAATGATATGGTTTAAAGGTAACGCAAAACTATCTGGAACTGACCTATCACGAGTTTCTAAACTGGAGCTGATACAGTAAGTTATGACATATATACAGATAAAACGTATTTAAAACAAGTAGAATTTGCAATCCATGCTTATAATACAGAATAAACATTCCTTTCCAGTACACAACACAGACAAAAATTGAGCACATGCTGGCCTATAAAAAAGTATCAGCAAATTTCAGAGAACTTAATCATATAGAGGTAAGTTCTCTGGTAACAAAACAATCTGGCTAGAAAATAATATCTCAAAGATAACTGGAAAATCTCCATGTATTTGAAATTAAGAAATATAATTCTAAATAACTTACAAGTTGGGTTAAAGAAAAAGATATAATGGAAATTAGAAAATATTTCGAATTGAATATTAGTGAAAACATTCCATTTTATTAGTCTTTTAAATAATCAGTATTTGTTTTGTTAATTCAATTTGTTTTTCTATTTCAGTATCAATACTTGTATTTTTATGACCACTGAAACATCTTGCCAAAACCTTTCCAGAAAGATTGTTACTGATTTACAATACCACAAAAGCACGTATGAGATCATCTGTTTCACCATGCCTGAAATAGAAAATTTTCTATTTTCTATTTCAATGCTTGTATCTTTGTTATTTGGTTCTACCTACTTTATGTTTAATTTGCTGTCCTTTTCTGACTTCCTGAGAAGGAGGTTTAGCTCACCATCTCCAGTCTTTTGTTCATAAAGGTTTAAATTTCTCATAAAGCACAGCATTATCTGTATTCCACGTTGAGTTTTATAGGCCTTCCCAATTTGTGGCTTTTTTGTTGTTGTTAGTTTTGGAAAATTCTCAGTGATTATCTCTTCAAATACTGCTTCTGCCCAATTTTCTCTGACTTTGCTTCCTGGGACTTCAATTTAACGTATGCTAGTCCTTTTTATTGCATGCTCTGGGTCTTCTTTTTAATTTTCCATCCCTTTGTGTCTCCAAAATTCTGGATAATTTTCTTCTATCTTATCTTTTAGTTTCTTAATTCTTGTATTTGCTTTGTCCAATCTGTTTTTAAGCCCATCTGTTAAGTTCTTAACATTACGGGGTTTTTTTGTTCTAAAATTTCCATTTTTTAAATAAATTTCAGTTCTCTGCTAAAATTCTCAATCTTTTTGTTTTTTAAATACCCTTGAACACAGTAAACACTGTTATATTAAAGTCAAAGTCTGTGCCTAGTAACTCCAAATTCTGGAGTTCCCAGGAGGCTGATTCCATTGTTTGTTTATTTCTGCAAGTTTTCATTTGCTTTATTTGTGTGTGTGCCTAGTTCAGCTTATGTGCCAAGTTAGAAATAATAAGGTCTGAGATGGTGTTTTATTTTATTTATTTATTTATTTATTTATTTTTGAGACAGCGTTTTGCTCTTGTCGCACAGGCTGGAGTGCAGTGGCATGATCTCGGCTCACTGCAACCTCCGCCTCCTGGGATCAAGTGATGCTCCTGCCTCAGCCTCCTGAGTAGCTGGGATTACAGGCACTTGCCACCACGTCCGGCTAATTTTTGTATTTTTAGTAGAGATGGGGTTTTGCCATGTGGGCCAGGCTTATTTTATTCTTCCAGAGACTATTTGCTTTTCCGGGCATTCTGGAACCCCTAAATCTAATTTCTAATCACTACGATCTAATTTTAACAAACTTTTGGGAGGTCAAGGCAGGCAGATCACCAGGTCGGGAGATTGAGACCATCCTGGCTAACACGGTGAAACTCCGTCTCTACTAAAAATACAAAAAAATTAGCCCGGCGTGGTGGCGGGCACCTGTAGTCCCAGCTACTCGGGAGGCTGAGGCAGAATGGCGTGAACCCGGGAGGTGAAGTTTGCAGTGAGCGGAGATGGCGCCACTGCACTCCAGCCTGGGCGACAAGAGCGAGACTCCGTCTCAAAAAAAAAAAAACAAAACTGTATGATGCATCTGTAAGATGTCACTACTGAGAAGAACTGTTTATCTCTGGTTTACTTTACTTCTAGAGTCCAGCCTTTTGGGGTGTCAACCCAATGTGAGAGAAGCATATTAGGCTCTCACAATTCTTGGTGGGCCCTGAACTTATTATTCTGTTGGGGGAATAAAAAAAAAAAGGGACACAAAAACAGTATGTAGGCATACAAACAACTAAAACAAGAGCTGAAAAAAAACCATAAATATTTGGAAATACACATACAAGAGTAGCAGCCCTAGTGTTTAACTGGTACAACCTTTATGTATTTTCCCACATTTAATTGTTTTCTGTTAAGTAAGACTCCACAATAGGTCTTATCTGTTTAATTCCATTAAAATATTTAATACTGTGGCAGATATAATTAGGCATTTATTCCTACTTTGTCATTAAATATTTTGTAACTTGTCTTAATAATATCTTTATTGATGTTTGTTTATTTCTTCCTCATCATTTTTATTAAGTCATTCAATCATCTCCATAATTTTTTTTTTTTTGAGAAGGAGTCTCACTCTATCGCCCAGGCTGGAGTGCAGTGATGCGATCTCAGCTCACTGCAACCACCGCCTCCCGGATTCAAGCAATTCTCCTCCCTCGGCCTCCCGAATAGCTGGGACTACAGGTGCACACTGCCACGCCCAGCTAAATTTTTTTGTATTTTAGTAGAGACAGGGTTTCACAGTGTTGCCCAGGCTGGTCACAAACTCTTCAGCTCAGGCAATCTGCCCACCTCGTCCTCCCAAAGTGCTGGGATTACAGGTGTGAGCCACGACGCCCGGCCAAGACAAATATGTTAATTATCTTTCTATCTGTAGAAGTAGATAGACCCACCATTTCTTTTCATTCTAGTCTCTCTGAAAACATTTCATGCTGTTGTAAGATAGAGTAGTTTGGTAACAGTCTAACTTTGGTAAGCAGGGAAGTTAGAGAAAGTCTCCCCTTAAGAAATTATCTTGATGTATTAGTGAAAGTACCCTTCAGAAGGAAATTTCCCAGAAAGCTTTATTTCAGGAACAACATTCCTTTGATCTCATATAGGATAGATACCTACAAAACAGAAGAGTAGGAATTCACTCACCCACTGGACTGCTTCCAGCTCCATTTGGCACTGTGAGGTCTGTAGTGCTCAACATCCCACCTAACAACGTTACGGAGAGAAGACAGAGGGCAGAGAATGAATATGAATTAGCTCTCTTTACCTAACTGAACGTGAACTGAATAGAGATAACTCTCACTCTAATCCTAAAAAGACACAAAAATAAAAACTAGCTCAGTCTGAAGTTGGCATTAACATGTAATCTGATGTAGTTATTATATCTCATATATATGAGTTTACCTTTCAAGCTTGATGTCGCCTTCAATACCAAATAGTGGTATTGCATCAATACCAAAATAGTACATACTGATAAAAACGGGGGCAGTGTGTAAGGAGTATGATTAAATCACTAAATTAAATCTAGGACTTAAGAGAGAGGAGACACTGCATTTCATAGACTAATACAATAAATGTAACATAAATTTTGCTGAATTAATGAAGTAATTCAGGCAGGAGGAGATGTAAAAGATACTCTAACTCCAATCAGGTAGTCTATCACCCATATTTCTAACATGAATGGCTCACACTCTACTTTAAATCCTTGCTTCTGATATCTAACTAAATTTTCTGCCTGTCAAAGTATGGCTTTCCCATGAGAAGGAAAGCATATAAATGGCAGGTTCTCAGTACTGTTCTACTTTGCATGACACAATGCTACACCCACAATTGATTTTCAAAAAAATACTTTAAAATGAGGCCAATTATGTATCAGTGATTCTTGCTCATCAAAGCAATAAAAGAATAGCAAAATAAGAAACTGCTTATGTTAGCAATGAATTTTTTCACCCTCTTTATTAAAGAACCAGCATAATAGGTATCACTACATACCTGCATTGCCAGTACTTGGTGGTCTCTGAGGAGCTCCAGGAGACACATTTCTATGTAATGTGGTTTGAGGTGGAGAGAGCATGCTTGAATCTGTTAACGTTGAGCTGGCTGCCAAAGATGGGGACACCAGTGAACTCCCTGGGTTAGTGTAGGACAAAGCATTGGGGCTGGTCACTGGAACTGTGACAGACATTGAAAAGTTCTGAGGTGGCAGACCAGGCTGTAAATAAAGAAAAAGAAGGAAAAAACTGTTGGTTTCGTATTCATCTACAAAGTAACTTTTGAACTTTAATTTGGCAAGGTAACTCAAGTTACTAAAAGTAGAGGATAGGGATAGGTTCTTAACCAATTTACAGATTAAAGCTATTTTCTTTAGAATTATGTTTGAACATGAATATGACTGACATGAGCCTTTTCAATTTCAACTTTATACATTAATATATACTAATGTCTATATTCTATATTTCAAATATTCATAAAGACAAATTTAAGAGGATAAACCTGATAATCAAGTAGTGTTGTCATATTTAGACATTACAAAATATATCACTGTCACCAAGTAAGCATAAATTGGCACTTCAATGTAAACCTTAATAACATTACATTTCTACTGAGAGATCCCAAATATAACGGAAGGAGAAAAGTGTGTACACATATTATTAACTTAATATGTCAAATCTGATAAATCATAAATATTCCCCATTCTGATTTAATTGACTAACTTTCTAAAGGGCAAAACTAAGAAAAAAAAAAAGTAATTATATACATAACAATGCAATTTGAGTTTAATGAAAATGCAAAGAAATCTAATCTAAACAACAAAATTAACTACTAACCAAGCCAGTAATAAAAGTAATAAAGTTTTTGGTATCTTCTTTAAATTGTATAAAGATTAAATTACAAATATTATAAATGCTAACCTTCCCTCCCTCCAAATTATTCCATATCCCCTTTTTTCTATTTTCTATTTTCATCTTGCATTTCCTCCACACACCATTTACAATATGCTTGTTAACCACGATAAATATATGTTGCTCTTTACAATTTAAAGTGGGAGAAAATAAAACAACTTTACTCTGCCCTCATTTTAAAAGACTAACATACAAAAATAAGGTAACACTGCTAATTCAAAGTTGGAAGAATATATTTTATTGTACTTTATTCAATAGTAGTTTATTTCATGTAGAAAAATTATACATCAACAAATATAAAAACAGTGGGTATATGACAATTTTTTTCAAAAGTAAAACACTTTTATTTGTGCGATATCTTTGCAGCTTTAACATTAACTGCAAGGTCAGCAACATCCCTTTATTTGCTACTGTATTGTTTTTAAGAATAATAATGGTATTTGCCCAAAAGTAACTCCTTAAGGCTATTTTTTTGTGAGCTGGCTTCTTATACAGGTTGAGCATCCCTAATCTGAAAATCCAAAATCCAAAACTTTCTGAGCACCAACATGATGCCATAGAGAATTCCAAACCTGACATGTGGAAATGCAGGCATACAATACACAGTTTATTCAGTGTCTCCAAGGGGAAAAGGACCGTTCCAGTCTGCCATCAGCTTCAATATATCTTTTCTGTGCACACCCAGATTCCCTCACACAAGCACATCCACAAAGGGTAATAAAATGGCACGTGTGTAGGCTACACATGCTAACAGCAGGTTCCCAATGATGCTCCACATGGAGCCAAGACCTATGACATGGGTAGCTGAGACAGAGACATCTTTGCTTTCTGATGGTTCCATGTACACAAACCTTGTTTCATGTACAAAATTATGAAAAATATTGTATAAAACTTCCTTCAGTCCATGAGTATGTAAGGTATGTATGAAACATTAATAAATTTAATGTTTAGACTTGGGTCCCATCCCCAAGATACTATACATATGCAAATATTCCAAATTTTGAAAAAAATCCCAAATCTGAAACACTTTCTAGTCCCAAGCATTTCCAATAAGGAATACCCAACCTGTAATACAGGACTACTCTGAAGAAATGATCCATCATGCATACTTTAGGGCACAGTTTTGAAAGAATTAACTCTGATGCTAAAATAAATATCAGCATTGAAACTAATTTGTTCAAGGGCGGCTGACCTACATATACAGAATTAGGAAATCAGATCCAGAATAACTGTTTTAAGTAGCTCTTGCCAATGGAGCTTCCAGTGAGAATTCTTTGAAAAACTATCAAGTCTAGGAGCATGAGCTCAAAGAAAAATACTCTTTCACTATGGTTAGATGAATGAGTATACAGAAACTGTAAAGTCACTATTTGTTTTGCAATCAGTTTAAGAACATTGTTGCCCTAAATTAAAATTAAGCCAAGCTGCTCTTCCTTAGTATCTACAGCATAAGAAAAGAACAAAAGTCTGGTGGTATTGTTGCTAAGTGATTTGGGGACATTTACAAACTGCAAAGCAGTAAGCTTAGCTCTGCTATTATAGCAACTATACAAAATAATTGAAGATAATTTAGGAAAAAAACAAGTTTCGCAACAAACCTAACTACCTTACATTTTGCTTTCTCAAGATCTATTTAAGAACACATATGTTTTTAAGTCATGGGAGTAGAGGGAAAGTTTTATACATACTCTATACTATAAATCATAGAATTTTAGAGCTGGAAGATACCTTAAAAATCATGAGAGCCAACTCACTATAGATGGAGAAAGAATTCAAAATGTTTAGGTGCCCTATCCAAAGGTATTGGGGTAAGAAGTAGCAAAGTCTGGATCGGCATGTTTTCTCTTCACTTCTACATTTAAGATACTGAACATGTATAAGATTTCAGCAATTTTATTTTGAAGTTTTATAAAAAATACTAATAAAATGCATTTCTTCCCTTCTACTTATTGTTGTCATCACCCACTATAAAAATAAGCAACAAGATGTTTGGTCAATCTCTTCATGCACAAGATAAAAGCACAAACCATACTTTAGTACTCACTGCGATTTTATGATTCCGCATCATATTATCAAATTCCTCATTAATTTTTTTATATTTTTCTTCTGTATGTGGAGTTAGCACATATGAAGTATCAGGGTCTGGGCTGTCGCACCCTCTGTGTTCCTTCTTGTTCAGAGCCTAAATAATGAAGTTAACAAAAAGGATCAACAAATAAAAAGTAGAGGTAAAGTAAAAGTACTTACAGGGCCTCGTTTGAAAATAAAATCACTATCTTCATTTAGTTTGCTGAATCTGTCCTCCGAGAGTGGACTGTGCTCAAAGTAATCGTCAGCATCAGGGCTCTCACAACCATTAAGGCCTTTCTTTCTTAAAGTCTGAAATACAATTGGAAAATTCACACACAAATAATGCTAACTTGCCATGAGTTTTTCTGTAAAATTTATTAAGAGAGCACAGACGGAATGAACTGAATTATACAAGAGCCACTGAAACGGTTTCTAAATGATCACAAATGTACTTACTTCTTCAAATAAGATAAACATTAAATATAAGTAAAATTAATTCTCCCATTGTATGTTAAGAGAAAAGGAATATTTGTTTGGATTCTTCCTTTCTAAACTTCTCAAAATACTAAATGACTCACTGCTCTCACAGTTAAAACTCAAATCTGATTAAAGCCTGATCAATTTATATGATATAACCAATGCATGAAAGAACTAAGATAGAAATCTATAAAAATGATGCTTTGAGAAGTTATCGTACCTTTATAAATTGAACATTTCAGCAACTTCACGTATTCTTCCTTTCTGCCTATCGGAGTTTTTATCCTACTCAACAGAAAGAATCAGCACAATATCCCAATAATTTCATTCCTATTATTCACTTTCCTGTATAACTTTGAAATACAACAAACTTGATAATTATTTATGTCTGCAATGACTCCTATGTAGAATGTACAAATTATCAGTGACTTTACATATTTTTAAAATTTGCACTCAAAAGTTATTCAGAGTGTATTTCATGGTTTGATTTAATCCACTGATTTGACTTTCTGGAGAACTGTCTTTTCTTTTTTTTTTTCTTTTTTGAGACGGAGTCTCGTTCTGTCGCCCAGGATGGAGTGCAGTGGCACGATGTTGGCTCACTGCAAGCTCCGCCTCCTGGGTTCATGCCATTCTCCTGCCTCAGCCTCCCGAGTAGCTGGGACTACAAGCGCCCGCCACCACGCCCGGCTAATTTTTTTTGTATTTTTAGTAGAGATGGGGTTTCACCATGTTAGCCAGGATGGTCTGGATCTCCTGACCTCGTGATCCACCCACCTCAGCCTCCCAAAGTGCTGGGATTACAGGCGTGAGCCACTGTGCCCAGCCCTTTCTGGAGAATATTCTTGAGTGCCATTAAAATATCTCCTGGATTATACTGACTTTTTTTTTCTTAGTATAATGCAAAAAACAGTTGGTTTTCTGATTTTTATTTTTAACTTAAATTCATCATGAAATAACTTGTCCAGTACTTAAAAGGATAAATTAAAAACCAAGAGCTTGAAGATATATGGAATATTCCTTTACTTTCAGAATGTCTTATTTCTTTCTTTCTTCTTTTTTAAAAAATCCTAGTGGGTCGTATTTTAAAGTAGAGTTACAGGGTTCAACACTGAAATGGCTGAGACTTCTTGATTTTCTGACCAACTGCAGAGAAGGATTAGGAAGTTAAAATTTCTAAGTAAGCCTAACTAACAGAGCTTAGTTAGGAAACAAAGCTTGATCACTGAACTAGTCCCAGAGAAGTTCATCAATAAACGATTAAATTAGATCTAAAGATATTTTTGATTATTTCATAGCAGATCTTAGTATCCTTTAAAATATGATTAGCAATAATTATGGATGTTTATTTTACTCCTTTTTTCTTGAATGAAGTAGAACATAAGCACAGTACATTAAGATTCAAGAATTTTTTTGATTCTCCAAAGTCAAATTATTTTTAAAATTCACTTTATTCAATGTGATTTTTAAAAATTTTTCATGAAGAATCATAAACAATCATTAGTACAGATACGTTAGCTTATTAAATTACTTGGCATGTGCATATAGCAAACACAACATCTATTTCTCCAACATTTTCTCCATGGCACTAGGCTCTATGAGCCTAAGTAATCACATGGACTTTTATGTGTGCTTGGCCATAAAAGGTCCTGTTGTTGGGAGCACTAAAGGATAAAGGCATTTATCCTCCCCCAACCATGGTAGCAAGTTTACTTGCCAAATCTTTCCAAGTAGCTATGAGGAGTGAAAATGTAGACACTCAGAACACTGGAACACATTGAACTCTTAAAACCTACACAGCACTAGAAACAGAACAAATATAGTAGGTGCCTACACACAGATCTTATCATAAAGTTGTTGACTTATTCTAGTCCTAAATCTCTGATATTTCCCCTCAATTTTCATCTATTTTAAGACTAGTTAATTAGTCTTGCTCTTCTTAGTAAGCTGTAATGCTTATCACTGAAATTTTCACAAATGGCAATCACCAAGTATATATCTCTTTGACCACATTTTAATTGCCAGAGAAAAAAGAAGGCAGCTTTTGTTCAACAATTACATGCAATTTTTATTCTACAAGAGTAGGGTTAACTCTACTTGTATTTATGAGGAAGGAAAGTGCTCTGGTATCTCCAGCTCTGCAAGCCTTCACTTCAGATGGGGTTTCTGTCACCATGAGAGAATTTAAGAGGCTCTATCAGCTTTGTAGATAATAAGCTAATGTACCTCTGTTTGATAGGCAACTTGTGTCTCCTTATCACTAAACCATGAAGAGTTGTTTTGAGGACCCAACTACCATAAAAAGACTTTTTCTGTCTTCACATTACCAAATAGCACAACAGTAGAAGTTTCTCCTGTGCCACTGGTATTATCAAGTGGAATGCCGTAATCTATTAAGAAGGCCAGGCCCAGGTACATACGATCCTGGCCAGCTTCAGTTTTCTCACACACAAGTTAGCCACAATAAAGACACTTGCTCAATGAGGAAAACACAGTGTGAAAGGTCACCACTATGAGAGATCTGCTTATTCCTCATAAAGAAAAAGTAGAAAAATGCATCAAGAGTGCTAGCACTGAGTACTCTCTATAGCTATTACTAGTCATTATAATCCATTCTAAAGTAAATAAAACTTCAAAGATATTTTACTCCTTGTAAATAACGTGATTGAGTTTTTCAATGCCATTCCAACAAACTTAAGGAGAAAACTCAATTGTGCCAAAATAATTTCAAATTTCAATGGTGTGTACCCATTTAAGTTGACTTATCCTAGTTGCTTTTCTTAAAGAAATGTCTTCTACAACATACATTACAGGCTGCTATAAAGATCAATATTAATGAGTAATTATTAATCAATTTAAGCCGATGATACACCCTGTTCTATACATGTTCCAAACTAATTTAAAGGTCCCAATTGGCAATATTACTTAAATAAAATCCTAAAATTAACACACCTATATTTTTCATCAGTACACGTCTATAGAAGACAGTAATTTTATTTTTGGAGGGTCAGTTAAGCACTTGTTAGAAACAATCATTTTTCTATTTATGTCACAACAAAGTTAAATTCCATTATTATTTTAACAGTTTTTTTTTTGACTTGGGCCAATTCAGGTACTTTCTGCACATTGTCATTTATGGTACAAAACGCAGGATTTAAGTAATAAACTTAGCTAATATTTACCTTTCAACGCTAGTTATGTAAGGATACTGAAATATTTTTAAATGAAACCCAAAAAACTAAATATCTCTTAAAACTCTGTATTGTTTAGAGCACATGCCAAGTTATCTGATTCTAGGGGGTTTGTACCTTGGTTTCTGAGCTATTTTCCAACTCTGTAAACAGAAGATAATGTGTAGAAAAGTGAGAGTAATGCAAATAATTTGTGTTTGTAGATGTGCAAACAAATCCCGCCTGGTGGAAGTTCAACTGACTTCCTCTCTCAACTGTGGAAGAGCCAGTTTTTGTATTTATGAAGCAAATTCATTTGGCCTTCTTGGTGGGCTTATACATTTGTCTGATCTTTGAATTTACAAAGGCAACATTTTTTTCAGGCTCCCTCACTAATTAATTACTTAAAATTTTTGACTCATGTTCACTTGATATAATCACCTTTATAAAAAACTATGTTACGGCCGGGCGCGGTGGCTGACGCCTGTAATCCCAGCACTTTGGGAGGCCGAGGCGGGCGGATCACGAGGTCAGGAGATTGAGACCATCCTGCTAACACGGTGAAACCCCGTCTCTACTAAAAATACAAAAACAAAGTTAGCTGGGCGTGGTGGCGGGCACCTGTAGTCCCAGCTACTCGGGAGGCTGAGGCAGGAGAATGGCGTAAACCCGGGAGGCGGAGCTTGCAGTGAGCGAGATCGTGCCACTGCACTCCAGCCTGGGCGACAGAGCAAGACTCTGTCTCAAATAAATAAATAAATAAATAAAAACCAAAAACCAAAAAACAAAACTATTTTACCACTTACGAGTGTGAAACCACCCAACTCACTGATTTCAGATCTAAACTCAGGAAGAGATTCCTAGTAACCCTCGATAGAACTTATTATTGGAGCAAGTATTGGTTTTTAAAAGGAAGAAGTAGTATGCTGTTCTTTAAAATTTTCTAAAAATATTTGATTAATCTGTATTCGTTATAATATCAAGTATCGATGAAATATGACAAGACAGGGCCTGTGGCCTTTCAATACTCATCTTCAAAATCTTCTTGTGGTAATTCATAAATTGTTATTTATATTGCAGCATTAAGAATGTTAACTGTCTAAAACAGCAAATCCCACAACCTTCCTTTCTGTCGGAAGCTATTAAGATCTAAAATGAAATTCAAGCTGGTGGAGGAAGAGAGGAGGGCATACTGCCTAAAAATATTTCTAGGGAAAAGGAATCCCTACATCATATCCACACTATTTCTGTGTTGTAAATGCCCAAATCAAACTTAGAAGGTTTTGCTTTGTTGTCTAGCATTAATTAAACCAGTTTTACCTAAAAGAAGAGGAACTTTAAAAGCCTTCCTTTTTTTTCTTTGCTGATCTTTTTATTATTATTATTATTATTATTATTATTATTATACTTTAAGTTCTGGGATACATGTGCAGAACGTGCAGGTTTGTTACACAGGTATACATGTGCCATGGTGGCTTGCTGCACCTATCAACCCATCATCTACATTACGTACTTCTACCACTATCCCTAGACTAGCCCCCCACTCCCTGACAAGCCCCAGTGTGTGATGTTCCGCTCCGTGTCCATGTGTTGTCATTGTTCAACTCCCACTTATGAGTGAGAACATGCGGTGTTTAGTTTTCTGTTTTTGTGTTAGTTTGCTGAGAATGATGGTTTCCAGTGTCAACCATGTCCTTGCAAAGGACATGAACTCATTCTTTTTTTTATGGCTGCATAGTATTCCATGGTGTATATGTGCCACATTTTCTTTATCCAGTCTATCACTGATGGGCATTTGGGTTGATTCCCAGTCTTTGCTATTGTGAACAGTGCCGCAGTAAACGTATGTGTGCACGTGTCTTTACAGTAGAATGATTTATAATCCTTTGGGTATATATTCAGTAATGGCATTACTGGGTCAAATGGTATTTCTAGTTCTAGATCCTTGAGGAATCACCACACTGTCTTCCACCATGGTTGAACTAATTTACACTCCCACCAGCAGTATAAAAGTGTTCCCATTTCTCCACATCCTCTCTAGCACCTGTTGTTTCCTGACTTTTTAATGATCACCATTCTAACTGGCTTGAGATGGTATCTCATGATGGTTTTGATTTGCATTTCTCTAATGACCAGTGATGATGAGCTTTTTTTCATATGTTTGTTGGCTGCATAAATGTCTTCTTTTGAGCAGTGTCTGTTCATATCCTTCACCCACTTTTTGATGGCTTTTTTTTTTTTTTTTTTTTTTTTGTAAATTTAAGTTCTTTGTAGATTCCGGATATTAACCCTTTGTCAGATGGATAGATCGCAAAAATTTTCTCCCATTCTGTAGGCTGCCTGTTCATTCTGATGATAAAGTTTCTTTTGCTGTGCAGAAGCTCTTTAGTTTAATCAGATCCTATTTATCTATTTTGGCTTTTGTTGCCATTGTTTTTGATGTTTTAGTCATGAAATCTTTGCCCATGCCTATGTCCTGAACGGTACTACTTAGATTTTCTTCTAGAGTTTTTATGGCTTTAGGTCTTACGTTTAAATCTTTAACCCATCTTAATTTTTGTATAAGGTGTAAGGAAGGGATCCAGTTTCAGCTTTCTGCATATGGCTGGCTCGTTTTTCCAACACCATTTATTAAATAGGGAATCCTTTCCCCATTGCTTGTTTTTCTTTCTATCTACTGCTGACCAAACACTCCAGTAGTAGGAAGGCTCTTGAGTTTAAAATTTCCATACCAATTTAAGGAAAAACAATGAAAGCCTGAAACTTAGTGAGTGCCCTGGCTAGAACCTCCATTTAGGTTAGTTACATCCACTTCCGTTTCTTTGATGAGGCTATTTTACAACACTGCAGAGATGGACATTAGTTAACTTATAGAAAACTTGTAGTAGCTGCAAATAATTCTTGTTTCCAGAAATTGTTTCCTGTGGAATACCATTGATTGTCACCCTGTGGATACTGGCCACTTTTGTTTCTATTTATAAATTTACTTCTGCATTCTTTAACTATAAATGTGTTATATTTTTGAGTTCTCCTCTGTTTATGATCTTACTGTTCCCTCATTCATTAATGACTCAAATAAAATCTCTAATATGTTCATTTTATAATTTTATGATAGTAATGTTTATGCCTTCATCCAAATCTAATCTGCAACTTGGAAGATTTATAATCCCAACTGCCTGCTGCACACTTTCATTTGGATATTTTACTAACATTTCTATTTCAACTTAACTGCCATAGAATTCATTATCTTTTATTAAACCGGTCTCTCCTTGGGACTTACCAACCTAGTCGACCTTATTCCCTTTGTTCTCTCTCTACATTCACATGGAATACCAAATTTTATATATTATTTCCATTTCTACTGTCCCCATACTCACTCAAGCCTGCACTATCTTATGTCTAGACTCTTATATCTTTTTTCCACTTTTCTCTCTCTCCATTCTATCTGTTCCATAAATTGTTACCAATTCAGTTCCCCTCAATATCATTTTGAATTTCTCACCTGTTTTAAATCAATTCATTTCTACATGAAGATTATCAGTTGTGCTTGCAAGGAGAGTTATTTTGCAAACCAGCCTTGGTGGCAGAGATGAGAGACCATGGAGCCCTTAATATGAAGTTCCTGGTGTCCGGCCTTCAGGAAGCCAGCTACTCCTGCCTCTTGCCTTTGAGTGCTATCTGTCTGCATTCTTTCAACAAATTCTTTCTTTAGTTGGAGCTACTTTAAATGGGTTTCTATCCCTTATAATCAAAGAAGCATGAGGAAGAAAACTGTTAGTGATCCTTTAGGTAACACATTATTAGTCTCTTTACCCAAGTCACATATTTCTCAAAATAAGTCTGGCTAGTACCTCTACAACATAGAATCCAGAAAGAGTCTCAAACCTAGAAGTGATGATTAATTACTGTTGTTGGTCAAAGATAACTGATTGAAACAATGGTATCTACCCCAACAAAAATCTTTAAAGTCATACGTCCTATCATTCTACTTATAGAGTACTGACAACCTTACCTTTCAAATTCAAGGAAACATTTACAGAATTCTGGGTATATGTTACCACTTGGCTGACCCTGTACATCTGCCTCTCATTTTCTGGTTTATATACTAAACCTCTTGGTGAAACTAGAGATGGAAAGGATTAAGGGAAGAGGTGAAAAAAGAAAGAAAAAAGATACTTGAGAGGACAAAAACAATACTGTATAAACTTTTTTTTAAGTATGTTGAGGTTTTCTTTTACATAATAAACTTACAAAAATTTATTTCAAAATGAATTACTAATTAGGCAGGGCAACTCATTTAAAATGCGTTTCTTTTAGCTTATGCTCTTTCATGTTAAATACTCAGCAAGAAATTCTATATTTAAAATTTTAGCCACATTTTCCATGGAAATGTTATACATATATAAAAAATAGTTAAATATAAAACTTTTATACATAAAATATAAAAAGTTTTATATACATAAAAACTTCCATGGAAAATAAGCTTGTCTAAAATTTTAAATATATATATGTGATTCTATTTGTTTGGAATGGAATTTGACAATTATACAGTTGAGCATATGTTAAAAGTGTTTTCAGTTCTTGGTAGTCAGGAGTTAAAAGTGCAGTCCATTTCCGTATATAATGTGTGCATATATATACGTGCACAAATGCATATTACTATAATCTTTGGCATCTGTTTACAGAGTAAATAAATCAGGATTATCTTTCTAAATATGTTTAATAAATATTTAAAGCATATGGGCTCTTAAATAAGAACTTATAAATATCCCAAGGGACTTGCATTTTCTGGAATCTTGACATATGACACTACATTTTGGATCGAAGAGCCTATACTGCTGGAGTATCTGCTAGAGCCCATGCCTGCACTTTTAACTCCTGCCTACCAAGAACTGAAAAAAAAAATTAACATACGCTCAACTTTATTATTGCCAAATTCCATTCCAAGCTAATAGAATCATAGCACTTACAAGTGAAACTATGGAATTAAAACTACTCAAAAGGTATAAATGCATGGTTTTTAAATGCATGAGGAGTTAACTGATTTAAATCAATTAAATAAACCCACAAAAAATTTGACCACCCACCTTAAATCTCATTGCTATGACACAGCTGAGCAGTACATGCTCCATAAACACCGGCTAAGTAGTCAGTAAATCTAGCATAAGTATAAGCAAGTGCTTGTAAAATAAAGAAATCATGGCTTGGGCCGGGCGCGGTGGCTCATGCCTGTAATCCTAGCACTTTGGGAGGCAGAGACAGGCAGATCACTTTAGGTCAGGAGTTTGAAACCAGCCTGGCCAACATGGTGAAACCCTGTCTCTACTCCAAATACAAAAAAATTAGCTGGGCGTAGTGGCAGACACCTGTAATTCCAGGTACTCAGGAGGATGAGGCAGGAGAATCGCTTTAACCCCAGGAGGTGGAGGTTGCAGTGAGCTGAGATGGTGCCATTGCACTCCAGCCTGGGTGACAGAACAAGACTCTGTCTCAAAAAAAAAAAAAAGAGGAAAAAAGAAATCATGTCTTAAGTTTCAGGAAATTGAAACTAGATTATTGTGATATTTTAAAAATGAGAAAAGTTGTCTTTCCTCATTGTAAATAATTATTTCCAATTTTGAAACATATACTATTCTTTCTAGCTACTCTGACAACACATAAAAACAATTTTTAAAAATTGTGAAATATGTAAGGTATGTACAAGTTTATATAAAATTCAACAAATAATTATAAAGTGAACATCAGTCATTTCAATCAAGTCAAAAAAATAGACCAAGGCCAGAACCCTCCCTATCTCCCTTCATCCCATAACCCTCTCCTCCCACCTTTACAGTTAATACCATCCTAACTCTGTGATGACAATTATCTGGATTTTCTTTATACATTTACCACATATATACATATCCCTAAAAATATAATTTAGCTATGCCTATTTGTGAATGATATGTAAATGGAACCACACACAGTACACTATTCAGCATTAACACTGTTTATGAGATTCCGCCATAGAGTTACACAGAATTATAGCTGGCTCATTTTCACTAAATACTGTATTACATGGCTTGAAAAAAAAGCTTTATCCATTCTACAACAGACAGACATTGGAGTGGCTTCAATCTTTTGAATCTATAAAAATGCTGCTGTGGACATTTCTGTAGATAGTCTACTGCATAATGTGCACACATTTCTCTTGGGTATGTATTCTTAGGAATAGAAGTATTAGTTCATAAAACATGTGGATCTTCAGTTATACTAGATAATGCCAAACTGTCTTTTAAAGTAATTGTATCAATATGCATTCCTACCTGTGGGATTTAATTTGCAATACCAACTACTAATGAAATGAAGCACATTTCATATCTATAGGCCACATGGATGTTCTCTTTTGTGAGGCACCTATTCAAGTACTTTGCTAAGTTTTCTACTGCCTTTTGATAATTGTTTTATAGTAGTTCTTTTAATTATTTATTTTTATAGTAATTATTTTATAAGTAGTCAATGTAAGCCCTTGGCTAATTTTATACATTGTAAAAATATCTTCCCATTATGTAGCATTAAAAAAAAAAAAAAACGCTTATCTTTGGATGCAGAGTTCTTAAACGGAGTCAAATTTATCAGTTTTTTCCTTTCCAGTTATCCATATGATAGTGATTTTTATGCCTTATATAAGAAATCCTTTCCAAAATTATGAAGATATTCTCCTATATTATCCTGCAAATAGCTTTATAATTTTGCCTTTTACATTTAGGTCTATAAGCATCCTGGAGGTAATTTTGTATAAAATCTGAGGTAAGTCCAATTTCATGAGTTTTCTACATGGATACCCAATTGTCCCTATACCACTGCTTAAGGAGTTTGTTCTGCCACTCTATCATATATTAAGTATCTAAATATGCATGGTCCTGTTTCTGAGCTATTATTCCATTGGTACGTTTGGCATTTGGTATTTGTGCCACTGCCACTGTATGTTCATTATTATAGCTTTAAAATTAGTCTCAATATATTGCAGTGCAAACCCTCTCACCTTGTTCTTCTTCAGTGTCTTCTGTTCTATTTTCTCTGTGAACTTTAGAATCAGTTGTTGAAGTTCTTTCAAAAAGTATTTCTTGGGATTCTGATTGATATTTCATCAACTCTACAGAGATTATCTTATGTGGCACAGATATATATAATTTGAGACTTCTGATCTATGAATATGGTATAACTCTACTAGGATACATTCAACTTAGTCATAATATATTATCTCTTCTACATATCACTAGATTTAATCTCTGTATTAGTATAAGTAATGCTAGATGCTTTAATAAATCCATAAATCTCAGTGGCTTAACACAATGAAAGTTTATTTCTTTCTTATTCATACAAAGCCCAAGAAGGATGTTTCTTATTCTCAGTGAGCCCTGTGTGAGATTCAGAGCCCAAAGACATTTACCTTATGGTTCCACATATAGGACCTCAGGGTTCCCATTCTTAGCACATGGGATGCCAAACAGGGAAGAAAGAGTACGAAGATTATGTGGGAAGTATCTTACTGGTCACACCTGGAAGCAGCCTGCATCATTTTCACTCACATCTCCTTGGTCAGAGGTCAGTCACATGGCCACTCCTAACCACAGGGGAGGCTAATACAGAGTCTAGTTTTGTGCCCAAACAGTAGAGAAAATGGGTCATTCTGAAAATAAAAATGTCTCCCAGGCGGAGGTCGGGGTGAGCCAAGATCACGCCATTGCACTCCAGCCTGGGCAACAAGAGCGAAACTCCATCTCAAAAACAAACAAACAAAAAAGTCTCCCATAAGAAAGATGTGAACACGAAGTAGACTAATATTTTGCTGAAGACTTTCACATTTATGTTCAGTGAGACTGGCTTCTGATTATTATCTTTGCAACTCTCCTAGCTGGTTTTGCTATCAAAGTTAGGCTAATTTTAGATAACGAGGAAAGGAAAGCTCTTTGTTTTTACTATTCTTTGGAAGGGTTTGTGAAATACTGGAATTACTTCCTTCTTAAAAATTTGCTAGTATTTTCTTATGCAGCCATCTGGACTTGTAGTTTTGTGGAAAACTTGACAAGATTATTCAATTTTTCTATTTTTTCTTTATTACATTTGTTAAATTATATTTTTCTTGAAATCTGTCCAATGAATCAAAGTTTTGAGGCATAGGATTCTGAGATTATGTATGCTCAAAAAAGTATGTCAAAATTGCCACTGAACGGAAAACTAAATGGTACTGTTGTGATCCTCTAGTTCATCTTCTACCCTTATAGAGGAGAATATTAAAGTTAAAAGAGATCCAGAGATCCAAGTACTCTTCCCTCACCTCACCTCAACACATAGCTGTTAAGTGACAGAACTGGGACTAGAATCTAAGTCTAGTGCTCTTTCCAATATGCTATGCTCATTTCTTAAATGGACTGCATCCATCAGTCAGCAAATCAAAGGGAGAACAGATAAGAGAGCTGTAATCAGGAACAACTTCAACCACTGAGAAGAGAGAATGTTTACTGTGTATGTGGTGGTTGTAGGCACTGTCTTCATATTCCTCTCCAGTTCCTCCATGATCTTATCACCCCTATCTTCCTCAGTGAGAAGTGTGTGGTGTTCAGGCTATGGCTTCTCTAAATTCTAAGATCTTACCCAGTTCCAAGCTACTCCTAGGTTTGATGGTAAAAATCCTAACAAATGGTAGTAAGATTCCCTACCTGCCCCACCCCCCAATCCCAACAGTTTTGAGGCCCTTGTCTCCCAGGAGCTGGATATTGAGCAGCCAGGTAGTCTCAGCTTGTCACCAGAAAGAATGTAACTCTGTTCTAGATCTCCACACGTAAATGAATACTAAGATAGAGCTGATTCTCAGTGCACCACAGACAAGAAAGTCTATCTTCAAAAGTCCTGGAGCTTGGTTCTTCACTATCCCTTTTTGTTTACTGAATAAATACCTTAATTTGCCTTTTTTCTTTCATTCAACAAAATTTATCGAAAGCACCCTACTAGATGCTGATATTTACTGATAAATTAGACATAGATCATCGTCCACATGAAGACTGTAGAGATCATCTGGTCATTCGATGAAGACTGCTTACCATGGCAGCCTGACTTGGTCTTGGCCCTTTCTTCCAAAGCAGTAGATGGTTTGATTGTAACACTGATATACAGGTGTTATGCTTTCCCTGTCGAAATTTTCTCTGGGTATAGAACTCTAGGTTGCATTCTACTCCCTTCCTAAACAGCACACTTAGGATATCATTTCATTGACTCCAGATTTCATTTGTTATTTGGAAATAGCACTCTTTTGAGGATAGTTTCTTTACGTCTTTCTTGTCTTTGTTTTCTGCACAGTTTCACTATGTCTATATAGAGTTTTTGTTTGTTTTTTTTTTTACACATTTACTCTGCATGGGATTTGAATTTCTTAAATCTAAGGATGGTGGGCTTTCATCAATCCTAGAAAATTGTGTCATTATCTCATCAAATATTGCCTCTACCCGATTCTCTGTTTCCGTCTTCTACAATGCCAATTAAGCATAAGCTAGAACTTCTAAACATGATCCTCCTTTTCTTTAAACCTTTCTTGATATTTTCTGCCTTTTAATATTTGCATTGAATTCTAGATAATTTCTTCTATCTTTGGTTCACAAATTCTCTCTGCGGTTATGGAAAATCTACTTCCACCATGTTTACTGCATTAATTAGTTTTGGTCATCGTATTTTTTCACATCTTGAAGTATTTCATTCAACTCTGCTATGTCAATTCCTATATAACTTCCTGTTTCCTACTGATATTTTCAAGCTTATTTCTTAAAACATAGAAAGTGAAACTGTTCTATAATCTACATATAATAACAATGTCATCTGAAATATATAAGAGCTATTTTCTGCTGTATCCTGCTGTGTTTTCCTCACTGTGCCTTGTTTTCTTGTATGCTTGGTCATCTTTGTATGATGCTCTATAGTTCTGAAAGGTTATTTGAAAGAGATTTCTGATACACAGAATAAGGTGACTTTCTTCAAAAAGGATATAAATTTGCTTCCCCCAGTTAACAGGGCACTAGTTTTCTTGAATGTCTGGTATTATATGACTTGGAACTACGATTCCACACAATGCTGGTAACTTGGTTTACAATCTGTCAGATATGTTCTATTTTTCTTTTCGTGTTCTCTTCTTTCCCCTATCTGCTCAGTACTAAATAACTCTCCTTGGAATCCTTTGGGAGCAGGAGAAGGCAGTGGATTTTCCTCTTTTCTTAAGGCCCCAGTTTAAAGGGTTTTGGGGGTATCTATTAGGCTCATAAACCTAGAAGTGATCATTTTCCCCTTGATTCTGAATCTATCAGAACCCAAATCTATCAGAACCCAAATCTCAGTTTTACAAACTGCTTTATCCAGATGGGCAAATGATTCAGGGTGGTTAGAACTTTAAATACTTTTTTACCTTTATGTTCTTACCTTCTCTTAAATTTTGGCCTGGCATATTCCTTGAGCTCTTTGATAACGTAAAAAAGTTTTTTTGTTCTGTTTTTACAGTTTATCTAGTTTTTAGATGTCTTCAACAGAAGAGTTGATCCAGATAACCTAGCCCAACAATATCAAAATTTTAAAAAAAATCAACCATTTTCTAATAATATCCATAAAGTTATTGGTTTTAGTTGATGTTTTTGCTATTTTTTTTTTTAAGTTAGATGTAGGACAGGGTTTGGCAGTTCCTCAAAAAGTTAAACACAGAACTTACCACACAATCCAGGAAATTCTACTACTAACTAGATACCCAAGAGAAGTGAAAACTTATACCCATACCAAAACTTGTATACAAACTTCACAGTAGCAAATGGAATACTATTTGGTCACAGAATGAAGGACTGATACAGCTACCATACGGATGGACCTTGAAAACATTATGCTAAGTGAAAAAGCTGGACAAAAGAACATATTGCATGACTCCATCTATATCAAATTCCCAGAACAGGTAAATCCATAGACACAGAAAGTACATTAGTGGTTGCCAGGATGTAGGGGAAGGAGGAGTTGGTAAGTGATTGCTAATGGGTACTGGGTTTCTTTTCGGATTGATGAAAATGTTCTAGAATTAGATAGCGTTCATGGTTGTACCAACTTGTGAATGGACTAAGAACCACTGAACTGCATAATCTACACTGGTGAATTTTATGGTATACGAATTATATCTCATTTAAAAGAAGAGCAAAAAAGTTAATCTCAGGTATGCCTACCACATTTCAATAAGCAATTAAAATATGCATTCAATTTCACATGATAGTTAAGGATGTCTGGAGCAATTATTTATAAAGATACAAGGTAATGTGACAGTACTACTACAGTATTAACCTGATTAATTAGGTTACTGAAAGCTCTGGGAATGTATACTCCAATCATGAAGTTATCACACTGGAAATCATATCATATTGTCCTAAGATGCACTAGCCCATCCTAATTCAAGTGCTGCCAGCATTTCTATTCAAGTAATTTTGTGTATTTACAGGACCCACCATAGTGGCCACTAGCTACTAAGATGCCTCATTGAGCATTTCAAGCTATCCCTCCAATTATCATTTATGTTCATGTGCAGAATACAAAGCTGCATAGGTTTTGCGGTTTATGAGATTATTCAAGAATGCATACACTGCAATACAGCAGAGGCCTCTATACTTATCTTTTTAAGTACATTTACTTCTCTAAAGGCTGGAAGTAATATATGTTAGTAGATGTGGAGGATGGGGAGATAAGGAAATAAAGTTATCATTTCCAGTGTTAACAGAGTAAAAAGAATCACCTCCTACACACTGAGTGTTCCTTCAACTTAAACATATTTTATATTTTTGTCCCTACTAGATTTTGTAATATTTGATGAAGTTTTAACTGAGTATCATAAATACTCTTAATTTATGATTAAGTGAATGCGGAAGTACACAACACTACCTTTAGTTCCATTTTATAGGTCATTATTAAGCTGTGTGCTGAATCTTTACTGAGCACTGTGAAAAATACTAATGTTCCTTAGCGAAGTCTTTGCCTCAAAGGATCTACAGTCTTTCTTGCTCAATTTGGACGCGGCTTCCTCATCAGTTAAATGAAAGAGAGAGCCAGATCAGAGTTTCCTAACTGTTTTATAACACACAAACCACTTTTCACAGCATTATTAGGTCAATTCTCTCTCTCTATAATAATATATATGTTTTACAATTATGCAAATTTTCTATAAATCAATTTTTAAACAGCATGATGTGTCAATATATTCTATTCCTTAGAACATGGCCTAACCCCCCACTTTAATCTCCCCTCTCCATTCAAACCAAATGGAATTGCATTCCTCTTTCTATAATTCTCAACATTACTAAAGCCTATCATGAGTAATAAGTGAGATAATTTAGTTTAGTTTTAAAAGCTACACACTTCTTTTAAAATACTGCTAATCTGCTGCCAGATTAATTCCTGTAACAATGACTTGACTACTTAAAACTTTTAAACACCCCTCTAAAGGCTGCCCAATGCCTATAGGACAAATATTAAATACCACAGCTGGGTATTCAAGACCATCTATCAACTATATTCAATTTGTCTCTTCCTTACCTTTGATTACTCCCCTATGCAAAGCCGCTATTCCATAAACATTTTGTATATGATGTAAGGTAAATACTGAGGCTTATTTTTTTTCTATATGGATATCCAGGTTTTCCAGCACCATTTATTGAAAAGACTGTCCTTTTCTCATTGATTTACCTTGGCTCTTTTGTCAAAAATCAATTAACCATGTATATGTGGGTACATTTCTGAGCTCTCTATTCTGTTCTATTGAACTACATGCCTATCCCTATGCAAATACCACACTGAATTACTTTAGTTTTGTAGTAAATCCCAGGGGTGTAACATCTAGCTACAATAAGCCAATCAGGATATTCTATCCTTTCTCTACCACTGTGTTTAGTGTTTTCAGAGTGGGAGATGGAGAGGCAAGCGATTTAAACAGTACAATTAGAATTAATTTTAGAACATCTGCTGTGGATTCTGGGACACAACTGATCTCTGATACTTTAGATAGATGCTCAACAATATAGTAACCAATCGCCACATGTGGTTAAATTAAAATTTAAAAAGATTAAAAACTCAGGTTTTTCAGTTGCACTACACACTCAATAACTACACATAGTTAATGGCTACTATATTGGACAGCACAAATATGGAACAAATTCTATTAGATAGTGCTGCTTTATATGATGCTGTGTTCACATATAAGGCCTAGAGCTACCACTGCCATTTTATCGACATGAAAAAGCCAGTGTGAAGACAATGATGCATGGGCAAAGGCAGAGACCTGGAGCCCGCTTGAACACAGCCAAATCTCTACCATGCTGCTGGAATTTTTCTTACATGAAATAACCAATACCCCCCCCTTTTTTTTTAATTTATTTTTATTTATTTATTTATTTATTTTTTGAGATGGAGCCTCGCTCTGTCCCCCAATACCCCTATTTTTAAGACCAATTTCAGTGAGGTCTTCTGTTGCCTGCATCCAGAAGCAACCTATAGTTCTCAAAATGCTTTCACATACATTATTTTAACTGATCATCAAAACTTAATAAGATTTAAAATTTTAATACTGTTCTCTCTGCCCTATTAAACATTGAGCTTAGTAACCCAGTACACTAACCATTCAATAAATAAATGGATAATATAGCAAATATATGCTAGTTAGAATATTAAATACAGATATCTACTTTACTAATAAGTGACATATTAAGTAGGATTTGAGAGTCTAATATCAAATAACTTTCACAAAATATCTAAAACATTATTTTATACTGTCCTACAGCACAAAACTGATAGGTTTATAAGAGACCAAAGTAACGAAACCATTTTTAAAAACTTAATTCAACTACATAAATGTGGAAAACCACAATAAAAATATTTTAATTATATAATATTATGGGATAATCCTATATGAACGTGGGTGGCGCAAAAAAAGCAAGCTAATGTCTTGAATTCCTCTACAAATACTAGTTGCTACTTCTACGTTCTTTTTTCAGAGCATAAACATTTTTAAAGTTTTCGAGATACATTCTGGAAATAACACTTAAGCCCAGAAATTACCACAAAATAAACCAGATATTTGAAAAGAAAATTTATATAAAAACAAAGCATGACAGAAAAATATTCTCCACTGAGTTACAGGAGATAAAGTCCAACGTGCATAATAAAGCTTTGGGTTATTCTAGAAGGCTTAAGCATGTAGTGCCTATTTACCAAGTCTTAAAAATCACTAACATTTTAAAAACAATATGGAAGGTTTACCTTCTCATGTTTTACTGCTAATGAATTAAAATGAGAACTACAAGAAACATTATTTGAGGAAAAAACCATAATCCCATATCAAATTTTCTTTATAAAATACCCTTAGCATACACAATCAGTGAAACACGTTAGAAATTTGAAAATCAACCAACTAAACAAAAACCTAGAAAATTATAAGGTATGTCTCATTTTCTAAAATATAATTCATACTATCATTTGGAATTTCTTTTACCAGTACAGCACTGATTGCATAATTGTAAATTAAAAAGTTGAGTTATGACTAATCTATGCAAGAAGGTGTCTTTCTGTAGAATCTAGATCCCTAGTCTCTCTCTGAGAACAGAGCCACAAAAATAACTTCAAAATAAATATGAAAACTATACAGCTGTCTCTTTAATTTTAAATTGTGTGTTTGAAGTGCCAGGTTTCACAAAACTGCATGTCCGCATTACCCATCTATATATAAGAGAACTGAAAGATCATTTAGACTATATACATCTCACCTTACAGGCTGACACAGAACATTGAGAAACACGGGAAGCACCTAGTATCTTCTGCCCTAAATGAACTTCTGGCTTGAATAGCAGTATAATATCTTATCTTATAATAGTTATATGCTTAATGATTAATATCTGATGAGAAACATAAAAATCTTGGCATTCTAAGGGTCTTAAGTCGATATTGAAGTGTATCTAACAAAAGCACTTCTGCCATAAGATAATAAAATAGCCAGCATATCATCTTATTAGGAAAAAGGCAGCAATAGGGCCAGTTACCACTATATTCCCAGTGTTTAGCAAAATGCCTGGTACATAGTACGACAAACATCAGTACAATAAATTTAAAATGTAGAACTATTACATTCAATATTTTTACCTCTTTTCCTTTTTCTTCAACTCCCTTCAAAAAATTACCACGCAGTTCTAACACAACTTACTGCTTGGGAAATGCAAGGAGAAACCTAAGCAGCTATTTTATTCAGCTCTTTCAGTGGCTATCCAAACCTGCAGGATAAAGTGAAGGGCCTTATATAGCTCATGTGGACCTGGTTTACTTCTCAGGTCTTAGCTATTCCACTCTTCACAGTATACTACAGTGACACTTGGCTGATTTCAACTTCGTACACTAACTGCAGTGTCTCATTTCCTAATTTCCATATAAGCTGCCCCTCTGACCTAGAGCATCTTTGTTTTCCACCTACCATAACCTTTAAAGCAAGGGTCCCTAACCCCCGGGGCCACAGACCCTGTTAGGAACCAGGTTGCACAGCAGGAAGTAAGTGGTGGGCAAGTGAGCATTACTGCCTGAGCTCTGCCTCCCGTCACATCAGCAGCAGCATTGGATTCTCGTAAGAGAATGAAACCTACTGCGAACTGCACGAGCAAGGGATCTAGGCTGCCCATTCCTTATGAGAATCTAATGCCTGATGATCTGAGGTGGAACAATTTCATCTCAAAACCATCTCCCTGTCCACATTCCTCCCACCCCCAACCCCCATCCCTGGTGCCAACAAGGTTGGGGACTGCTGCTTTAAAGAACTCTGGTGATAGCATCACCTCTAGAGCAACTTTATCTCCATCCTCTTTATCTCCTCTTCTTATTGGTCAAAAATTTGACCAAAGCATCAAATATCTTCTGGAGAAAAAGGAACACTTTATCTGATGGTAAGTACTATTAATAAAATATTCAATCCCTGACACATATGACATAAAAAGAACACATAGGGAGGTATCCATCAATAATCACAAGAAATGTATTACAGAAAAAAGTTCAGTTATATATACAAGTGATATCTATCATCTTTTCCTCCCCACATGAACTCTCATTTGTGTATCAATGACATGAACCTCTAATGGAGAATAATATGACCTCAAGAAAAACCACACTTAGAGACGTGTAGTCCCTTATACAAAGCACATAAATGAAAACCAATAATTGTATGATTAAATAATATTCACATGCACAGCAAAATAAAAGTAGTAAAACTGAAATTACAAGAGCTATGGTGACTGCTGTGTGAGGCGATGGTGCAGTGACATGTGGGAAGCGGAGGAGAGCCATGAGGACTATGTGCCTCACCCTGTGAATCATCATCCTGCTGCTTCAGGCTCTGTTAGGAATAAAAGAGCAGGGCAGGGGACTGGAGGTGGAGGAAAGCTTTGTCTTGTCTTCAGATGTCTCATTATTTTTTCCCTTTCCCTGATGCTCCACTGCAGCCCTGTAAAACATTAGGCAAGCCTCTTAAATACTCCCTGTCTGTTCCATTCCTCGTCTATAACATGGGGAGAAAAGAGGACTGGCTCAAAAAGCCTCTTTGAGAATATCATGATACTGTCAGAAAATCCAAGCATAATCATGCTTCTACTTTTGTAAGGTCAAGCACTAGATGATCTCAGGAGATAGGTCATTTAACTTTCTTTTTTGTTCATCTGAAGAGCCAGATTCCACCTCCGACTCATCCCCACCACACCTCTCAAAGAAGCACCCCTCAAAGAAACCACACTCACACAAGCTCTTATAACCATGTGGAATCGAACTGAAATGTAACCCATTAGAAATGTATTCCTTAGGTGCAATTCACACAAATACTGCATAGTTTGAATTACTTTTTAGAGGGTTTAAAAAATTACAGTTTGTGCTTGCTCTTTGTTTGAAATTATTTCAGGGGATATTCTTGGGGATAAAAATGTTTAAAAAGCTGGATAACCACTCCCAAGAAACTGTTAACTGGAAACTTTTAGTCTATAACTGCACTTAAGGCAAGTTAATTCAAATTAATTCATGACTGCTTTGGCTTCATCTCAAAAGCTGCAGATTCAGAAGGTCTAAGGTGGGACCAAGAACTTGCATTTCTAGGAAGCCTCTGGGGCTGCTGCTGCTGCTGGTCAGGGCACTACACATTGTGAGGACCAGTGATTTTAAATAAGGTACTCTCAAGTATAATCACTTTCACTACCATCTGCTTTTATTTTCTAATTGATAGATGGATCTTATACTGATTCCCTATCTTCCTTTCTTTCAGATGTTACTTCCAAATTCTTTTGTAATTTGAAAATAGGAAGGGATTTTTAAGACTCAAACAGATTTTCTCTTTCTTCAGAATCCAAATTATCAACATCTGACTTAATTTATCACTGTGTCTCCATTGCCTCAATGTGAAATAAGGGCAACAGTAAGGATTCAATAAGATAATTCAAATGAAGTCTTTACTAGACCATGTTAAGTGCTTAATAATACCTATCATTCTTACTGCTATTATCCTCACTAGTTTTCTGTTCATTACTGAGGAAAACTTATTCGTGACTGCTATAGATCGTACATGATTGGTGTATGTATAAAATCTTATCTACTTACGGTAAAATGCTCCAGAGCTCCCCTGGATGCAGTGAACTAAGGAGCAAGGGGAAAGGTTAATGTCACAGACCTGGGTCCTAATCCTGGTTCTGCCACTACATTGCTACATGACTCTGGGCAAGTCATTTTAATGTGCATCCCAATTTTTGCTTCTGAAAAAGCTTACCTTGAATATGAAGCTTAAATGAGATACTGCGAGAAGAATTTTTTTTTTAAGTACCGTAGTATGCCTGTGGTGAAAACCTCCTCTCTTTGGGAATAGTGCACCAGATATTAACAAGAGAGACAAACGGCCATGACCCTTTTATTTACATCCTTAAATGACAGCACAATAATCTGAATTGCCATACAAATGATTTCTGAATGTTACCAAGTCACGGCTATTTTTAAAAAATTATAAGCAGAAATATTTAGTATTTTCAATATTTCTGCCAAATGACAGGAAAAAACATGGATACAAAAGTATTCTCAGGTGTTTTTTAGGTATCATTTGTTGCCTTTTAGCATAATTGTTCTTTTGATGCAGAATCCCAAAGCCTCTATTGGCTCTAGGCTTTTATTTAGTATAAATTCAAATTACACACATATGCATGTGTATGAACAATGGCAACTGCTTGTGTTGGTAATTTCCATCTGTAGTTTCCTACACTCTAGGACATACCTAGTATTCCTGTAAAATTATATAATATAGTTCATAATTTTTAATCTTAATTTTACTGAAAAGAAAAACTAAGGAGTTATAACATTTTCTTCATACATTTAAATTAAATTACTACATTTTATAGGACCAAACAAAAGTCTGCCACCTATTTTTGTATCAATGCTTAATAACTTGAAAAGATAAAATGTGTGTTTTTGACAACATTCTTTGTGGAATGTCACCTAATGAAATATGGGAAATAAAGTTATAAAACTCATGTTTTGTAAGAAATATACTACTGAAAAGCAGTGTGGAAACATTTTAAACACAGCAATGATATTCTTCATTTCAGAGAAATTGAGTTATGAAGTCTCTTATGAATCTTACCCTAATGGCAATCTCTTAATTTACTAATGTGTAAGTCTGCTTTATCATATATTCAGCTTTCTTAATGTAGGGGATATATACATCCTCAAGACACTGCAGACCTTAATTTAAAATACCTAAATGCAATTTAAAATATGTAAGTACAAATTAAAAAAATAAACCTGTATAGAATTTTTTAAATTTTATCAACTCTAACCAAAGTTTAAAAAATTGATTAAAATTTTAAATTTAAGAACTAGTTTAAAAACATAATTAATATAAAATGAGGCAGAACAAAGATAGATGGATTTAAGTTTATACATAAAATTGAAACACAGAAAAATAAGAGCACCATTTCTACCTATTTATAATCAACAATATTCAAATACCAACTACTTTTAATACATTATATTAATCTTACAGTACTCCCACAAAACACACTATATCTAACTCCGCAGACCTAATACACGTGCGTCCTGTACTACAGACTACACAGGTGAGGCTGACAGCACATCCTCACAGCACATCCTCAAAGGGCTTGTGTATTGGATGCAACAGAAGAGGAACACATCTAATGAAGACGCCATGTTAATATACTCAAGACTCTGTCAAAGCATATTTCAGTAATATAGGGAAAGTAAAATCCTGCTGATTTTTTAAAGACTAACATATATGCAAACGGAAATATGTGGAGTCAGGTTATAGGCCTTATGGAAGTTGTTGTTTTCAGAGTTTGTGTCATTATTGCTTACATAATGACACAAACTCTTAAGTATATTGGTCATATACTTTAGAAATCACTCTAAAGTAGATCACTTATAACTGTTCATGCCTCTATTTTATCCTGATGTTTTCAACCACATGAGATGGCTAAGGAGTCCAGAAGCTTATCACCAACTTGTTCAAAGTTCTTATAAATATACATAAAATCTTCAGTTGGTAAAAGTATACCTCAATGGTTTATAAAAATATGGGTAGGAAGAATATTCTTCTGGCCTGAATTAGGAATCTCTAAATAAGATCAACTTGCAAAGCACATAGAACCCCCTCAAATCTTTGTCAAATGAGTAAATGGGCATCAAAAAGCCTGCTTCCCATCAATACAACTGCCTGAAAGGAAACTGTGAAAAGGAAAAAATGGTATTCCAAAAATATCCTTCAATGAGGCAACTGTAAAGTACTTTGTAAAAACTAAGACCCATAGGAAGCTCTATGTAAGTAACTTCATTACTGTTATCCTGTAAATTTAATTTGAACCATAGCAAACTGTATAGATGCATTAGCGTAAGCCATTACACTACTGGCAAAAAGAACTCGTATGTGAATTGCACTACTAGTGAAGATGTAGGCTGCATCATCTTCATATGTGAAAAAAGGCCTATCTCACAAGCTTAACAACCACTCTCTTAATAAAAGTTGACTCAGTAAGACATTAATATACAAGAAGTGTGAATTAAGCCTTGTAATTTATCCTACCACAATAAATTAATCCCTAATAATCTAATGTGTCTTCTATCTACTGTATTTATATAATTTAGAACTTCACAAGGAACTATTAACACGATTCATTTTAACTTATTTTGAGGAAATGCAATTAAAAAGAAAACATCAAAATCCCAATATGTAATTGAGCCGCAAAAGTTTTCCTTCATATTGAAACAGACTGTAATATAGGAGACTGCTTAAAAAAATGTTTGGGATCTGCTCTCTTACACTTTGCTGTCCACAACAGAGATGAAGATTGAGGTAGTCTGAAAATTCTATGAGGATTAAATCAGACTACATTCTCCGTATTCTCTAGGGAAGTAAGCTTTAGGCAGTGTGAAGTACCCTCAACCTCCACGGACCAAGAATAACAACTGCTGCAATGAAAGAGCAGTGTAGTTAGGGTTAAGGAGGTGGTTGCCTCTATAATGAAATTAGCTAGAATACTTATTTGCTGACATTATCAAAGTCAGCTCCATTGGTTTGAGTTGAGGCAGTGTAACTTTTGATGAGACATATAGATTTATAAGATAAGAAGCTATTTTAAACACAACAGGGTTACTCTCCATTTCAAGGAAATCCAGTTATGAAGTCTCTTAACAAAGCTTACCTGAATGATACCCTAATTTACAATATTACAATACAAAATGTATTCATGACATGTAATAGGGGAAAGGTCTACTATACAGTATTATAAATAAATGATAACATATAACATAACTGCTAAATAATATAATTTATAAATGACATAAATATAACTGCATTAAGGGGTTTAGCTAAAGATATAACCATGTAGTTTAATCAAAGTTATCAACAAAAGCAAAATAAAAAATTTCATATACAATTCAGGGGAGGTTAACAGCAGTGAGCCCCATAAATAAAACTATGGATAAGTCAAGCAACAGAGATGAGTCCTAGCTGTAATTATGCTATACCTTTACTTCTCATTTGAAAAAATGACTAAAAAGTAACAAAAGCTGTTTTTAAAATACAAGTAATAGTTTTTATGTGTGTAGTAATGGTATCAATCACTGCCTGAAGAGGGACAGTTAAGGCAAAGAAGTATAGGGGAAATTTAAAATGCATTTTCGGAACAATAACAACTTGAGGAGGCAAATAAATTAGATTCCTATACAACAAAACAGCTAAATTATCTTTAATTTTAAATATTAGAAATACCATCTAGATTAGGACTCCATTTGTTCTTTTTCAATTGTTCTACATAATCCTCACATGGTTTCAGTACTTTCACCAAAGAAATGCCTAATACTTTTCTATTACAAACTAAGCCAAAATATGCATCTTTCAAGTAATAAAAAATTCCTCCACTGAATAAATATAAAACCTCCAAATATAAACAAAAGAGACAAAAGTAACTATGAAGCTAATTTAAAATGTGATTAGAAATACACATGGAAAAGTTATCTTATGGAAGATCTTGAAAGAGAGAAGATAAAAAGGGGGAAGCATACTGGTTTCCATTTTGAAGGTTTTATTGTAAAACACTATTTCTGAGAAGATCATTCTAATAATAAATCCTTTTCTTTTTCACTTAATTAGGTTGGGAGAACTATGAGAGCTATCAAATAGGCAGCAGATAAACAAAGAAAATGAGGACTTTCTCCTGTTGCCCAACTAAAACACTATTAACAAAGCAAATATTATTTACATAATTGTCATTGTTTTCTTAAGTGTTTAAAGTTGTGAGCTGTCAATGACATAATGAAATGATTAAGACATACCAAAACTGTAACTTCATACTGTCCAAAAATGATAGTCTCTTACAATATTAATTTTAAAACTCATACAAAATAAGTAATCATAGATGAAATGTTAAGATTATGCTGGTATACATGGTAAAACAACATAGTTTACTTTGTCTGAATGAATAGAGTATGTTTATAACACAAGTGAGTCGCCATACAGCAATCACTCTTCTAAGAAATGATTTAGAGAAAAGATACATATACACCTAATTTATGTTTTAGATGTACAAGTCATTCTGACAGTTAATGCTATTAAACAAAATATTTCAGTATTACTTGCAATTCACGTATTACTAGATATGTGTTACCTCAACAATATCCGAGTTGGTTCTGCTTTCATGAGGTTCATTATATTCTGTATACTTGAGAAGAACTTTGTCCATATCAGTGCTAGCATATTGAAACAGTTTGTTAGAGCTGTTGAAAATGATGAGTGCTATTTCACAGTCACAGAGCACACTAAGTTCATAGGCTTTCTTCATTAATCCAAACTTTCTCTTTGTAAAAGTGACCTAAACAATAAAAAAGGTATATTTTTATTAAAAGCATTAGTAGTACTTGAATATGGGCTATCTGAAGATGAATCTTCTTCTTAATACTGAGCCAGATTTCAAAGATGGAAAAGGTTCCCAGCTTTGTCCTCCATATGAGCCTTCCCTCTCCTGTTGTGCTACAGTCCTACATTTGTTTTGTATATGCCAAGTTCTCCGACAGAGCTGTCTCCTGGGGAAGTATTTCCTTATCCTTGGCTGCCACTCCACTACAGAGGGTGAAGCACCACAGAAGGAACAGTTGATCAGTGTTCCCTTATCATTCAGTTAAAATTGTTACCATCAGAAACCCCAAATCCCAGCCAGGTAATGTAGCATCAGCCAGACTTTGATCCCTAAACAACTAAATACATCCACTAATCTGAAGTATTTCTCCTCCCTCTCAAGCCCTTCTCTATTGTACCCACTGAAATTCACAGTCTGGGATCAGCAAATTCCCCAAAGTCCTCAAATTCTTCTTTAACTGTTTCTTTCTTTAACTGAAACCTGTTACCTGAAATCCTCTCTAACAGAGACCCCCCCAAAAAATTTTTTTATTTACACCCTTTATATTGACTGAAGGCCCTAAAAGAGATGTCTTTTTATGCTCTGTATTCTCTCTTCGACACTACTTTTCTTTCCCTCCCCTTCAAAAACTTCAAATACTCTGAAGCTCATGCCATACAAAAATTATACCACCCAACAACCCTCCTTGGGGTGAGCAAGAGTTACCCTTGATCCCTCTTCTTCTAATACGGGATGGGAAAGGAATGCAAGGGAACTCTCTTTACTTTCTGCTCAATGCTGTTGTGAACCTAAAACTTCTCTAAAACATAAAGTCTGTTTAAAAAACAGTTTTTGAAAGGTCAGTAAGAATATACTTTTGAATAATCTTTGGAATTGTGCAACAACATAAAGTTCAGCAATTTTCCCCATGGATACCTATCATACGATTTTCTTCCTATAAACTTTAACTACTGGCCTAGACTTAAAATCAGTTATTGCAGTAGCTATTAAAGAAGTAGAGGATCTCCAGTATCATGAAAAGCAATTACTACCACTAGAAATTTTTTTCACGGGCATGACTTTAATATCCTCTTTCATTACAGATACAATACGTACATGTAAAAGCAAAACAACAACAAAATTCATTTCACATGTACAATTCAATGATGTTTCTGTATTTTTTCAGTCTATTTCCTATGTAGCATGATAAAATTAAACAGTGGTATAGTAGTTCAATGGTTTTCACTAAATTTAAGCAGAGTATCTGTTTTCTCCCTATAGTAACACCAAATGCATTTAACATCTACTCATCTTAGCATTTAATCACCTTAATCCCTCTTAATTTTATGTAGATCTAATCTCTTTAACAGTCTCAAAACCTTATGTTTTCTCTGTATTTGTCAAGTGCACAAAGCACAATACTCCACGTATTATATGACCGCTCAAATATTCTGTTAGCTAGTAAACTGAATGAAAATAGAGTTGAGAAGGTTCTTTAAATATTCATTTAACAAGAAAATTTAACTAGCCAATACCATCTAGTCTGTTCATGATACATATTTACATGTAAATTGTGTCATATACCCAAATCACCTTTTATGAATCATCTTTGAATACTGGTCTATATTTGATACTTTAAAATTCTCAGCAGGGCACGGTGGCTCACGCCCGTAATCCCAGCACTTTGGGAGGCTGAGGCAGGCGAATCACGAGCTCAGGAGATGGAGACCATCTTGGCTAACACTACGAAACCCCGTCTCTACTAAAAACACAAAAAATTAGCCGGGCGTGGTGGTGGGCGCCTGTAGTCCCACCTACTCGGCAGGCTGAGGCAGGAGAATGGCATGAACACTGGAGGCAGAGCTTGCAGTGAGCCGAGATCGCACCACTGCACTCCAGCCTGGGCGACAGAGCGAGACTCCATCTCAAAAAAAAAAAAAAAAATTCTCAATATAAAACAGAAATTACAAGTAGAAAAACCTCCGCATCTGTTGATGTACTTGTTTTTACAAATACATTTGGGAACAAACAAAAACAAAATAGAATACAATGGAGGAAAGCAATAAGGAAAGGAATGAAAAATACTATCACTTATGACATGAGTATATGCCTAGAAGATTAGATTATAACAAAATATAACAAGTCACAAAGCAAGAAAACAAGCTGTTAAGAGTACATTTTCCCTTGATTTTAGTGTTTTCAGTTCAAAGTAAGTTTTTGGTTGTCATACAGAGATTTTCCTTCTACATACTAGCTTTCTAAGACATCTAAAAGTGAAAAATCAGTAAAAGCCAACTAATTAGTAGAGTGTTAATTAGTATTTTACAATACAGCCACGTTTCAGTTCATAAATTTGACATGAAAGAGGTAACGTAATCTAAAATTAGGCTACAGAATACTAACTACATAATTAAAACTCAAGACTCAACTTTATTATTCTAAGACAATATTTTTAAACTGATTTCAATTACATTAAAATGATGTAAATTCTTTATATTAACTTCAAAAGAAATCACAAAAGTTAGTTTTAAATTCAAAATGGAATAAAGTCATGTTTACTCCTCTCTACTCCTCTAAAAACATGGACACATACATACATACACATACATAATACTAAAAAAGAGACTGGGTTTTCTTCAAGGAAAGTAAGAATCCCTAACTACAAATTTTCATCTGCCAGATTTGGTGAAATTTAGAAGAAAATGAAAGTGGATTCAGAGAATTCACACTGAGTTCTTCACAAAAGTGGCAGTGTCCTCTGAGAGGATCCTCTGATTAGTGCTACAAGATTCACAAGTATCAGAAGCCCATGAAATAAGTGAAGAATCTTGTTCTAAATGTAGAATGCCAGGGAAGGTGAAACCAAAATAAATAAAGAAAATAATTTTATAGGAAAGCTATTTCTGTTAACTCATACTTAATATAATTGCCAAAAACTGTCAGAGATAACAGATCTAAAATGTGAGCTGGTATGGCTCGGAAATGAATGAGAAGAGAAAAAAAATCAAATCATAACAGAGATTTTTAGCACAATAATGAAAATCAAAGAATCAAAACAGAAAACTAAAATGAATAGAAAAAAGTTGTTTGTATTGTTGACAGATAATGAAGATACCAAAAAAGCCCAGAGCATTTAGCAAAGGAAAAATATTTATTAAAAAATAAAATACAGAAAGGCATACAATCTCTCAAAAAAGTGATAAGGAATAATCAAATTCATGGCATATTCAGATTAAGTTACTGAATGTCAAGGTCAAAGAAAGAATACCATGTACACCAAGGAAGGAAGTGAGTGACTTTTAAGAAGGGAAAAAACTCAGTCTGGTGTTAGAATTCTGGCAACATTCAAAGTCAGAAGACCAAATCTCTACGATGTTCTGGGGAAAAGAAATAGGGCCTATACCTAGAACGTTAGACCTAGCCAAGTCAGACTTCAAGTATAAAGACAATAAACATTTTCAAACATAAAAAAACTCAGGAAGTATAACACCTACAAGCCCTTGTTAGGGGCAAAAAAACCAACAAGCATTACTTGCTGAAAAAACAAAAACAAACAAACAAAAAAAACCAGTCATCTGAGTAGAACATAAGTTGAAAAAAGTTCAATGCTGCACGCTCAGCTTCTAAAACAAAGCTACTGTGTGGCAGTGAGGCGGTGCTAAACAAATTTGTTGAATAAATCTGTAAAGGAATAATGAAGAAAAAGTGAGAAACCCCAGAGGGTATGCTGGAAAATGTACGGGGTCAGGGATGTGGAGGCTTGTAGCCTGGAGAAGAAATCGGCCAGTGGGATTATGAGAAGACAAATTTTTTAAGACAGAGTCTCACTCTGTCGCCCAGGCTGGAGTGCAAGTGGCACGATCTCGACTCACTGCAAGCTCCGCCTCCCGAGTTCATGCCGTTCTCCTGCCTCAGCCTCCCGAGTAGCTGGGACTACAGGCACCTGCCACCACGCCTGGCTAATTTTTTGTATTTTTTAGTAGAGACAGGTTTCACCGTGTTAGCCAGGATGGTCTCGATCTCCTGACCTCGTGATCCGCCCGCCTCGGCCTCCCAAAGTGCTGGGATTACAGGTGTGAGCCAACGCGCCCGGCCGAGAAGACAAATTTTTAAAACAGCAGTTTGGGTTCAGCTTGTGCTTCTCACCTCCGCTGCCTGGAACACTCAATGCCTGCTACATCACAAGAGAACTGGCAGCCATGCTGATGCAGACAGACGCCCTCCAGAATGAAACCTGGGCAGTACAAAAGCTCTGCTGGAGATAGGAGTTGAAGACATCAGGTAGAAACTGACTAACCTCTGGCAGGGTGACTTCTCAACCATTCTTACTCAGAACCTCCACGTTTGGTGGATTGCCAGGTAGATGAAATATCTTCTTCCGATGTCCTCTTCCCTGGGGGGCTCTGTGTGGAGCTGCAATCAGAGTTCTTTGCGGACACTATGGCTTTTTCGACGGCTGGGACCCGCTAACCCATTTATATGATCGACTGGGATCACGCAAACTAGTGCAAATACGTGCGAGATCACAGGGAATAAACATCAACTAGACTGGTGGGTTAAGAGATGGATCAAACTAGATAAAAAACCAATATGCAGCCTCTCATACTATCTATAAAAGACATACCTAAAACATAAGGAAACAGTAAGGTTGAAAGATAACACAGAGTTTCAGACCTCCAAGAAAACACTGGCTGGGCGCCGTGGCTCACACTATAATCCCAGCACTTTGGGAGGGCCAGGTGGGAGGATCACTTGAGCTCAGGAGTTCAAGACCAGTCTGGGCAACATGGTGAGACCTCACCTCTGCAAAAAGTACAAAAATTAGCCAGGCATGGTGCGCATACCCATGTTACTCTGGAGGCTGAAGCAGGAGGATTGCTTGAGCACAGGAGGTCAAGGCTGCAGTGAGCCATGATCATGCCAATGCACTCTGGCCTGGGTGACAGAGCAAGACCCTGTCTCAAAAAAAAAAAAAAAGAAAAGAAAGAAAAGAGGGGAGGGGAGAAAGGGAGTGAAGGAGGGAGAGAGGGAGGAAGGAAGGAAAAGAAAAAAAGAAAAGGAAAGGAAGAAATATGTAGCTATATCAAGGTGAGGTAAGGTAGATTTAAGACAAACATGCCTTACTGAGGATAAAGATGGTCAATATGTATTGCAAAATTTGCCAAGAAGGTACATCACCTCTAAATATGTGCAAGCCTAACGAAATAGTCCCAAAATGTATAAAACAGTATTATTAAATCAATAAAATATACAGAGAAATTGACAAATCCACCATTGTGGTACATACAATTATTGATAAGTCTCAATGAACAAAAAACAAAAAGTCACAAAGAATACGGAAGGTTAGAACACAACAATGAGAGTTATCTGAAAGATATATGGAGATGCATGCATCCAACAATCAAAGAATACATATTTACCCAACTCCATTCGGAACATTTAAAAAAACCAATCTTGATTTAGGAAATAAAGCAAGTCTTAACACACTTAAAAAGGCTCACAATCTACTGAAATAAGGGCAATATACAACACTATGGTAAGTCCCGTCATAAAAGTGTTTACAAAGTGTTTTGGTAAAGACTGAAAGATACTATCTGAAACAGAGACAATACATACAGAATTAATATCCAGAATATGTAAAGAACTTCTAAGAGAAAAAAACCAAAACCAACAACCCAGCACAAAATAAGCAAACCACAAAAACAGGTTGCATTTCACTTTCCTAAGACCAGAAAAAAGAATAAAATAAAATTTAAAAAGGGACAAAGACAGAAAAAATAGAAAAGAAAGGCAGACAAGACAGAAAGAAGGAAAGGCAAAGTATATGGGCAAATAGGAATTATCATACAAACTTACTGCAGTGTAGCTAGTACAATCACTTTGGAAAGCAACTTGAAAACATGGTAAAGCTGATGATGGACATACTCAGCCTAGCAATTCCTTCTGAAACTATCACAGAGCAACTTTTACCCATGTATAATGAGACAGGTCAACAGATGTATACTGCAACACCATTTATAACAGTAAAAAATTAGAAACAACATAGTTGTTCTTTGATAGAAGTATTGATGAATTAAGAATATTTATTCCTAAAACTAGCTGTATTGAATGAGAGCAGATGGATCTCAAAACACTACACTGAGTGAAAAAGCAAGTGCAAATGAAAACGTCACTATGTAAAACTTTAAACCCATGTTGAAACAATATTAAATAATACCTGTTAAAAAATATAAAGAAAACACAATGTAAATTCATGATAGTGGTTATGAGAAGGAAAGTAGGAAGAGACCAGGAAAAATTATAAAGAGGACAGTAAATCTCTAATTTTTTTCACTTTATGAATAAAAATAAAAATACATATAACAAATGTGTCAGCACTGACATATGTTACTTCTGGATAATGAATATAGCAAACCTTGAAGTATCGTTCTCTGTACTCTACCTTTGGAACCTTTGGAAAAAACTTTTATTTTTAAACTGCTTTCTTTCTTTTTTTTAAGTATATGAGGATGTCTGCTTTTAGGTTAGAGGGAGTAGTTGTTGGAAGACCAAAGAACCCACTGAAATCAACTAGTAAAACAGGATGAAATACAACAAATACCTCTTTAAAGACATCAGAAAGCTGCTAAAGCAGGAAGACTGGAGATGCTAAGATTCTATAATCTCTTTCACATACAAGGTCTGAAGGCTCATTAAAAACCACTAGACATGTCAAAAGACTGCATCGTATAATTGAGAACAAAGAGAAAAAGGGATCAGATATGGACTTACAGGTAATCCAGATATAGCTATTCACAGACATGAACTTAAAGATAACTATGGCTAATATTTAAAAAAAAGCTTAAAAATGGAGAAAATGGATGACAAGATGGGCCATTTCCATAAAAATGAAAAATCAAAAAATTCTAGAATTGAAACTATATTATCAGAAATTAAGAACGTACTAGGCTGTTTTATCAGTTAATTTTAAAAAGCAGGAGAAAGGCTTACTAGAAAATAGATTGCTAGAAAATAACTAGAAAACATTCAAACTGAAGTACAGAGAAAAAAAGAGTAAAAAATACAGGAGGACAAAATACATAAGAAATGTATGGGATACAAAACCGTTATATGTAACTAGAATCCCAGAGAAGGAAAAAAATGGGACACAAGCAATATCTGAAGACACATGCCCCTTGTGGGTCCATCACAGTAAAAATGTATATTAACAAAGGAAAAGCAAAAGGCTTTAAAGCAACAAAAGAAAAGAAAGACACATTATCTTTAAAAAAAAAATTTTTTTTAAGATCAAAAGCTGGCCTCTTAACAGAAATGAATGGAAGTTGGAAGACAACTGCTTCAAAGTACTAAGAGAATAAAACTGCCAATCTAGAATTCTACAACCAATAAAAACAGCTTTCAAAATGATCATACAACTAAAAAACAATTAAAAATTATGCAAAGGATTTGAATAGACATTTTTCCAAGGAAGATATACAAATGTCCAATAAGCACATGAAAAGATGTTCAACATCATTAGCCATCAGAGAAATGCAAACTAAAACCACAAGATACCAGTTTATACCCATCAGGATGGCTACAATAAAAAAGACAGGGCTGGGGGCGGTGGCTCACGCCTGTGATTCCAACACTTTGGGAGGCCGAGGCGGGCAGATCACGAGGTCAGGAGATCAAGACCATCCTGGCTGACACCATGAAACCCCGTCTCTACTAAAAATACAAAAAAATTAGCCGGGCGTGGTGGCAGGCGCCTGTAATCCCAGCTACTCAGGAGGCTGAGGCAGAAGAATGGCACGAACCCGGGAGGCGGAGCTTGCAGTGAGCCGACAGCGTGCCACTGCACTCCATCCTGGGCGACAGAGCGAGACTCCGTCTTACACAGAAAAAAAAAAAAAGACAGACAATAACAAGTGTTGGCTGGGATGTGGAAAACTTAGAATGCTGACACATGGCAGGCAGAAAGCAAAATGGTGCAGCCACTTTGGCAGTCTGGCATTTCCCAAAATGTTAAACTTAAGAGTTACCATGTCATCTAGCAATTCTTAAGTATACTTTTATATACTTAGCAGCAAATATGCAGAAAATAAAATTTGAGAAGAAATGTTAATAATGCTTTAGAAAATCAAATATCTACTAATAAATATAACAAAAATGTAGAAGACTTATTTTGAAAACTATCAGCCATTATGGAGAGAATTAATGAAAACCAAATGAAATACAAACATGTTCATAGATTACAAGACTTGACACTGTAAAGATTTCAATTCTCCCTAAATAGATCCCTACATCCAGTGGAAAAAAAATATCTAAATTCCAGTAGGTTTTTTGTTTTCTTAAGTGAACAATGACACTTGGTTTCATTTGGATATTCTGAAAAAGGGCAAGAATAGTCAGCTGGTTCTGAGAAAAAAAAAAAAAAGGTGCAGAACTACACCACCAGATATCAAATTATAGTAATTAAAACAGTGCAGAATTAAGCAAGGATATACAAATAATCAAATGGAACAAAACAGAGAATTTAGAAACAGTTTCACACACATATGGTTACTCGACTCATGATAAAGGCAACCCTGTCATATAGTGAGGAAAGGATGGTTTTATGCAATAAATTGTACTGGGACAACTAAATATCCATCTGGAAAATAACAAATCCTGACCCCTACACCTCAAACCAAACACAAAAATAAACACCAAATGGATAACAGGTCTAAAACATGAAAGGTTAAAAAAAAAGAGTCCTTACAGAAGAAAGCATAGAAGAATATCTTTATGGCCTTATGGTAAGTAAAGATTTCTTAAACGTGACACAAAAGGCACTACTCATAAAGGAAAGGGAAAAAAAGGTAAATGGGAAACCATTAAAATATTATTGATTTTTTAAAACATTAAGAAAGTGTAGGCCTGGTGTGGTGGCTCATGCCTGTAATCCTAGTGCTTTGGGAAGCCAAGGCAGGAGGATCACTTAAGGCCAGGAGTTCCTGACCAGTCTAGGCGAGACACCATCTCTACAAAAAAATAAAAGAATGGGTCGGCCCTAGTGGTACATGCCCGTAGTCCAACCTACTCAAGAGGTGAAGATGAGAGGATCACTTGAGCCCAAAAGTTTGAGTTACAGTGACCTATGATCGCACCACTGCACTCCAGCCTGGGCATCACAGCAAGACCCTGTCTCTAAAATAAAATTTTTAAAAAAGAAAGTGAAAAGGCAAGCCATAGTTTTAGAGCTAATATTTATAATGCATATCATGGACAAAACACTCACCTGATTATATAGAATGCATATTAATAAGAAAAAAGCAGGCAGCCCATTAGAAGAAAACAAAATGAAGTGAACAGACTAGTCACAGAAGATATATATCTAAATGGCCAATAAAAATATGAAAAAGTGAGCACCTTCATTAGACATCATGGAAACTTAACATTAAATTACTATTGTTCACCTACCAGAATGACTAAAATGAAAAGGACAGTACCCAGTATTGCTCAAGACCGGAGCAGCTAGAACTCTTACACTCTGCCAGCAGAGTGTAAACCAGTAGAACTACTTTAGAAAACTTCCGTCAACTACTAACCAAATGCATACCCTTATGACTCAGCAACCGCACTCCTATTTACCCAAGTGTTCACGTATACTATCGAGAATATTCAAAATTACAGTCTTCATAATAGTACCAAAGTAGAAAACAATCCAAATGTCCATTTACAATAGAAAAAAGTAAATACATAAATTGTATTCTACTGACACAATAGATTATACATCAATGAAAATGTACAAGATATACTTACATATATCTACATGCAACAATACCACTGATAAATTTCACAAATGTAATATTGTGCGAAAGAAGACACACTGTTCATATAAACTCAACAACAGGTGTAATTAATCTATAGTGTTAGAAGTCAGGATAATGACCTTCCTTGGGGCAGGGGGAAACAACTGGGAGACAGGATAGAGTGCCTCTCGGGTGGTGCTCTGGGATATGCTGGCTACACGGTCTTCTTCTTTGTGCAAAAATTCACTGAACCACACTCTTAGGATTTCTGAATTTTTCTTAATCTTATACTTTAATACGGTTTACTTTTTTAAAAGTGTTCTAGATAAGGAAGAACAAACATAAGGTTTCACCAGAGGCTTCTAAGTGGAAGTAAAGTGAAGCAGCTCTTTAAGTCTATGATACTGTCACCCCTCCACCACCTGCAAGATTATTTGTGTACTGTTCCAATAATGAAGTGTGATTTTTATCTTGCTAGTTCACACCTGTAATTCAAAACTCTTATTTGCTACTACCTCCTCCAACCAATAGTCCCTAAACCACTCCATCAGAAGTTAGCGGTTTCTTCTATAAACTCTCCCAGTATCTGATATTATTTCTATTTGCCACATATTTAGATCTCCTATGTAGGCTATATATTTTTAGTGAGTTTCCAGGACCTAACACAGTCTCTTGGGATATAGTATATATCTGAATCTGGACAAATAAATGACATCTCTTTTCTTCTGCAAAGATACAGTTTTTCTCCCTTTCATGAAGAAACATGAAACTTTTAAATCAGAATCAAATTCTAAAATCAATAAAGATACTCTTTTAGTTTGTGACAAATTGTTTCTGTGTCTAATTTAACCTGAAAAATAAACTGTCCAATTATTTCTTTTATGTCTTTTCTCCAATCTTTGCCAAAATTATCTGAGACAGAAATTCAGATAGTCCTTGCCCCATTTGGCAGCTAGGCAAGAAGCTGACACAGCAGCTAAGTCCAACGTAAGAACAGCCTCATTCTAGTTGCTTAGTGGCAGTATCTATCTTTTCAACAAGGTCATTTCCTCAACTCAGAAAGTTCCATTACCGTCACCTACACATTCCTAGCTGCTCTTTCTCTCTACAAATGTGAATCCCTTCCATAGGTAGGTCCAGTTTAGCTATGTCCAATTTAAACACGACTATCTATGGAATAATAAGGGCTCGAAAATTTTATGTGTCCTCCAGTTCTTTGCTTGTATGTTATTCCCCAATAAACCCTATTTTATATTTATACTGCATATATCCATGAAGCAGGTCCCTATGCCTCCTCTACACTTCATAATCCTCAGATTGTGAAGGGAAGATAATTTGCAGCCTTGCTTGGAATGATTCCTTTGGAATAATAGCATGGATAGTTTACCAATCTTCCCTATTGTACCAACCTTCATAATGAATCATACTGTGTGGGCCTTATGTCTTTGTTGAACAATCTTCATGAGTTGAAACCAGGGCCTCCTCTTTAATTCAGTCTATGGGCAACCCTCATCTCTCCCACCAACTTCCTTACAGGCTGCTCAGTTGAGTTTTATCTCCAATTATATCTATATTCCAGTGAATTACTACTCAGATTTGCAGAACACATCTTCAGTTTCGTTCTGTTCCTGGTAAACTTTCTGAAACCACTTGTTCTTGAAACTTCTCCTGATACGCAACTTTCCCAGAGATAGCATCTCTCCAGTAGTTCCTTTATAATATGCTATGAAATTATTTTTCCTTCTTTCTTCTGAACTAAGGAGTTGGTAAACTTTTTCTAAAAGTGTCAGAGAGTAAACATTTTACGCTTATGGACCATATAGTTTCTGGGGCAACTACTCAATTCTGTTGTTATAATGCGAAAGCAGCCATAGACAATATGTAAATGAATGAGCATGACAGTGCTCTAATAAAACTTTATTTACAATAACAGATGGCCAGCCCATGGACCATAGTTTGTTAAGCCAACATTAGACACTTAAAACTTCTGGCCTCTTCATATACCAGCATCATTATAATTACCTTGAATCTGTAAGGATTTACCCACACTGGTACCATAAAATAACTTCAATATATTTTATCAATTAAAACTGAGGTACATATATAAATTTAAAAATATTTGCAATAAGTATAAAAAATTCTCATTACATATTGGTTAACCAGAAAATTTAACTGACTAGAACACATTCACTGATAATTATAGTTAACTTAGCTAATTATAAAAACAGATGTGATAACTTAAAAATAATCAATATAAAAAAGACTAACAGTCAAATATATAATCAAATACATAGAAGACTAAATATCTTATGAGAAATCTATACAATGGATTGGTAATGGTGGGGATTGTGGTGATTTTACTTTTGAGTATCTATATTTTTGGTGACATATATCTATAATAAGGAAGTCTCTTTAAAGCAGATGATGAAAAGATACAATTTTATGATTGTTAGAATTTTTCATTTAGTCTGTAACTAAAAATATTTAGACTTAAAATTAAGTTTAAGAAAAACCCAACCATTCTGTCCTATGTTCTTTTTTTAAAAGAATATTCATATCAATTAAATAAATTAAAATTTTCATTTACCTGTCGGTTCCTTTCATCCATTATGCGTGTGATTTGTATTTTCTTCCGCCCCATTTTCAGTCAACTTTCCTTATTTCCTTATATTCCAAATATTTAATTCAAAAGTTAATTTTCTTCAATACCCTAATGCATCGTACACAGCTTCTGTTATTTCAGCTTCTAGTCCAAGGGCTACAGCTGAAATTTTCTACAAGATCTAAAAGAAAACACAAATTAGAAGATTTAAAATCTGTAAGTTTACAAATCATGTAAGTGTTATACAAATTTCAAATTTGCTTTTACACTGCACACAGCATTATTAGTTGAAATTTCTGGTTATACAAAATTAGTAAATAAGTTGAAGTCTTGTTAACTTTACCCCTAAAATACCTCTTGAATCTCTTTGTGTCTCTAGTTCTGGTTAAACTAATGCAACAATAATGTTTGAGGTTTTCTCAATGTATACAATAATAGCAACAAGAGCCAAGCCTTACTGAGATTCTTCTATGTACTAGACATTTTCCTAAGCATGGACATGTCTTAACTCATTCAATCCTAATAGCAATCTATAATTATTACCTCCATTTTATAAATAGAGACACTGAGACACAGAAAAATTAAGCAATACGCCCAAGGTCACGTAGTAAGGGGCAGAGCTTGGGGTTATAAACTCAGGGAATCTGGTTCCAGCACTTCTGTTCTTCACAACACAGAATATCCTTAAAAACTTCTGATGACCTCCATACCAAACAATGAACTAATCTGGATAGCCCCAATCTGTCTTTTCAAATTCTTGCAAATTGCCCTAGCCTCCAGCCAAATCACTATTTGTCAATTCACAAAGCCACTATATACTTTCGTAAAAATATGCATTTAAATGAAACATTCCTTTGGCCATTTAATGAACACCTCCTTATCAGTCAAGATTCAGTTTGCACTTCCAGATGAAGTGAAAATCAATTTCCCTTGGTAGAATAAACCACAGCACCTTCGTGTGTGTGTGTATAAATTTTAAGTCTGCTTTCCTTCAAGACTTAAAAAATCTTTCAAGCGTTTTTTATTCCATTTATTCTGTGTAGTAGGATGACTGGAAATGATATAGTTTGTCATGTTCTGAATGATGGCTGTGTCATTTTAAAAACCTAGTGCTTTCAGACTTACATAATAAAAATACGAGGAGATGGGGGCATGAATGCTATAATACAACAGTCATAATAATACATTCCCATGGGAATTTTATGCAAGTATTTTCAATACTGTACATGTGTATCAATAAAACTTCAATTGTACTGTGCAAATCCAGTGTGTGATTAAATCTGGCTTTTGCTCAAAAGCTATAAGCCTTTCGTTTCTTATCATTTCCAGCACTAACATCAGCACAGCATTTCTTATTTATCTTCCCTCATTATTTTATTTCTTCATTGATACAAACAGTAGTTGATCATCTATTAACTGATAACCTATTAATTGTTCACCTACTTCTAATAAATGTACTTCCAAACACTGAACTATGCACAGAGGATAACATGGTCAGAAAAAAAAAAAAGGATATGATTCCTAATCTAGCAGAGTTCAGAGTCTAGTAGAAGAAAAAGACATTAATCAAACCATAATGCAAATGAGTTTGCATAATTCCAAACTAGAAAGTTCATTTATCTGAATTAAATTTATGGTTCAGGAAAGGCTCCCCTGAGGATGTGTCTCATACTCAAACTCGAGTATGAGATATACATATTAGGCAGGGAGAACAACATGTACAAAAGCCCCATGACAAAAGGGAACAGGAAACATTAGAGGAACTGAAAGATGGCTAGTCACTCGTGGGGCCCAATCAAACAGGCTGTGTTGTAGAATATTTCTTTTAACAGATCACATTGTATCCAATTCCCAATATAAACACTTGTACTGTAGTAGGCAAGAGAAATATTAATACATTTTACTACAGAGACAGTATCGCTAAGGCATGCAAGATATTTTAATGGCTGTAAGATGGATACAGTGTACTACCTTATATCACCTAAAAAATTCTTAATTCCAGAACATATTTGGGCATTTTTTGCTTTTGACAATGGTGGAGTAGTTTGCTTCAAACCAACCTTCCTTTGAGAACAACTAGAAAAGAAAAACACAAGATAATCTGTTTTATACACTAGAGAACTTTCAAAACTAGAGAATCTGCAGGGCGGAGATCTGGAAGAAATAGGTGAGACCAGTCTCTGGACTCATCTGCCTGTAGATTCCAAAACTACTGCCCGAGAGACTGAGAAAGTTAACAGAGCTTTCAAGAGACCTGTGGGCGGACATACAAAACTTGGATTTAGGGTCTGCCAAGGAGGAGCAGCCCTGGCAAACACATCAGGCATAGGGACAGACTCCAAAGAACTATACTCTAGGTATAAAGGTGAACTAGCAACAGACTAGCCCACGCAGGAAGAGAAGCACAGCTTTAAATCATCTCAATCCCTCATTCGATTAAGGCAATCCGGGCCAACTACTCTTATTGGCCTAGCTGCATACCAGTAGCAAAAGTAATTCTCAGCAGAAAGATAACATCATCTAGAAATTCACATTTTTTCACGTTTCATATAAATGTCTGGAAATCAAAATATAACCGGTCAAAACCCAACTGAAACCAAGATTTTTAAAATGGCAATAGAAACAGATTCACAGTAGATCCAGATAATGGTGTTATCAGAAAAAAGTTTAAAACAAGTTAAATGTTCAAGGAATTAAAAAGTAAAATGAAGAATTTTCATAAACAAAAAGTGGAAAACATGAAATCAAAAAATACAATTTTGAAAAAGAAGTGATGGATGGTTTTAATAATACTTTAGACACAGCTGAAGAAAGAATCAACCCAGAAGACAGGAAACAATAAAACACCTAGACTGAAGCACAAAAAGAGAATGAGAAATATAGAAAAGAATGAGAAATTACAGCACATGGAAAACGGATACAAAGTACATGTAACTGGAGTCTCAGAGGGGAGGAGAAAACATATAGGCAAGAAAAAAATATCTGAAGACATAATAGCTAAGAACTTTCAAAACTGACCAATGAGACATCGAGCCACAGATTCAAGAAGCTCTATCAATCCTCAAGCAAAATAAATACAAAGAAAACCACACTTAGGAACATCAAAGGGGAGAGAGGGGGAGAAGGAAAGAAAGAGGGGAGGGAGAAGAGAGGGACGGGGGCAAGAGTGGGGGAGGGAGAAGGAGGTCCCCCACCCCCAAAGAGAGATTTTTTTTTTTTGAGACAGAGACTTGCTCTGTCACCCAGGCTGGAGTGCAGTGGCGTGATCTCGGCTCACTGCAACTTCCGCTTCCACGGTTCAAGCGATTCTCCTGCCTCAGCCTCCCAAGTAGCTGGGGCTACAGGCACGTGCCACCACGCCCGGCTAATTTTTTGTATTTTTAGTAGAGACAGGGTTTCACTGTGTTAGCCAGGATGGGATACAATGAAGTTTCTCTTCAAATAACATGATCAATCTTTTATTCTTTAACTCATAGTACCCCCACCCCGGCCTTTTTCCCTTTTTCTCCTTTTGCCTTTGTTAGATGCCCAGGCACGCCACAGTACCAGGCGTTATCAGTACCAGCTCACATTCCTTTCCTTATTTGGAAAGAGGACTAACTTTCTAGCTCATTACAGACACCCCTTCCCCTTTCCTCTCCGCTTTCTTTTACATGCCCACCTTATCTAAAAAAAAATCAAATGTTTAGCCAACCGGGATTAGTTTAGATTGTACGACCCGACCCCAGACAATGGGAAAAAGGTACAGGGGCAGGACTTGCGTCAGGAATAAAGGCTCTCGTGCCCCTTTGTTCAGGTGTGCTCTCATGGCGACTGGCCAATGAGGCACCCCTCTGTGCAGAAGTAAATTGCTTTGCTAAGAATCCTTTGTTCGAGTGTTCAATTTCCTTAGGATTTTGAGTGTTATTCCTAACACCAGGACGGTCTCGATCTCCTGACCTCATGATCCACCCGCCTCGGCCTCCCAAAGTGTTGGGATTACAGGCATGAGCCACCGCGTTCAGCCAGCCAGAGAGATCTTAAAAGCAGCCAGAAAAATTTAAAAAGATTAACTTCAAGAAGCAACAATAAGAGTTATAGCTAGCTGACTTTTCCCAAATAATAAAAGCCAGAAGACAGTGAAATGGTATCTTCAAAATGCTGGTGGGGAAATGCCAAACCAAAATTTTGTATCTGACAAAAAAAAAAAAAAAAATCCTTCTGAAATGAAGGCAAAATAGAGAGGCAACTTTAAGGCAAACAAACAGAGTCTGTTATCAGGAAATATTGAAGGGACTTTTCAAGTATAAAGAAAAAAGAACCCTATATACAGCTTGGATATGCACAAAAGATGAAGTGCAATGAACAGGGTTGAGAGGGTTCACTGAGTAACTCCAAAGGAATAAAGGAATACTGACTAAACAATAATACTTTGTGGGATTTCAAATGTTACAATACATAACAGTAATAGTACATAATAGGGGAGGATAGCAAAATGAAATAAAAGTGTCCTAAAATCCTTTCATTGATTAGGAAGTAGAAAAAATGCTCATTTACTTTAGACCTTAAAGTCAGGGATGCATGTGGTAATCTCTTGGGTAACTATGGCAAGAACAGTAAAAGCACAAACAGCTAAGAGGGGGAAAAATGGATTAATAAATAACCCAAAAGAAGGCAAGAAAGGAAAGACAAATAGAAAGCAAACAGAGATGACAGATTTAATCCAAATATGTAAGTAATTACATTAAATAGGATTAAACTAAACCTCAATTTTTAAAAGAAGATAATAGAAGTGGATTTTTAAAAATCCCAATTATATGATGATTACAGAGGACACATCTTAAATATGGGGATACAGAAAAAAAGTAAAAGCATAGTGAAAGACACACCATGTAAAACACAAACCAAAAGAAAGTTGTGTGGCTATCATAGTAAACTTGAATGCAGGAGGCAGACACTAGATACATATACATGGATTGCATGGATAGATATAGAAGGATACTTCAAAACAATAAAAGTTCAATTCACCAGGAAGACATATCAGTTCTAAATCTGAGTGTACCTAACAACACTTACAGTTAGGAATCTGCTCCTGAAAATCAGATATTCTGTGCAAAAACCATAACCAGAAATTTATTTCCCATTATTTCAAGTAGGGAAAAATTATAATACGTTACACATCAACCATAATCCCCAATCATTTCTCTTTTAAAATTCAGCACACAAAAAAATCCCCTTTTATAGTAAATTACCATGGCTAAGGGATGTAAAATGCTTACTACATGACTTCATATGCAGTTACTTTCTCACTGGCTTTTTTTCCTTCTCCACAATTTAACACTTCCTCAACTTTTTTGTGCATTCTACAAATCTAAGCAAAAATAAGGGCTAAATATGAAAGGCAATTAGAAAAATGTTTAGCACAAACACACATGGAAGACAATGGCTCAAAGGCTTCTAATATTGTAATGTCTAGCTTATTGCCAGCAACATCAGAGATGCACATTCCCTTTACATGCTTCAAAATGCCTAAATGTAATTCTAATATTCTACAAACTATACTTGGAATATAATTTGTGACTTTTCACATATACCAGTTTGTTAGACTACTGAGTTTTGTGATGTAAAAATACACTTTTCCTAAATAAACTTCAGCTAAGAAACAGGGTATGCCTATATATAAAGCCAACACCAAAAAAACTAAGTCAAGTCTACAATTATAGCAAGTCTTTTTTTTTTTTTTTTTTTTTTTTTTTTTTTGAGATAAAGTCTCACTCTGTCGCCCAGGCTGGAGTGCAGTGGCGTGATCTCGGCTCACTGAAACCTCTACCTCCTGGGTTCAAGTGATTCTCCTGCCTCAGCCTCCCGAGTACCTGGGACTATAGGCATCCATCATCATGTTCAGCTAATTTTTGTATTTTTAGTAGAGGCGGGGTTCACCATGTTGGCCAGGCTGATCTCAAACTCCCACTTTTTCACTGGCCCTAACCCACTTCGTGTTCCTTACTATCTTCCTTATCCAGTTACATATTCACACCCTCACCTCCTTTTGGCTCCAACCCCTTGCCTCCATTTTGTTGCAAAATCTGACCCCTGAAGACCAGCTTCCATGTAGCTAAATATGGCTAGGTGAAAAAAAATTAGCATGCCAATCAAGCCAATTAATCTCACTTTAAGTTCATGAAGGTCATGAACCTTAAACCTCAAATATTCCCTTCATATTACAATCTTCCATTTCCAGAAACCTTCCATTTCCCAATTCCTTGTTGATTATTTTATGCCATATTCTCTCTGCTTACATCTCCAACATGCATCAGTCATCTTCGCTTTCGGTTAGATGACTTTGCTTGTCTTGATCCTGAGAGAAATTTAAAATGTAGAAAATAATAAGCAAATCTATATTTGCAGAATTTCAGAAATTTCAACTTTATAAAGATGTTAATTCTCCCCAAATTCATGTACAGACTGAATGCAAACCCTATCAACATATCAGCGGGTTCTCTCTTATTGTATGTGGAAATTGATAAGCTGATTCTAAAATTCATTTGGAAATACAAAGGTTAAAGAATAGCCAAGAAAACCTTGAATGATAAAGCTAAAAGACACACATACTATATAAAGCCATAAAAATTAAGATGCTGTGATTTTCCCCCAAAGGAAAACTCAAAGCTAGCAGAAAGCAGGAAATAACAAATTTGAGAGCAGAGATAAATGAAATAGATAACAGAAAAACAACGGAAAAAAAAAATCAACGAAGCCAAAAGTTGATTCTTCAAAACGATTAACAAAATTGACAAACCTTTAGCTAGACTGACTAGGAAGAAAAAGAGAAGACTCAAAATTACTAAAATCAGAAATGAAAGTGGGGGCATTACAACTTACTCTATAGAAATAAATGAGACTGTAAGAGGGTACTTATAAACAGCTATATACCAACAACTGGGATAACCTAGATAAAATGGACAAATTCCTAGAAACACAAAAGGCTTCTAGAACTACCAAGACTGAATTGCAAAGAAACAAAAAAGAGCTGAATAGAGCAATAACTAGTAAGGAGATTGAATTGGTAATTAAAAACCTCCTGACAAAGAAAAGCTTTAGACTCAATGGCTTCATTGATGAATTCTACCAAACAATTAAAGAACTAACACCAATCCTCCTCAAACTCTTCCAAAAAACTGAAGAGGAACATCTTCTAACTCATTCTATGAGGTCCTATTGCCCTAATACCAAAATCAAAGATACAACAAGAAAACTATAGACCAATATACCCTATGAATAGACACGAAAACCCTCAATAAAATACTAGCAAACTGAATTCTACCGAATATTAAAAGGATTATAATGGTGATCAAGTGGGATTTATTCCTGCAACGCAAGGATGTTTCAACATACTAAAATCAATGTGACACACCACATAAGAGAATAAAGAGGGAAAAAAAACATGATCATCTAAATTAGTACTGAAAAAGGATTTGACAAAATACAACACCCTTTATGATAAAAACACTCAACCAAACTAGGAAAAGAAGGAAACTACTTCATCATAATAAATACTATATATAAAAATTCCACAGCTAACTTCATATTCAATGATCAAAGACTGAAAGCCTTTCCACTAAGATCAGGGATGAGATACGGATGACCACTTTCACCACTTCTATTCAACACTGTAATGGAAGCTCTAGCTAGAGCAATTAGACAAGAAAAAGAAATAAAGGCATCCAAATTAGAAAAAAAGGAGTATAAATATCTGTTTTAAGATGACATGATGTCTTTTGTCCCCTAGAATCCTTTCATGAGCAAGCATGATCTTACACGTAGAAAACTCTTAAAGATTCTACAAAAGAAATGGTAGAACTAATAAATTTAGTAAAGTAGCAAAATACAAAATCAACACACAAACCAGCTGCAATTCTATACATTAACAATGAACAATATGAAACAAGAAAATTCAATTTACAATGGAATCAAAGAGAATACAGATGCTACTTGACTTACGATGGGGTTAAATCCCTATAAACCCACCATAAATTGAAAATATCCTAAGTCAAAAATGCACTTAATACACCTAACGTACCAAACATCACAGCTTAGCCTATCCTATCTTAAACGTGCTCAGAACACTTACATTAGTCTAGTTCAGCAAAACCATCTAATACAAAGCTATTTTAAAATAAAGTGTTGACTACCTCATGTAATTAATTCAACACTTTCACAACACTGTAAAGTCGAAAAATCGTAAGTCAAACCACTGTAAGTTGGGTATCGTCTGAACTTAGAAAATGAAACAAGGAGGTGAAGGTGAAAAGCTTGCACACTAAAAACTAAAAAACACTGATGAAAGAATAAAGACATAAACAAATGGAAAGATGTTTTATATTAATAGATTCAAGATCATGTTATTAAGATATCAATACTGCACAAAGGGATCTACAAACTCAATGCAATCTCTACTAAATCCCAATGGTATTTTTGCAGAAATAGAAAAGGTCACCCTAAAACTCGTATGAAATCTCAAGGGACTCCAAATAGCCAAAATAATCTTGAAAAAGAACAAAGTTGAAGGACTCACACCTGATTTCAAAATTTACTATAATGCTACAGTAATCAAAACAGTGTGGTACTGGCATAAAGACAGACATAAAGACCAGTGGAATAGAATAGAGAACCCGCAAATAAACCCTCACATATGGTCAAATGATTTTCAAAAAGGATGCTAAGACCATTCAATGCGGGACAGTCTTTTCAACAAATGATGCTGGTAAAATGGTATATCTACCTGGAAAAGAATAAAGTTGGATGTTTATCTAACACCATATACAAAAATTAAATCACAATAGATCAAAGATTTAAACCCAACTGCTAAAACTATAAACTCTTAGAAAACATACAGCAAAAGCTTCAAGATGTTGGATTTGGCAATAATTTCTTAGTCACAACACCAAAAGCACCATCAACAACAACAACAAAAAAAACTACATTTTATCAAAATTAAAAACTTCTGTGCATCAAACGGCACTATCAACAGAGTAAAACAGCAACCCCAAATGAAAGATAATAACTGCAGATCACGGCCGGGCGCCATGCTCATGCCTGTAATCCCAACGCTTTGGGAGGTCGAGGTGGGTGGATTACCTGAGGTCAGGAGTTCAAGATCAGACTGACCAACATAGTGAAACCCAATCTCTATTATATACAAAAAATTAGCCGGGTTGGTGGTGCATGCCTGTAATCCCAGCTACTTGGGAGGCTGAGGCAGTAGAATCACTTGAACCCGGGAAGCGGAGATTGCAGTGAGCCATGATCGCACCATTGCACTCCAGCCTGGGCAACAAGGGCGAAACCCCGTCTCAATTAAAAAAAAAAAAAAACGGCAGATCATATATTTGATACAAGATTAATATCCAGAATATATTTAAAAACTCAACAAAAACATAACCCAATTTAAAAATGGGCAAAGGACTTGAATAGACATTGCACCAAAGAAGATAAACCAATGTTCAATAAGCCTATGAAAAGATGCTCAACATCACTAATCATTAGGAAATGCAAGTCAAAACCACAATGAGATGCCATTTCACATCCATTCAAATGGCTATTAAGAAACAGAACAGCAAGCACTAGCATGGGTGTGGAAAACTGGAACACTTGTGCACTGTTCTTGGGAATGTAAAATAGTACAGCTGCTATGGAAAACAGTATGGCGTTTGCTCAGAAAATTAAATATAGAATTGCCATCTGATCCAAGAATTCCACTTTTAGACATATAATCAAAAAAACTTAAAGCAGGAACTCAGATATCCGTACACCAATGTTCATAGAAGCATTATTCACAATAGTCAAAAGGTGGAAGCAACCTGAATGTCCACCTGTGGGAGAATAAACTAAAAGGTGGTACATACATACAATAGAATATTATTCAGCATTAAAAAAGAAGGAAATCCTGTCACATGCTACAACAGAGATGAACCTTGAAGACATTAGGTAAGGGAAATAAACCAATCACAAAAGGACCAATCTACTAATGAGTCCATTGGTATGAAGTACGTAAAGTAGTCAAATTCAGAGACATAGAGTAGAATGGTAGTTAGTTGCTAGGGGTTGCAGGGAGGGTCAAGAGGAGGGTGTCACTGTGTAATGAGTACAGAGTTTCAGTTTGAGAAGATGAAAACATCCGGGCCGGGCGTGGTGGCTCACGCCTGTAATCCCAACACTTTGGGAGGCCGAGGCGGGTGGATCATGAGGTCAGGAGATCGAGACCATCCTAACACGGTGAAACCCCGTCTCTACTAAAAATACAAAAAAAAATTAGCCGGGCATGGTGGCGGCGCCTGTAGTCCCAGCTACTAGGGAGGCTGAGGCAGGAGAATGGCATGAACCCGGGAGGCGGAGCTTGCAGTGAGCCAAGATCACGCCACTGCACTCCAGCCTGGGTGACAGAGCGAGACTCCATCTCAAAAAAGAAAAAAAAAAAGAAAAGAAAACATCCTAAAGAAGGATGGTGGTGATGGCTGTACAGCAATAATGTCTATTTATTTAATGCCACTAACCTATATACTTTAAAAGGGTTAAAGTGGTAAATTCTATGTTAAGTATGTTTTACAAATTTCAAACAATTTCAAAAAATTTATGTACAATTTCAAAATATTCAAATACTGAAAAAAATGCATATATCTTTCAAATAATTCCAGGAGTCAGATTTTATTAATTCAAGCTAACCACTAACTTTTTAAATCATGCAAGTACTGATTTTTCAATATGGTAAAGCTAAAGGAGTTTTACTCAAAATGGCAACATTTAAAATCTACCTTTAGAAAACAGATGGGCATTTCTCCCATAAACTAATGTTATCTTTTCCTAGGAGGGAAAAAAGAATCTCTCCAATTAAATCCCAAGTCCTATATCTGTTATTCAGGCAACAGGAATGCAGGAAAAAATTACTTTAAACTGAATACTCAGGTAACTGAAAAAAATGTGTCATGTTTTTAAAAAATCAGGAACCAGATTTTTAAAAACATTCCCAATATGGGCTCTACTGTCTTAATTTAAAAGATATCATAGAATCTAGCACTCATATTCAGACCAATTTAATACTAATACTGATTACAAATGTTCACAGTCTTTTAAACTCAATTTTGTTTACTGTTTTAAAGAAACTTGTTGCTTAAGTAAATAAATATTTTAAGAGCATGGACTTTAAACAGGGGGTAAACTTTACTTTTTAAACTGAGTCCTTATTAACACCAATCACTGAGTTCATCAGAACACCCCATTTTGATGACTCTGGCCAATCAACTACACATTAAAATTTTTTTTAAACTAGCAAATGATTTTTGGAATAAAAATGATTATGTACAATCAACAACTGAACTCCTTTAAGAAATAAACAGGCATCTCTATCAAAAGAAAATCTTTAAGGATCTATTACTTTTTTAAAAGAATGGAACTTAAGGATTTAATTTTGGACATACGAAACTTGAGATGGTCATGGACAAGTGAAAATGTCAAATAGGAAACTAGACATAAGACTCATACATCAGGGCTAAAAATAAGCATTGGGAGTCTTGGGCATATAGACAATAGTAAAGGGACAAAATGTAAAATGAAAACAGCAAACTCAGCCCCAAGGAACAGAAACACTTACTACTGTTGCAAATGAATGGCCCCCAAATCATCCTGTAGATATAAAGTTTTTAAACAATTTGGGCAACATTTAAAAATTTAGTATTTCAAAAAGAAATGAATTTCAGCTTCCCCTGAAAAATCCATTCTACTTTCAAGAATTTAGTCTAAGAAAAAAAAAATGAGAAAAATATACAAATAAGGATGTTCATCCCAACACAATCAAAAGAGTGAATATATGGCAGGGGAATAATATAGAAGCCTACAGAGGTGGCCTGTCCCTACAATACTGTAGCCATTAAAAAGGTGGAACACTGTACAATAAATGTTCACAATGTATTGTTGTGGGTAGGAAAAATGTAGTTCTAGTTTTGTTATTAAATATTCTGTAGATAGACATCGGTGAGGCTGGCCAGGCGCAGTGGCTCACGCCTGTAATCCCAGCGCTTTGGGAGGCCGAGGAGGGTAGATTACCTGAGGTCCAGAGTTCGAGACCAGCCTGGCCAACATGGTGAAACTCCATCTCTACTAAAAATATAAATATCAGCCAGGCATGGTGGCAGGCGCCTGTAATCCCAGCTACTCGGGAGGCTGAGGTACGAGAATCACTTGAACCTGGAGGCGGAGGTTGCAGTGAACCGAGATCACACCACTGCACTTCAGCCTGGGGGGTAGAGTGAGACTCAATGTCCCAAAAAAAAAAAAAAAAAAGATGTTTGTGAGGTTACAGAGCAAGGGGAATATTTACACATTGTTGCTGAGAATGTAAATTAGTTTAGCCACTGTGCACAGCAGTTTGGAGATTTCTCAAAGAACTTAAAACAGAACTACCATTTGACCCAGCAATTCCATTATTGGGTATATACCCAAAGGAAAATAAACTAATCTACCAAAAAGACACATGTACGTTTTATCATAACACTAGTCATGATAGCAAAGACACAGAATCAACCTAGATATCCAACAACAGTGGAATGGATAAAGAAAACGTGATGCATATACACCATGGAACACTACACAGTCATAAAAAGAACAAAATCATGTCCTTTGCAGCAACACGGAGGCAGCTGGAGGCCATCATTCTAAGCGAATTAACACAGGAACAGAAACCAAATCCCACTGTTCTCGTTTATCAGTGAGAGCTAAACATTGAGTGTATATAGACACAAAGTTGAGAACAACAAACACTGGAGACTACTAGAGGGAGGAGCGTAAGAGGTGGGTAAAGATTGAAAAACTATCACCTACTGTGCTTATTATTTGGGTGACATGAATATTCACACACAAAACCCCAGTGACACGCAATTTACTCATGTAACAAACATACACACATACCCCTGAACCAAAAATAAAAGTCAAAGAAAAAAATTCTGTAGATATTGTGTTCACAGATAAAAGACTAGCAGCATATACTCAAGTTATTTAAAATAATAACTTAAAGGCAATTTAAAAAATTATTTTCCTTTTTTCTAAAATACACACCACTGTCGTGGTACGAAAAAAAGTTACTACAAAACAAGAACTAATGGATGCTTTTAAGGTTAAGAAGAAAAACATCCTGAATGCCAGAAAACTTTAAACATTACTGAAATGTTGCTTCTACTTTACTATCTTGTGCAATTTCCAGTTACTCTTTCTTCACAACCTGACTGAGAAGGTTTACTGCAAGCCAAGTGAGAAAACCTACATCCCAGCCCCAAACCTGTCACTAAACTAGCTGTATAACCTTTGGCACCTGACAATTTCTAAGTAAAAGTGACTTTTTATAACAGGAAAATCCAATTATATGCATTATATGTACCACATGAGGCCAGAATAAAATACCACACATTTGCAAATATTTTGAAGAAAGGGGTCCAAAAGACAGTATTACTACAATACTAACACACACATTTTCAATCATGGTATAGAACACATTAACATTTATGATGTGAATATTTATGATCTGAAAACAAAATGAGTAATCAGTTGGCTGAATGGAGAAAGAAAGGTTTTCTAGGGCCCTGCTGCATAGTAACAACAGCAATACACTTCACACATAACTTTTTAAATTCTTACAACCTCTTTATAAGACAGGCATTATTATTATCCCCATTTTAAATCTGAAAAATAACTGAAGACTAGGCAGTAAATATCACCCCGCCAAGGTCGCAGATGCTAAATACTGGAGCCAAGACAACTCAGGTCTGTGGTATTCCAGAACAGCACTCCAACCGCTGTATTCTGCTGCCTTCATGAGGGGGTGAGAAGCTAAAGCCCTGCCTTGGTTTTCGGAGCAGCTAGTCTGAGGCGCAATGCAGCAGCCTTGCCCAGGGACTGTAGATCCAGGGCTCTCCCCAAGGTAAGGAGTCTGGCTGCTACTTGCCCAGCCCTACCACAGAAATCCTCATCTCACTGCTGCCAAAGGAGCGTTGACTATAAACCCTAGAGACATAAAGAAATCCACCACCGCTCTCACAGCCTGGTTCTTTCCCTCCTTCCCCCTTCCATCCTCAATAGCCATGCCAGAGGTGTTACAATCTTTCAAGCTTCAAGTGCTGCCACCTCCTATTTGCTCATACTTTGGAATGTAGATCTTCCTAGATCCAGTATACCTATCCTTTCACAATTTAAATTTCACACATGCCTTAAAACATAAAGCTTGTCTTTAGCAAGTATACTCATATTTGCAACCATTTAGAAAAACTGTTTTTATTTTACTTTTTAACTTACAACTTTAACTTTGCATTTTAAAAATAATTTCAAACTTAGTGAAAAGTTACAAGAACAGTATAGAGAATGCCTGCCTATTACCTAGATTCATCAATTTTTAACATTTTTCATTAACTTTCATTCTCTCTCTTCTCACTCTCATGGATATGTTTATGTGTATATGTACTACACATCTATATAAACATAGATAAATAAATGTATTATTCTGAACCGCTTGTGGGTAAGTTGCATATATCACGCCCTTTACACCTCAATATTTAAAGTCGAAATTTCCTAAGAAGAATATTCTCTAATATAAAGATAACCACTGCACAGTTATCAAATTCAATAAATATAACATTGCCGCAGTACTTTAAAGCGCAGGCCATAATTGCAATTTTGTAACTTATCCCAATAATGTTCTTTAGGGCATTTTTTACCCTCTTCAGTAACAGGATCAATTCAGGATTATATATCACATTTAGTTGTCAGTCTCTTTAGTCTCCTGTAATCTAGAGCAGTTTCTTGGCCTCTCTCTTTTGTGACACTGACATTTTCAAGAATATAAGCCAGTCATTATACAGAATATTCCTCAGTTTAGGATTGTTCCAGCCAAAATACTACACAAGTGATTCTCGATCCTTCTTAGGGTAACATAGCTCTAACATTCCATGGTTCTAATATCTATAAAGCACTTCTAAAAATGTAATATGTAATATTAATTGAAGATTATAATTTCTGCTAAGCAAAGATTAGTATGTTTTACAACTCAAGGGACATCACAGTAAGTGCAATGGATTTACTGACAGGATGCTTTATTGTCTGTGGGGCTTCTGACTACAGAGAGAAACACTGATTTTCTGTGCTTTTTTAAAGTTTGTTTCATTAAATGTTTACATGTAATTTACAAATAAACACTGTTAGGTATCTAGACAACAATTCATATTCCTTTGGGTTCAACTACGAGAATAAAAGATGAAACAGAAAATACACTAGAATCATTAGAAACAATTCAGAGCAAAGAAGCCTATGACTACTGCTTCTTCTCCCCCACAGGCATAAACACAGTTTATGTCAACCACACACTGCTTAGAGACTATGCTAATAGTTATGGGCAATTTAACAAAAAAAAATTTAGAATGAAAGAGTGGAAGAAAATGAAAATAACAAAGAAAAGATGAAAGAGTGACTGGAGTTAACCAACCCTGGAACCACCCTACTGTACTTCTCATTATATGAGATGGTAAAATCTTTCCTGTTTTGATTAGCCTCTGTTACTTGCAGCAGAAAGTATCCTGATACATACATGCTGATAATTTAAGAGCTGATTATAATCTGTTCCCAAAAGGACAAGGAGATTATACATCATTCAAAAATGTTTTAGGTAGGTCATTTTCATGTCAAATCATAAATATTCTTTCTCTGCTCTGTCATTTCATCTTATATTTTCTATTCTAGCCATAAAAACTGTACTAATAACATATCTAAAGTGTCAAGAAGACCAAAATCATCTAAGTCAAAATGCCAGATGATACAGAAAGCTAGAAATAGAAAGCAAAGATACCTTACAAATAAATACAGACCATACAAAAAAAAAAAAACCAAACACATATATGGCCTTAAAAATGAAACTTCTCATACAGTTCTGAAGTTGACTGTTTCTGATATCCTATAGGTAACTCAGTATGGCAGTCTTTATAAGAAATGATGATGTGTGAGTTAAGTCCTCAAAAACTGCTGAACAGCAGTGCTGGGTGACAGAAGACAGCATTCAAAGAAGAGCAAGCAATTCTCGTAAGATACACAGATCATAATCACATGAAAAAAGACAAATAAATGACTGTAACAAAGACAAGGCAGGAGACAGTGGAAGAGTAACTTGTTGATTTGGCTTCCTAAAATCAAAAGCACCTTATAAGACTGCTTCAAAAAGGCTCTCACATCCAGCCAACCAATCAAAATCCAATTATCTGTTTCAGACAGGTTCTGCTAGCCTCAGGAGATAGGCTTTTTCTTACTGTAATAACAAGCCCCATGGCCACAGCTCTCAATGGTGTACCCATCGACCGAAAGAAAACCAAATATAACATTACTTTACAGATATCCGGTACCCAAAAGATGTCCCTCATCATCAACTGTCAGTAAAAAAGTGGAAGGCACATGATGGGTGTATATATATATATATTTATTTTAGTATATACCTAAGACTAAATCTCTCTGCAAAGGGCTTACTGAAAACAGAGTATTCCAAAAACCAGATCCCAAAGGAGCTACACTGTTAATACTATGCTTAATTGCCTCTTATTAATTTTTAGTAGGCAGTAGAAAGTACTGGTAAGATGAGTCTTAACTCTGATGCTAAAAGAAGCCAATATTTAAGATGCATTATAATATGTTACCTCATTGACTTAATTTCCATTTGTCTTCTCAAAACTAAGGAAGAAACAGAAGAAATTTTAAAGGACAGAGTGATTACAGCAAGATCAAGATGCAGTCCTATACAAATGCTAACAATTAACTATTGACAAAAAAAACCCAGTCATCAATATTGTAATTTTGTCTAACCTATTCGCAGATATTATAAAATGGATACACATTTCCTAGAAAATATTTTCTCATTTTATCTTTTCTAAAATAATTTTAATAAAGTCTTTACTTTGTATACACGTAAAATACCTATTATTTATTTTTAAGTATCTCAATTTTCTCAGCTGTTTGTTCTCTAAATTCAATCTATAATTTTAAACATTGAGATCTAATTTTTTTTTAAGAACTAGTCTGACTGTGGCTTGATATATGGGAACCACTAAATCTAATTGTGTTCCCCAGCGAAATTTTCTTATTTTTAAGTCAACACAGTTTTTATTTTTAAGTAGTATAACACAGAAGAGTCCATTTTGAATCCAAGTTCCACTAAATAGCTATTAGTGATCTTGACCAAGTCACTTACTTGCTCAGCCACAGTTTCTTCATTTTTAAAATGAGGCAAAAACCATACTTCACAGGCCATGTGAATGTTGATGTAAATAAGAGACTGTATCAAATCACCTATAGTACAACGTGTAGTATACACAGGTCTTCCATAAAAGTTCACTAATAAATGGTCCCTCAGTCATTCTGTTTGGTTTGTCTGGTTGGTTCAAATTTCACAGAGAAGTGGCATACGGTAGTGGTTAACATGGTTAACAGGACAGGGTCTGCAGCATGCCCGCCTGCATTCAAACCTCAGCTCCACCTCTTACTACATGGGTTGCCTTGAGAAGTTACTCAATTTCTCTAAGCTTCAGATGCCAAATCTTTAAAATACTGGACTAATAATAAAGCTCATAAACTTGTAAAGATTAAGAGATAACACATATGAAGTATTTGGCCTAGTAATCTGCACATGTGCTCAATGTTGGCCATTATTATTACCGTTACTTAATATTAAAAACTGTAAAATAATGCAATACCCATTACTTAAGTGATAATCATTACTTAATATTAAAAACTGTAAAATAATGAGTATAAAAATACTCACAACACATGCACTCAAGTTGCTGTTAAGTCTGCATAAAAGACAAATACCAGAAACTCAGCTTATCAGCCTACTGCAAAGGCCTCAGCCAGAGCTACCTCACTAGCCTAACTGGCTATATCCAACCACATTCTCAACTACTCAACTTAAGATACCCTACAGGTATCTCAAAACCCAACATTTTCTTAAACCAAACACACCAAGCCTGTTCCTTTTCTGTACCAGCCACTGTTCACCTTTACCCTAAGCATTGCAACAGCCCCCTAACTGGTCTCAGCAGGCACTTTTATTTCCCTCCAGTGCAATTTCCTCATTTTCATTACAGCAACCTTTTAACGTGCCAATATAATCATGTCACTTATCACTGTTCTTAAAAGCCCAAGCCTTTAACATGGCCTGTAAGGCTCTGCCTTATCCTGTCACTCCTCTACTCATGGAACTCCTCATTCCATGCCACACTTCCTCTTGCCCAGCAAGCTTCTTGACACAAGCTGTTATGTACTTAGAAAGCTCCTAACTCCTTTCTGTTTCAGGGCTTTCATACATACTACCACCTTGCTCTCTCTCAGTAGCTCTTATCCCAAGCCCTTCTCCTTACTGACAGTCCTACCCATCCTTTGTGTCTCAGTATTACCATTATTTCCTCAAGGAAATGTTCCCTAACATCCAAACTATGTTAGGATTTCTAATGCACTTTCCTAACAGACTGTACTTCTCTCTTATGGCATTTACCTCAACTGTAATTACTTCCTTATACAATTAAATGTTTGATTTCTTTTCCCCCAACCAAACTGTAACCAAGGGAGAAGATCAAGTCTGTTGTATTTACTCCTATAACCTCAGCTGCTACCATAGTTGCTTAACAAATGAAAGCAAAAGTCAAAGTATGAGATTTCACAATCCCAGGCTATTGGACATTCTCTAAGAACCAATTTTTTGGAGTTATAAGTTATTGTTGGGCTTGGCGCGGTGACTCACGCCTGTGATCCCAGCACTTTGGGACGGTGAGGTGAGGGATCACTTGAGCTCAGAAGTTCAAGACCAGCCTGAGCAACATAGTGAGACCTCATCTCCAAAAAAAAAGAAGTTATTCTTCACTGAACTGCAGAAGGGAAGGTAACTTAATATTTATTAAATATCTTCTACATTTATCAGTAGCTGTGTTAGACCTTAATATATATTATCTCATGTAACAGTAACAATAACCCTGTGAGGTAGATGGCATCTGTTCCACTTTCTAAATGAAGCAACTGCGAGTAAAAACAATCAGTACTCACCCAAAGTCACACTAGGAGGCAGAGTTGAAATTTTGGCCCTAATATCATGTCTTTTTCCATAACAGTACATTATCACCACCGGAACTATTTAAATAGTGGTTAAAAATGCCACTGATGTGATAAAACCTTCAAGGAGCCATCTAACCCCAATTTCATGAGTTTATGGTACTTTTCAGTAGTAGAATATTAAAACAATTTCTACTAAGTTGTGTATGGCTGCACAAGGGAAACTAGAGCATGTGGAAGGACCACTACATGTCAATACGTTCCCCGTTAAAAGGCAATTTATCTGATGCTACCATGGGCTGTCAAAATACAAATGCCTTGAGCACTTATCAGCTAATTTAAGAGTTCTGACCTCCTCAAAGGTCTCCATTTCCCAATCCCTCCTGCTCTGCTATCAACGCTGATAACCTTTCCCTGCCTTCCAGGGATATACTGTAGTTGCAAGCATTTGCAAAGGAACTTGAGCTTCTTACTTCCCACTACTACTCCTGCTTCAAGGTACCTTTAAAAAAAGAGAAATAAATGACTCCTCTCAATCTCAATTATTAAAGACTTAGAGGAATCACAATTGCTAGATTACCCACAGGGATGGCCCTAGGAGGGGTGGGTGCGGGGACTGTTAAAGTGTGTATTGTTTAGATTGAGGTTCTCTCAGTTCCTACTGCCGTTTACTATTGTTGCATAAAACAATAATAACTAGATAGTTCAATAAATGGATCAATAAAACTCACTGATCTAATGCAGTGGTTCTCAATTTAAAAGAACACCGGATTCAACTGAGGAACTAAAACATATACTCTGCATGCACAAACTTGCCCTAGCCCCACAATAAAACCAGCAAATCATAATTGAGACTAATATCCAAGCAAGAGTACTTTTTAAAAGCTCCACAGATTACGATGATGTACGTCTTTAGTTCACAGCCTCTGTTTTATTATATTACAATATTACACTCTTTATTCAAACACTGATTGGCTATGTACAAGAGTGAAGTAGCAAAATCATACAAATGAATCAAGTCCTGATTGCATTATATCTACGCACTGCAATTTATACACACATTTATGGCCTTCATTTCCATAGAGAAATCTCTCTCTCCCGTTTCCTTGAATTACATGGCTTTCTTGGTCTTTTCCTTTTTTTTTTTTCACTTGCTAAAGAAGAATATGAGAAGAATTTTATATTCTTCACATTTCTGAAGGAAAAATAGTTTCAACACACCAAAGTAGGGAGAACATACATTCTGGTTTACCTGAGACAGGTGTAACTATTAAGTAAGACCCCTCACTGTCAAAAGTATCCAGGTTTGATAGCAGTTTATTAGAAGTACACCACTGTTTTCCTTTATTTATTTTTTAAAGACAGGGTTTCCACTCAGTTACCCAGATTGGAACGCAGTAGCACAATCATAGTTCAACCTCCTAGGCTCAAGGAACCCTCTCATCTCAGCTCCTCTCCTTTGCCCTGACTCTGCTAATTTTTAAAAAAAGTTTTTTGAAGAAATGGGGTCTCACTGTGTTGTTCAGGGTGGTGTCTTCAATTCTATATGATTTTTAAATTGAGTTTAAATATGGTATGTGAATGGTATTCATATACCGCAAAACTCACCTTTTAAAAGTGAATAATTCAGTGTTTTGTTTGTTTTTTTGAGACAGAGTCTCACTCTGTCATCCAGACTGGAGTGAGTGGTGTGATCTCGGCTTACTGCAAGCTCCGCCTCCCGGGTTCATGCCATTCTCCTGCCTCAGCCTCTCAAGTAGCTGGGTCTACAGACGCCCACCACCGCGCCCAGCTAATTTTTTTGTAGTTTTTAGTAGAAACAGGGTTTCACCCTGTTAGCCAGGATAGTCTCGATCTCCTGACCTCATGATCCACCCATCTCGGCCTCCCAAAGTGCTAGGATTACAGGTGTGAGCCACTGCCCCCGGCCCGGTGTTTTTCTAAAAATCGTATTCACAAAGCAGTGCAACTATTACCACTATCTAATTATAGAACATTTTTATCATCCCAAAAAGAAATTTGATACTCATTAGCAGGCATTCCCCACTCCTTCCTCTCCCTAGTCCCCAGCAAATACTCATCTACTTTCTGTCTCTATGGAATTTGCCTATTCTGGAAATATACAATTATACAATCTGTAGCTTTCTGTGTCTGGCTTCTCTCACTTAACATGATGTTTTCAAGGTTCATCTGGGTTATAACATTAATCAGTACTTCATCCTTTTTTGGCTGAATAATATTGTACTGTATGGATACACCACATTTCATTTACCCATTCATCAGGTGATAGACATCTGAGTTGATTCCACTTTGACTATTATAAATAATGCTGCTATGAATAACGGTGTACAAGTTTTTGTGCAGACATATACTTTCAATTCTACCAGATATATCGCTAGGAGCAGAACTGCTGGGTCATATGGTAACAACATTTAACTTTTGGAGGAACTGCCAGACTACTCTCTAAGGAGTCTGAAGCATTTCACATTACCACCAGCAAAGTATGAGGATACTAATTTCTCCACATTCTCTCCAACACTTATTTTCTGTCTTTTTTTATTATGCCATCATGGTGGGTGTGAAGTGGTATCTTGCTGTGGTTTTAATTCTGCATTTCCCTAACAACTATAACATTAAGCATCTTTTCATGTGCCTATTGGTCATTTATTTATCTTCTTCGGAGAAAATCCTTTTTGAAGTTGGGTTACTGTCTTTTCATTGTTGCGATGTAAGAGTTCATATATTCTGGATACTAACACTTACAAATATATGATCTGTAAATACCTTCTCCCACTCATCAAGTTTTGTTTTGTTTTGTTTTTGAGACAGAGTCTCGTTCTGTCATCCAGGCTGGAGTCCAGTGGCACATTCTCAGCTCACTGCAACCTCCACCTCCCAGGTTCAAGTGATGCTCCTGTCTCAGCCTCCTGAGTAGCTGGGATTACAAGTCCCTGCCATCACGCCTGGCTAATTTCTGTATTTTTAGTAGGGATGGGGTTTCACCATGTTGGCCAAGTTGGTCTCGAACTCCTGACCTCAAGTGATCCACCCACCTCGGCCTCCCGAAGTGCTGGGATTATAGGCATGAGCCAACGCACCCGGCCTCATTTCCTTGATAGTGTCCCTAGAAGCAAAATGTTTTTAATTTTGCTGAAGTCCAATTTACCTATTTCCTCTTTGGTTATTTCTACTTCTGATGTTATTTCTAAGAAACCATTGCCAAATTCAGGATCATGAAGACTTAGCCTATATAGTTTTAGCTCTTACATTAAGTACTTGATCCACTTTGAGCCAATTCTTGTATATAGTGTTAGAGGTCTGAACACCATTTGTTAAAAAGGCTATTTCCCTCCATTGAACTGTCTTGGCATCATTGTGAAAAAAAATAATAATTAAAAAAAATCAATTGGCCATAAATGCATGGGTTTATTTCTAGACTCTTAATTCTGTCCCATTGATCTGTTTATCCTTATGCCAGTAACATACTGTCTAGGTTACAGTAGCTTTGTAGTAAATTCTCAAATTCAAAAGTGGGAGGCCTCCAACTTTATCCTTTTTAAAGATTGTTTTGGCTATTCTAAGTATCTTCAATTTCCGTATGAGTTTTAGGATCAGTTTGTCAATTTCGGGGGGGGGTGGGGGGGGGGGGGGGCGGGGGAGACCAGCTGGACTTTGATAGGAATTGTGTTAAATATGTTGATTAATTTGGGATGACTATAATCTTAACAAGATTAAATCTGCCAATCAATAAAGATGGTACCGTCTTTGCATTTATTTAGGTCTTCTTTAATTTCTGTCAATGATACTTTGTAGTTTTCAGTGTACAGGTGCTCTGTGTCTTTTGTGAAATTTATTCCTAAGAACTGTATTATTTTGATAATACTATAAATATAATTTTCATAATTTCATTTTTGGATTGTTCACTGCCAGTGCTCTATACGATTCTTGATTTCAAATGCTTCCAGTAATATAAAAGATGGTTAATTTAAAATTTTTACTGTATTTAAATATGATACCCTGGGTCCTCTAAATAGTATCCACTAGAATGAAAAAAAATTGATCTAAGTAAGAAACCCAAGTGGCTGTCTACTTTGCTAAAAGATGGTGAAAAACCAGAATCAAGAAATGCCAATTAATTTTAATCCCAGTTTTAATATAAGACAAGGCAACTACATTCCACACACAAAAATGATGCCATATATTTTCTTATAAAATATATAAATAAAAACCCACTCATACTGTATACTCTCTTTGTCAAGCTTGAGGAGAATTATTCTATAATTTGTAACACAATGGCAGATTCTTTACCCTTATGGAATTATTTTCTAATTACTTTTAATATAAGATAATTTTTCTTTGTTCCCACTAAACTAAGATGTTTTAATTAATGTTTACAATTAAATCCAGGCAAAATTCAAATTCTAAATTAGCCTGAGACTATCATAAGCTATTATTTTATGGAAAATGACTAAGGTATTCCATTTGAGCCTCAATTGTACATGCTATATTATCATATGTTTTTAAAATACAACATTATGTCGTACAAACACAATCACAGCCATAAAGAAAGGATTCGATAACAAAAACATAAACTGTACTTTGAATATAAATCTCATAGACTTATGGTCATTACCTGAAAGTGCAGTTTGGCTTTATGTAACTTTCATAAAGGCAGAACATACCCTACAAATACTCACACTAATTTTATGAAGTTCTGAATTAAATTAGGTTATTATACATTTTTAGGTAAAATTCAAAAATACTAACATCTGATTCAAGAAATAAGATCAATAAACATACAAAAATACACACAGCATTGAGAAAAATAATCCCTTACTAACTAGAAGAGAGCAAGAAATCACTATGACCCAAAGCCATTATGAACAATGTCATGCCATGCACATGGGCCTGGGGCCAAGAGTGAGCAGGTGGGGTCTGAAAGCCAACTTGTCTTCCACTGTCTAGCACCTTAACTGTAGCAGAAGCCACTATTTACTTAAAATCAGAGGGGCCTTTTCCAACTTTGCAAAGACTAGCTGTGGTCTAGCTATGATACCTCTAAACTATCTACTTGTTAGAAAAGTTAAGACAACTGAAATACTGAATACTGGTACCTTTGCCTAAAATCAGAACAACAAAATAGCACCTTCTTTTTTTTTTTTGAGACGGAGTTTCACTCTTATTACCCAGGCTGGAGTCCAATGGCACGATCTCAACTCACTGCAACCTCCACATCTCGGGTTCAAGTGATTACCCTGCCTCAGCCTCCCATGTAGCTGGGATTACAGACGCCTGCCATCACGCCCAGCTAACTTTTTGTATTTTTAGTAGAGATGGGGTTTCACCATGTTGGCCAGGCTGGGTCTCAAACTCCTGACCTCAGGTGATCCACCCACCTCGGCCTCCCAAAATGCTGACATTACAGGCGTGAGCCACCACGCTCGCCCAAAGTATTACTTTTTATCATGTGTTTACTTCTTATGTTTTAGGTAAAATAGTCAATACACCAAAACAAAAACAGGATGGGAGGAGGGGAGAAATCATCTAAAAATCTAAAACATGGTTTGAAAGATGGCATCTTTCTATTTTAATTTGGATTTCTCTGATTAATAACAAGTTATATATTTTTGTATGCTTCCACACAGTGTTTTTAGATTAGAGACATTCAAAGCTGAATGTTGAAAAATAAAAGAAGCTTAAGGGTAAACTGTTTACAGCCTGTTACTATTAGTGAAATATGCAACATGTTTTATACAATGAATAGCAAATATAGTGCAAGTACCTTACATTCACAGTGAAATTAACTAAATTTGATTAAAGCTGTAAGTAATTTTTTTTTGTAATGTCAATAATCACTCCCTTCACTTAACTGCTGAAGTTCAAAGTTTTTTTAAGTTGGGCTTCCTTAAACAGGACATATGATTATTTTAAAACTACATAAACCATTAGTTGATCATGGTAAATCATCCAAACTACTAACTTCAAAATTTTTATCTGGATGACCAGTCTATAAAATATCAAATGTATCAATGAATTATAATTTGATTTTCGGTGATTCATGTCTTCTACTACCTCAATTCATTTCTACAAAGCACAGCAAGACTATGGCTCAAAACTCCTACAGGAAATTATAAGAACTGATGATATAATCACAGGGCACCTTGAACTCCTTAGAGATAAGCATAGTATTACGAAAATCATTAGAAAGGAGACTTTGTAAACTGCCCTGTTAAGAGGAGAGCCCCTCCATCCATGCTCTTTCATCCTCAGATTAATTACACCAACATAAAGAACAACGTCCTGTCTTCACATGGGACACAAAAGAGAAATAAAGGATACAGCAAGGCAAGGCATAGAAATGAAAATGAGATTCTAATCCTCTACCACCAACAACTCACTCTCATAATTAATGCTCCCTCATTTGTAAAATGCAGATACTTATGCCTATCTCAAATACTTCTCAGGATGTCATAACTACTGGGGGAAAAAATGTTTTACAAATAATTAAATCATACAAAAAGATGAATTATCATTACTAGAAATAATCTCGGTTCTCTACATCATGATTCAAATATCAAATATATTAAAACCTTTTAACCTCATATCATCTGAATCAAACCTGATAAATGTGCTCTAAGTCTAACCTTATCAATATTTATTCAGTCAAATATGATTTTGAGTATATATCAGAGATGTAAAAATACATAAAACAAAAATTCACAATTCAAGGACTGATTACAAACTCAAGTTACAATTCAGATCTAAGAGAATATGAGCACTCCTAAAATCACCCACTATTCAACAATCATTAAATCCCTCCTCCACCACACCTAGAAGTCAACAATTTTCCTGATTATTGTGGTAGCAACTCTCTTTTGTGGTTGTTGTTGCTGTTATTCATTTTCCGTTTCATGGCATAAGCACATATCCCTAATCATCATAGCTTATTTTACCTGTTTTATTTTTGCATGTTTTGTTTTTACTTTATATACGTGGAATCACACATAATGTGTGATTTCTGGCTTCATTTGAGAAACATCTTGTGATATTTATCCATAGCTATAGTTATTCCATTTTTACAGCTGTAAAGTACTCCACTGTATGAATGTATCATGAGTTTATTTATGTAGCCAACTATGATGAACATCATATTGAGTGTGAGGCTATTACAAACAGCTACCAACGTTCTTTAACACATCCCTCCACACACATGTACATGTATTACTCAAGTGTATACCCATGAAAAGAAATTAATGCATCACAGGGTATGTAAATGTCAAGATGTTTCTTAAAGTGGCTGAGTTCCCATAACCTAACATCCTCTCAAAAACTTGTACTATAAATCCCTTTTTAAAATTTCAGCCATTCTAGTGGGCATATGGTGGAGCCTAGTTTTTTTTAATTCGCATTTCCCAGATTATTAATAAGGTTAAGCACTTTTTTTTCCACGTTTCTTAAATATCTGAATTTCTTTTGTGAAGTATTTTTCATGTCTCTTGCCCATTTTTCTATTGGATTGTCTCTGTCACATTGATTTGTAGAAGCGCTTTGAATATTCTGATACATGTCTTTTGTCTGTTAAAGGTACTGCAGATATCTTCTCTACTCTGACTTGCCTCTCTTTTCTTAATGGTGACTTTGCAAGAACAAAATTTCTTAATTTTAAGGTAGTCAAAATTATCAATTTTTTAATACTTGCCGTTTTGATTTTTTTTTTAAGAAATATTTTCCTGGCCAAAGAGCATGAACCTGTTCATCTATATTAGCTTCCAAAAGTTTCAGTTTTGTCTTTCATGTTGAAATATACGAATCATTCTTAAACTGATGTTTGCATATGGTATGGAACATAAGTCATTTCTTTCCATACAGATTATCACTTGTTCCAGGACGATTTATTGACTAATTCTTTCCCTACTAAAGTGTGCGTTTTGTCATAAAGCAAGTGTCCGTGTACATGTGAACCCTTTTCCAGGCATTTAATTTCTTTTGTTTATCCTTGTGGCTTTATTTCATGAAATCAGTGACTGTAGATTTATATAAGTTTTTAATAGAGAAAGTTCTTCCACTCTGATCTTCTTTCAAGACTACTTTAGCTATTCTTGGGCCACAAAATTTCCTTTAAAATCCAACACAGGGCATGATCTCGGCTCACTGCAACCTCTGCCTCCCGGTCTCAAGTGATCCTCCTGCCTAAGCCTGCTGAGTGGCTGCGACTACAGGCATGCGTCACCATGCCTGGCTAATTTTGTATTTTTTGTAGAGACAGGGTTTTGCTGTGTTGCCCAAGCTGGTCTTGAACTCCTAGGCTCAGGTGATCCACCCACCTTTGGCCTCCCAAGGTGCTGGCATTACAGACACGAGCCACTGCACCCAGCCCCTTTTTTTTTTTTTTTAAATCTAAAATCTAAAAAGTACTGTAAAGCTCCTTGGGCCCTGAGCCAAGAATCCTACAAAAAAGCATACCAATTTACTTGTTCATGCTTTATGTATAAGGTCTACCTTTCAGGCATAAAGAAGAATGTAACGTCTGTAAATGTGTTGAACAAATCTAAGCTTTCAACATTGTTGGTAGCTTGGATGTCCACCTTGCACAATATAGTTCAACTTTGGAAGTTGTGATAGGCAGAATAATTATGCAGGAAAGAAAACCACATCCTAAATTGCCAGAACCTGTGAATATGTTACATTACATGGAAAAGGAGAATTAAGGTTGCAGATGGAATTAAAGTTGGTAATCATTTGTCCTTAAAATAGGTAAATTAATTTGGATTATCTGGGTTGGCTCAAAGTGAACACATCTTTAAAAGTGGAAGAGAGGCAGGACGCAGCAGCTCACACCTATAATTCCAGCACTTTGGGAGACTGAAGCAGCCAGATCACTTGAGGCCAGGAGTTCGAGACCAGCCTGGCCAGCATGGCAAAACCCCGTCGCTACTAAAAATACAAAAAAAATAGCTGGGTGTGGTGATGCGTGACTGTAGTCCCAGCTGCTTGGGAGGATGAGGCAAGAGAACAGCTTGAACCTGGGAGGTGGAGGTTGCAGTGAGCAGAGCTCACACCACTGTACTCCAGGATGAGCGACAGAGCAAGACTCTGTCTCCAACAAAAGCAGATAAACTAACAAAATTTTTGGAATATTGTTTGGGATTACTTTGAATTGAGAATAATCCTCAGAAGAGCATGGAGTATAGCCCTCAAAAGGATATAACCTTAATGGGCAGTAAATTAACCCCACGGAAAAGGCTTCTCTGGACCAACACTGACAAGCTTAAACAAAAAGATTCAGCTGATACTAACTTATACACGTACAAAAACAAAGTCCAACACTATATAGAAGATACCAAAAAAAAAAAACAAAACCCCTAAGCCCAACAATGTCAAACCACAACATCCAGCATCCAAACATTATAGGGAATGAGAAGAGGCAAAAAAATGTGGCCCATATAATAAAAGTCAATCAATATGAAGAGATTCAAAAATGATAAAGTTAACAGAACTGACAAGGGCATTAAAAAAAGATTATAAATAAACTTAGTATGTTACAGAAGACAAAGAAAAATAAGAACATGAAGAGAATAATGGAAGAAATAAAACTTCCAGAAATGAAAAATGATTTTCAGAAATTAAAAACACCCTGGATGGGATTATTCAATGCAGAAGAAAAGATCAGTGAACTTGAAGGCATGGTACTGTTAACCAACCAATAAAGCACAGACAGAAAGAAAAGAATGAAAAACAAAAGCAGTATCAGTGCCAAGAGAGACAATATTTCAAATATATAACTAAAATTACAGGGGAAACAAAAACAAAAACCTGGAGTAAGTGGGATATTTGAAGAAATAGTGGTGAAACATTTCCAAATTTGGTTTTAAACAATAAACTAAAAAATCTAGGCAGCATTATTGCAAAGAAAACCATACAAGGCCCATCATAATCAAATGACTAAAACCTAGTAATAAAGTCTTAAGAGTAGCCAAAGAAAATAGAAAACTTACATACTGGGAACAAAAGGTAAGAACAGCAGACTTTTTGTCAGAAACTATGCAAACTATTTCACAAACTATTTCACAAAATTTAATAGTGACAAAGACCTAATTCATCAAGAAAACATAAAAACCCTTATTACGCATGCACCTAGTAACAGAGCCTCCAAACACATGAACCAGTAAAAGGAAAAATAAATCCACAATTGAAGTTGAATATTGAACACTTCTCTTTCAGAAATTATTGAAACAAACAGAAAATCAAAAGGGACACAGAAGTCTTAAAAGAACACTATCAACCAATGTGACCTAGTTAACATTTTTAGAAAACTCCACTCAACACATTCTTCTTAAGTACACACAAAACATTTACTAACACTGGCTGGGCATGGTGGCTCACACCTGTAATCCCAGCACTTTGGGAGGCTAAGGCAGACAGATCACTTGAGGTCAGCAGTTCGAGACCAGCCTGGCCAACATGGCAAAACCCCATCTCTACCAAACACACACACACACACACACACACACACACACACAAAATCAGCCAGGTGTGATGGCTGCATGCCTACAGTCCCAGCTAATCAGGAGGCTGAGGTCACAGGATTGCTTGTAGCCAGGAGGTGGAGGTTGTAGTGAGGCAAGATCACGCCACTGCACTCCAGCCTTGGTAACAGAGTGAGACTGTCTTTGAAAAAAAAAAAAAAAAATTTTACTAACACAGACCACCACAACTGTGTCTTATAATAAATCTCCACAAGTTGACAAGAACTTACATCACACAAAGTATGTTCTTGGACAACAGTAGAATTAAATTAGAAACCTGTAAGAGAAAGAAATCTGGAAAATTAACCAAATATTTGAAAATGACGTGGGTCAAGGAAAAAAAATCACAATGGAAATTTTAAAATACTCTGAACTCCATGTAAATGAACACACAACATTACTAACATTGTAGGATGCAAACAAAGGAAAATTAAAAGATTAAATACTCTTTTAGAAAAAGAAGGAAGTTTGCAAATATCAGCAACGAAAGAGGGAATATCACTACAGATTCTTCAAATGTAAAAGAATAGGGATTCTAAAATACAACTTCGTGCCAATAAATTAGACAACTTACATAAAATAGACAAATTCCTTGAAAAACAAACAACTAAAGCTTATTTAACAAGAATTAACATAAATCCAAATAGCCCTGTATCAGTTAAGGAAACCAAATTCATAGTTTTGTTACAGTAGGTAGCTAGTCAGACATGAGCAGGGCAGGAAAAGCTCCCCACCCCTACACACACACACACACACACACACACACACACACACACACACACGAAAAGCTCCCCACCCCCACCCCCCCACACACACACACAAAAAGCTCCCCACCCCTACACACACACACACACACACACACACACACACACACACACACACACCCCAGGAATGTCAGGCAACCACCAGGTGACGGTCAGGCAGTTGTTAAACTGTCTCTCTAAAATGATAATTGGTCGCGGCCCAAGCCAGTGAAAGGCAGTCTCCCAACAGATAGAAAACACCTGAAGCTGGTGATCAGCCGCTTCCCTATAACATCTCAGGAGTTGGACATATGGGCTCCAGCATGCGCATTAAGAGGCAAAATGGTAGCGTTTAACTGGTATATGACTTCCTAGGGACATTGGACTGTTAAGGGAAGAATACCTCAAGGAAGCATACATACGACTTCAGTAAACACACTGCACAGGCTCCCCTCCCAAGTGCTAGGCCACTGTGAATGCAGACAGCCCACCCCAAGGGAAGAATCAGGGCAGAAGGGACACAAGACCCCAGAAGTATGCCAACATATAAAACCCTGAGTCAAAGGTCAAACCACGCACTGATCTCTCACGCTGCCCACTTGGCCCTCTTCCAAGTGTTCTTTACTTCCTTTCATTCCTGCTCTAAAGCTTTTTAATAAACTTTCACTCCTGCTCTAAAACTTGCCTCGGTCTCTCCTTCTGCCTTATACCCCTCAGTTGAATTCTTTCTTCTGAGAGGGCAAGAACTGAGGTTGCCGTAGACCCATGCAGATTCACCGCTGGTAACAGTTTAAAACCTTCCCACAAAGAACCTCCAGGTCCAGAGGTCTTCATTGGTGAATTCTACCAAACACCTAAAGAAGAAATAACATCAATTCTATGCAAATTCTTCAAGAACAAGAAATTTTAACTCATTCTGAGACCAGCATTACCCTGACACACACACACACACACACACACACACACACACACACACACACACACACAAAACAGACAAAAACTACAATCCAATGCCTTCTATGAATGTAGACTTTTTAAAAGAGTCAACGCAATTTTAGCAAGTGAATCCAGCAATACACAAAAAGTATAACACATCATGACCAAGTGATAATTATCCTAAGAATACATGAATGGTTGGTTCAATATTTAAAATCAATCAATGTAACTGACCATATGCACAGACAAACAGGAGGGGAGGTAGGTGACCATATTAATAGATGCAGAAAAAACATTTGGCCAAAATTCAACACCTACTCGTGAAAACGAAAAAAAAAAAAAAAAAAACTCTGACCAAGACCTGGTGAAAAACTCAAAGTTTTCCACCTAAGATCAGAAGCAAGGCAAGGATGTTAGTTCTCACCACTTCTATTCAACATTGCACTGGGACTACTAACCAGTCTAATAGAGCAAGCAAAAGTAATAAAAGGTGCATAAATTTAAATGGAGGAAATAAGATAGTCTTTATTCACAGAGAAGATAATGATCTACACAGATGATTTGAAGAAATCTACAAAAAAGCCACTAGCACTAATAATTAATTTAGCAATATTACAAATTATAAAGTTTTATATAAAAATCAATTCTATCTCTGTAGACTAGCATCAATCAATTGGAAACTGATATTCTTTTAAATTCCCATTTATAATAACAAAGTTAAAATAATTAGAGATGAATTTAACAAACTATGTGTCAGACCACTGCACTGAAAACTACAAGACACTGCTGAGAAAAAGTAAAGATGACTTAAATGAATAGAGGTACCAAGCTCACGCATTAATAAGATTCAATATCCTTAAGAGGTCAATTCTCCCAAATTGATCTCTAGGGTAAAAACATTCATAATCAAGATCCTGTTAGGCTTTTTTTGTAGAAATTAAGAAGCTGATTCTAAACTACATAGAAAGAAATAAAAAGGATCCAGAATAGAAGAAACAACTTTGAAACAGAAGAACAAACTTAGAGGATTTACATTACCAGATTTTAAGATTTACTATAAAAGCTTCAGTAATCAAGACAGTGAAGCACTGTCATAAGGATATATAGATCAGCAGAACAGAGTCCTGAAACAGACCCACACATAATGGCCAATTAATGTTCAACAATGGTGCCATGATAATTCAACAGGGGAAAATATAATGTTTTCAAAAAAACTGCTGGAACAATATGATATCTATATTCAAAGAAATAAACTTCAACCCTTACCTCACACCATATACAAAAATTAATTCAAAATGGATCACTGACCTCAATGTAGTAGTCCAAAGAAGTTCCAAGACATGAAGGAAAGCCAGGAGAAATTCTGTCTAATCCCTATGACAAACCTTCAATTTCTACTGCAGCAGAATTGTAAAGAAAATCTCTAATCTGAGCTTCGCCAGTTAACATACGAATCTATTCAAAAAGAAAGGACATTTCCAATCTAAACACTCAAGAGTAACTCCTAAACAAGTAGTTATTAACTCAGGCACAACCCATAGAACCATAGAAGGCCCGTCATGAAGGATAAGACACTGTCTACATCCTTAGAGACTAGTAGAGGAAGCAGCATAGAGAATTCCCTAAAATCTAAACATGACTCAAAATATAACATCTGAAGTTATACCCACAGCCATCACTGAGGTTCAGAGAAAGTACAGAGTTCTCAGCTAAGGGCATGAGTGCTTTAGCTCATATCACTCAGTTTCCAGCAGTTAATGAACAAAACAAACAGGTGAGAAATTTAAGTAAAATCCTTGCTTAGTATCTGTGGAGTGGGAAATTGGTTCCAGGATCCTCCATGGATACCAAAATCCTAGGACACTCAAGTCTCTTATATAAAAATGGTGCAGTATTTGCATACAACCTACATAAATCCTCCTATATTTTGAATCATCTCTAGAATATTTATAATATCTAATGCAATGTAAAATTTTTTATTGGTGTATTATTTTTTATTGTTTTGAAGTATAGGGTATTTTTTAATCCACAGTTGGTTGATCCACAGATGAGGAACCTATGGGTAGAGAGGGCCAACTGTAATGATGAGAAAAGAAAAAGATTTACAGAAGACTAACCAAGGTTTATATTTTAAAATGAGAATTAAACTCCACTGTTCCCATCCCACCTACACATACACAAGTTTTAAACTGAAGGTACTTTGCATCAGTTGGATAAACAGGCCTTTTTCTCCTAGTCTCCTAAACTAAAGATTATCAATCATTAAATGGGCTGTTCTTCAGTCAAGTTATAACAAGAAAAATATATAACCATATGAAACTGATGTCAGAATATCATACTTCAACAAAGAACTCATTTTTCTAAGTTTGTAAAATGTGATTTCTTTCTACTATTTAATCATTCAAGAAAAAAAATTTAGACCTATGTTAAGTAGCAAAAGTATTCCTGAAATGGGCAAAATAAAAATTTTTAAGATACCTTTTCCAAGATTTTTACTGACATAATCATCAGCCTGGATCAATGATATCTAATATTTAAAATGCTAATGTTAACTTATTATAACACACTGCAGAATATCCCCTAACATTTTTCAAAATTACTTATTTTAAAATATTCTAGCATTAATATAATTCACTTCTTTTCCATTTTAAGTAGAAGGTGGAATTCAGGTAAGGTTTCACTCATGAAAACTTTTGAGGACTACACATATGAAAACTTTTGAGGACTACACATCTTACTGAGATACTGTGAATGTTAACCTAGGCCAATGTAAGTTTTTTAATCAAAATAGTCTCCTCCTGAGCTTTGCAAATATGAACCCATTAATTTAAGGCAGTAAATTCCAAGTCATTAAAAATGTCCACATTTTTAAAAGATCCCCTAAAATTTGCTTTTTCTATTTGACCTTTCCCATGCTTCATGAGATATGGCTAGACATGCATGTCATCTTTCACTTGAAAATCTTTCCTCAGCTCATGTAACTCATGTCCCCCAACTCTCCCTTCATCCTATTAACTGTCTCAGTAACTACCAACTACCTACTTAATTTTTTTTCTTCTTTCTTCAAATAGAGGTTAACTGATAGAGAATATGGAAGAAGTGTGAAAGATGAAAAAATATGAGATGATTTCAGCAGCGTCAGACAAAATATAAGAGAAACTGCCACTACACAATATTACGCATTTCAACCGAATTTTACAAATTTCCTCAACTGGGTCTAAATTAAGCCCCCCTCGCCCCCAAGAAAACCTCTAAAATAACTGCCATTCAATCTCACAAGAACAGCCTGATTTTTAAAATACATTTCCATTGTATCTACTTAACATAGAAAAGAAAAAATGTCTTACTAGAAATGAAGTATCAGCAAAAAGTGCACTTAGATATGATCCTTGCAGAAAATTCTTGTTCTTTTTTCACAAAATGCAATTCCTTAAAAAAGAAAAAAATTTGAGATGCATTATTGTTCTTGACTCCAAAGCTGAATTAAATATACATTATACAAAATTCTAGCACTCAACACCATTCCTAGCAGAAAGCTCCACAAATACTGTTAAATGAAAATTAAATTTTAAAAAGTCATTTATTTGGAATAAAACAAAACGTCAGCCAACTGAGTATCTCTACTATTACGAATCCTTTTTCTTCAGGAAGTATTACTCAAATGTTCAGTAATATTCTTTGCATCGCGAGATTCAAAAATTGGTTTCCTAGGTCCCATTTTCCTATCCTCTGTATCATGTTATGCTTTATATTTATCTGTACTGTGCGTATAGCCTATTGAACTTACTAGTTTCAATAAACTAAACTTGTTTTAAATAGTTTAAAATGTTCACCATATTGTTTTCATCAAGAAAATTGTGAAATAATTGTTATCACCATAAAATATACCTGTATTTCAATACAATGTGTATATTTGTAATTTTCACTAGCTAGCTATATTTTAAAGGGAACAATGAAATTAACACAAAACTACAAAAATGAATAGAAGACTGATGGCTGTCTATGATTCACATTAATAAAGGAACACTAGTTATCGGGGAATCTGCCCCAATATTCATGTAGGTTCTTTTCTATTTTCCTTAAGCGTCGGCCAGCTTGAGAAATAAAGGGACAGAGTACAAAAGAGAGAAATTTTAAAGCTGGGCGTCCAGGGGAGACATCACATGTCGGTAGGTTCCGTGATGCCCCCCAAGCCACAAAAACCAGCAAGTTTTTATTAGGGAGTTTCAAAAGGGGAGGGAGTGTGCGAATAGGTGTGGGTCACAGACATCAAGTACTTTACAAGGTAATAGAATATGACAAGGCAAGTGGAGGCAGGGCGAGATCACGAGATCACAGGACCACAGGACCACAGGACCGAGGTGAAATTAAAATTGCTAATGAAGTTTCGGGCACCATTGTCACTGATAACATCTTATCAGGAGACAGGGTTTTGAGATCAACTGGTCTCTGACCAAAATTTATTAGGCGGGAATTTCCTCTTCCTAATGAGCCTGGGAGCGCTATGGGAGACTGGAGTCTATTTCACCTCTGCAGTCTTGACCATAAGAGACGACCACACCCGGGGGGCCAGTTCAGAGACCCACCCCCAGGTGCGCATTCTCTTTCTCAGGGATGTTCCATGCTGAGAAAAAGAATTCAGCGATATTTCTCCCATTTGCTTTTGAAAGAAGAGAAATATGGCTCTGTTCCACCCGGCTCACCGGCAGTCAGAGTTTAAGGTTATCTCTCTTGCTGCCTAAACATTGCTGTTATCCTGTTCTTTTTTTCAAGGTGCCCACATTTCATACTGCTCAAACACACATGCTGTATAATTTGTGCAGTTAATGCAATTATTACAGGGTCCTGAGATGATATAATCCTCCTCAGCTGACAGGATTAAGAGACTGAAGTAAAGACAGGCATAAGAAATTACAAAAGTATTAATTTGGGGAACTAACAAATGTCCATGAAATCTTCACAATCCACGTTCTTCTGCCATGGCTTCAGCCAGTCCCTCCGTTTGGGGTCCCTGACTTCTCGCAACAACTAGTGAACACTGCTCAATGGATTAGGTGCACAAACAATAATCCAGCCCTGCTACATTCTTGCTTGAAGATAGAGCAGGACATTCAGGTAGAAAAAGGAAAGCTATCTCTCTCCTCGCTCCTATTGGCCAGGATCAATTATAATGCTAACACAATAATTTAGAATTGCATGATCCGGTGATTCAACCAATCCCCAAGTAAATCCATTTCATCAAATGAAAATGGTAATTTATCCACAGAAACACCAATCTTTTGAATCTGATTCAGCAGTATTAATTATTATGACCCTGATTTTGTTTCTATTTGGAAACGGACACCTCCTCTGGGGGCGGGAAAAACACAAACTGCCAAGTATTCTTTTTATACTAACAAATTAAGTATTAAAAACCCAAACTGTAAAAGACATAAAAACACATAAACAAGTTTTTTTTTTTTGCAAAGGTAAAAGGAGCTTACTTTAAAACACCAATTTCAGCTTTTAATCTAATGGTACTAAAATGCAGAAAAAAATTCCTCAAATTTAGTTGCATTACCAACTTCTAAAATACAATCATTCAAAGTAAAGCCAAAATTTAGCTATTTGGCCCATGGCAAACAAGTGATTAAACACAAATTTGATAGTTACACATCACAGTACATATTCTCATCTCAAAATGCATTCCTCAATTATATAAATGTACTGTTACTGATGATGTATGTTGTACCTAGTTTTCAAGTAGTTTCTAAAAGACAATACTGTAAAAAATCAAGTTTTTATAGTTATTTTACAATAATCTGTAATGAGACACGCTCTTTAAAAAAAAAAACTAAACTAGAATGTTAGTGCTGAGTCAGTTATCATCAAATTTCATACACTGAGCCTTCAAATCCCGTTGCTTCCACCCACCTAAAAGGGAGACAGCCTGGTCCTCTAATTGCTATCCCTATCTCCCTCGACTACCCGTTGACACACACTGTTAACCTAGACAACAAGCCATTGCTGAGACTGTTAAGCTCTTTAACTTTGTTTTTACCTCCACCTGGAAATAACTTTCCCCTGTGTCTCTTATATAGATCAAACGTACACTTCAATGACGCGTTCTGTGACGCCATCTTCAGTACACCTTAACTATCACCATCACTCCCAGGGGGTAAAATTATTGTAGTTAGTTGTACAAGTATGAGTCTCCTCTATTATACCATATGCTTTTTTAAAAGAAGGAACTTTGTACTTTGTTCTTTTTATATCCCCAATATCTACTCAATATCTGGCCCAGGATTCAATATAATTCATTTGGAAAATTTTTACTAAGCATCCAACATATTCCAGGCACTTTTCTAGGTGCTAGGAATCAATCCCTATCCCTATTCCTGACTTCATAGAGCTTACATTCTAGTGGGGAGACCTATAGTACAAGGTGAATAAGGAATATATAATATAGGTGGTAGGTTGGTGGAAAAGTCCTTAATGAGAAAAAAAAATTAAGCAGGGAAGGAAGTACTGCCAGAGGAAGGAGATTAAAACTATAGACAATGCATCCAGGGAAAGCCTAACATAATAACAACAACTACAAGAGCAGCAGTAATACTTGAGTATTTATCATATGCTAATCAGCATACTAATTGCTTTACATGTCATTACCTGATGTAATGCCAACAACAACCTCATTATTACCCCATTACTATTCTCAAGAGGGAACGCAAATACTAAAGAAGCAACTTCCCAAGGTATTCAGCTAGTAAAGTGGTGAAGCCAGGATTAGAATCCAGGAATGCTTTTAACTGCTATACATAACCACAATTCAGTAAATGCTTTTGGTGAATAAAGAGGTGGAAAAAAAATGAATGCCTACTATAGCAATAGATTCAAGACAGCAAAGCAAATTCAGTCTCAGAGGACCAGTACATTTGAGCAGGTTCAGATATACGTTGTACATCAATACCTATATATGATAGAGACCATGAACATGTAGACAGACACCTGCTTTGAAGTATTTACAATTACTGATAATTTCATAACACCCTTTAAAATATATTTAGAGTTTCTATATGACAATTACCAGAACTAAAAATTATACAATATCACACAAATCACACAGATAGAAATAATGTGATGTAATAAGAAATACATATTTGGTTTCTGCTGGAGTGGCAAGTGTCTCTTGCATGCCAGTGAAATGACTAGTGACTAGGGGGCCCTAGGTAGCTTCAATACGTGTGCTGGTCATCAGAAAGACCTAGGCATGAACAGAGGGTTGATGTTTTCAGCCCCAACTCCCAACCTCTGGGGAGGGGAGAGAGACTGAAGGTTGAGTTGATTACCAACGGTCAATGATGTATGTAATCAATCATGCCTAGGTAACAAACCCTTCAAAAAAAAAAAAAAAAAAAAAGAAAGAAAGGACAGGGTTTGGAGTGCTTCCAGATTGCTGAACACGTGGAGGTTCCTAGACGGTAGCACAACCAGATAGAGGATGGAAGCTCTGTGCCCCTTTCTATACACCTTGCCCTATGCATCTCTTCCATCTGGTCATTCATCTATATCCTTCATGATAAATGGGTAAACATAAGTAAAGTGTTTCCCTGAGTTCTGTGAGCTGCTCTAGCAAATTAATCAAACCAGAAGAAGGGGTAGTGAGAACCCCTGATTTACAGCCAATTGATCAGAAGTACTGATCACAACCAGGGACTTGTAGTTGGCATCTGAAGTGGGTCAGTCTTGTCAGGCTGAGCCCTCAACCTGTAGGATATGATGCCATCTCCAGGTAGATAGTATCAGAATTGAACTGAATTATAGGAAATCCAGCTGGTGTCCACTGGAGAACTACTTGGTAAGTGGGAAACCCTCACACACGTTTTGGTGACCGAAGGCAACGTATCCTGTGGTGAGTGGTGTGTGAAAGAGTACAAAAAAAAAATAATTTGTTTTTTACCTATCTCAAATAGGTGATTAAAAACAAAACAAAACATCTTTTTTAATAGAAGGTACTCCTGAAAGAAACAAGACCTTTGAAGCATTATCAAGGACATTTAAATGTTGAATATCATGTTTTATACCACGGTACAACTTAACTCAGCTTCCAATTTTCCATACTAGTAGGAATGGTTAAATGAAATGACTTCAATCAGTGTTCAAACTATTTGAACTACCTTACATTCAAAAACTATCAAAATTTCACTGGATGCTTCTGTACTGAGCATAATGCAGTGTCAAAGAAAACAAAAGTTTCTACATGAAAACAGTTCCAAAGTCAATCCAAAATGAAACTCACAAAATTATGAATTTCACTTGTAATCAAAATTTAGGATTAGTTGCAACGGGTATTTTTAATTCCAAATAAGGGTGAACTCATATGGGCACCCAACTCCTCATGCCTTAAGATATTTGCTACCAGGCATGATGTAGTAACTGGTATCGGACATGCTCTCCCATTGAACTAAACTAGAAAACTGATAAAATATATAAAACTACAATTTTAAAACATCAGACAATGAACAGCCCCGCACTGTGAGGCCTGGAAAAAGGGAAAGTGTCTCTACAAATGCTTGGATGCACAGTCAGGACGACAGTGCAGAAAAGGGAAGCCAAGAAGAATACGGAGACTCACGGAGTACAAGAGACAGATAAAAATTCAGGAAGTCTGAGGTAATGGGAATTTGTGCGACAGATTAGCAAAAAGGATGGTACTCAGGAGAGAAAGTGCTCCTGAAATCTGCAGAGGGATTCTAGAGCAGCACTGCCCAAAAGAAACATATTATGAACCTAAAATGTAAGTTTTAATTTTCTAGTAACTACACTGTAAAGGAAAAAGAAGGTGAAATTAATTTTAATACAATATTGTATACCACCCAATACACTCATAATATTATCACTTCAGGATGTAACTGATATTTAAAAAGTGAGATTTTCATATATGTTTTTCCAACCTACATCCCTAACATTCAGTGTGTGTGATATGATTTGGATATCTGTCCCCACCCATATCTCATGTTGAAATGTAACCCCTAATGTTGGAGGTGGGACTTGGTGAGAGGTGTTTGGGTCATGGGAGCAGATGTCTCATGAACGACTTGGTGCCCTCCTCTTGGTAGTGAGTTCTCACTCTGAGTTCACGCAAGATCTGGTTGTTCAAGAGTGTAGTACCTCCCCCCACCCACTCTCTCCTGCTTCTCCTCTTACCATGTGACAAGCTTGCTCCCCTTTTCCCTTTCACCATGACTGTAACATTCCTGACACACTCATCTGGAAGCAGATGCCAGCAGTATGCTTCTTGTACGTCTGCAGAACTATGAGTCAAAATAAGCCTCTTTTCTTTATAAATTATCCAGTCTAAGTTATTCCCTTACAGCAATGCAAACAGACTAACACAGTGTGTTTTGCACATACAGCACATTTAAATTCAGAATAACCATAATTCAAACACTCAAGAGCCACATATGGCTAATGGATACCACATGTAACAACACAGCTCTATAGTTTTTCATTGAATGTGTGCATGAATAAAGTGAAATTCACAAGGCCAGGCAAAGAACAATGATCAGGAAGCAGTATAATAAAAAAAAAGTTCCCAAAGATTACATAAGACTGCAGAATGTTCAAGTTCCACCCAGAGAAACCTGGGCAATCAGTAGAAAATGCAGCAGCAGCACCGCCGCGTGCTAACCTAGTCCTACAGTAAAGGCTACACTAGATCTGCCAGAACAAAGTGTAAAAGCAAGCTCAAAAGGTTCATACACGTCTGCAAGAAATTTATCAGTCTGCCAAAACAAAATTAAAATCTCTTCAGAGGAAATCAACAAAATCCAGACAACAGTGTGATGAATGTCCAGGAGTCAATCAAAACTTACTAAATGTAAGAAAATGAAGAAATGTGTGACCCACACCACCAGGGGGGAAATCCGATAAAAGAAAGAAGCCCAGAAGCAAGACAGGGTGTCTTTAAAGGCATAAACTTCAAAATATTATAAATATATTAAACGATTTTTTTAAAGGAACAAAAAAGAAAATGATTTTTAAAAGAATAAAATGCATTTTCTAAACATAAAAAGTGCAGTATCTCAAAAAAGTAACTGGATGGAATTAACAGTAGATCAAACTGCAGAAAAGAAGATGACAAAATTGAAGATGTAAAAACATCAAAAAGAGCAAAACAAAACAAAAACAGATTATGAAGAACCTGTGAGAAGATCAAGGGCAACCTAAACATAATGTAATTGGAACTGCAGAAGGAAGGAGAAACAAAAAATACATGACGAAATAGGGCCAGAAAAAGGTCCAAATTTGAGGAAAACTGAACACACATATTCAAGAAACTCAACATACATAAAGCAGATTAAGCACAAAGAAACCACACCAAGGCACATAATAGAAATCCAGTCATATAGAGAAAATCTTACAAGAAGCCAAAGAAGTGGAAAGACACATTACACACAGAGGAACAAAGATAATAATTACCAGACTCCTTGTCAAGAGTAATGCAACAAGTTTACAACAAAGGAATTACATCTGTAAAGTGCTAGAAAGGACAAAAAAAAACTCTGTAAGCTAAAATCTATATAAAGCAGAAATATTCTTCACCGATAAAGGGGAAATAAAGACATTTCAAACAAACAAAAGCTGAGACAATCTGTTACCAGGAGGCCTGCAATCCAAGAAACACTGAAGGAAGAGTTTTAAGAAGCAGAAAAATGGTAGAACTGTACATCACAGAGTGAGCCCTAATGTGAACTATGGACTCAGCTAAGAATAATGTATCAGCCCTCAGTTGTAACAAATGTACCACACCAATACAAGAGGGAACCTGCAAAGGGTGGGATTGGGGTAGTATATATGAACTCTGTACTTTCTGTTCAATTTTTCTGTAAAGCTAAAACTGCTCTAAGATATAGTCTATGAAATTTTTTAAAAGAGCAGATAGAAACCTAGCTCTACACAAGGAAAGAGTAACAAATGGTAAACGTGACAAATTATAAGACATTTAAGTTTTAAGAAGATATTTGATTATCTAAAGCAAAAGTAGTAATAATGTATGGTAATAACATGTAGAATAAAATCAATGACAATAGCAAAAAGAATGAAGGGAAGGAAACTGGAAGTGCACTACAGTAAGGATCTTACATTATTTCTAAAGTGATGAAGGTGGATTGCGATAAGTTCAAGATTCATGTTGTAAAACCCTACGGCAACTACCAAATACATAAAATAAAACTAATCAACCAAGAAAGTAGATTAAATGGAATGCATATTTTTAAAATATGTAATCCAAAAAAGGTATAAAAAGAGGAAAATAAAACACAAAATAGGACAAGTAGAAAACAAAGATGGCAAGATGGTACACTTAAATCTAACTATATCAATAATTACAGTAAATATATATTATCTACAAACCTCAATTAAACAGTAGAGACTGTCATACTAGATTAAAAGTAGAGATTGTCAGATTAAGTAAAAAAACAAGACCCAACTATATATATGTTGTCTATAAGATATCACTTTAAATTAACACAGATAGGAAACATAAAATAGAAAAGGATATATCATATAAACATTAATCCTAAAAGCAGCAGTGCCTATATTAATATCAGACAAAGAAGATTTTAGGAGAAGGAATACGTTTCATAATGCTTACAGTCTCAAATTATCAAAACTACAAAATAATTCTAAACATTTATGCAGCCAATGATAAAGTTCCAAAACACATAAAGCAAACACTGACAGAACTAAAAGGAGAAATAGATATCTACAATTACAGCTGGAGATTTAAATACTTCCTTCACACTAACTGGTAAAATGAGTAGATGGAAAATCAGTGAAGATGTATAAGACCTGAACAACACTATAAACCACCTTGGTTTAACTGAATACTACAACCAACCACATAAGAACAAACATGAAAATGTACATGTGTCTTGGTACAATCAACAACAAAGAACATATGCTGGACCATAAAACAAGACACATGAATTTATAAGAACTGAAATGACATAGAAACTGTTTTCTGACCACAAAAGAATTAAAGATCAGTTACAAAAAGGACACTTTTTTGGGGGGGGACATTTCTATTTTGGGACATTTTCCAAACATTTGGAAATTAAGATTTCTAAATAACTCATGGATCAAATAAATCATTTAAAATTTTAAAAATACATTGAACTAAATGGCAAAAACATGATTAGATTATATAGGGTAAAGCTAAAGATACGTACTTGGAAATTTACAGCTTTTAAGTGCGTATTTTAGAAGAAAAAATAATGGTTTAACAGCGTTCCAAACTTCCACCCTAAGACACTAGAAAAAAGGAGCATATTAAACTAAAAGTAGAGGTAAGGGAATAACAAAAGTAGAAAATGGTAACAGAGATGTGGGACAAACTAGATAAAATCAATTAAAGTTGGTTATTTGAAAAGAACTTCTAGTTAGGCTGGTCAAGAAAAAAGACACAAATTACCAACATCAGAAATAAAAGAAAGGACATCACCACAAATGCTGCAAACATTAAAAGTATACTAAGGGTGATTTTATGCCAATAAAACTGACAACTTAAGTAGACAAAATTTCTTAGAACATGCAGACTATCAAAACTGACACAGAAAGAAAAGTCTAAATAATTCTGTATCGAATAAACTAAATTCGTAATTTAAAAGCTTTCCACAAAGAAAACTCCAAACCAAGATGGTTTCACTAGTGAATTCTTCAATCATCTAAAGATTTAATATCAGCTGTACACAATCTCTTCAGGAAACAGAAGGAGAGGACACACTTTCTAACACATTTAAGGAGGCCAGTATAAATAACCCTGATACCAAAATGAGGCAAGAGGACCACAAGTAAAAGAAACTTCATACCAGTGTCACTTGGGTATAGAGGCAAACATTCTTAACAAAATATTAGCAGGTCAAATCCAGCAAAATATGTAAAGAAAATATCAGTACAGATGGGGTTTGTCTCAGGAATACAAGGTTGGTTCAGTATTCAAAAATCAATGTAATTCACTACATTAACATGCCAAAAAAACCCATGTGATTAATTCCAATAGACATAGAGAAATAACAAAACACCCATTCAGGAAAAAATTTAAAAAAAAAAACAAAAACAAAAACTCAGCAAACTGGCCAGGTGCAGTGGCTCACGGCTATAACTCCAGCACTTTGGGAGGCTGAGGCAAGAAAACTGCCTGAGGCCAGGGTTTGAGAACAGCCTGGGCAACATAGAGAAACCCCATCTCTACAAAAAAATACAAAAATTAAGGCCAGGTGCAGTGGCTCACACCTGTAATCCTAGCACTTTGGGAGGGTGAGATGGCCAGATTGCCTGAGCTCAGGAGTTCGAGACCAGCCTGGGCAACAGGGTGAAACCTTGAGTCTGCTAAAATATGAAACAAAAATTAGCTGGGCATGGTGGTGTGTGCCTGTAGTCCCAGCTACTCGGGAGGCTGAGGAAGGAGAATTGCTTGAACCCAGGAAGCAGAGGTTGCAGTGAGCCAAGATCGTGCCACTGCACTCCAGCCTGGGCAACAGTGAGACTCCTTCTCAAAAAAAGAAAAGAAAAGAAAAAAACAACAAAAAAAAATTAGCTGAGTGTGGTGGCACACGCCTGTGGTCCCAAATACTTAGGAGGCTGAGGCAGGAGGATTGCTTGAGCCCAGGCAGTCGAGGCTGCAGTGAGCCATGACGGTGCCACTGTACAACAGCCTGGGCAACAGAGGAGACCCTGTCTCAAAACAAAACAAAACAAAACACCTCAGCAAACTAAAAAAGAAGGCAACTTCCTCAACCTATAAAGAGCATCCACAGAAAACCTACAGCTAAGATCATACTTAATGGTAAAAGACTAATTGCCCCCTCTAAGACTGGAACAAAACAAGAATGTCCACTCTCACCATTTTTAATTGCTATTTTACTGAAGGTCCTAAGCAGTGGAATAATGTAAGAAAAAGAAAAGGCATCCAGATTGGAAAGGAAGAATTAAAACAGGTTCTATTCACAAACATCACACACAGTAAAAAACAAAAAAAAACTACAATAAAGTAACTGGAACTAAGAAGTGGAGTTTGCAAGGGTATAGGATACAAGATCACTATTAAACATCAACTGTATTTCTACATATTTGTAATGAAAATGTAAAATTAAGTTTTGTAAAAATATGTTATATTAGTTTCAAAAGCAGAAAATATTTAAAGACAAATTTAACAACATGTGCAAGACTAACATTCTGAATACTAGAAAATACTGCTGAAAGAAATTAAGGAAGGCATACAAAAATAATTATATACCATGTTCATGGAGCTGAACACTCAGTTAATACTGTTGTGATACTGATTCTCCCTAAAATGATCTATAGATTCAACACAATCTAAGTCAAAATCTCAGAAAGCATTTTTGTAAAGATTGACAAAAAAACTAAAAATTTATAATACAGCCAGAACAATTTTTAAAAGAAACAAAGGCAGCCATAAAAAAAGGATGAGTTCATGTCCTTTGCAGGGACATGGATGAAGCTGGAAACCATCATTCTCAGCAAACTAACACAAGAGCAGAAAACCAAACACCACATGTTCTCACTCATAAGTGGGAGCTGAACAGTAAGAACACATGGACACAGGGAGGGGAACATCACACACCGGGGCCTGTCATGGGGTGGGGGACAAGGGGAGGGATAGCATTATGAGAAATACCTAATGCAGATGATGGGTTGATGGGTGCAGCAAACCACCATGGCATATGTATACCTATGTAACAAACCACCACGTTCTGCACATGTACCCCAGAACTTAAAGTATAATTTAAAAAAAAAAAAGTTGAAGGATTTACACTACCTGATTTTAAGACTATTTAATACAGTGTGCTCTTGTAATAACAAAATACATACATCAATGGAACATAACAGAGAATCCAGAAATAAATCTACACAAATACGGTCATTTGATCTTCAACAAAGATGTCAAGGTAATTCAAGGGGAAAAGAAAAACCTTATCAACAAATGATACTTGAACCTTGACATTACCTCATAACATTCACAGAAGTTAACTCAAAATGAACTGTAGACTTATAAATAAAAGCTAAACTATAAAACTTCTCAAAGTTTTATAGTTTGAGACAAAAATCCCACTGCCCCATGTAAGGCAAACATTTATCAGACAGGACACCAAAAAAGCAGGTATCCATAAGGGAGAAAACTGACAAACAGCACTTCATCAAAATTGAAACCTTCTGCTCTTTGAAAGATACCATTAAGGGATAAAAATATTCACAACATAATGGAGAAAATGAAAAAAAGACTTCTATGTAGAATATATAAAGATGTCTTACAGCTGAGTAATAAGAAGGCAAATAACCCTATTAAAAATGGGCAAAAGATGTGAACATTAAACTTAAAAAGATGTATGAAGAGCCACTCAGTAAATGAAAAGCATTTAGAATCATTAGTCATCAAAGAAGTGGAGATTAAAACGATATGGATATACAAGTAAATATCCACTAAAATGTCTCAACTTAAAAAGGCTCACAATGCAAAGTGTTGGTGAAGATATGGAGAAACTGGAACTCTCATTTACTACTGATGGGACTGTAAAATCATACAACTACTTTGGAAAACAGTTGCACAGTTTCTTATGAAATAAAAGATACATATACCATGTGACCCAGAAATCCCACTCTTTGGTATAATATTCACCCAAGAAAAATGAAAGCATATGTCCATACAAAGGCATGTACTCAAATCTTCATAGCAACTTTATTCATAATACTACCAAAAGTCCATGAAAGGCAAACAGCAAAATTGTAGTTTAAACATAAAAGGAACACTAGTCAACAGAAAAATGGAACAAACTACTGACAGATACAAACACAGATGAATCACGAAAACATTTTGCTGAGGGACAAAAGCCAGACACTAGAGAATACCTATTGCATGATTCCATTTAGGAAAAAAACCTACAAATTTTTAAGATACCACCGAAGAACACAAAAAGATCCACAATTCATACATTATGAAAGCCACTCCTCAACACTGGAAAGCTATAATTTAAAAGATTTTTGTGATTTCACAAAGTTAACACCAAGAACAATCAGCATTACTGTTTGAGTCTGTTTCCTCATCTATAAATGGTGTAATATCTATACCTCGTAAGTTCAGTTGTGAGAATTAAGTAAGCATGTAATGTGCTCAGCACAGTGACTGGCATACACTAAAAACTCCTTAAGTACCAAGTATTTACTGTGGTACACACGACTAATTTCTTAATGACATTCTTATTGAAAAGTCGTCACTGCGTCCAAGACATCAGAAAGGCAAATATTACAGTAAAAGCCAAATTAGAAGTTTTGGAATATATTTAGAATCATTAAATAGCTGAATACTATAATTTTTTAAAAAAACTAATAAGGTCTTAAAAGAACAGATTTATTTCAAAACATATAAATAGATACTAATTCACAGGAAACAATATCTTTAAGTCAGTAAAATTTCACACAAGCAAGCATTTAAGGAAGAAAGTGATTATACACACTCACGAAACGAGATTGTTCCAATTACAGGAGGTAAAAAAGAAAAATGACACAAACTTGAATAGGGATGAACAAACAGCAAAGGAGGGTGTAGGATAGACAGATGGGCAGAACACAATTTTGTATAACCTTAACCCTGAAAATAGGAAAGCATCTGAATTTAATATTAAAAAATACAGATAAGAGAATGGTAAGATTAATCCTGTCAACTAGAATAAAGCACAATTCCAGCCCAAGTGCTAGGTAGGTTAAAAAGATAGGTTTTTATACAATCTCCACTAAAACACAACTTATTACATTCTTAGCTAGTGGATGGAGAAGGTAGCATTTGTGTGACAATGTGATAACACAGTAATGCCAAGAAATACCCATTATCCCCCCCATGCCCTTCCACCTCCATCTACATCCACTCAACTACCCAAAGGCCCAAAACATCTGTTCAAACAGCTTCCGTTCTTTTCTGAAAAAATAAAAAAGAAAGTAGCTTTATTGAGATATAATTTACATACAATTCACCCATTTAAAGCATACACTTGAATGTTTTGATACCCTCAGGTATGTGCAACCCTCACCACTATCTAATTCCATAACATTTTCATCACCCTTTAAAAGAACCCCAGTACTAATTAGGACTCACTCCCCATTCCCTATGCCTACCCCAGCCCCCTATGGCTCAGTCTCAGGCAGTGGGACACCTACTTTCTGTCTCTATACATTTGCCTATTCCAGAAATTTCATACAAATGGAATTACACAATATGTGGTCTTTTGTGGCTGGCTTCTTTCACTTAACATGTTTTCAAGATTCATCCCTGTTGCAGCACATATCTACACTTCATTCCTTTTTATTGCTGAATAATATTCCCTTGTGTGGAAATACAACCTATTATGTATTCTTTCATCAACTGATGGTCATTTGGGTGATTTCAACTTTTTACCTATTATGACTAATGCTGCTATGAGCATTTGTACACAAGTTTTCACATGAATCTATGTGTTCATTTCTAGCTTCTGTTCTTACAATAAAAAACCTAAGAGTGTCTTCAGATTTTCTGTATCACTGCCTTGGGGTATCTAACATCTTCTCCATAGTGATCCACATATTGGCTGACATTCCCCAGTCATTGCATAGCAACATTTCAGTCAGTAATGAACCACATAAATGACGGTGGTCACATAAGATTATAATGGAGCTGTGCTATATTAAGTCTACCATTTTTTATCTTTTATACCATATTTTTACTGTACCCTTTCCACGTTTAGATATGTTTAGATACACGAATACGCACTACTATGTTACAAATGCCTACACTATTCAGCAGAGTAACATGCTGTAAAGGTTTGTAGACTAGGAGCAATAGGCTATACCAAATATAGCCTAGGTGTGTAGTAGACTGTGCCATCTAAGTTTGTGTAAATACTGTGCACTCTATGATGTTCACAAAGTAACAAAATTGGCTAATGATGCATTTCTCAGAACATATCCCTGTCATTAAGTGACTCATGACTGTACCTATTGTATTTTCCCAAATAAGTTATCACTACTACCACCTCAAATCTATAATCAGTAACCATACTGAAAGTTTCCACATTAAACTTAATATTAGCCTGTAATAAATATTAAGGCTAATATTTATTAATACATATTATCAATTACAAATTCATTAGAATTTTAATTCTTCAGATTGAGGATGTGACTTCCCAAATGCTAAGTTTCTATTTGCCCTACTCTTCAGTATCATGGTACAAGCTAATATTCCCAGTATTCCTTCTCAGGCATATGGTGACTGGAATCCATCACTTTTACAGTCCTCAACCACCCAAACACCTGTAACAAGAAGCACACACAAACACAAACTTTAAAAATAGGAACACTTTAAAATGTAATCTTTTGTACTTCACATAATGGCCAAATATGCATGACTTTGGTTAAACAATCTAGTAAAGTGTCGAAGTCTATCAAACAGGTTTCCATATTAATAAGGCTTTTAACCAGAATGTAGAAAAAGTTTGGATGCTCTATTCATGATATTCACCAACTTCCTAAAGTTCTGAACTGGAAGAAGCCTCAGAGGACATTTGAGGAATGCAAACTCTAAAGCTCAGAGAAATGAAATAGAATCCAGCAGTATAATACCAACTACCAATCTAATCTATATCGAAATAGGGTTCTATCTATTTAAAACGAACAAAAAGCACCTGAACTAACGGAAAATAAAAATTCCAAAAGGTCTTAAAGCTAACTTGACAGATGAACATAACAACTTGGGAGTTCTCTTACAAGTAACGTGACACTCCTAAAGTATTAGTTTGAATCTTAAAAGAAAAATGAGTTTATTTCAGACTATCCTCATAACATCCCCTTTGCTTACACTATGATATCCCTTCTTCCGTGGAAGAGAACTGGGGTGATTTATAGCTACTGCCCTAAGAATTGCACATTACCTAGTAACTGTTCTATCTACAACATATCCCAGGATAGTTGTGGCAATTATAAATTACTGTAATACTAGACCTCTCTGCTATAAAAGTCAAGGGAGTGCATCATGCATGTCAAAATTTTACCTACTGTATCTCACAGAAGAAAAAGGCTGACAACTACTTATCTAGACCAGCAGAGCTACAGAGATGACTTTAAAGCCATATGTCGAAAGCTCAGCTCAGTCCAAATGCTAGATGAATAGCGACTTTGCAAAGCGTAAAATCCTGAGTCATTTGTAAGACAGCAATGTAAAGGATTCATTTACATACCACATTTTCACTGAGATGCTACATCAAGAGAATACAAGAAGAAATAAGACAAGCAGAAAAGCCTTCAATGCAGTGTGTATACATCTATTACCTTAGTATAAGGTCAAATATGAAAAATACAGTAAGGCAGAAAAAATACTATCGGATTTTAAAAGAGAAAAACTACTAATGAGAAGGAATCCAGTTTTCAAGGACAGCACAGTCTGGCCTGGGAAAGGAAATCAAGAAGAAAGCGGGATACAAGGAAGAATGACGAAAGGACAATCTTTACCCCCATCTTCCACTCGAAAGCTGTGTATTCCTACCAATTCCCTTCAAACAATCAAAGAATGAGCCTATCACTATGCTTTCTAAAAAAGTATCTTCAGCATTATTCTTTAAGGCACCAAGCTTTATTAATCATTATTAATGTTAATAATAAGAAAGGACATATACATTATCTTCATTATCTTATATGGGCATATTAAAGAAGGCTTTGGTCACTTCCACGATTACAAACTGTCAATGGCTCTTTTTTTTCTTTTACCTGAAGAACAAAATTTAAACTGTTGAACATTCCAGCGGCATTAAAAACTGGTCTCGAGCTCTCTTTCCCACTTTACCATCTCTTTTTCTGAAAAACCCTCCAATCTAGCCAAACTGTGTCCAACAAGCAGCTCTTCTTTTTCTGTTTTGGCTCTTTTGCTCAAACTGTTCTATGTGGTGTATTTTTTCCACAACTCTGACAATAAAACTTGATATCCAGTTCAAATGTCAATCCTTCCGTGAAGCATTCCCTGAACACCTCCAAACTCTTCCTCTCCTGAACTCCCTAATCCATTATCATGTGTAAGATTTACACATCACTTAGTAATTAATGGGATTTTACCCTGCCTAAACCATTACCTCCTAGAAGCAAAGAGCTATATCTTATATATGTTTCCATTTCAGAATCAACAATATAGAAATAATCACTAAAACAGTGAGAAACAGATAAGGGACAGAGTCCAAAAGAGGAAGGGTTTGGGGGAAGCAGAACCTAGGCCATTGTATGGGGATGATCCATATTCACCAGTTGAAAGAAAAACACGGGAGGTCAATAAAAAGAAAGAGTTTTGGCAAATGATCACTCAAATGAGGAAATGAAGGTATAATGAGTCTGAGAAGTCATTAAGACTTGTGGAAACTATGAAAAAAAAAAAAGAAAGCTCATAAATGAAGTCCCAATGACAGACACATGGGCATAGAGACCGACTGCCTCTAAACATTTGAAAGCCATGTGGATAACTCCAAAGCTGTGTCATTAATAGCAAAAGATTTTAATTTATATTATGATGGAATTCTGATGTTAAAAGCCAATATGCCCTTTAATTCTGGTTGATATTTTTACAAAAAGAAATGTATAATGACTAATGAAGTTAAGTCTATTTCTTACTCCAACAGAAAATACTGACAGACTACTTACTAACTCTAAGGAAAGAAATGTTCACAAGTAATAAATATTTTAAGCAACTAATTTATAGAGGAAAACCAAGCATAAAGAACTTCTACACAATTCCAACTTTATGTTAAATCTCTCATGTTAAAAAAATAGATAAAAGGCATAAAAGAGAACTAATTAAGCTACCTAACAGATTTAGTGCCATCTTACTAAACACAATAACAAGTGTAGAGTCAAGGAATAACATCATACCTACCATTTATTGGAAGAAAGGAACAACTGTCAAAACCATAAAATAAAACCAAGAAAACCAAAAGTAGAATAAATATATAAAGAGGTAATGAAGTTTAATTTTCAAAAAGCTAACATCTACCAAACCAATTCACAAGTTTAGAAGTTACCTTTTCAGAAAACATCTTATGTTAGATTGACATTGGAATAAAAAGTACCAAAGGAGGCCCTTGGTCAAATACAGGCCTATAACTCCTTCATATAATAAAACCAAGCCATTTCCTATTTATATTATAGACACAAACCTCTGAATAACCTTGCTTTTCAGAAAAAGCAGTAAGACTTGCAATAACCCAGAACCAGTATTTGCAAGTTATCAGAATGAAGTAAGGGCATTTAAATGTAGTTTATTTCTCCTCCTCCACAATACCTTCCGGAGACTCTAGCTTACCAGTGGAAGTTGACTGCCTATGTCTTTTCATAACTAAAAGCTTTATTAGCACGGGCAGGATAAGTCAATGGGTTTTCCTCACCCCTCTCAAAGTAAAGACTTGCCACAGTGGTGCAAGTGTATCTATGCACTCAAATACTATCCCTAAACCATGTGAAAAAACAAGAAAGGAAAAGGAAATTCTATTCCAAACCACACAGCACAGCCTGAAGACAAAGAATGTTGACAATGCAAAACTGTGAGGGGGGCGGGGGAAGTCACCAAATCCCAGCCATTGATCCCTCAAACTGTCATTCACCCCAACTCTTTGACTGATCCCCCAAACTCTCATCCATCCGAAACCCCAAAGCTTTGTGGCAAGAGGCTAGCAATGGGACCTAAGGATCATCTGGAAAGATCATCAGAAATATTAAACCCACCCTAAAATCTGAAAATAGTGGAGAAGTGTCTGGAGAGATTAGAACACAGACTACAGGGAAGGAATTTCAAAATTCTCTTGATTTAAAGGGCCACATAAAGAGGCGCACCGAAACACACAGCTTCTGGCAGCAGGCAAAAATGGGCAAAAGGGAGAGGAAACTGTTCTTCAGTAACTGTAAGGTAAAAGGAAAAAGAAAAGGGAATAGTTAAGGTCCTACAAGACCTTAAAAGACTCATAAAATTGCAAGTCCCACAACTCTTCTCCAACCATTGAAACAAATGAAAATCACTGAAGTAACAGGACTACTCTATACTGACAAAAGAGGGAATCAATAAACTAGGAATACTATAAAACACTCAATACTATAAAAATGAACAAGGCTGGGCACAGTGACTCACGCCTGTAATCCCAGCACTTTGGGAGGTTGAGGCAAGTGGATCACTTGAGGCCGGGAGTCCGAGACCAGGCTGGCCAACATGGCAAAACCCCGTCTCTACTAAAAATACAAAAAATTAGCCAGGCATGGTGGCACGTGCCTGTAATCCCAGCTACTTGGGAGGCTGAAGCACAAGAATCGCTTGAAACTGGGAGGCAGAGGTTGCACTGAGCTGAGATCACGCCACTGCATTCCAGCCTGGGTGACAGAGTGAGACTCTGTCTCAAAAAAAAGGACAAAAGAAAAATAAAGTCCAGAAAATTAAGAAAGAGAATGTGGTACATATCCAGCAAGGAACCCTGCCCCACCCTCCACTGACCGAAAAAAAAAACCCTAAAGCAGAAAAAAAAACTATAAGCCAATACTCTAAACAGAATTAAATACATTCAAACAAGCATTTGATGATATGAAAACTACCGTGAATCAGAAATCTAAAAACTAAATGGACAAAATACAAAGAGCAATTTAAAAGGTGGCTAAATTCAGACAAGAAATGGGAAAAAATACAACATTAGTACAGAAATGAAGACTAAATTGCAAGGCACCCAAGAAAGAAGTGATTCAAATGAAAATGAGCTACCACAGGTCATGTGTTATGAGCCCCATCTATCCACATCTGGTGTTAGGTTTCATCTGACAACTCTCCTTCCACCATTTCACAGTAACTCAAAAGCCACACACCTTAGGACACTCACATAAGCAAACTTCATGCCTTTTTCATGGTAAAGTAACACATTTATCATGTACTTATATATTCCTTAATGATTTAACATGTCTAAAACCATGCCACTGTTTTAATCAGGTTTAAGTTCCAATCCTTTCTTTTACTGTGTCAGTGATAAAGTTTTTGAATGCTATTTCTCTAACTTCATTGATCACACGAACCCTGTGGCTTTCATTGCATGATTATGCATACATAGTGATTTTGGGGAATAAATATGCTGCGTTATAGCAGAATTGACTGTGGATGTGAGTAAATGTGTGGGTTCGTATACACACGTATTTCTTAGCTCTGTCTGCTGAGAAGGAAAAAGACTCCCCAGTAGCAATGAGCGGCAGTCCTAGTACCCAGATCTCGGTTTCTAAATGCTATCCCCCAAAACAAGGAGCCAGGGCTTTGTGGGAAAGAAGATGATTACAGGGTTGGAGCTGGTAAAATGCAAGATGAGCCTGAAGTTTCTCAGAAACTTTTCAGTACCAGAAAGTGAAGAAGAGCTTTCAAGCTGAAGGGAGAATGTAAAAAGGACAAGGAACCAACCGGACAGAGCTCTCAATGCCAAAGCAGAACGATCTGAGCAGTAACATAAGCAACAGCATCAGATTGCAACCTAGAAAATAAAAACCTCTAAGTCCATACTGATATAAATGAATGAATAAATAAACGAGGGAGAAGGGACACTTCTTCACTGAAGAATTTTAATAAATGAGAAAGGAACAAGGAAATCACAAAATCACCATGAGGTTAATACTACAGTAGTAGGTATCACAGATAAGTTCCAGCAATGAATGCTGAAGTGAATGGATGAAAGTTGGAAGAAAAAACAGAAATTAGCATAATCTCAAAGTATCTCCCCCAAAATATTTATCAACTACACTATGACTTTACAGAGGAGAGATCAGCAGATATTACCTTAATTAAGTGAACAAGATTAACGTCATTAGTAATAAGACAGTGACATCCTGTAGCCCCTGATATAAACATACCTCCTGATATGATACCATTACTTCGGTATATTGCCAAAAATGTATAATCCCACATTAATCATAAGAAAGCATCAGAGAAACCCAAATTGAAAGACATTCTACAAAGTAACGACCAGTACTCTTCAAAAAAGCATCAAGATCATAAAGACAACAAAAAAAATGAGTTAATATCACAGATTTCAGGAGACTAAAGAAACACAACAAATAAATGCAATGTGGGATTATGGATTGAAACTTAGAACTTAGAACAGATAAACACCATTAGAAGAAAAACTGATTAAATTCAAAAGAAGGTTTTCATAGTGAAAAGGTAAACAGTATCATACCAGTATTACTTTCCTGGTTTTGGCATTTACATTATGGTTATATAGCTGTCCAACATTAAAGCTTATTTTCCTGGCATTCCTGAAACTAGGTTAATTACCCTTGCAGATGTGTACTCTGCATCGTACACATCTATTACACATCAAAATCAAGCACAAATCGTCTATGTCCATACTCCCCCCTGACCGTGAAAGCCAAGCCTTGCAGCACCTAGCCCAGTGGACTGAATAAAGTAATGAAGTTACCAGTTGTTACCAGTTATTTCAAACTGTGAAATAAATCTTTATGTTTCTTCTAGAATAATAGTTATTAAAAACAAAATATATAAGCCAAAGTAACACAATAGTTACAAAGAATTTGAACTCAATAACTCCTGGATCAGAAGCATAATATTCCTTCCACTATGCTTTATAGCACTTAATTTCACTTTCATAAACAATTTAACATTAATTACATATACAGTGTGTAACACAGAGTTAAAAAGGATCTAGCTATCATATCATTGTATAATTAAAGTGATGCCCAGAAAGGTTATTTTACTTGCTAATGAACGAAACAGTATAACAGCAACGCCAACATTAGGCATTTTGATGTTCATTAATTATATACTTTAATTTCAGGAATTAGGCTTTTAAAATTTTTAAGTTAAAAACTAAAGTTTATGGCCAGGCGTGGTGGCTCACGCCTGTAATCCCAGCACTTTGGGAGGCCGAGGTGGGTGGATCATGAGGTCAGGAGATCAAGACCATCCTAGCTAACAGGGTGAAACCCCGTCTCTACTAAAAAATACAAAGAAAAAAAATTAGCCGGGCGCGGTGGCAGGCGCCTGTAGTCCCAGCTACTCAGGAGGCTGAGGCAGGAGAATGGCGTGAACCTGGGAGGCGGAGCTTGCAGTGAGCCAAGATTGCGCCACTGTACTCCAGCCTGGGTGACAGAGTAAGATTCCGTCTCAAAAAAAAAAAAACAAAAAAACTAAAGTTTATGTTTCTTCTAGAATAACAGTTATTAAAAACAAAATATATAAAATCAACACTTCACTTAAAAGAAAGGTTTCCACAAAATTAACTAAAATATTATAACAAATACAGGAATAGTTCATTATCATATGAAAGTAATAAAAATAATGTTGGGTCATTATTATAATTATAAACAACAACCTTGTTCGAGACAAATCAACCACGCTCAAGACACTATGAACATACTCACTGAGTAAGTAAAAGATATAAAACAGGATTCACACTCCTGTTTTAAAATGTTTTGGAAAACAAGACCCAACCACTGTAGAATTATTAAGAATTCGGTGAAAGTAGTTATTTAAATTGTTAACACTTTCAAAGAAAACAGTTTCTCCTAGGAGTTTTGGGACTATAAAGATAAATTACAAACTACTGCCCGAGGAATCAGCATAAATTCAAAATTTCTCAGGTTAATAAGCCAAAAGGCTCTAAAACAATGAAACTCCAATATCAATAGCATACCTGCTGCCTGGTTTCTGGTTTCTAAATACTCTTACCCAATAAAGGAAAACTTGAAATAATGTAATGACTGATTCCAGGACAACAGCAGGAGATGACCATAAGATGAGCCTGGAATATCTTACTGGTCCCGAATGCAAGAAAGTGCTCAACAAATGATGGGGGCATGTTAAAACAACCAATGAGTTAATGTGAAGAAGTTTCCACTAACCAAATGTGGGTTAATTTGGAACATCAAAATGAATACTGGCAGGTAATAGAAAACAACCTACTTAATAAAAAAGAATCCATTATATCATATTGATATCAAAATGAATAGGACAAGGTCTTCTTTAAAACAGACTAGAATGCCCACTAATAAATGGAGAGGGAACGATGGTTAGAAAAACACTATTTTGCAATTCTGTGTAGTAAGTGATTCAGGCAAGAGTAATCAATGAATGCTAAAACCATTCTGTAAGCGTTTGGAGGAGGAAATTTTCAGTCTCCAAGTGTCTCCAACAGATTATTCAGTAATAACAAAGGGGACTATGATACCTTTTGTAATAGAGAAAACTAGCAGGTAAAACCTTAACTAAGTGGTCCAAATAAACATCAACAACATGGTCAAAATGACACCGTACTGCCTCATGATGTGATGCACTGAGGATATACCATCACTTACATGGGATTTTTGCCAAAAATGCAAAACCTGAATCTAATTACAAAGAAGCACCTGGACAAATCCAAACTGATGGACATCCTACAAAACAAAGGGTCTGTACTCTACAAAACCCAAAAATTAAAAAGGCTGAAGAACTGTTTCAGATTAAACAATACAAGGGATATAATTAAAATGCATTGTATAATATTGGAATGGGAAAAATATTAAAGGATATTATTGACACTATGGGAAAAATTTCAACATGAACTGTACATTAAACAATAAGATCAATATTAAATTTCTTGAATCCCCCATACTAATGTAAGAATATGCCCTTATTAGGAGATATCAGTTGAAGTATTTAGGGGTAAGGGAACTTGATGTGTGCAACCTCCTCTCAAATGGTTCAACAATAAAAATAATTTTAATAGGAAGAGAACAAAAAAGAGAAAAAAAGGAGATGAGGAAAAAGATCTACACAGTGGATTCTTGATATTATATAACAATGCCTGATATGTTAATGATAATAACATGTCAGGTTTCCTTGTTAGAAATGTACACAGTGCATTAACATAGCATTTCCATCTATCCCTGTATATAACCTGAATTTAATCATACCTGTGATGTTTTGCCACTGACTTTAACTAAATAAACTTGCATCTTTGACATATTCTAGACCAGAGGTCCCCACCCCGGGGCCATAGATCAGTACCAGTCCATGGCCTGTTAGGAATGGGGCCACACAGCAAGAGATGAGCGGCATGCCAGTGAGTGAACCTTCATCTGTATTTACAGCCGCTCCCCGTCGCTTGCATTACCACCTGAGCTCCACCTCCTGTCAGATCAACGGCAACACTTAATTATCACAGAAGCACAAACCCCACTGTGAACCACACATGCAAAGGATCTAGGTTGTGCACTCCTTATGAGAATCTAATGCCTGATGAGATCATCAGTCACTGTCTCCCATCACCCCAAGATGGGACCCTCTAGTAGCAGGAAAACAAGCTCTGGGCTCCCACTGATTCTACATTATGGTGAGTTGTATAAGTATTTCATCACATATTACAATGTAATAATAATGGAAAATAAAGTGTACAATAAATGTAATGTGCTTGAATCATTTTGAAACCATCCCCTCCCCCCACCATTCATGGAAAAATTGTCTTCCACGAAACTGGTCCCTGGTGCCAAAAAGGCTGGTAATAGCTGCTCTAGGCAGAAGATGTAATCAAGGAGTTTCAATCTGTAAATAAAATAATAATCTCTGTTTCCAGACTTTGTACCCACTCTGCAAATATAAAAAGAGAGCAAGAACGACAAAGCAAATGTGGTACATGGTAACAACTGGTGAATCTGCGGCAGATATAAATGGGAGTTCATTGTACTATTCTTGTAACTTTTCTCTAGGTTTGATTTTTTTCCGAAATAAATTTAAAAAAAAAAATCTGTCAACCCTAAAACTGTACTTTGTGGAAATTAAGCCATTTCTGAAAGAAAACAAAAACAAAACCTTAACTCCTAGATTCTTCTCTCCCTTTCTCTTCGTAATCCATACCATCAATTAGGTTTAACACCATTAATAAAAAGGTTTTCAGTATCAAAATAAACATTTTGCCAAAGGAATCCCCAATTTACAAATGGGATATGTTCCAAAAGCCTATTTGTAAGTCAGCTATTTAGAATGGGGAATGACTTTCACTATTACAAATGGTGACTGGGTTCCTAATGTTGGCTACAAAAGTTCTTTGATGTATTTTCATTAGCAATACAGCTGAATTAGTAATGTATTTCATGTATACTGTGTTAATTTCCATAAGGTTCCCCCCTCAACTTGGAGCTTTTCTATAAACATATGAAATTAGTTGGATAAGCTAGAGGGAAGTAATAGGGCCAGAAGGGATGTTGGTTAGTAATGAACAACAGAGATATGCATTTCAAACTGGAAATACTTCCCTCAGACAAGATGGCTACTCAGTGCCCAGCAAGAAAGCAAAATAGAATCTGAGGAAATGCCCCTTGTGCTCCACAGCTCTCAAATTCCTGCCCTTAGAATAATGACCGTATGTTAATAGAAAACACATAAAGTAAGATTATAATTTGGAAAGTACCTTTATGATTTTTAAAGTGTGATTTGGGAAAACTGGTCTGTGGTTGGTTATTTCCGTTGATTAGGACAACTTCTTTTTTTTTTTTTTTTTTTTTGAGACGGAGTCTCGCTGTTGCCCAGGCTGGAGTGCAGTGGCGCGATCTTGGCTCACTGCAGGCTCCGCCTCCCAGGGTTCACGCCATTCTCCTGCCTCAGCCTCCCGCATAGCTGGGACTACTGGTGCCCACCACCACGCCCGGCTAATTTTTTGTATTTTTAGTAGAGATGGGGTTTCACTGTGTTAGCCAGGATGGTCTCGATCTCCTGACCTCGTGAATCGCCCGCCTCGGCCTCCCAAAGTGCTGGGATTACAGGCGTGAGCCACCGCGCCCGGCCGATTAGGACAACTTCTACTCAATTCAACATTTACTGAGAATTCACTATATCTACTATAATAGGTTGGTTGGTAGATACTGAGCACACAAAAGAGCCAGCTGGTCCTTGACATAGCAATTCAGCCTAATAGAAGACAGTGACATCAATTATATTCAAATAATCAAATAATATTCTAAATACCTAACATGGGATTTACTCTACAAATAGTGCATGTATCATGGGCTTTAGAAGCACACAAGAGCAAGAGCAAAAAACTTTTGTCTAGGAGATTAAAACTGGTATCACAGATGACATCTGAGCTAAGACTTAAAGGATAAGTAGTTCAATAACTATAACTATGTGTGCAAGACAGCATTCCAATCATTGGCAAAAAACAGGAACAAAGATACAGAAGCATCAAATATTTACTATCTTCCAAATGCCAGGCGGCATGCTAATGCCTGGGGATACAGCTAAGAGTAAGATGAACAAGGCCTCTGCCTTTATGGAGTTTACATTCAGGTAATGGACAAATACCATAAATAAGCAATAACTAAACAAACCAGGTATACACAAATTACAATTGTCTTGAAGGAAATAATCTGTGTAAGAGAGTAAAATGACAGACTGCAATATTAAATAGGATGGTCAGATTAGGCCTCTGAGTGAGAAGTGAGATTTGGGCCAAACTCCAAAGTGTTTAGCCAAGCCAGACATTTGAAGAATATCCCAAGGAGGGAGTACAGAAAGTGCAAAAGGCCCTAGAAGAAAAAAGGGTGCAGAGGGTTTAAGAAACACTGAGAGGCCTTCGTGGCTGACATGTGATGAATGAGGGGAAGAATGATGAGAAGGAGAAAGCTCATTCAGGGCCATTTAGGCCACAGAATGGAGGACTTGATTTTGAGAGGAATGGGAAGTCACCAGAAGATTTTAAGCAGAGAAATGATATGATCCAATATAGGCTCTTAAAATAATTCTCAGGCTGCTGTGTGAAGAAAAAAAAAAAAAAAAAAACTTCTATGGAGCAAGAAGAAAAAGAAGCAGCCCACTTAGAAAATTACTGCAGTACTTCATGCAAGAGAATGATGGCTTCAAATAAAGAGGTGGCAACGAAGACTAAGAGCAGTGGACTGCTCAAGGCAAATTGTGAAGGTGCAACAGGACGTGGGGATGGATTGGACTTAAGAGAAATGGAAAGAATCAAGAATAATATCTTAAGTTTTTGGCTTGGGTACTGCCATTTATGGATATGGGGAATGCCAGCAGAGACACCAGGGTTTAGGGGTAGGAAGAAGGTTGGGGGAAGAGGGAAAAATAGCTATATTTTACCCACATCATTTATATTATACTTGAGATTCCAACTAGACTTCCAAGTGAATATCAAACTCAAGAGAAGTCTGGGCTGGGAAAATAAAAGTAGTAGTCATCAGTATGAAAACATATGGCCTTTTCAGATTAGCGCTAATAGCTGGCTTTGACTAGGGCATAGAAACTGAAAGGTGATGGCTGAAAATGAGCCTCAAAAGACACGATGGAATCATATTATAAAGTGAGCCATGACTAACAGCAATAGCAGTAGTAGTAACGATAGTAATGGTAGGAGGAAAATTAATGCAGGTTATATACCAGGCACTGCACTTTATAATACACACCTCATTTAATCCTCTCAAAAACTGTATGAAATAATGTTATAATTACTATTTTATACACTAAGCCTCAAAAATCATAAGAACTTGCTGAAGAACACAAAGTGCAAGTAACTAAATAAGAACACAGTAAGAACAGTGGGTATTTTAACTTAGGATGGGAAGTCTGTTGTTGTTGTTGTTGTTTTTTTTTTTTTGGAGATGGAGTCTCATTCTATCACCCAGGCTGGAGTGCAGTGGCACGATCTCGGCTCACTGCAACCTCTGCCTCCTGGGTTCAAGCGATTCTCGTGCCTAAGCCTCCAGAGTGGCGGGATAACAGGTGTGAGCCACTATGCCCGGCTAATTTTTGTATTTTTAGTGGAAACGGGGTTTCACCACGTTGGCCAGGTTGGTCTCAAACTCCCGACCTCAGGTGATCTGCCCGCCTCCACCTCCCAAAGTTCTGGAATTACAGGCATGAGCCACCGCGCCCAGCCAGGAAGTCTGATTTTACAGGCCAATCTTCTATCCCTTACATTACTGCCACTCTATTGATCTCATACGCCTTCAAAAGTTGTTTTTTTTTTTTTCTTTAAGAAGAAATGACATATAGATCTGAATTTTAGAAATATAATTCCAATTTCTATGTAGAAGATGGACAGCTAAGGATGAGGACGAGAGGTGAAACAGGCAAATATAGTATTAGTCAATGCAAGAGCCGCTTGTTTTATTAAGCCCAAAAGTTACAATTTCTTTTACCAGGTCGAATGGGAAGCAGCCCTTTGTTCCAAGTGTCACAAATCATGCCTCAAATGAATCCACGTCAACCTGCACATGCATGCTGCTGGTCACGCAAGTAACAAAGTAAAAATGTCCAGCTCATGCAGTATAAACTTACTGACCACTACTGAAAACCTTTCTCAAGCATATAATTTTAATAATGGTGAGAATTTTTTTAAGTCCATATATTAAAGGTTTTTGTTTTGTTTTTGCTTTGTTTCCTTTTTATGTTTTCATGTTTTCTTGTTTATTTTGTTTTTGAAGTTTGTATTTTTGTGTAAGGAAGTAAAATTAGTATTAATTCAAGACAACCATAAAAAGACATGCCCGGGTTGGTATTTACTAGAAGTTTGATTAATTAATATGTTTTTCACCCATGTTTGTTCCTCTGGCTTTTATCAACATCACTTGTTAAAATAATGATGAAGTAAATTACCTGCCTTCATACACCAATGTTTAAATATGGTATTCCACCTCACAAAGGAGCTAATATTTTTAACTCATATGCTTATGATTTCATCTCGACTAAGATAATTAATAATTAAAATATTAAATTCAGTAAATATCAATTAAATTCTGTAAATATAAATATTATTAAAGTATAAAGCATCTATATAAAAATTTAGTACTTATTAAATAAGTACCAACCTATATCGTGTGCTATGTGTAAGATTTACTAATTAACAAATGGATTTACACTCTTAATTATAATAAACTGGACACAAGGTCCATTTATTATAAGGCACACAGATAAACTATACACGAGAAAATCATTAATTTCACACCAAATCAAAGTATTTTAAAAATTACAGATTAACTAAAGTTACTTTAAAATATTAAAATAACCTTCAATATTAAAATATTTAAAAACTTTTCTTCAGAAATTAAGCTATTTTAAAATACCTATTCAAGGTAGATTACAGAAGTATTCTTCTAACTTTAAATTTCAAATACTATATCTTAGAGACCACTCCCACAGTCAATCCCTAAAAGACAGAATTCACTGAAGATTGGGAAACTATTTATATTTAACTTGAATCTTTAGAAAAATATTTGGGGAGATTATGGAGATTAGAAACAAACTATGGTTGAAGATCAAAATTCTAATGTTTTAAAACAGCCAATTAAGCGTTTTATGTATAATCTGACAATGAATTTAAGATGCTGGGATATTTTATCCAAAACAAACACATTAAGCATTCTCTATTGATACATTATACGAAATCCTTTTGGTCACAAACACTAAACGTATGGGTACTGGGCAGGGTACCTACATAATCTTCAGAGGAAAGAAGAAACAAAAGCCAGAAGGGATGCAGGGAGATCAGGCAATACGCATTTTCGCACATGAAGCTTCACGCAGTGTGTTAGAACTTTTACACTCGCTATCTCATTTAATTCCAACACGGGGCAGGTAGTGTAATTCTATCTCATTTTACAGGAGATATCTCAACTCTGTCAGCAGTGGAGCTGGATCTGAATCAAGATCTGACTACAGAGTCAAGCAGCCTTCCTTTACTGGGGCTTGCAAATCAGCATATGTTAAAAGCATTCTCTTGCACGAGGTTATCCAGCTTAAAGGGTGATCTGATTTCCATATTTACACTTATTATTTAAACATTAGGAGAGAAGGCACTCACTTCTCCATTTACTAAGAATCCACAGATTTTCTTTCTTATCTAGAAAAAAGAAATAGTGATCATTTTTGGTCCACAAATGGTTTTCTCATAGTGTCATCGCATAAAAGAAAACTTCAGCTAGACTTTGAAACATTCATATGTACCATGAGTAACCGGGGTATGGTCTGATGACAACACAGAATATGTGAAATTAGAAATGCCCCCAAATCCAGGCCCATCATCATCGTATATTACACTACATTCTTCTTGCCAGACTAAAAGCAGCAAAGGGAGGAAAAAAGATGGTTTTCCAAACTGACAAGCATGCTATTTTTCAGTAACAAATTTGTTCATGGCTTCTTCCTCCTAAATCAGAACACAAATCTACTGAAAAGATTTAGCTAGACTATTTCAAACTCCAAAATCATATTCTAATAAACATTTCCATAATTTCTTAACCACCCTCAGAATATAATTCAATATTCCTCTTTTTGGTAGCCAATTAATGGATGACACTGCTATTGCTGGAATATTAATAAAATTAATATTAACCCACAATGCATGATGGAAAAGGCAAATTGTAACGAAATTGCTTTGAAAAACATAACATCACCATTTGAAACAACTCAACCTTTTTAAGAGATTATTTCCAACTGCATTTACAAAAAAAAATCCTTGTCACACATACCCATATGAAAACAAACTCTAAGAATACAGAAGGAAATTATTCTCAAACCATAATTCAACATGGTGACATTACAATTATTTCTGGGTGTCAATAAGCTATTTTCCTTCCACTGAACACCCCCCAGAATTTAATTTTTTAAAAAACTTTTGAAGGCAAGTAAAGTGTAATTTTAACACTTTTGTTCTAATATGAAATCAAACCACAATTTTATATATAACCATAGTGTGAATTAAAGGAAATAGGTAAGCAAATAATTGCGTTTAGAGAGGTCACCATTACTTCACAGTCACTGTTTTCACTAAGTAGCTACTGGAACCACACTCTTCAACAAAACTGTTAATCTAGAGTCTACAAACATTCAAATCACCAGTTTTAGCTCTTCAGAGTACTTTTGATTATTGTAACACCATTATCACAACTTTTTGCAACAATGCTCACTGAGAATTAAAATAAAGGTGATTCTATTGTCAATGTGTCACCATATATAACAAATACTGATCTTAATGTTTTATGATATACAGGTGTGTGTTTATGACATTTAATATAAACTAATCTAAATCAGCATCTGCTTTAGTGAAAACTCTTGATTCCCTAAAACAAAAGTTGTAATTTACAGAAAAAGAAATGGAGACTGAGCTCTCCAAAAATACACACACACACACACACACACACACACACACACACAGTACATACAAAAGCCATAAAGGCACAATGCAGTCATTTTTATCCTCACTTCCTAAATTCATATTAAAAGAAATGTCATTTTTGTATGTTTAAAAAAGAACTATTTTGTTTACCTTTTCCACAGACTGTTCAAGAACTGCCAAGGTAACACAGATTCTAAAACTGACAACTAGAGTACTTAGCAGTTGCCAAAACAACACAGCTGGATTCTTAAAGGGAAAGTACTCTTGGGTAATGTACACCTAATTACAGCTTTAGAGAACCTCCTCTTCATATAGTAATAGATGATACAAGACACATGGGAAACATACTGTGCTAAAAACCCGAAAAAATGTTAAGACAATGTTTGTTTAAAAATACATATGCTATTGTTAACACATCACAGCAGGCCTTTCTAATAGGGCATTTATTGGAATCCCAATCTCACTGTAAACTAAAACGCAGGTTAACACTATGTTATATTCAAGCTACACACGGTTCCCTGCTGGACCATAACAGGAGGCTCGCTTCACAGCTCCGGAATCTATTTCGGATGTGAGCAACAATTCTATAGTTACACTTTTAAAGAAAAACTGTTTTCTTATTCAGGATTGCTCACCTTTTCCAAACTTGTTTGCACTATCTCACTTACTTTAACCCTCACAGCTCAAAGGCATGAAATCGAGCCAAAAAGCAAAGTTTCTAACACAAAAAATATTTTCTGCGAGCTGGGATCTAGCCGGATGGCAGGGGTTCAGCCAGCGGTTCCCTGTGCAGCCCCTCTGTCCCCGCGACGTCTCCCCGCACGATCGGGCGTCCGCAACCGCAGGTGTCCGCCCCAAACACCGACCCCGCCACTGACATCTACACACTCACAGAATTCGTACCTAAGCGTTCCACCCCGTTAGACCAATCTTCTCCCAAAGCAGAAGTGGGGGAACTTCTTCAAGTCCAACAGGGCAGAAGGCCCCCCGCACTTGGGGCTAATCCCTTCGGGGAGACCCCCGGGCTTGGAGGGAAAAGGGGAAGGAAAGGGCCCTCAGAGCGCACCTTCTCCGGGGTCTCCCGAGAACTCCTTCAACTTTCAAGGAGGCGACGTCCACCACCGCCCCCCGGCCCCAAGGGGTGCGCGCCCGGGGAGGCTGCTCGCCACCAGCCCGCGCGACTGAGCTCCCCTCGGCCCGCCCAGCCGAGCCCCATCCAGCCCCACCGGCCCGCCCTCAGGGCACCCCGCCCCCACCTCCCCGGGCGCCTAGCTCCTCAGCGCCGACCCCGACCCGACCACCCCTCGCCGCCTCCCAGCACCCTACCCGCCTCCCAGCACCCTACCCGCCCCGCCAATGCGCGAACGCGACCCTGGCCCCCTCCAAGCCGGACACGGCCTCGTCCAGGGGTCCCCGGAGCCCCCCGGGCGACCCTCTCGGCCGCGCCGTCCCCCGCCCCAGCACCTCCACCCCAACCCCTACTCGGTCCCCTAAGCGAGACGCCGCCCCCCTCCAGCACTACCGGCGTCGCGGACTGAGCCCCGCTGCCCGCGGCCCTCACCGTATCTCCGGAGCAGCTGGCGGGCGCGCACACGCCGCAGCCCGGGCCCGCCACCAGCGCTTCGCGCCGCCCGGAGCCGCCTCTTTCAGCCCGGGACTCGCCGGGACATCCGCGCACGGATCCCCACACCGGGGCTATTTTTAGGAGACAAGCCTCGGCCAGACCGGAACTCGTTCTGTGCTGCGCGTGCGCACTACCTCCGCCGCCTCGGTGTCCCTCCGCAGCCCTGCCTCCCCTCCCTCCTGGGTTCCCTTCCTCGCTTCTCCCCATCAGTTTCTTTTCAGGACTGAATTATCCTCTCGGTGGGTTCTAGAGTAATTGGAATGGGAAAGACAAGGGTAGGGCAAAGAGAGTCACGGTGCTTGGAAGCGGGCGCTATTCCACAAGGACGTGGGGGCGGACTATGTTTTTCCGGGTGGGTGAGGAGACGATCACCTGGCACAGGAAGAAGATGACGGCGGCTTGGCGCCGGGGCCGCGGGTTGGAGCTCGCTTTCCTCTGAAGGACCGTGTTCCCCTGGAAGGGATACTGGTCACTTGATGAGGGCCCGGGCGCCTCCCAGGGCGGGGCGGCCCGGCGGCGTCGCGCCCTGCCGCCCCCGCTCCGCCGCTCAGCCGCCGCCACCTCCCTGACCAGCCCCCGGGAGCCCAGGCCGGGAGCGGCCCGGTGACGCGGCGCGTGGCAAATCGCCGCGCGTGGCCTCCAGGGCAGCCAACCCGGGCGGTGGGGCGGCGCGGCGCGACGGGACTGGGCGGGGCTCCCGGGGCGGGGGCGGGGCGCGAGGCCGGCTGCCGCCCGGAGTCCGGGGCCGGGCGGGTCCTTCGGGACGCCCGGGTCAGCCTCCTCCCTCCCTCCCTCGAGGCGCCCTTGGCCTCCCCGGGTGTCGGCTCGCCACGCCCGCATTGTGGCCAGGGCCGCACCTGTGCTCGCCCCGGGGCACGGGCAGGTCACCCTCAGGAGCAAGCACAAGGGGACTCTGGGACCCGGGCCCGGAGAGAAAGGGACTTGAAGGGGTCTCGAGGGCGAGAAGGCCCTTTCGGACTGGACAGCCGAGCTCCCCAGGTCCCAGGACAGTAGCAACCTCCTTATCGTGACTTAATAGTTTCTAGGATGCCTGGGGCGGTGAACTATGTGATGGACATTTTGCATATGACAGCTTATGTAATACTTACAAGGCCCCATGAAGCAGATTCAGTTTCTATTCCCATTTTACAGATGAGGAAAGGGAAGCTGAGCGCTAAAGTGACCTGTCAGGGTCACAGCTTCAGAGTAGGGCCCTGAGGACTTGAACTCCTGACCACTCTGCATGTTGCCTTTTCTGAGATAGGTGCAAAGGGGATAGGCTTGGGACAGCTGTTGTGTTTTCTGGGGCTACTGATTATGTTTATCGAGGTCTTTAGGAGATGAGCCATTGTTGGCCCTCTCATCCTGAAAGCCGCTCACCTCTGAAGAGTTTTTCGGGGCCACAGTGCCTGCATGTGCCCCCAGAGGTGCCTGTGTAATGGACACGAAGCCAAATGGTTGTTTGCATTTGAAGATGAGAAATTCAATCCCGCAGCACTTAAAACAAAGTGGTTGGGGTGGGTGAGCAGATGAGCAGAGGCTGTGAGTGGAGGAACTGGGAAGTTACAAAGGAAGCCAGAGACTGGCTGGCTTCCTCCCTCAAGGACAACGGGGCAATGTGCTGGGGAGAGCCCAAAACAAAGGCGGCACATAGACAGCAGACGCCAGAAAATAAACCTGGAGCTCTGCTCAGAGCTCCACAACACCAGTGTTCAGGGGAGCCAGCAAAAGGAACTGCAGGGAGGTTTTTAAAACATGTCAAAATGTGGTGTAAATCAGCAAGTCATGTGGAAATGCATGCTTTTTAACCTGCCAGAAGCTGCAGAGCCGGCTGGATTTGGCTCTTCTGCTCCAAGAGGACGAGAAGAGTTTAATACTTATCCTTTAAAACTTAGGGTCTGGAGTGGGGGCACAGTGATCAGTGGCCCTCTCCTTGCCACCTGCTGTCACCCTGGAAGAAGAGGCAATGAAAACAGACTGTTCCAAAAGATGTTTTCACCCTTATTGCTCCACTCCGGCTCCCACCCTTCCAGAAATTGAGCCTCCTGAGGCACAGAAGACTCAGCTCAGACTGCCCAGCCCTTACCCATTCCAATGCTATTGTTACCCTCAAAATGTCAAGCAGAGAACTCAACTATGAGTCCAGCCACAGCAGAAATGAAAAGAGTGTTTGCATCACCTTAAAGAGCACCTCTCTCCCCACCACTCTGCATGTCAAAGCCCTTGTCTGAGAATTGCAGGCAGTGGTAAGAAGGAAGGAAGGAAAGGAAGGAGAGAAGGAAAAGTGGAAGGCTAAGTTTAAGAATTGTGGAGCACAGCTATTAGCAGAGCACAATCACTGTTATTTGTAGTAAAAGCAACCAATTTTAGGAAATTGCCACAGCCTCTGTTTCAGCTGTTGAAAACCTATACCTGAAGTCTAGCGTCTCTAGCAACTTCGAGCGCTCAGAAAGACCCTGTGCCGAGCACTTACGTGTGCCACTGGCTTGGAGGGAACTGAGGAGCAGCATCTGTCAGTCTTTCCCCTCTGGCCTCCTTAAAGGCACTCAGGGGTCCAGATGTTTCTGAGCTGCAGGGACTGTGCACTGGGCCAGGCACTGAGATACAGAGGTGAGAAAGAGCAGCCCTTTCTTCAAAGGGGCTGGCAGGCCGTGGGGAGGATACACCTTAAAACACAACCCATCATGAGGGGTTTCCTAGAGTGCAGGAAGAGCACAGATGATGAGTGTCTAAGGAGGGACAAGAATTAGGGTAGGCTTCTTAGAGGACATAATGCCCACAGTGAATCTGGAAAACCTCCTGGTAGGATGAAAAAAGGGCCCTCACTGTGTCTTGATGAGAAGAATAATGCTCAAGCTGCCTAGAAGCCAAAGGAACCCCTGACGACTTGGCCAGCTTCTCCCTCACCTCTTCTTCCTGACACCCCACTTTCTCCATTCAGAAATTTGAGAAGCTTCTCTGTACACACCAGCCCGTTTCCTCCTGTCTGCAGGGTAAACTCTGCATCAAGTCAATCCATCAAGTCTCCACTTAGGCATCATTTTCTCTAATATGGGGTTTTACTCAACGAATAGTGTATTTCTTTTTGTATGTCTGTTTCCTCCCTTTAGAGAGTGAGCTCCTTGAAGACTAAAACTGTAACTTATTCTTTATTGTATTCACTGTGTCTAGCACAATGCCTGGAATGTCCTAGAAAATCAAATAAATGTTTCTTAAATATTTATGAGCAGACCTTAGGCAGAGGGAGCGCTGTGTGCGGGGACCTCGAGTGTGGCTCTGAGACCCGACAGCTAGCACAGTGTGCCTGGAGTCTGCATTGAGTACTGGGAAGCAGCTAAAAGAGTAGCTGGGAATGAGATGGCGCAGATCATTAACATGTCAAGATCAAGCCATTTGGATTTTATTCTGAACCCCTGACAGATTTTAAGCAGGTGAGGAGCTTGAGCTATTTGGCATTTTAGAAAGACTACTTAGGGAGTAGTGGTTGGTGGGGAGAGCAAGCCTGGAGGCAAAACAACCAGTTAGGAGGTACTGATGTTGTCAGACCCCCTCCCGCCCTCATCTCCAAAGATCTTCACAAAGTTCCCACACATGCTGATGACTTCCTGTGTGTCTGTGTTTGAGAGCATGCTCTAGCTTAGAGGGCTGGTCTTCGTAGATAAATATCCCAGCTTCCTCAAAACTCAGGAAGACATTTCTGAGGCATGCTCCCCCAAGTCTCTTGTGGAGGGATGGGATGTCCCAGTAGATTGGGCACCCATTGACAGCAGTGGTGACCTACCCATTTGCACACTTCTGTTACCTCTTCTCCTTTCCCCTCTCTCACTTCCTGGGATCACCTTCCAAACACTCTACCTTCACCAGAATCTTTGGGAGTCTACTTCTCAGGGGACCTATTTGATGCCGATGCTACCTGAGATAAGAAAGAGGACCTGAATGAAGGCAGTTTCCTGATACAAATGAGAAAGCAGGGGCAAAATAGAAAGCTGTTTAGAAGTCACAACTCACTGGCTTGCTGACCTTTGAACCAGGGCTTAGGGGGGGTCAAGAAATCCCAGTTGTCCCCACCAGGTTTGTTGTTCAGGCTCCTGGGTGGACAGTAGCAGCATTATTTAAGTGGGGAACCCTGGAGGAAGACAAGATGGAAGGAGCTGGGGCTGGACAGAAAGAAATAGGATGAGTTCCGTTATGCTTGTGTTGAATTTGAGATGCCTGTGGGACAATATCTCCTTAGCCTCAGGAGCTGGAGAAAGATACAACTAGATGAGACTGGACATGTTAGCAGGGGACTTCTTGGAGGAGGAAAAAAAAAATTTTTTTTTTTTGAGATGGAGTCTCACTCTGTCCCCAGGCTGGAGTGCATCACGTGATCTTGGCTCACTGCAACCCCTGCCTCCGGGGTTCAAGCAATTCTCCTGCCTCAGCCTCCAGAGTAGCTGGGATTACAGGCACCCGCCACCACGCCCAGCTAATTTTTATATTTTTATTAGAGACAGTGTTTCGCCATGTTGGCCAGGCTGGTCTCGAACTCCTGACATCAGGTGATACGTCTGCCTCGGCCTCCCAGAGTGCTGGGATTACAGGCGTGAGCCACCGTGCCCGGCCAGCAGGAAAAATCTAAGCAGATTTTTGAAGTTGAGGTATATGGGCTGAAGAAAAACGGAAATGACTTATGGAGTAGAAGAATGACCAGAGGGAGGTGGTCAGGGAAAAGAATGGATTCACAGAGGAAAAAAGTCAGTTTACCCGAACCAGGGAAAACTAGAGCAAATAAGTGATTGGGGTAAAATGAGCCTCGAAGGAGTTTTGTGAGCCACTTGAAGACAGGGACTATGCCATGTTCAATCTTCTGTCTCCAATACTTGTACACAAAGTTGATACTTTTTAAGTATGGTGTGACCCAAGCAAAGTATCTAAAAAAAAAATCTAATACGTATTTCTATATATCGATCTTGTATGAGTATAAATAATTAAAAATTGAAGGTTTTTAATCTGTTACCCCAAATTAGTAGTAAATTCTCCCTCCAAATTTAACTTTCTATAAAGACTTGTATCTTGCTGAGAAATGCCACATATAAGAGAACTATGTCTTACTTGTTACATCGAGGATCTAGTGACTTGTAACTATTTCAGAAAATCAAAATTCTACACTATTAATTAAACCTAGAGATAAAAACAGAATCTGCTTTGTTCTGTTCATGGAAAGTTCTTCAGCTTTAAGATCCCTAATGTCTGTGTGCCAGAGAGAGAAAATTGTACACTCGTTTTCTATTGCAAGTTCTACGATAAACACCCAGATCTGTAATAAGTGCCGTTTTACAATAAACTATGGCTAAGGAACTGTGGCTCCTTAGAGAAATGGTTGATTTCAGGACTGGGGCAAGAAAAAAGCAAGATGAACTTATGGTACCAGAAAACAAGGAAGTGCTCAAAAAATGATGGGGGCATGTCAAAGGAATAAAATAAATATCCATGAGCCCGTACTGATACAAATAAATAATTAAGTGAATAAATAAATGGGAGAGATGGTACAGATCTTCCTGACCAAAGAATTCCAACTAAAAAATGTACAAGGAATAAGGACAATGCAAAGCCATCATTAGGCAGACACCACTGTTAATAATTGTCACAGTGGGTGAAAGGATGATGAGAAACAGGACATTTACATAGTCTCAAAGTAGTCTCCTACAAGATATTTATTAATTACAAGGAGAAAAATAGTAACTTTATAGTAGAGAAACCCAGCAGACACCACCTTAAGCAAGTGAACAAGGCTAGCATCATCAGTAACAAAGTATATCAACGTCATGTACCCCACCATATGAAGCAATGAGACGGGCATCTCACTTCTTTGGTATTCTTGCTAAAAATGTATAACCTGAATTTAACCATAAGAAAACATCAGACAAACTGCAATTGCGGAGATATTTTACAAAATAACTGACCAATGCTCGTTAAAAGTGTCCAGACTATGAAAGACAAGAAAAGACTGAGGACCTGTTGCAAACTGGAGGAAATCAAGGAGACCTGATTACTAAAGGCAAAATGGGATTCTGGATTGGATCCTGGTGCAGAAAAGAGACAGAAATGGGAAAACTGGTGAAATTTGAGTAAGGTCTGTATTCTATGAGTATATATAATAGTGTTATATCAATGTTAGTTTCCTGATTTTGATAATCATACTATCCTTATGGAAGAATTCAATGAATTTTCTGCAGCATTTTTAAAACTTTTGGTAAGTCTAACATTATTTCAGGATAAAAAATTAAGTGATAAAATATTTTAGTTATTCTATGCTTTACTCAATTCCCCAATTTTAACCGTCATATGGAGTTAATATATCCAGTATAAAGTATTTTTACGATGCTTTACAATGGTAAATTCAACTTCAGTTTGGGCAATATTAAGACCATTGGAAAATGTTTATAAGTATGAATGTGTTAAGGTGATCAGTGCTCTGAATTGAGGGGGAAAATCACAGAAAATAATAAAATGTTTGCAATTATTACACAAAGCCGTAGGGTTCCATGTCCACCATGTGGCTATTCCGAAACACCAGAAACTGACACATACACATGTATAATGTGGCCCATTACACCCTTTTCAGGTATTGAAAGGGGCGTTTTCACTTTTCTTATTTTAATATCACATGGGCTTTTATTCTTGAATGGCTGATGATGAAAAGGATGAATTCAGGTTCTCAAAGAAGCAGATAAAAGAGCTTTTCTTTGCTCAGTTTATATTCTTGCATGTAGAAGTCCACCTAAAGATTAAACAAACTTTTAAAATATAAGAAATTGAATCTTTGACAGCTGGATGTTTTACACAATTGAACTTCAAATAAGTCTTTCAATTTCTATTATATGTTGTCATTTTGTTATATTGTATTTTTTCTCCTGTACAGAGTTTATTCAGACTTTGTGATTCTCTCCACAACCAACAATATATTCACATGTCAATTACAGGAATTTCAAACCTTGAGTTTATTTTCTTTTCATGTTTTATATTCTATCCAAAGACAGACTGCATTTCACACATCTCCCGATATCCCACCCACTTCGACCCTTGCATATATAACCATCATGATCTCTCTCTACTGTCCTCTTTGCCTGTGTATTTTTGTCTCAACATTTCTTTTAAAGGCTTGACCTCTCCTACCAAGAACCCTTTAGTCACCCCTCAGTAATCTCTTTTGAAATGCATTCCAGGCATTATCAGACTCTACCATGCCTATTAAGATGTCCATTTAGACCAATTCTGGGTCTGGATGTCCCCAAAGATCTTGTACAGAGAGAACGGTCAGTTCTCTGTGATGGCTACAGAGAGAACACAAATCAGTTCCAGATTGCAACTCATGATCTAGCAAGGATTTATATCTGTAAGAATTTTCGAATGTTGAGATTGGAGACAAATCTGGGAGTGACTGAAATGGCAAGACCACATATTTTCGAGTCAAAAGTTCCTTTGTTTAAATCACATCTCCACCATTTCCTACATGTGTTATGTTGGGCACGTTGCTCAACCTCTCCAAACCTCAATTTTCCTCCATATAAAAGATGATGATAAAAGGTTATCATAAAAGATGATAATCTTGAGTAAGATTATCTTACTCAAGGTTATTTAAAGTGCTTCCATAAGCTACATGTACCAACATAAATAATAGTTACATATGTGGTTCATTGATTTCTTCCACAAACTTCTGAGCCCCTGCTGTGAGCCAGGCACTATTCAGGCCCTGGTATTTCCAGGAAGTAATTCCATCGATCTTCCCTGGAAGATCGATGTTCTCATGAAGCTTGTAGTCTTGGGGGTAGACAGACAATAAAAAATGCACCAACAAGAAAATGTCAGATGGTAATAAGAGCTATGATGAAAATAATCATGAGATAGAGTAATTGGGCCAATGCCTTAGCTATGAGTTCAGGAAAGGCTTCTCTGAGGCAATGACATTTAAGCCGAGTGGCCAGATTAAGACCTGGAGAAGAGTATCTCAGGCAGAGGAAATAGCAAAGTTCCCCAGGTGGGACAGAGGTTATTTTGTTGAAAGAACAGAAAGAGCACACGTGCGGCTGGAGCAAGGTTAGGGGGCAGGGGGTGGTTTTTAAACCACTGGAAGGTTGTTGCATTGTTGTTACCTAAGGAGGGTAATCAGGAATAAGTAGTAGATTAAATCGTTAGCAGGGTTAGTACAAACTGCTCCCTTCCTGTTCAAAAGGGACAAGTGACTCTACTTCTGGCTGTCTAGTAGGTCTTTGTTTGTTTGTTTTGTTTTGTTTTGTTTTTTGAGACAAAGTCTCGCTCTGTCCCCTAGGCTGGAGTGCAGTGGCTCCATCTTGGCTCACTGCATCCTCCGCCCCCTGGGTTCAAGCAATTCTCCTGCCTCAGCCTCCTGAGTAGCTGGGATTAGGCGTGCGCCACCACACCCAAATTTTTGTATTTTTAATAGAGACAGTGTTTCACCATGTTGGCCAGGCTGGTCTCGAACTCCTGACCTCAAGTGATCCCCCCACCTCGGCCTCCCAAAGTACTGGGATTATGGGCATGAGCCACTGCACCTGGCCCTGGCTGTCTGTTAGCTTTTCAGCTGCAAGTAACAGGAACCCAAGTCAAACCAACTTAAGCCAAAAAGTAAAAGAGAAAGAATGTATTCATTTGTTTGACTGAAAGGTTCAGGGATATTTACAATCCCAGCATTGCTGGATTAGAAGCTGAAATGACATCATCCATTCAGATCCTGTCCCCCAACACCACCACCACATTCGGTGCCCCTCTGTGTCACCTTCACTCCCATGCAGGCCCTCTTTACAGCTGGTCCTGCAACAACTCTGGGTTTTTTTTTTGTTGTTGTTGTTGTTATTTTTTGTCGGAGTCTCGCTCTGTCACCAGGCTGGAGTGCAGTGGTGCGATCTCAGCTTACTGCAACCTCCAACTCCCAGGTTCCAGTGATTCTCCTGCCTCAGCCTCCCGAGTAGCTGGGACTAGAGGCATGTGCCACCACACCCAGCTAATTTTTGTATTTTTAGTAGAGCCGGGGTTTCACCATGTTGGCCAGGATCGTCTTGATCTCTTGACCCTCATGATCTGCCCACCTCGGCCTCCCAAAGAGCTGGGATTACAGGTGTGAGCCACCACTCCCGGCCTCAACTCTGGTCTTATAGTTTCCAGCTTAACGATCTCCATCAAAAAAGAGCTTTATTTTACATTCTTATTAGCAAAGTCCCAGAGTTGAGCCTGGCCCAGGTCACATGTCTCTCTTAACCAATCACCATGGCCAGGGTGATGGAGTACTCTGATTGGGCATGTCTGAGTGGCTCTCCCACCCCTGGAGTCCTGGAAGGGGATTCAGACTCATCAAAACCTCAGGGGCACATGGACTGAAAGTGAGGGGAGCTATTTTCCCCAAATTGGGATGCTATTACCAGAAGAAGGGAGCCTGTACGTCAGACAGACAAAAAGAAAATCAGTATCACAACAGTTGTTCAGCAAGTGTTGATTGTATGCTTGTATTCAGGCTGTAGTTGGCAGAAATTTGGTCCATATCCTCAAAGATAATCCTGGGCTACTATTGAAGAGATAGAGATAGAGAAGGAAAATTGTCAGTAAGAAATGTAACAGACTATCTTGTAAGGCCTGAAATATCATGTGCTGCTGCCTTGACCGTCTTTGACCCTCATGAGATCCAAAAGGTCTCACCCTGAGTCCCCCTGCTTTCTCTCACCAGATATGGCCCCCACCCAGCAGGAAAGATTCTTCACCCAGCTAGTTCCCCTATCAGCCAGACCAGCTGCACACCATCTGGACCTAAACCTAATAGGTTCCATGTCACTGCCAGCCTGTAAAATTATCAAAACAAGCCAATGACATCCTCCTGCAGGAACCTGGGGACACCTCACCCTCTTGTTACTACAAGGCCTGATTCCCACGGCCCCTGCTGTTTCCCTCTGCCCCGAGTGTAACCCCAATGTGGCTCCACATGGTGCGCGGTATCCTCCTCCCCAAGGCTGTGAGGATATGTGACTAATAGACTGGTGCCAACCTCACCTACCCAGTGTCAAGTGTCTTGTATTTGGCCATCTCATATTAATTAGAGCAAGGGATCCCTCCTTCACCAAGAGAGTAAACAGGAGGTGATCAGAACTACACTCTAATTACTTTCCTGACAGTAGCCAAGAGCCCTTTGCACTGGTCACTTGATTTCAGACTGGACTGGACTATGATAAACCCCAAGAGCTCCTACTGGTAGGCGTGGGGGCCACTGCACACACCAGCAAACTCCTCTATTCTGCTAGTCCCCAGCCTCTCTTCTCAGATCTTCTCTGTTGTGAGGTCAGGCCAGCAGCCGTGGTGTCTTCCTCGTTAGTACCTTCCCCAGAGTCTAGCTAAGGACCTGACACATAGTAGGCTTCCAATATATGAGTCCTGAGTGAAAGAATAGATCTTTGTCTTCAATCAGGCAACTGCAAAGTGTGGAACACTCTGGTCTGATTCAAAAACTTGTTTTAAGTTAAGAGCCAAAGTGACCAACCCAGAAAATTGGGGAATGGAAAATCTATTTCACTGTGGGCTTCACAGATGAAGTACATACTGGAGGTCAGAAATTATGACTTTCAGTGTTCACATTAGCAAAGTATTGAAGCAGCTTTTTTTTCTCTTTTAATGAGGATTCATTTTATGCTTACATTTTCAATAAGGTCCCTGTTTTTGTCAGAAATTTCAACCTCTTCTGGGTAATTGCACAACTTCTGGCTTCACTTGGCCTGCATAGCCTTGGCATGACTGATTTTTTTGGGTACATGCTGTAGGCAAGATTTTTATGAGGTTTGATTCTTGTCTTGACTTTATTTGATCATGTATATCTGTAATTCAGCACGTAGATGAAAGCAGACAGCACCTCTCAGCACCATGATGGTGAACGCCACAGAAAATGATAAAAGTATTTATCACATATGGATCTACAGGAATGCAAAAAGCCTTTCCAGAAATCACGCTCTGGCATGTCGTGTGAATTAAGCACACAGTTTCAAGGGGCTGGGTCTCTCGTTGAGAATCATTTGCAATTTCCAGCAGCTTAGATAAGTTGGATTTGGCCTAACCTAGAAAAAGAAAAAAGAAACTGAAGTGCTTTATCAGAATTCTTCTCCAGAATTCTCTGTCCTGGGCTTTGGATCTCTATGAGGGTACATTTTTGAGCAACTTCCCTTTAGACTACCTGTTCTAGAACTGAACACAGAGGCAGAGCTGTGACAGAAAAACCCCATTTTTCACCTTTCAGATTAAAAAACATGAAAAGGTTTGTTAACATGCTGAGTTGGCAAGGGCGTATAGAAACAGGCATTCTCATACATTGTTAGCAAGAGTGAATATTGGTGCATTCTCCTCGGAAAGCAATTTAGTTAATATCTATCACAATGTCAAATGTGCTTAGCCTTGACCCAGCAATTCCACATCTAAGAATTGTCCTTTGCAGAATATATTCCTTGCGGAATTGTTTATAGTACAAAATAATTCAAAAAAGGAATAAATACCTATCAAAGTGAGACTGGGTAAATAATTTATAGTACAACCATATAAGAGAATACTATTTACCTACTATAAATATATGACACAAATACATGTGCATATGTGTGCGTGTGCTCCTAGACCAGTGGTTTTTAACAAGAGAGACATCTGATAACGTTTGGAGACAACTGTGGGTGAGGTGGGGAGTGGGTGCTACAGGCATCTAGTCGGTAGAGGCCAGAGACACTGCTAAGCATCCTCCAATGCACAGAACAGCACTTCCCCATGGACAACAAAGAACCATCCAGCACAACATGTCAACAGTGCCAAGGATGAAAAATCCTTCTTCTAGACAAATCTCTTCCTCCAAGAAGGGAAACTGGAAGACCCTTTTGGCTTGGTGGGCACGTGTTTATATTCCACATTTTCTGTTAAAGAGTAAATGCTAACCAGTTTTCCAATGTGCATTCTCAGGCTGTCTCAGGCTGGGTATGAGACAGCAGCAGGTTTCACAACAGCCATTCCTTCATCTTCTTTTGCCTTGATCCCCTCCTTGCTTAGACAAAATGGCAGATGCAGTGAGTGAGCTTGAGGTTGAGACAAACTGCTTGGAATTCACAAGTTCCTGGGCCATTTCTGGTCACCCAGGGACAGAAACATCACTGATAGGTTGGGTGTTGACTTTAAAAGTAAAGAAAAGTGGGTAGCTTTCTTTGACTGTTTGCCTCTGCTCACGTTGACTCTAGAACTCGGAGATGTAGAAAAAGGCAAATCACTCTTTCTCTTCCTCTCAGGATAGTTAACCTCAGGGCTACAGCTCTCTGATGGCCAGAATGTGCAGTTTTTACTATTCAAATCATATATATTAGTTCTTGAGATATTTTAAACACCAACTCAAATTTAGCATATAAAAATTTACCCACAAAAATTTGCCGAGATAGGGCTGCAAGGATATTGGTTGCAGCATTGTTCATAATGGCAAGAATCTGAAAACTTTTAAAAGTCCAGGAGAAAACTGTCATATAAACTACATCATAGTCACGCTATAGAATATTCTGCTGCTGTTAAAAAACGAGGTGAGTCCATATGTGTTGATATGGAATAATCTCTAAGACACATTCCTTGAAAAAAGCAAGTTGGAGAACACTAAGAATGATAGGCTTCTTTCTATGTAAATTACAATTATCTATCTGTATATGTCTTTGTCTGTATCTGTCAGTCTATGTACATATATATATATTAAATTGCATCTTCACATAGACATTTCACTTTCTGAAAGGAATAATAGTCACTTACATCATTGCTATGGGGAAAGGAGCTGAGGGCAGGGTAAATGTGAGTGTCCCAGGCAGCTTTCTCCTAGCATTTCATACTCTCATGTGCTGTTCAAACATTCTAACCATGTACATATGCATGCACTTTAAAAAATTTTTGACAGATGTCATCAGGGTGGTAAGAGTATGGATTATTTGAAATATTTTTCTTTATATTCCTTTTTACTTATACAAATGCAAACATATGAATGTTATAAAAGAAAATTTAGAAAACATCAGAATGTAAAAAAGGCTATGTAAAAGACGAAGGAATTAAAGAGACAATTAAACACTTTTCTTTAAAGTTATAGCGAAATTTATTTACAGTAAAAATGGCACATGGAGGAGCCCTCAAGTATGAGCAATGCCATTGAATAAGTATAATCGGGGCCAGGGAATGGTGGCTCACACCTGTAATCCCAGCACTTTGTGAGGCTGAGGTGGGTGGATCATGAGGTCAGGAATTCGAGATCAGCCTGACCAACATGGTGAAACCCTGTCCCCACTAAAAATACAAAAATTAGTCGGTCATGGTGGTGCACACCTGTAATCCCAGCTACTCGGGAGGCTGAGGCAGGAGAATCACTTGAACCCGGGAAGCAGAGGTTGCATTGAGCCGAGATTGTACCACTGCACTCCAGCCTGGACAACAGAGCGAGACTCCATCTCAAAAAAAAAAAAAAAAAAAAAAAAGTATGAGTGGAACATGTCTTGTTATTATCATCATTATTATTATTATTATGGTTACTATTATCCTTTAATCTGTTAGTATTTTTGAATGTCTACAATAAGCAAAAAACATTTGCGGTTAATTTGATGAAGGAAATAAAGATGATTCAGACATGGACACAGGTATAGACTCCTTGAGGTACCTGCCAGCTGAGGGGATGAGTTTGCACTGAATTCTGCCTGTAAGCTAGCTAACCAGGGCCAAAAACTTGGGTAACATCCAAGAAAGGATCAGGGCATGAACTGGACCAGTGCTTTGAGTACCGATTGCCACAAAAAATCTCTTTCATGTGGATGGACCAGGGCCTGAAATCTCCACCATTACAGTGAGTCCTAGAGATGACAACAGAGGCTGTTTTAAAACAAAATGCACTCTTGTCCACTGGAACCCTGGAGGTATCAAAGAGAAGAAGGTTCCTGCTGTGCCCAAACCCTTAAGAAAAAGCAAAGGAATTTTGCAGAGCTGAACATCGAGCACCTGAGAAAGAATTTTGCCTAAAAGATGCTTTGAAAGGCAAGGAGGAAGCTTATCTACGAAAAAACGAAGCATTGTCACAGGAAATACAGACATATATACAGAACTGAAATTCAAATGGCTTGGATGGCAAGAAAAGCTGACAACTTCTAAGTACCTGCAGAACCCAAATTGGCGTTTGTCATCAGGAACAGAGGTATCAATGATGTGAGCCCAAAGGTCTGAAAGGTGTTGTAGCTTCTTTGCCTTTGTCAAATCTTCAGTGGAATCTTTGTTAAGCACAACAAGACTTCAATTAACATGTTGAGGATCGTAGAACCACATATTGCATGGGGGTAACCAAGCCTGAAGTCAGTAAAAATCTACAAGCCTGGTTATGGCAAAATCAGTAAGAAGCGAATTGCCTTGGCAGATAACACGTTGATTGCTCGATCTCTTGGTAAATATGGCATCGCCTGCATGGAGGATCTGATTCATGAGATCTATACTGTTGGAAAACACTTAAAAGAAGCTAATAACTTCCTGCGGCTCTTCAAATTATCCTCTCCATGAGGTAAAATGAAGAAAAAGACCACCTATTTTGTAGAAGGTGGAGATGCTGGCAACAGGGAAGACCGGATCAATAGGCTTCTTAGGAGAATGAACTAAGGTGTCTACCAGGATTTTTTCTAATCTGGTCAATTAATAAACAGTGCCTGCTTTTAAATTGAAAAAAATAAAATAAAACAAAATGCTCATGATTAAAATGCAGGTGAGCAGGTACTTATTTCTGAAGCCATACAACCCAATGTCTCAATGTGACACTTTTATTCCTCCTGATAGAAGCAGATAATGTAAATCTCAGCCAACTGGCGGCAAAGTGGGTTATTTCAAATTGAATCCCATCTAATTCAAGAATCTGGCTGGATGTGGTGGCTCATACCTGTAATCCCTGCACTTTGGGAGGCCAAGGCGGGCAGATCACTTGAGGTCAGGAGTTCAAGACCAGCCTGGCCAACATGGTGAAACGCCGTCTCCAGTAAAAATACAAAAATTAGCTGGGCATGGTGGCGGGTGCCTGTAATCCCAGCTACTCAGGGGGTTGAGGCATGTGAATCGCTCGAATCCTGGGAGGCAGAGGTTGCAGTGAGCCAAGATCATGCCACTGCACTTTAGCCTGGGGACAGAGTGAGACTCTTTCTCCAAGAAAAACAAAACAAAAGAAAACAAAAAGACTCTCTGCCTTTTTAGTCTGCTCCTGAGCTGTACTGGAGTGGAGGGAGGGAGGTGCTGGTTCACGGTCATTCTCTGTAACCAATTGGCATCCCCTGAGATCTCCAGTCCGCTCTGGATCTTAAGCACAGCCACTTCCTTGTTGGTGTCTGCTATGGCTTGGATGCAGTGTTCCCTTACTCAGCTATAAGGCTCCTATAAGTGCCCTATTCATCATAAAATGGCTGTGAAACCCCACTGGACAAAGATCCTTGAATCTGGTTCCGTTGGTATTCATCCTAGTTTTGTAGTTCTCCACTTTGCGCATTGGAATCAACTGGGGAGCTTTAAAAAATGTCTGGGCCTCACTCTTTCCCCTGGTCTTCGGATTTGATTGGTCTTCTGGGCGGTCTGGGCCTCAGGGTTTTCTAAGGGTCCTCAGGTGATTTAACGTGCAGCCATGGTTGCGAACCACTGCCCTAGTTTCTCTAGGTGAGCCACTCAGCTCTCTGAGGTTTCAGTGGAAGATATGGGCCCCCATGTGGCCCTCTGACTCATCAGTTTCCACTCCTTCTTCACCCTCTGACATGACCTGTCACTGTACTAGTTGGGGCAGACATGGCTTTAGTAACAAATGTACCAAAATGTGTAATGGCGCAAGATAAGAGGAATTAATTTCTAGCTCACATAATCTAGCTCACAGGTGTCAGGGTAAGTTGAATATGAGTGTGGTGGTGGAGTGGTCTCACACAGGCCCCAGCAACACAAACTGACTGCAACTGTGCCGTCTTCAACAGCAGCTTCTATGGTTCCCCCAGAGGTCACCAAAACAGCTCAACGGGGACAAGAGCATGGAAAGACACATCTGGAAGGTTTTAATGGGCCAAGCTTAGGAGCGGCCCTCAAGACTTCTGTTCCCATTCCACTGGTTAGAACCAGTCCCAGGGCCACACCTGCCTGCAAGAAAATCAGGGAAATGTAGGAAGGAAGGAGAGGAAAATGGATTTGGATGAATGCATTGCCGTCTCCACCACAATCGCTGTAGTTGCACCTGACGAGTAGCCTCAATTCTCTTGGCCCTCTCTCTGCCTTCAAAATCATGAGCTGGTAACACTGCAACATTGTGATGAACTCTTCACCTGCCCTCTTGAGGACTGCACCTAAGTAGCTGAACATGGCTGGACACAGTTCGGCGTTTAATTCATGATTTTAAACCTTAAGTGGGGCCAGATACAGTGGCTCATGCCTGTAATCTGTAATCCCAGCACTTTGGGAGGCCAAAGCAGGCAGATCACTTGAGGTCAGGAGTTCGAGACCACCTTGGCAAACATGGTGAAACCCCATCTCTACTAAAAATACAAGAATTAGCCAGTGTGGTGGTGAACACCTGTAATTTCAGCTACTCAGGAGGCTGAGGTGAGAGAATTGCTTGAACCCAGGAGGCGGAGGTTGCAGTGAGCTGAGATTGCACCACTGCAATCCAGCCTGGGCGACAGATCAAGTCTCTGTCTCAAAAAAAAAAAAAAAAAAAGGAAAGGAAAAAAAATCTTAAATGGGCACCCAATGCCTGAGGCAATCTGACTACATTTCCTTGATAAGCTTGCTCCCCTCTTGCTCAGTGTGACCATTTTATACCTCAGCCTCTTCTCAGTCTTAATATGTTCAAATCTGAACTTGACTTTACCTCTTAAACCAACCGTGACTCTCCTCCCCAGGTTTCCACATCTCAGGAAGCAGCACACTATTCAGCCAGTTGTTCAATCTGCAAACGCAGCCATTATCCTGATTCTTCCCTTTCTCTTCCCTACGTCTAACCCGTGGGCAAGTCTCATCAGTTTCACCTCTGAAATACATCCAGATTCTACCTTCTTTTTCCCGTCTTCTCTTCCACTGCTCTAGGCCAGGTCACCACTGTCTCTCGCCTGGACTGCTTACTCTTGGCCCGTGTCCCTTATTCCTATTCCCCATCGATAGCCATGGGATATTGCTGAAACACGAGCACCATCACCTCACTCCCCCGCCCAATCCCCTAACATGGCTTTCACTGCATTTTGTAAAAACCCCAGGCTGCTGATGGTGGCTTCCTACATGGTACCCGCTGCATGGTCCCGCCCCTCCCGTCCCATCCAGCCCCACTCTCCCTCCCTTTGCCATCGGGCCCCTCTACCTCTCCAATCCTCGAGTTTCATTCCTTTCTCAAGGCCTGTGCGTTTGCTGTTCTCTTTGACTAGAATGCTTTTCTCCTGGCTTTTCGGGGCCACTCCTAAACATCTTTCAGGTCTCAGTGTGGACAGGACTTCCCCTGTTCACACTTCCAAACAGGTCCTCCCCATCCCTTATCCTTTCACTCTGCTTCCTTTGCAGCACTCATTACTACCTGCAATTCATTAGTCGTGTGTGCTTGTTTGTTTGTTGTTTCACCCCACCAGATTCTTAGCTACACGAGGGTAGAGCTGTGTCTGCTTTGTTAGTGGCTGGCTCCAGTGTCTGATATTGGTTGAATGCAATATAGGTTCGTGAATGCAATGCAGTGAATGAATACGATAGGTCAATGGTTCCTAGCATCCATCTATCCATCTGTCTATCTATCATCTATCTCAAGGAACTCCTAAGAACCTGATGAAAGGCCTTCGGACCTTTTCCACTGAAATGCACAGAAAACACTGCATTTAGTTTCACATTATCTCTGGGCCTCCAGAATCCCATTCGCTCTGAAATTAGATTAATAATTCTGGAACTAAATAGTACTTTTAGCTCTAAAATTCTTTTATTTATTTATTTATTTTGAGACAGAATCTTGCTCTGTCACCCAGGCTGGAGTGCAGTAGTGTGATCTTAGCTCATTGCAACCTCCCTCTCCTGGGTTCAAGCGTTTCTCCTGCCTCAGCCTCCTGAGTAGCTGGGATTACAGGCATACACCACTACACATGGCTAATTTTTGTATTTTTAGTACAGACAGGGTTTCACCATGTTGGTCAGGCTGGTCTCAAACTCCTGACCTCAAGTGATCTGCTTGCCTCAGCCTCCCAAAATGCTGAGAGTTCAGGCACGAGCCACCACGCCCTGCCCTAAAATTCTTATGGTATCACATATCAACTATTCTGCTACCAATAAAAGTACCAATAAAGAAAACAATAAAGCCTTAATAAGACGGCATCCAGGAAAGGTAATTTTTTATGGGATAATGAAAAGAAGCAGGAAATACCAGGAGAATAGGCTATTGCCTTCAAAAAACAGCTGGAGAAAGACACACCCAAATGAGACCCCAGAGAATCCAAAAACCACCTTGGAAGGTGTGAGCTCCTAAAGCAATCTAGGAATGCCTGAGTGGACGCCTTGGAGCCAGGTTCCAGGCCAGGAGACAGCCGCCCACCCCCAAATTACCTAATGCACGGCTCGGCTGAGACAGAAAGATCATCTGCAAGGCAATTGGTGTGAGTCCCCTGAAGGGCTCACACCCCAGAGATGTTGGAGCAGAACTCATATTTTGTTATCTTGGCAGCTGTGGCTGATGGGAGATGGGGGACAATAGGACCAGCTCATCAAGGGCCACTTCCAAGGTGGCAGTTGTGAAAGTGCTAGCATAAATCTCCCCTTGTTTGAATTTCCTTAGTACTCCCAGATACCTATGTGCTGGAGATACATGTTTCTGTCGTTTCAGGCAGCAGGGTTCATGCAATTCTCATGAAACTACTGCAGGCCTTGCACAGGGAGCTCCCCAAGAAATGCTTATCAAGGCAATGATCAGATCTTGTGCGGCTGCCAGGGCATTCACAAGCCCTAGAGGTGTCTCTATAGGGGCTGGAGGTAATGGCTGAATCAGAAGAGCCACTCCAGGGAGACAGAAATCCTTGTTGCAGAAGAAGCTTTAGGACCTGGGCAACTCATCACGTCTAATGTCAGGTGACATGCAACAGCCCAGTCTTTGGTCCAACAGGTGCTAGAGCACCTGTCAGCATAGCCGCTACAAACTCCTGGGTAAGTCACAAAAAAGAACCCAGGGCCAGCTATCCAAAGGGCAAGAAAGGATTTGGATAACCACAGGGGCCTCACCTATAGGTCACAGCTGTCCCTGGCCTCAGGCAAGCAGGCCAGCAGCCACTAGCAGGTGCCACCCATAAATGCTGTAGACCAGAAGTGGATACCTTGATCATTCAGCTGTCGGACATTCCATGCAGCATATGTTGTGGGTTGTGTGGTAGATGATGCCAGTGCTTAAAATTTTGAGATGAGTTGGTAGATGGGCTATGGTCCAGTAGTTATTTCTACAGAAAGTGGGTTTATGTACAAGGCAGAAACTTTACTGAGTGTGAATAGGACTCCTTTACCCCACCAAATCCCCCTTGAATGGACATTTCTTTGTTTCAAGAAGCTTTTTTCTTTGCTTGCTAAAGACATGTTTAAAAAACTGATCATCAGGATTGTATATTATTTCAACTTTTAATTAATAGTTTAAATAATTAAATTGGGACTCTATATCGCTTAATAGATGCATTTAGAGTAAAAGTCAGATGGCAAATATTAACTTCAAGAGAGAGAAATTCCCTGAGAGGAAAGAGGAACAGAGGGGAGGACTCAGCTATTTCTGCTTACTTGAAAACACACACACAAAGATCTGAAAGAAACAGCAGAAGATCAACATCTGTCACATCTGGGAAGTAGAGGCTCTGTAGTTATATGTCATATTATTTTCTGTACTTTTTTGTACCTTTGAAACTTCGTAATCAAAATAAACTTTTAAAAAAATGATGGGATGGAGAAAGTAAATGTTATGGAACCTAGGTGTGTATAGGGATTTCTAAAATTTCTGCATATGATTTTTTGCCTTGGAGATGAGAAAAGGGAGATACATGTTAAGCTTGGATATGTAAAAAGGCATAATACAAATCAAAGCAAACATATATGTGCTTAAAATGTGCCAGGCACAGTTCTGAACCCTTTAATGATTAACACATTGATTCAAGTACCAGCTAAAATCTCCATTCAAGGACCTGCTTACCAGACAACAAATGGTTTCAGTTGCTAGGGTTTCCAATTCAGCCTCACTTACTAAAATTAAGCAAGGAAGCCTCCAGCCAGAAAAGATTAAGCTCCTATTTCTCAATGCATGGGTCTCAGGAGTAAGGGAAGCAGGGAGAAATAAATCTTGACTGCTGATGTAGCATCCTGTGTGAGATGGACCAGTGAAAAACAGGCCCCACTTCCATGAAGGAACCAGGGACCAGACACTAAGGGGACTAACCCCTGCCAGGATGCCCATCACTCACAGTCACTCTCCCTTCCCTTCAAGTTTACCATTATCCTGACTACTACCACCATACATTACCTTTGCTTGTTTATAACATGTATGTAATTGCAATAATTTGAAATGTACTCTTCTGTCTTGCTTTTGTACTCAACATAACATTTGTGAAATTTATTTATATGATTGCATGTAGCAACAGTTCACTCTGTCATTATTGTAGAGCTTTCTGGTGCATGAACAGATTATAATTTATAAACCCATAACACTACTGATGGACAATTGGGGCATTTCCAGTTGAGGCCATTCTGAATGTTGCTATGGTGCTGCTGTCAATGTTCTTGTGTATGACTTTTTTGTTGTTTTGAGACAGGGTCTTGCTCTGTTGCCCAGGCTGGAGTGCAGTGGTGTGATCATGGCTCACTGTAGCCTCAACCCTCGACCTCCCAGGGCTCAACCAATCCTCCCAGCTCAGCCTCCCAAGTAGCTGGGACTACAGACCTGTGCCACCTGGCTAGATTTCTGTATTTTTTTGTAGAAACGGGGTTTTGTCACGTTGCCCAGGCTGGTCTTGAACTCCTGGGCTCAAGTGATCCATCTGCCTCAGCCTCCCAAAGCGTTGGGATTACAGGTGTGAACCACTGCGCCTGGCCTTGTGTGTCTTTTGGTGCAAATAGCTATGCATTTCTTTTTAACATATCGTTAGCATGCACATATGTTCAGTTTTTGTAGATACTGCCAAATAGTTTTCCAAGGTAGTTGTACCAATAAACATTCTCTCCAGTGGTGTGTGAGTGTTCTGGTTGCCCTATAATATCATCACATCATCAAAACCTGAACTTACCTGTTTTTTAAAAAATTAACATCTAATCTATGCCTCTGTGCTTGTATTTAATATTTCTCTAGGGAAGAGATTTCTGGTGAGGCAAAAGCCTACTTCTCACATTATTTTTCTTTTTGAAAAAATTTCTTGTTTTCTCTCATTTTTTTCTATTCTAGGTGAATTTTATAATGAATTTATTGAGATCCATAAAAATGGTAATTGCTAGATTAAGGCTACACACATTTAAAGTTTTAATAGATACTGCAAAACTGCCCATCAAAAAGGTCATGTCAATATATAGTTCTACCAAGAGTGAAAGAGAGTAACTGTTTCCTCTCTCCTTAACCAACCCTGCATATTAACAAACTCTCAATTTTTTTGAGAGAGGGTCTTACTCTGTTGCCTAGGCTGGAGTGCAGTGGCATGATCCTAGCTCACTGAGGCCTCAACCTCCTGTACTCAAGTGATCCTCCTGCCTCTGCCTCCCAAGTAGCTGGGACCACAGGCATGTGCCACCACACCCAGCTAATTCTGGTAATTTTTTGTAGAGATGGGGATCTCGCTGTGTTGTCCAGGCTGGTCTCGAACCCCTGGCCTCAAGCAATCTTCCTGCCTTGGCCTCTCAAAATGCTGTAATTACAGGTGTGAGCCACGGTGCCAGGCCAAACTCACAAATTTTTACCAAAAAAAGGTATCTTATTGTGTTAAAATTTGCCTCATTAAAAAGGAGGGGGTTCAATATTTGTTACTCTTTTATTGGCCATTTGCATGTTTTCTGTGATTTGCATGTTCACATTCATGGCTAGTTTGTCTGCTATTTATCTTTTTACTATTTTTATCTTTAAGAAGAGTTCTTTATAAACGCTAGAGCTGCAGTGTCAAGATGGTTCGCCACTTGCCCTATTTGTCTATCAAAAAAAAGTGGCTTTTTTTGTTTGTTTGTTTTTAGACAGTCATGCCTTATCACCCAGGCTGGAGTACAGTGGCATGACCTCAGCTCACCGCAACCTCTGCCTCCCGGGTTCAAGTGGTTCTCCTGCCTCAGCCCCCCAAGTAACTGGGATTACAGGCGCATACCACCATGCCTGGCTAATTTTTCTGTCTTTAGTAGAGACGAGGTTTACCGTGTTGGCCAGGCTAGTCCCGAACTCCTGACCTCAGGTGATCCACTGGCCCTGGCCTCCCAAAGTGCTGGGAGTATAGGGGTGAGCCACTGTGCCCAGCCTGTCTATCTAAATTTGAATTAATGAAGTGAAATTTAAAATTCAGTTCCTCAGTCACACTGGCCCTATTTCAAGTACTCACTAGCCGCATTGCTAGTGGCTGTCCTGTTCAGGAGCGCAGAGAGGACATTTCCATTATCAAAGAAAGTCCTGTCAGATAGGGTTGGTCTAGACGGCAATCCTTTTTCTACCAACAGTGAAAAAGAGTAACTATTTCCCCTCACCTTCACCAATCCTGCATATTAACAAAGTATCAATTTTCCTTTTTTTTTGAGACAGGGTCAAAAATATTTCTGTTGAAATATTCTCACTCAGGCTATTCCTATTTTTAATATTATTTTTAATTGATGGATCATAATTATATATATGTATGGGGTATAATGTAATGTTTTGATATAGGTATACAATGTGGAATGATTAAATCAAGCAAATAAACATATCACCTCACTTACTTATCATTTTTTGTGATGAGACATTTGAAATTGAGCAATTTGGGAACATGCAAGACATTCTTATTAACTACAGTCACCCTGCTCTGTGATAGAACTCCAAAAAGTATTTATCCTGTGCAACTGAAACCTTGTAATCTTTGACCAACAATCTCCCCACTCCCCCCATTCTCTTCCCACTCCCCCCATTCTCTCCCCACTCCTCCCCTCTCCACAGTCTTATCCTTATATTTTAACTTTTGAATACATTCTCTTATGGTACAGAGGAATACATTTTTATGCAGGCAACTATATTCATCATTTTTGGCATGGATTGTTGAGTGTGAATCTTGCTTGTAATACCATCAGAAGTTATAAGCATATTTTCCTGCACCTTCTCCCGATTATTGACTAGTTCTGTTCTTTATCTAGAACTAGTTTTTAATTGTAGCACAAAACAGGGGCCTAATTCAATTTTTTTTTTTTTTCCGCAATGGATGGTCAATCTTTCTAATACCACACATTGTGCTTGGGAAGATGAAAACTAGAAACATTGGAGAAAAGCACTACTAAATATCACATACCTTTAACCAAGTTAATAAAACTTTCCATCTGATTTTAGAAGGAAAAATTTCCTTCTGATTTGAGCTGGAATGAACATGAATTTTGTCAACTGAGTTCTCTGTGTCTCTCAGGAGAATCATTTTTTTTCCTCCTTTAATTGGAACAAATCCTATCCTTAGTTAGGGTAATATATTGCTTTTAATTAACTGATGGATTTGAGGTGCTAACATTTTATTAGGATTGTTGTATATATTGGCACTTTTTGATACCTACTATTCCATTGTATCAATGTGTTACATGTTTAGCCAGCTTCGTATTAACAGACATTCACATTCTTCCAAAAATTTTCTCATACAAATACAAATTACAATGCTGCTGTAACTTTGTATATATGTCATCTTGCACCTGTGCATGTATATCTGTAAGATAAATTCCCAGACATGAGATTACTAACTCAAAAATCAGTTTGCCAGGTATTGGCAAATTGGCCACCATAAAGATTTGTACCAATTTACACTCCTACTGGAAATGTATGAGTGGCTGTTTTCCCAGATTTCTCCTAAGAATGTCCTTAACTGAAAACTCCATCTCGTTAGCTCAGCGACGCCACTGGGCTCAGTCTGTGTCCTCCGTTTGCCCCAGTGGTCTAGAAACTGTCTCCAGACAGACTGGGACAATCGTCGGGCTCACCTCGTTTATTTTCCTTCTCCGAGAGATCACAGTCCTGTGCTGTCCAGTGTCTGATGTTAGAAAACCATTGTTTGAAATATTTGGTCCAGTTTTCTAATTGTTGATGGTGGGACATTATGTCTGTGCCTGCTACTCCATCAGAGGCCAGCAGGAAAACTTCTCTTTTTAACTTTTGCTCTCACTCTTTCTGTACACAAAAATAGAGTTGGGCTGGGCTCGGTGGCTCACACCTGTAATCCCAGCACTTTGGGAGGCTGAAGCGGGTGGACTGCCTGAGCTCAGGAGTTCAAAACCAGCCTGGGCAATATGGCAAAACCCCGTCTCTACTAAAAATACAAAAAATTATCCGGCTGTGGTGGTGCGTGCCCGTAATCCCAGCTACTCAAGAGGCTGAGGCATGAGAATCGCTTGAACCCAGGAGGCGGAGGTTGCAGTGAGCCTAGATCGTGCCACTGCACTCCAGCCTGGGCAACAGAGTGAGACTCTGTCTCAAAAAAAAAAAAAAAAATAGAATTGGGTTTAGTTTTGTAATTCAACCTGAAACTCTTTTTTTATAGGTAAGCTAAGCTGCTTTACAGTGATCGATATAACAGATATGTGTGATCTCACTACTGTCATATTATTTTATATTATGCTTACTTTATCTATTAAAGTCATTCACTACTTACCTTATTCTCTCATTTTATTTTTGTGCAAGTTTCTTCTGCAAATTAGGCAGGTTTGCATGTTTGATGTTTACCTTTGTAATGATAACTTCCTATCATGCTCTTAGTTCTCTACTTTGGACTATATCTGTCAGGTCCCTATTATGAGCAATAATGAAATTAGCATATTTCCTCCTCCTTCCCTACCTTTTCCTTTCCTTCATCATCTAATTTTAGTCAGTGTTATCTTTCTTATGTTTATCTTTGTACAATTTAATATGCCCATAAATCTTTTACTTGATGTTCAACCTTAAGTGATATCCTTTGATTTCTGCAACTACAAAGGGGTCAATTAGTGAGCATATTCTACCTTCCACCTTTACCTCCCTTCTCTTTTCTATTCTGGAATTGTATCATTTCTAACATCTCAGCAGATTATGGGACACATTTTCTGATCTGTCATGCTAATCCCCACATTTGTTTAAGCCTTGGAACTATAGTTAGGTATATGCTATGTTCAACCATCTCTTGGTTTTCTGAAGTTTGTCTGTATGTGTTAGATATCCTTTGCCTGTCTTCTACATCTAACATTTTCTCTTTCATCTTTTGAAAAACTTTCTTTACTTCCATTTCATCTGTTCATTGTTTTCACTTTTACTCTTTTTTGTCAATACTGTGTCTTCTCTTTTATGTTCTTGTCAATTTTGTCTTAATTCTATGGTCCTTTTGCTATGTTATTCTATTTCTTTCCCAAGTTCTTCAAGCACGTGATTTGTTTCTTCCTATTATTCTATCATCTCTTCCCTGATATATGTGTATAGATAGATAGATGATAGATAGATGATAGATAGATAGATGATAGACAGATAGATAGATAGATGATAGATAGATGATAGATAGATAGATGATAGATTAGATAGATGATAGATAGATAGACGATAGATAGATGATAGACAGATGATAGATAGATAGATGATAGATAGATGATGGATAGATGATAGATAGATAGATAGATAGATGATAGATAGATGATAGATAGATGATAGATAGATAGATGATAGATAGATAGATAGATAGATAGATAGATAGATAGATAGATTTTTTTTTTTTGAGATGGAGTTTCGCTTCCAGGCTGGAGTGCAATGGCATGATCTCTGCTCACTGCAACCTCCGCCTCCCAGGTTCAATCGATTCCCCTGCCTCAGCCTCCCAGGTAGCTGGGATTACAGGTGCCCATCACTATGCCCGGCTAATTTTTTTTTTTTCGTATTTTTAGTAGATGGGGTTTCACCATGTTGGTCAGGCTGGTCTCAAACTCCTGACCTCAGGTGATCCACCTGCGTCGGCCTCCCAAATTGCTAGGATTACAGTGTGAGCCACCGTGCCCCGGCCGATATTTTTGCTTTTTAATATTAATTTTTGCCTTGTAGTTTTACTTTTAGAGGAAATTTCTTCAATAATCTTTAAATTTCATGGCAACATATTAAGCAACATTTTACTGGTTTCATGATGACAACATTTTTCTGATAAGTATTCTTTATTTCTTGGCAAATCTTGCTGATTTTTTCAGCAAGATATAAAAGCAGGTATCTTTAAATTTGTGTTTGGGTAGTTCATTTTAAAAATTATTCATCTTGAATGACTTGGGTTTCCCCGGATCAAAAGGTTTCCGGCAGGGGAGTGGTATGGAGAGGTGGACTGGAGACAATATAACCTTCTAAATTTTACAACTCACAGAATTTCTTCTTCTCTGCTCTGCCACAGAGACAGACTGTTTCTTGCAGATAAGGCGCATCTTTGTGATTCTTTGAGCAGCTCCACCTTTTTTGCTTTTTTGTATCATATGACCCATCCAAGAGTGTTTCTGCTGCCCAGCTTTGCTTACTATACTTCTTGCTTTTTTTTAACTGAAAACAGGAGACACATATGTACACGTCGAGTAGAGCCTCTTACCTATTTTTATTGGCACTTTCAACTCTGCTACCCCCACCCCCACCCTGGGCCATCTAGCTGCTCTCTGAACCTTTTTCTTTATATTCTTCTTATAGCTTTTGCTTAATATCAGCCGCCTTGACATTCCTTGCACAAATTTTAGAGTCTGCATATAATATCTAGCTATCTTGATTTCACTGAAAGTGGAGTATGTAGGGTGTTTTTCATTCTCCTTGCTGCTTTTGTAGGATTCTCTGGAGGACAAGGTGAAAGATGTTGATTTACTCAACCATGTTCTACTTGAAGTCTGACCCTATTATTTGTCCTTGAAGTTAACACATCCTGTTGTTCATGTCCTTGTGTATTCTGAAAAATTGATTATTATCTGTTACCCAATATTTCAATTTAATTGAAATATTTGATTTTGTAATTTTTATAGATTTGATTTTTATTTTATTAAAAATTATAGAAGGAGACGATCGTAAAGAGTGAAATATTCACCAGTTGGGGTGGCAGTGTGGCTCTCAGCAGTTCCTTCTTTTGGAATTGGCACCCATACTTAGGGGGAGGCCTTATCCCTGCTCCTCTCATCACAGCTGTTTGGCACAGTAATACTGATGAGCAGTAGGCAATTGTCATAATCAACAATTCAGAAATATTACAATCACCAGTTCATAAATTCGTTTCTTACCTTTTCTTTACTTTCTTCTAAAAAGGAAATGGGAATGCATTGTTTTATTTATTGTATCTATATCTTGGGATAACTGCTATTACTATTTTCATTTTACAGATAATGAAATAAAGCTCAAAGAGGCTCAGTTTCCAAGATTACACAACCAGGTAGGTGCTGAGATAGGATTTAAATCCAAGACCACCTAAATCTGAATTACAGTCATTTTACTATATTATACTATGCTATACTATCAATATAACAACACTACACTATACACCAGACTATACTATACACTATACCATACCATACCATTACCATCCCATACCATCCCATGCCATACCACACCACACCATACCATTATCATACCATAGCATGCCATTACCTTAACATGCCATGCCATACTATGCCAGGCCATACCATACGGTTACTAGGCCATCCCATACCATACCATACCATCCCATACTAATGCCATCCCATCCCATACCATACCATCCCATCCCATACTAATACTATCCCATCCCATCCCATCCCATACCATACCATCCCATACTAATACCATCCCATCCCATCCCATCCCATCCCATCCCATCCCATACCATACAGGCAGCCTCCTTACTTTCTGGGGTGAATTCACATTTCCTGGAAATACACATATTATAAAATATACATACTATTGTGTACGTACTTTAGTAGAGTTTATAAACTTTATTAAATAACTATTCTTAAGTTTAAAGGCAGGTATATTAGTGAAGTCATTAAGTTGTTAGTAATGCCTATTTTTCTTTTCCAAATGATAACCAAAAATAATTTTTGCATGGGAAAGAGCCTTTTGTTTTTCCTCAAATTTTAAGCTTTCCCCTAGGGAATGAAAATTTCAAAGATGTTAAATAGTTCCCTAACTCAAGGTCTAAAGCAGGGGCAAATGTCCTATTCAGTAAGCCTGGGAACTCATCTACATTTCCTCCGGGTCAAGAGGCAGAGAGGCCGGAGTGCTTTCAGCTCTTGTCTGAAGATGTACACTGACAGCACATGGGCAGGTCACGAGGCAGCAGGATGCTGAGACAAGATCCATACTCCCATTCCTGACTCTGTGGCTCATACGCTGGGGAGCCCTGAGCAAGTTACTTACCCTCTTGGGATCACAGTTGCCTCATTTTTACAAAGAGTGTGTTAGACTAGATGGTCTTATATAAGGCCTCCTCCAGAGAAAAAAATGATAGAATTTGTGCTTTTTATAAGGCAGACTGTGTGAGCTATACTGTTAGAGTTTTAAAAAGCACACAGCTTACAAAAGTATTTTATAAACTATAATCTAAATAGCATCTGAAAGCAAATGCAACATTTTAAAAAATCCTTATCTCTGGGTGGTAGAATTTCCTTCTGTATGTTTTTCTGCCTTTTTCAATTTCTGTACAATGAATATGTATTATTTTTGTAATCTGAAAAAAATTGTATTTTGTTTTTTAACACATTGGAAACTGCAAGGGAACCAAAAATAGAATAAAACAACCCAAATTTTAATGTAGCCAGGATACCAGACAGAAGGCCCAACATCCCACATATTATGGAACGTTTTAAGGTGTCAGGGGGTCAGGATCTCATCTGACAGATGGACTCACCAGCAACCCAGTCCTCTCAGCAGAATCCGGGGACAGTGTTTCCATAATGACTCACGGGGACGGTGCCAGCCAACCCCAGATCACAGCCTTTTCCATTTCCAGCCCCAGAGTTGTCACAGCCTGACACTGTGGTTCTCATGGAATTCTGAAACAAGCCTGGCTTCATCATAATGACTGCCTATTCAAGGCAGAAATGGGAAGGAGGATATGACTAATGACATTTGGAGGGAGATTGGGAACAAAACCAAAAATTACAGTGACTTTCTGGTTGGGACACACTGGTTAGGAACAGAACTGCATATTCAGAAATCCAAGAGTGTGTGGCCTGGCCAAAGGACCAGAGGCAAAAATAAACATCAGACCTGCCCAATTTGTCAGTTTTGAGTGATGAATCTTGAGCTTCAGGCTGGGAGTTGGGCAAGAAGCCATTTGACAGGTGGACTCCTCAGCAGTGGGGGCAAACTTGCTTGGTGGGGAACCACAGTAGGGAGACCCATCTTGGCATGAAGGACACTCCCAGTTGTCTTGTAAATGCTATCCCCCCAACCCACGCCAAAATTATCCTCATGGCATCTCACATTCCCAAGGTAGATTCAGACAAAATCATTGTCAGTTCACAAGCTTAGCCAATTGTGTAAGACTCACAACTCCCAGGCACTCCAGTTTCCATTCATTAATAGGGGTTCTTATCCTGGACCCACGGACTTCTCAGGGGTCTGTGGACAGAATTCAGGGGTCTTTGATCTTGGGTGAAAGAGCAATTGGATGTTTATTTTTATTAACCTATGACTGAAATTTAGCATTGCCTTCTGTAATGTATGTTGGCAACAAACCACAGTAACATCAATAGTACCCTGACGTTGTCAGCAATGGGAAGTAGTGATATATTTAAATTACATTACCTTGTTGTAAATATCTCAAAATAATGCTTATGCTTATTACTGCTTGAAAATTACAGAACTCATTAGACCCACTATTAGGTCTTGTTATTCAATGCATTAATTAAGAAACACATCTATTACTATGGCACAAATTCACTTAGAAAAATATTCTAATAACTACATCCACTATAATGATTTCCACTGTAGTCCTCTGTATTTTACCTTGTGCATTTCCAAACATTCTCAAAAGTAATCCATAGGTTTCACAAGATGGCCAGAGGATCTGCAGCATAAAAACATTTAAGAATGACTGCATTAAAATAAAAATATGGTACTTCCTTTTTCATCCACATTCAACATTAGACTAAATCTTTGGTACTTGATTACCTCTGAAGACTTCGGCTGCCAGGCGAGATGGGATAATGGGTCAGAGACTCTCCATCAATATAACTTAAAATCTGCACCAAATATACAAAACAACTATTTTCAAAACATTGGAAATCAGCTAACAAAGTGTAGTGATCCATGAGAGCTGGGAAATGAATAAAGGGAAGCCTACCATTGCCAAAGTGTACAGCCAGAAGACAGTTTCCAGGCATGAGTGCAGGCAGGGGAACCCAGCTGGAGCCTGCTAGTCTCCCCTGGTTAAGAAGACTTCAGTTGGAAGTCTGAGAGACAGAGGTGGCTAGAGTTTGCAAGACATAGTATCAAAGAAGAAAGAGCTGCAAAGAGAAAGAGTTCTGGAGATCTTCAAGGAAGTCCCTGTAAGTCTTCAGCTATGGACGGATCAGCACATGCATAAGAGAAAACTACCCACGGCTGAAGAAAGAAGCCCCTGAAAGGATTACAGGGAGCAACGCTGGAAATCAGCCTGAGCAGGGAAGGGTTCACAGTTCAGTGGTCACAGATTCTACCTCAGTAATGGGGAAAAAGTTAACCCTAGACTAAATGCTATTCTGGGCCCTCCTGTCAAAACTTGAAAGTAAAATCTGAAAGAAGCAAACTGGACCCAAGTACCTTAACTGAACTTCAGGATAAAACTCAAGAATATGAATAGAAGTAGGAATACAAAAGTGTCCAACACTTAAAAATGTAAAATTGATAATGCTGGTATCTCAGAATTACCAGGCGTGCAAAACAGCAGAAAACTATGACCCATGATGAGAAAAAAATTAATCAATAGAAACTGGCCCCAAAATAACACAGATGATGTAGTTGCTAGCCAAGGACATAAATATAGTAATTATAATTGTATTTCGTGTGTACCAGAAGATAAAGATTAAACATGTTAAGTAGATATATGGTAGATATTACACACACACACACACACACACACATGAATTAAGAGATGAAAACTACCATGTCTGAGATGAAAAGTAGTTGGGACAGGATTTATGCTGCAGAAGAAAAGTTTAGTGAACTTGAAGACATGGCAACAGCAACTATCCAAAATGAAACACAGAAGAAAAAATAGAATAAAAAAACGATTAACAGAGATTCAGTGAACTGTGGAACAATTTCATGTGGTCTACTATATGTGTAATTGAAGTCTCCAAAGGAGGAGAGAGCAGAAAAAATAATTGAAGAAATAATACCCTCAATTTTTTCAAAGCTGATGAAAAATATAAACTCACACTATAAATTCAAAACACTCAATTAACCCCCAAGTACAAGAAATGTGAAGAAGGCTGGGCATGGTGGCTCATGCCTGTAATCCCAGCAGTTCGGGAGGCTGAGGTGGAAGGATCACTTGAGGCCAGGAATTCAAGATTAGCCTGGGCAACAAAGCGAGAACTCATTTCTACAAAAAAATAAAAAAAATTAGCCAGACATGGTGGCGTCCACCTGTAGTCCTAGCTACTTGGGAGACTGAGGCAGGAAGATCACTTGTGCCTGGGAGTTCGAGGCTGCAGTGAGCTTTGCACCAGCCTAGGTGACAGAACAAGACCCTGTCTCCAAAATTTAAAACATAAAAAATAAACAGGTGAAGAAAACCAAGGCATATTACAATCAAATTGCTTCAAACCAATGGTAAAGAGAAATTCTTGGGCCGGGCGCCGTGGCTCACGCCTGTAATTCCAGCACTTTGGGAGGCCAAGGTGAGCGGATCATTTGAGGTCAGGAGCTTGAGAGCAGCCTGGCCAACATGGCAAAACCCCATCTCTACTACAAATTAAAAAATAGCCAGGCATGATGGCGCACACCCGTAATCCCAGCTACTTGGGAGGCTGAGGCACAAGAATCGCTTGAGCCTGGGAGGCAGAGGTTGCAGTGAGCCAAGATCACACCACTGCACTCAAGCCTGGGCAACAGAGGGAGAGAGGGAGACTATGTCTCAAAATAAATAAATAAATAAAAAATAAAAAAGAGAAACTCTTAAAGCAGCCAAAGGAAGAAAGACACCTTATTGTACAGAGGAACAAAGTGAGGATTCTAGCACATTTCTCATCTGGAACTGCAAGTGAGAAGATGGTACAGCAACATCCTCAAAGTATTAAAATAACAAAAGAAAACAAAGCAAAAAACCCATCAACATACAATTTTTCTCCTTATGTTAAATCCTTTAAGAAGTTTTTAAAAAATTAGTATTTATATATTTAATAAGTAATTAAATGTTTACATAATACTGTACAGATCTTCCCCTTCCTTGGTTAAATTTATTCCTAAATGTTTTTTGATGCTATTGTAAATGGGATTGTTTTCACTGCAACCTCCATCTCCTGGATTCAAGTGATTCTCCTGCCTCAGCCTCCTGAGTAGCTGGGATTACAGGCAGGCACCACCATGTCCAGCTAATTTTTGTATTTTTAGTAGAGACAGGGTTTCACCATGTTGCCCAGGCTGGTCTCGAACTCCTGGCCTCAAGTGATCCACCCACCTCGGTCCCCAAAGTGCTGGGATTACAAGCATGAGCCACTATGACCAGACCCAAAATTTCATTTTTCAGCTAGTTCATTGCTAGTGTATAGACATGCAACAAATTTTGTATACTGATTTTGTACCTTGCAATTTTACTGAATTTGTTTATACAAAAATTCCTAAATCTATGACATAAATCAATAGTTTTGTCAATGTAGTTGAACAATATTAAACTATGTATGCCTTTTTGTAGTTTTCTATTTTTAACTTTTTTCCTGCTTTATTAAGGTAAAATTGACAAATAAAAATTATACATATTGAAGGTATATGATGGGATTTTTTTGATGTAGTTATACATTGTGGCATGATTATCACAATGAAGTTAATGAACATAGCTATCATCTCACAATTGTCTTTTTGTGTGTGTGGTGAGAACATTTAAGCCCTTCTCTGTTAGCAAATTTCAAATATACAATACAATATTATTAATTATAGTCACGATGCTGTTCATTAGATCTCCAGAATTTACTCATCCTGTGTAAAAAACTGTACCCTCTGTCCAATACCTCCTCATTTCCCCCACTCCACAGCTCCAAGCTACCACCATTTTACTCTGTGTCTATGAGTTTGACATTTTCAGATTTCACACATAAATGAGATCATGCACTATCTTCCTTTCTGTGCCGGGCTTATTTCACATAGCATAATATCCTTCAGGTTTATTCATGTTATTCCAAATGACAGGAATTCTTTCATTTTTATGGCCAAGTAATATTCCATTGTGTGTGTCTGTGTGTGTGTGTGTATAATATTTCCATTCATCTGCCAGTGGACACTTAGGTTGCTTTGATGTCTTAGCTATTGTCAGTAATGCTGCAATGCACATGGGAGGGCAGATATCCCTTCCACAGACTTATATCATTTCCTTTGTATACATGCCCTAAAGTGAGATTGCTGGATCATAGAGTAAGTGCAATGTACAAGGGTTCCCTTTTTATCACATCCTCACCAACACTTGTTATTGTTTGTCTTTTTGGTAATTGCCATTCTAACAGATGTGAGGTAATAACTCATTGTGGTTCTAATTTGCATTTCCATGATGATTAGTATGTCGAGCTTTTTTTTCATATACCTGTTGGACTTTTGTATTCCTTCCTTTAAGAGCTTCTGCACAGCAAAAGAAACTACCATCAGAGTGAACAGGCAACCTACAGAATGGGAGAAAATTTCTGCAACCTATTCATCTGACAAAGGGCTAATATCCAGAATCTACAATGAACTCAAACAAGTTTACAAGAAAAAAACAAACAACCCCATCAAAAAGTGGGCAAAGGATATGAACAGACACTTCTCAAAAGAAGACATTTATGCAGCCAAAAGACACATGAAAAAATGCTCATCATCACTGGCCATCAGAGAAATGCAAATCAAAACCACCATGAGATACCATCTCACACCAGTTAGAATGGCAATCATTAAAAAGTCAGGAAACAACATCAGTCCAGCATGTGCTGGAGAGGATGTGCAGAAATAGGAACACTTTTACACTGTTGGTGGGACCGTAAACTAGTTCAACCATTGTGGAATTCAGTGTGGTGATTCTTCAGGGATATAGAACTAGAAATACCATTTGACCCAGCCATCCCATTACTGGGTATATACCCAAAGGATTACAAAACATGCTGTTATAAAGATACATGGACACGTATGTTTATTGCAGCACTACTCACAATAGCAAAGACTTGGAACCAACCCAAATGTCCAACAATGATAGGCTGGATTAAGAAAATGTGGCACATATACACCATGGAATACTATGTGGCCATAAAAAAGGATGAGTTCATGCCCTTTGCAGGGACATGGATGAAGCTGGAAACCATCATTCTTAGCAAACTATCACAGGGACAAAAAACCAAACACCACATGTTCTCACTCATAGGTGGGAATTGAACAATGAGAACACATGGACACAGGAAAGGGAACATCACACACTAGGGCTTGTTGTGGGTGGGGGGAGGGGGGAGGGATAGCATTAGGAGATATACCTAATGTTAAATGATAAGTTAATGGGTGCAGCACACCAACATGGCACATGTAAACATAGGTAACAAACCTGCACGTTGTGCACATGTACCCTAAAACCTAAAGTATAATAATAATAATAAAAAAGAAATGTCTATTCAGGTCCCTTGTCAATTTTTTAATTGGGTTGTTTTATTGCTACTGACATACAGTTTCAGGTCTTATATTTAAGTCTTTAATCCATTTTAGTTGATTTTTTGCATGTGGTATGAGATAAGAGTCCAATTCTTTTCTGCATGTGCCAGGTGTGATGACTCATGCCTGTAATCCCAGTGCTTTGGGAGGCCAAGGCAGGAAGATTCCTTGAGACCAGAAGTTTGAGACCAGCCAGTGTAGAGAGAATCAACAAAGGGAGAACCTCATCTCTACAATTTTTTTTGTCTTAGCTGGGCATGGTAGCATGCATCTATAGTCCTAGCTGCTTGGGAGGCTAAGGTAGGAGGATTGCTTGAGCCCAGGAGCTTAAGGCTGCAGTAAGCCATGATTGCATCACTGCACTCCAGCCTGGGTGACAGAGCAAGATCCTATGAAAAAAAAAGAAAGAGAGAAAAAAGAAGACTATTCTTTCTCCAGTGCATGTTATCGGTACTTTTGTCAAAGATCAAAGGTTAATCACTTTTGACCATAAATGTGTGGATTTATTTCTGGGCTCTCTATTCTTTTCCATTGGTCTATATGTCTGTTTTCATGCCAGTACCATACTGATTTGATTGCTGTAACTTTGCAGTGTATTTTGAAATTTGGTAGTGTGATGTCTCTAGCTTTGTTCTTATTGCACAAGATTGCTTTTACTATTCTGGGTCTTTTGCAATTTCAAATGAATTTTAGGATGGCCTTTTCTAATTCTGTGAAAAATGCCATTGGAATTTTGATAGAGATTGCATTGAATCTATAGGTCACTTTGGGTAGTATGAATATTTTAACAATTTTAATTATTCCAATCATTAACATGGGATGTCCTTTCATTTGTGTCTTCTTCAATTTCTTTCATCACTGTTTTATACTTTTCAATGTACAGATCTTTCTCTTACTTGGTTTGATGTATTCCTAAATATATTTGGTGCCTTTGTAAATAATATTGTTTTCATAATTTCTTTTTTCAAATTGTTTATTGTTTGTATATAAAAATGTAACAGATTTTTAATATCATATCTTGCAACTTTACTGAATTTGTGTATTAGTTCTAAGAGTTTTTTGGTGACACTTTTGCTTTAGGGTTTTTGTATATAAGATCATAGCATCTGTAAGCAGAGACAATTTTACTTCTTCCTTTTTGATTTGGTTGCCTTTTGTTTCAGTCTGTTCTCACACTGCTATGAAGGAATATCCAAGACTGGGTAATTTGTAAAGGAAAGAGGTTTAACTGACTCACAGTTCTACATTGCTGGGCAGGCCTCAGGAAACCTACGATCATGGCAGAAGGCAAAAGAGAATCAGGCAACTTCTTCACAGGGTGGCAGGATGGAGTGGGTGCTAGCAGGGGAAATGCCAGACACAAAACCATCACATCTCATAAAACTCACCCATTATCATGAAAACAGCATGGGGGAAACTGTCCCCATGATCCAGTTACCTCCACCTCGTCCCGCCCTTGACACATGGGGATTATAACGATTACAATTCAAGGTGAGATTTGGATGGGGAAACAGAGCCAAACCATATCACCTTTTATTTCTCTTTCTTGCCTAATTTCTGCTAGGACTACCAGTACTATATTGAATAGAATCAATGAAAGTGAGCTTGTCTTGCTTATGCCAGGCAAGTGAATCCTTGTCTTGCTACTGATCTTAGAGAAAAAGCTTTCAGCTTTTCATTATTGATTACGTTAGCTGTGGACTTGTCATATATAGCCTTTAATGTGTTGAGGTACGTTCTTTCTATACCTAATTTATTGAGAGAGTTAATCATGAAAGAATGTTGTCATCAAATGCTTTTTCTGCATCCACTGAAATTATCATGTGGTTTTTATCCTTTATTCTGTTAATATGGTATATCACGTTTATTGACTTTTGTATATCAAACTATCCTTGCATCCCAGGGATAAATTCCCCTTGATCATGGTATATAATTCTTTTAATGTGCTATTGAATTCAGTTTGCTAGTATTTTGTTGATAATTTTTGCATACAAGTTCACCAAAAACATTGGCCTATAATTTTATTTTCTTATAGTGTCCTTGTCTGGCTTGGGCATCAGGGTAATGCTAGCCTCATAAAATGAACTTGGAAGTATTCTTTCCTCATCAAGTTTTTAGAAGATTCTGAGAAAGATAGGCTTTAATTCTTCTTTAAATATTTGGTAGAATTCATTAGTGAAGCTATTAAATCCTGGACTTTTATTTTTGGGGAGGTTTTATTACTGACTCAATCTCCTTACTCAATATTTGTCTGTTCAAAATTTCTATTTCTTCATGATTCAGTTTTGGTGGGCTGGACATTTCTAGGAATTTATCAATTTCTTCTAGGCTATCCAACTTGTTGGCATATAATTGTTCATAGTCTGTTATGATCCTTTGCGTTTCCATGGTATCCGTAGTAATGCCTTCTCTTTCCAAAACAGAGTAGTGGTAGCTATACTTACTATCAGGCAAAATAGATTTTAAGTCAAAAACTGTCACAGGAGACAAAGAAGGTCATTATATAATAATAATGGGGTAAATTCATCAAGAGGATGTAAGAATTGAAAATATATATGCATCAAACATCATAGCACCTAAACATATAAAGGAAATATTAAGAGAACTGAAGGAAGAAATAGGCAGTAATACAGTAACAGTTGGGAACTTTAATACTTCACTTTCAACAATGGATAGGTTATCTAGACAGAAAATCAATAAAGAAATAGCAGACTGTAGGCCAAAAGGACGTAACAGACATATACAGAACATTCCATCCAACAGCAGCAGAATATACATCCTTTTTAAATACAAACAGAGTAGTCTCCAGGTAGATCACATTAGGCCACAAAACAAGTCTTAACAAATTTAAGAAGACCGAAATCAATCAAATATGTCTTCTGACCACAATGATATAAAATTAGAAATCAATAGCAGGAGGAAAACAAGAATTATAAATACATGGAAATTAAACAACATACTCCTGGACAACCAATGGTTATATCAAGAAATCAAAAGAAAATCAAGAAATATCTTGAGACAAACAAAATGGAAATACAACATATCAAAACCTATGGGATGCAGCAAAAGCAGTTCTAAGAGGGAAGTTTGTAGTGATAAACACCTACATTGAGAGAAAAGAAAGATCTTAAATAACCTAACTTCACACCTCAAGGATCTAGAAAAAGAACAACAAGCTAAACCCAATATAGCATAAGGAAGGAAATAGTAAAGATCAGAGCAGAAATAAATAAAAGAGACACTAGACAACAACATATATTGGTAAACTTAAGGGTTGGTTTTTTTTTTTTTAAAGATAAGCAAAATTGAAAAAGCTTTCACCAAACTAAGAGAAAAAGAGAGAAAACTCAAATAAATAAAATGGTAAACACAGAATTCTTTATCCAGAAAAAAGTCTTTTCAAAATGAAGGCAAACTAAAGACTTTTGCAAACATACAAATGCTGAAGGAACTCATTACTAGCAGGTCTGCAGTACAAAAAAAAATTTAGAGAAAGTCCTTTAGATAGAAAATCATGCTATTTGGAAATCAAGATCTACACAAAAGAATTAAAAGCACTAGAAATATGTATAAATATAAAACTTTAAAACATAATTTAAGTCTCTTTTTTAGAAAAGATGTCACTGTTTAAAGCAAAATCCAAAACAGTGTATTGTGAGGCTTATATGTAGAAATAAAATGTATGACAACAATAGCACGAAGTTTGGGAAGGAAGAAATAGAAGAGTACTATTCTAAGGTTCTTATATGATACATAAAGTGATATAATATCACTTGTGGTAGGTTGTGATCAGATTTAAAAAGTTACTATAAACTCTACAGCAACCTTTAAAATAACCCAGCAAAGTGTTTGAGCTTATAAGGCAACAAAGGAGAAAAAGTGAAATAAAAAGAAATACTCAAGCAATCCACAGGAATAGGACAAGGGAAAACAGGAACATAAAAGGGATGAGACACCTAGAAAACAGATAACAATATGTAGATTTAAACCTAACCATATTCATTCACATTAAATATAAGTGGCCTCAATGACCTAAATACAAGGTACAGATCATCAGATTGGATAAAAGAGAGAGACCCAGGTATATGCTGCCTGTAAGAAACATACTTTAAAAATGAAAACTAAATAGCATAAAAATAAAAAGATGGAAAAAGATATATTATGCTGACACTAACTAAAAGAAAACTGGAATGCTTATATTAATTTCACACTGAGTAAACTTCGGAGCTAAGGATATTACCATGGGAAAAGAGGATTCTTTCGGCAGGATAAAGACGTCAAGTCATCAAGGGGACATAGCAATGTTAAACATGTAAGCATCTAGTAACAGAACTTCAAAATACATTAAACAAAGACTGGATAGAAATAGAGAAAAAGAAAAATTATAGTCAGAGATTTCAATAGTCCTTTCTCAATTACTGATGTCTCAATAATTGAGGAAACATAGTGACCTGTGGGACAAAACAAGTAGTCTGATTGGCATGTAGTTGGTATCCCAGAAAAAAGGAAGAAGCAGCAGAAAAATGAAAGAAATAATGGCCAAACACTTTTCAAATTTGACGAAAACTATAAACCCATGATAGAGGAAGCTCAACAAAACTCACGCAGAGTAGACATAAAGAAAACCACACCAAAGTACATTATAATCCAATTGCTCAAAACCCATGATGAAGAGAAAAATCTTAAAAGCAGGTGTGGGTAGTTGGGGGAGATACACTACATACAGAGGAACAATGATAAGAAGGATGGCAAATTTTAGTCACAAACTGTGCAAGCTATTGGAAAATGAGGCAACAGTACTGAATGAAAAACCCTGTCGATGTAGGATATTATATCCAGCAAAAAGATTTTTTTAACGTAAAGGTAAAAAAGACAAACAAAAGGCAATAGAACTTATTCCCAGTAAACCTGCACCACAAGAAAAGGTAAGGAATTTATTCATGAAAAAGGAAAATGATACCAGATGGAAATAAATCTACACAAAGTAAGGAAGGGTACTGGAAATGGTAAATATGTGGGCAAATAGAAAATATATTTATTAATAAGAAGTCTTTGCCCTGCAGCCTGGCCATGAGTCTGTTTGCCTCCATGTGGCAGATGGGATGGATTCACTGCTAAATTTGTGGGAAGACTGGGTGCTGGGCACCATCAGGAGGAGACTCGCCAGCAGCCCTCCTTGGGTTCTGAGAGTTTGTCTTGGATTGAAAAGGAACAGTGGCCTTGGTTGTAGATGCAACTAGAACGCTACAAACTATTCATGCTGGATGATCTGCTGTGTGCTCCCAACTTCTCCAAGAACATTTTAATCTAAAACCACTACCTGAAGTAATGGGAGTATCAGTAGCCATGATGCTGCCATTTGGAGGAACAGGAGTAGGCTCTAGGCACCATGTGGAGGTAGGTCCCACTGTGCCTGGTCCTTGTTGTGTGCCCCCTTCTATTTAATTTTCGCACACAGTGTTCTCCCTGTGTCACAGATGACAAACTCAAAGATTAAAGAACTACTAAAAAAAGCAAGACGCAGAAGAGTGTATGTAATATATTACCTCTCATGTAAGAAAGAAAGGGAAATGAGAAAAAACATGATATTCACACACATACATATTTGCTTATTTTTGCAAATAGAAACATGGAAGCTAATGAAAATGGTTACCTAGGAGGGGTAGACAGGAGTGTGTTAAAGAGAATATGAATAGCAAGATTCCCACCCCCTTTTTAATAGCTTTGAGTTTTGATCTGTATAAATGTCTTACATATTTAAAAATAACATTTAAAATAAAAAGAAATAGAAAAAAAAAGGAAAAATTGAAACTGAACATAAACTAGGCCAGGTGTGGTGGCTCATGCTTGTAATCCCAGTACTGCGGGAGGCCAAGGTGGGAGGATCTCTTGAGGCTAGAATTCAAGACCAGCCTGGGCAACATAGGGAGACCCTGTCTCTATTAAAAAAAAAAATGAACATAAACTAAAAAACACTATATCAAATTGATAACCTATTCATACAGAGCAAATAATTATTTCAAGTATCTTAAACTCGTAGTAGTCTGCTTCCTTCGAGGTCAGTCAATAGTTTATATCAGTAATATTGATGTTGTAGATAAAGGAAAGCAACAAAATTATACCATGATAATAAGCTTGATGGAAAGGTTCCCAAACACAAGTCCTATATCTGTTCTATTTGTTCCTTCATGACAAAGAGCTTCCTCTACAATTCTTTATTTCCTGTGTAAACCCAAGACCTGAAACTTAACACTAAAAAAAAAAAGATGAGATGTCATTTACCTAAATAGAGAAATATAATAACATGGTGCTAATGAAAATATTGAAAATATAATCTAATTAATTTGAAGAACTGATTGGCACAGTTTAGAGGAAGCTATTGCAATAGACCTGCTGCTGTGGTTAGTAAATAAGAATTTTAGCTGTTTAGATTCTTTAATTTCTCACATTGAAGCTAGAGAATTTTCAGAGAAACCAATAAAAGATGAGGATCCAATTTCAGAGTTGGGTATTTGGAGTAAGTGGATCATAATATGGTGTAGAAAAGTCTGAGGGTGCTAGATTGCTGGATAAAAGTATTAAGAACAGTTAAGGAAAAAAACCTCTTTATATGGGAAAGAAATGTTTACATGCTAGGTACTTGCTGCAATCTCTATAAATCTTTGGTGAAACAAAACAAAGACAGTTGTGGTGAGTACTAAGTAATACCAGTCAAGCACTCACTGTTCGCCCATGGACACTGCTCAATTAAAATAATGGAGGGTTTGCTGACAGTTAAATCAAAATGACTAGGAGTTGTTTTTTTTTTTTTAACTTTGCCATTTGCCAGACATGAGTATCTTATTTTCCAGAATTTTGAATAAAGTTATAGTAAAAATGAATATTTTTTATTTTTAATCTTTTATTTGTTTGTTTGTTTGTTTGTTTGTTTTTGAAACAGAATTTTGCTCGTGTTGCCCAGGCTGGAGTGCAGTGGTGTAATCTCGGCTCACCGTAACCTCCACCTCCCAGGTTCAAGTGAGTCTCCCACCTCAGCCTCCTGAGTATCTGGGATTACAGGCGCCTGCCACCACGCCTGGCTAATTTTTTGTATTTTTAGTAGGGACAGGGTTTCATCATGTTGGCCATGATGATCTCAGGTGACGACCTGACCTCAGGTGATCCACCCACCTAGGCCTCCCAAAGTGCAGGGATTACAGGCGTGAGCCACTGTGCCCAACCTATTTTTAATTGTTTTTAAAAAGTATTTGGCTATTTAGAGCAAAAATAAAAAACAATGTATTGTGGGTTTTATAACATATGTAGAAGTAAAATATATGACAACCATAGCACAAAGGTCAGTAGAACTGGAACTATGCTATTGTAAGTTTCTTATACTACAGAAGGTGTAATATTTCAAATAGGTTATTTGAAATAAGATGAAGATAATGTGTGTGTGTATATATAAATATATATACACACACGTACATACATATACATATATTATAAAATACACACACATATAACTGTAAACCCTAGAGCAACCACTGAAAAAGCAAAATCAAGAGGTATAGCCAATAAACAGAGTGGAAATCTAATGGGATTATTAAAAAATAATTGAAAGAAAGAAAAAAAGGAGCAAAGACCAGGTAAAATAAAAATATAAGAAGATAAACTCCACCATACTTATAAGTACATTTAAAAAAATATTTTTGGTGCATAATATTTGTCTATACTTATGGAGTACTTGTGATATTTTGTTACATGCATGGAATGTGTAATGATCAAGTCAGGGTGTTTAGGGCATCCATTACCTCAAGAATTTACCATTCCTATGTGTTGGAAACATTTCATGTTCTCTCTTCTAGCTATTTTGAAATATATAACACCTATTGTTAACTATAGTCACTCTACTTTGCTATGGAACATTATAACTTATTCCTTCTATCTAACTGTATTCTTGTACGCATTAACCCACCTCTTTCCATCCCTGCTTCCCAACCACACACCCTTCCCAGTCTCTGGTCTCTCTCATTCTACTGTCTATCTTCATATGATCCACTTTTTTAGCTCCCACATGTGAGTGACAATATGCAACATTTGTCTTTCTGAGCCTGGCTTATTTCACTTAACATAATGACCTCCAGTTCCATCCATATTGCTGCAAATGACATGATTTCATTCTTTTCTGTGGCTCAATGTATTCCATTGTGTGTACATATACACAGTTTGTTTATCCATTCAGCCACAAAAAAGAATGAAATCATTTGTTGATGGTCACTTAGGTTGATTTCATATCTTTGCTATGGTACATAGTGTTGCAATAAACATGGGGCTACAGGTATCCCTTTGATATACTGATCTCCTTGCCTTTGTCTAAATACCCAGTAGTGGGATTGCTGGATATATGGTAGTTCTATTTTTAGTTTTTTGAGAAATCTCCATACTATTTTCCATAGTGGCTTTACTAATTTACATTCTCACCAATGGTACAGAAGAGTTCCCTTTTTTCACACCCTGGCCAGCATCTGTTTGTTTGTCTTTTTAATAATATCCATTCTCACCGGGGTAAGATCATATCGCGTTGTGGTTTTAATTTGCATTTCTCTGATGATGAGTGATATTGAGTATTTTTTCACATACCTTTTGGCCATTTGTATGCCTTCTTTTGAGAAATGTCTATTCATATCCTTTGCCCACTTTTTAATGTGATTATTTGTTTTTTGTTGTCGTTGGGTTGTTTGAATTCCTTGTATATTCTGGATATTAATCCCTTGCTGGATGAATAGTTTGCAACTATTTTCTCCCATTCAACAGGTTGTCTTTTTACTCTATTGATTGTTTCCTCTACTGTGCAGATACTTTTTAATTTAATATAGTCCCATTTGTCTGTTTTTGGTTTTGTTGCCTGTGTTTTTGAGGTCTTAGCCATAAAATCTTTGCCTGGACCAGTATCCTGAAGTGTTTCTCCTGCATTTCTTCTACTGCTTTTTAAAATAGTTTTGGGTCTTACATGTAAGTCTTTAGACCATCTTGAGTTGATTTTTGTACATTGTGGAAGATAAAGGTCCAGTTTCATTCTTCTGCATATGAATATCCAGTTTTCCCAACACCATTTATTGAAGAGGAATGTCCTTAATATGAATGATTTAAGCACTCCTATTAAAAGGCAAAAATAGTCAAATTAGATTTTAAAAAGCAAGATCCAAATATATGCTGCCTATGAGAAAATATTTTAAGTATAAAGATGTTAAAAAGAAAAGAATAGAAAACAATGTATCCTGTGTGCAGAAAAGAGTTAACATAAAAGTCTAAAACTGCTATCCCTAGACAGGCCTTCTTGCAAAGCTGGCCTTCAATGGTGTGTGGGAGCTTGAATTTTGGGAATGTTACTACCATTTTCAGGACGGATGACAATGGCTTACTGTGCCTAAACTGTTTGTACAAATAATGTGGTTTATGGTGAACAACCACTTACCTTGTGGGAGTCTGGAATTTTGATATGTGCTAGTCAGAGAGTGTCTATATGACCAATGCTCTTAAAAAAAACAGAAGAAAACCTTGGCCATGAGTCTTTAACGAGCTTCCCTGGCAGAAAACATTTCACATGTGTTGTTACAATTCGCTGCTGGAAGAATTAAGTGCATCCGTGTATACTGAATTTGCTTTGTATCTCTTCACTATAATACATTATGGCTATGAATATAACTCTATGTGTCCTCCTAGTAAATCGTTAAAACTGGGAGTTGTCTTGGGAGACACAACATGAAAATACTAATCAAAAGAAAGTTGGAGTGGCTACATTAACATCATGGTAGATTTAATGACTGCTAATATCACCAGGAATAGAGAAAAGCATTTCATAATGATAAAAGGGTCAACTGATCAGGAGGATGTGATAATACCTAAATGTGTATGCAACTAGTTACAGAGCTTCAAAATACCTGAAGCAAAAATTGAAATAGTTGAAAGGAAAAATAAACAAATCCATAACTATAGTTGAAAATTTCCACTTTCCTTTATCTGTGATTGATAGATCAACTATAAAGAACATTTGTGAGGATATAGAAGAGCTTTTTTTTTGAGACAGAGTCTTGCTCTGTCACCCAGGCTGGAGTGTGATGGCACGATCTTGGCTCACAGCAACCTCCACCTCCCGGGTTCAAGCGATTCTCCTGCCTCAGCTTCCCAAGTAGCTGGGATTACAGGCACTCACCACCACGCCCGGCTACTTTTTGTACTTTTAGTGGAGACGGGGTTTTGCCATGTTGGTCAGGCTGGTCTGGAACTCTTGACCTCAGGTCATCTGCCTGCCTTCGTCTCCCAAATTACAGGCGTGAGCCACCACCCCTGGCCAGAAGAACTATTTAAACACAAAATTAAAGTAAAATTGATAATAAAGAGATATTTGAGATCTCTCCAAATATTTGGAAATTAAACAATACATTTAAAAATTCATGAAGAAATCACAAGGGAAATTAAAAAATATTCAGAATGGAATGAAAGTAAAATAACACATATTAAAATATGTGAAATGAAGCTAAGCCAGTATTTACAAGAAAATTAATAGCATTAAATACTTACATTAGGAAATAAAGAAAATTATCTAATTTTAAGGTACCAGGTAATTCAATGAAGAAAGGATTGACTTTTCAATAAATACTGTAGGAACAATTGTCTATCCATATTTGTATTCCATAATAGAATTAAATAGATACAGGATAATGAGTGCATTTCTGGCCATTCTTTTTCACAATTTCCAATTTTTCAAAAATAAGAGTGCATTACTTTTATCATTTTTTTTAAAAAAGGAGCAAAGTTCTTAGCTAACAAAAAGTTCTTAGCCAGATGGCATAATACAGCAAAAATCTGGCTATTTGAGAATAAAAGAGAATAGAAAAAATTTCTTTCTAAGATCATTTCTGATCTAAAATGCCATGATTCTCTCTTCCCACTAGTTAGTTACAACTCAGGGCAAATGAAGTGCAGCTTCTGTCACTGCATACAGCTTTTGTCGCTGAATCCCAATGGCCCTTCAGTCCTCAACACCAACCACTCTGTCTCTCTCCAAGTCGTGTCTCTATCTTGGATAAAGACCCAGTCTATCATCTGGCTGTTTCAGTAGGCGTCCCCTGTCCCTACAGGTTTTGTGGACTCCAGGTCATTGTCTTCTTTGGGGTTCTAGGATGATATTTTAAAATATTTAGGGGCCATTTTCTTAATTGACTGAGACCACAAAAAATATAAAATATTTTGTTTAATTATGGCCTGAATAATATCATATGCAGAATTAACTGGATCAGACATTTTGAATTATCTTTACAGATTTCTTTAAAAATATTGTAGGCCAGACACAGTGACTCATGCCTATAAGCCCAGCACTTTGGGAGGCTGAGGTGGGAGGATTACTTGAGCCCAGGAATTTGAGACCAGCCTGGGCAACATAGCAAGATCCCTGTCTCTACCAAAACAAACAAACAAACAAAAAAGTAGCCAGCTGCTGTGGCTCGTGCCTGTAGTCACAGCTACCCAGGAGGCTGAGGTGGGAGGATAGTTTGAGTCCAGGAGGTTGAGGTTGCAGTGAGCTATGATCATGTCACTGCACTTCAGCCTGGGAAACAGAGCAAGACCCTGTCTCAAAAAATAAAAAGATAGATAGAGAGAGAGACAGACTACAAGGCAGGCTGGGTGGGATGGCTCATGCCTGTAATGACAGCACTTTGGGAGGCCAAAGCAGGAGGATTGCTTGAGCCCAGAAGTTCGAGACCAGCTTGGGCAACATAGTGGAACCCCATCTCTACAAAAAAAATTAAAAAGAAAAAAAAATTAGCCTGATGTGGTAGTGCACACCTGTAATCCCAGATACTTGGGAGGGTGAGGAAGGAGGATCACTTGAGCCCGGGAGGTTGAGGCTACAGTGAGCCATGATCATCGCAGCACTGCACTCCATCCTGGGTGACAGACCGAGACTCCATCTCAAAAGAAAAAAAAAAAGAAAGAAAAAGAAATAACCACCTTAGGCAGAGTCAAGTTATTAGTTTTGATGCAATTATCAGATGGTGAAGTTGTTTTGTACTTTACAAACGTGTAAGAAGTGTGTTAGATAAGTTAGTGGTGTTCAACCACCAATATCCGTCCGCTGTCTATTATGCTAAATACTCCATGGGGATTTGAATGATTCTCTGGTTTCAAGGAGCTGTTGGCTGAGTCTAGGAGACAAGAAACTTCAGACAACTTCTGAACAATTAGAGCAACTGTCACTAGCTATAGTTCAGGATGCACGTGTCAAAACTGAGGACATTCAACAAAGAGGAGAATTCCCATAGAAAAGGTAAAGTCGGAGGAGGTGGAATCCTGGTGACACACTCTCGGGGTTGTCAATGCATATGGGTCTAGGACTAGCACAATATTTGGAGGAAAATATTACAAAGACCTCTCAACTGAGGTCAAATAAATATGCTATTGTATCATAGTCAATTCAATCTTACTAGTAGAAAAGTTGATTTGAAATCAATTCATTGGTTTTGATGGAAAATTCATGCACTCGTTCAAGAAATATGTACTGAATTTTTGGTATGTGTCAGGCACTGAATAAGAAGATAGGGATGCCCAGGTGAGCAGTAGGACACAATCCCTGCCCCCATGGAATATATACGTCCCAGGAGGGTTAGTCGATGTTATCAAGTTATAAGCACAGACAGCTGCCTCCCACAACACAGGAAAGAACCAGGGTGTTCAGGAACATGTATCCAGACCAAATCTAGCCTGGGAAGTCCAGAAAGACTTTCCTGAGGTCGTGATGATTCAGTTGAATTTTGGAGGATGAAAAGAAATCAGCAGGGTGAAGGGGAAAAGAACATTCCTGACAGAAGAAACTGCATATGTAAAGGTTAAATTACTTTTACCTTATAATATTTTTTTGACACAGGTCTTGCTCTGTCGCCCAGGCTGGAATGCAGTGGCAGGATCTCGGCTCACTGCATCCTCTGCCTCCCAGGTTCAAGCGATTCTCCTGCCTCAGACTCCCAAGTAGCTGGGATTACAGGCCTGCGCTACCACGCCCCACTAATTTTTATTTTATTTTATTTTTTTAAGTAGAGACAGGGTTTCACCATGTTGGCCAGGCTGGTCTTAAACTCCTAACCTCAGGTGATCCACCCGCCTCGGCCTCCCAAAGTATTGGGATTACAGGTGTGAGCCACCACGCCCAGCCAGGTGGTTATTTCTAACCTTTGGAGATTGCAGTCTCCTTTTAGAATGGCAAAAGTTGGGGACTTCCTGGAAAACTCCACATGCACAGACTGTAGGTTCAATAATCACAGACTAAGACTTACATTGAGCAGAGTGCATGGAATGTAGTATAAAAATACACTTGTGTAATCCAGGCCAGTGGTGTCTGTGATGTATTATTTTATGATTTTGCATTTATGAAGTTCTATGTAGGATCTGTCTTTGATGGCAATTATTAGAATAATTTGGGAGATGAAGAAAATAATTTTAGAGAAGAAAATTAACACTAGGTACCTACCATGTGACTGCATTGTGCTGGGCCTGGTATATACCTGATTACATTTCATGACACAGCACCCTAGAGACAGCTGTCATTGACCCCATTCTTTAGTTGAGAAAACTGAGGACCAGTGAGTTAAACAACTAGTCTGAAATAATGCAGTTACTAAGGAGTGGAGCCGGGATTCAAGTCCAGCAAACACATCCTTCTCAAACACCAGCCAGACCTTGTAGGTCATTACAGCTGCATAAACCTCACTTTGGGCTGCTCTGTAGAAGTTTTGCTCTGAAGTTCTGTAATGTACTTTTTACGTTGAACCAACAAAATTTTGGGGTGCACAAAGTATTAAAAGTGTCCCCATGTATGTGAAAAGGAGCATTTTGGCAATAAGAAGAAGAAAATAAGATCTTAGGATAAAAATAAGATTTTATTTCCTTTGCCATTTATCTCAGAAAAGCCTATAAAGTTCCACTGTAATTATTATTATTAAAAGAAAGACAGTATCTAATACACATCTAATACATCTAATCCCTATTTGACTCAATGTTTTTCTTTAAAACAAAAAGGCTTTTTTCTAAAATCCTGTAATAAACTTCATAATCTACCTATATACATAATTTCAAAATAATTAAATATAATACTTTAAATACAATACAAAGAAGAAGGCAAAAAAATTACAATAAAATATGTATTGCAACATGTACATATTCAGGCATGCCTAGACTGGAAGACATAATACACTAATCAGGTTTTTTTGCACCAATACGTGGAATCACACTTACAAATACAGGCTGATCAGGGAGTGCTATATTGAGGATTCACCATGAGCAGTATTGCTCACGGAGATGTGATTTTTCTGAAAAAGCAAACAACTCTCAGTGGAGTTTCAAACAAAATGTACAACAACTTTTGAAATTTATGTGTGTTGCATTCTTGGAAAATTCAGTGCATATTAAAACTGTGGAAATGTTACTCTCTGTTTATATGAAAAAAAAACAGCATTATAAGTGCAGATAATTACAAACAGATTTTCCCCCTATATCGATGTCTGGTGGTATATTCTAAAGTTGTGTGGGACGTGAGACAATTCTTTGTATGGTAGGATGCCTCCACAGGTATTGTCTAGTGCTCCTGACTCTGCTCTCTAAACACCAGTATTGTCTTTTCAATTATTGTGATAACCACAAACATTACCATCACCACCAACACATTTCCAAAATCCCCCATTGTGAACCATTAATTTAATATGCACCAGGCACTGTGCTAAGTTCCCTACAAATATTATTTAATAATTTACTAATTTTTCCCATTCAACAAACATCACACACACTCCAGATGCAGACATGGTGCTATGCTCTGGATACACAGCTGTGAACAAGATAGTCAATGGCTGGTGACCACAAAGAAGGAATGATCTAGTAGAGGAGATAGATGACAAAAACTTACAAATGACTATGTAATTACAAACTGTGTTGAGTCCTAGGAAAGAAAAGATTGGCTACTGTGAAACAGGGCAACACAGGAATCTATCAGGAAAGAAGAAGAGTATCAGGAAAGTTTCTCTGAGCCAGTCCACTGAAACCCTGACCTGAAGGATGTCAAGCAGGCAGCTGTGGGAAGTTATTCTACGCTTTTCGTAGAGGAAGAAAGTGAAGGCTGGAGAAATAATGTGCTCACGTCATACCACTTCTAAATAGTTGAACATATCTGAACTCAAGTCTCACTAGTTCTAAAGACTATCAGCTTTCCAGGTTAAAAATGGACGAACAGTTCTCCCAAAGAAGATAAATAAATGGGCCAGGCATGGTGGCTCACGCCTGTAATCACAGCACTCTGGGAGGCCAAGGCCAGCAGATCATTTGAGGTCAGGAGTTCAAGACCAGCCTGGACAACATGACGAAACCCCGTCTCTACTAAAAATACAAAAATTAGCCGGGCGTGGTGGCACCTGCCTGTAGTCCCAGCTACTCGAGAGGCTGAGACACGCAAATTGCTTGAGCCCAGGAGGCAGAGGTTGCAGTGAGCCCAGATGACACCATTGCACTCCAGGCTGGGCAACAGAGCAAGGCTCTGTCTCAAAAATAAATAAATAAATGGCCAAGAAGCACGTGAAATGATGTTTGGCATCCTTGGTCATTAGGGAAATGCAAACCAAAACCACAGGATACCAGTTCACACAAGAATGGCTATAATAAAAAATATGGAAAATAACAAGTGTGAGTGAGGGTGTGGAGAAATAGGAGCCCTCATGCATTGCTGGTGGGACTGAAAGTGGTTCAGCCATGGTGGAAAACAGTAAGGCAGTTCCTCAAAAAGTTAAACACAGGATTACCACAGGACCCAGCAATTCCACTCCTAGGTGTAAACCCCCTAAAATGTCAACAGGTACCCAAACGAATCCTTATACGTGAATGTTCATAGCATCACTACTCACAAAAGCTGAAAGGAGGAAAAACCCAAACACCCATCCATGGATGAATGGATGAACAAACTGTGATTTATTCATGCGTTGAAATATTATTCAGCCATAAAAACGAATGAAGCTTTGATACATGCTACAATGTGGATGAACCTCAAAAACATTATACTGAGTGAAAGAAGCCAGACACATAAGATCACATGTTGTATGACTCCATTTATATGAAATATCCAGAGTAGGTAAATTCACAGAAATGAAAGTAGATTGGTAGTTGCCAGGGGCTGAAGGGTGAGGGGAGAACGGAGGGTAACTAATTTATAGGTATGGAGTTTTTACTTTGGAATGATGGAAACGTTTCAGAACCAGATAGAAGTGATGGTTGGTACAACATTGTGAAGATACTAAATGCCGGCAAATTGTTCATTTAAAAATGATTAATTTTATGTTTTGTGAATTTCACCTAAATTTTAAAAAATGGATGGAAATATCTTCTTGCCTTCTTAGATTTATATCCATCTGCTTTGAAAAAGATCTGACTTGTTTATATGTTTGCTTCCAGTATAAAGGTGTATGGCCAGGAAAACGTGACTCACCAGAAGTTTTCGCATGAGAAAAGCAGTCAGACTGATAGGGGAACTCTGCTTCTCAGGCTTAGGGCCTTCCTGAGCTTCTCTGACTGGGAGGCTATGGAGGAGCAGAGGGTACGGTGCTGTGGGGTTCCCAGCCACCTGCGGGCCTGGTGGCAGATAAAGCAAACGTCTCTGTGGGGACTTTTTACAGAGAGAGCACTGTGGAGGGGAGGATGAAAGAGAAGGGGGTGCATGGAGGGAAGGAAGCCCAAGGTCAATGAGGGAGAGCAGGGAGATGCTGCCCAGAGGTGGCCGGGGGAGAAAGGTCTACACGGGGTTTGAGGGAAGCTATCCATGGTGTGTGCTGGGTAATACCCCCAAAGATCCACCCTGAAGAAATACCAAAAGTAAAGCCCTATATTCTTTATCAAGATTCCTGGCGATGGATTTGTTTTCTCTTAATATGTAAAGGAACATAAAGGGCATAAGACTCATTTGGTTATAGGTAAAAATGAAAAGTTGAAGGAGTTAGTGCCTCCACTTTTCTCTGTGAAGGTAGAGGCTATGGTATTAGCAGAATGGGAGGAGGACAGAGCCAAGGAAGAGATTTTGCAGAGGGTAGCCCATCCCAACATGTGAGGACACAGCTGAGGCTAAGATCCCACTTTCCATAGCCCCACATCCCTACTTTCTATGTTAGGGTTCATTTGTAGACATCAGGAACCACACTAGCTATTTTGAACAGAAAAAAATTAATACAAGGAACAGTATGCTTTTAAAAAAATCATCAGAGGGTACCACGCACAGACCTCAGGATGGGGAAGAAGGAACATGACTGGTGTGCTGAGAGCTGCCATAACCAGGAGCAAGGGAATCCAGAAGCTGCCCTGGATACATCGCCTGTAGGACACCTTCCCTTCATTGCAATCCGGGGATCAGAAAACTATTGTGGAAATATTGGCCGTCAAGCCAAGCAGTGACTTTGACCCATACCAGCAAAAACATGAGCGTGCCGTGCCTTGCCTCTGGGGAAAAAGATGGAAACAGCACTGGCTAATACTGCAGCAGGATCCAACACGGCCTCGGTGGGATTTGTCACAGAAACAACAAAAGCATAGTCTGTGCCTTACTTCTGCCTCCCAAACTTTGTGCAAAAGCCCAAACAGAATCATATCAAAAGCTGAGCTGCAAGGGATCCTGGAAAAAGCTGATGCTAGCTAACCAGCCTTGCGGTACACAAAGGCCCACTAGGAAGGTCAAACAGACTGTGTGTCCATCCACAGTATCCTTCTCCCCTTAGCCTCCCCTTAGACGTTTTTAAACCTTAAAACTATTAATCTTTAAAGTGAATCAGAGTTTGCATTGAAATATAGAAGCTCTAACTCTTGTCCTTGAGAGTTCTGTAGATTGTAAATCCTAAGAGATTTTAAAATGAATCATTTAAAAATGAAAAATTTGCTGGCATTTAGTATTTTCACTTAGATACTAAAAGGTATTGATTTTTCACTGAATTTCATCTAGACCTGAGAGAATCTGAAAATTTTGGAGTAGGAAGAGAAATCATTTTATTCTCATAATAAAGCTGGAGAAAGAAAAGTACAGAGAAGTCCAAGCCCTTGATGCTTAAATTCTAAATTGAGCACTCAGTCACAAAATAATCCCCCCATAGAAAATAGCTGCTCTTCTAGAAGGAAGCCCCTAAAATCCTATTTTCATAAGTTTTTGAAAGAGTTCACCAGCTACACAGTCAGATGTGTAACTGAACAATCTTTTCATGCCTGGAGCAAGTTCCAAGGGCCTCTCCAATTTGCCCCCCTAATTTGCCAAACCATGGGACAACAAACCTGCAATTAGAGCTGTATTTTTAAATTGTGTAAGTTTTATGTGGCACTTTTTCCCCACTACACACAGTCTTGCCAAAATGCTGTTATTTTCGCAGAGGAAATACAAAGAGTGGGCTTAAAATTACAAGTCACATTCTAACTCAGGAAAAGGAAGTGGGTTCTCTGGGGCCACCTCCAGGCTGGACTCCAGGCAGTTGTCCCAACCTCTTGACTCCACGGTGTCAAACACCTGGAACAACCATGGCCTGCCCTGAAAATGCAAAGACTCCTGCTCCCAATTTTTCCACAAAGATTCGTGATCCTTACTGGCCACTGGACGTCTGTGCTTTCGGTTGGGTTTGAGGACAAACTTTGGCCCCTAGCTCTGTGTCACTTTAATGTGGGATATGTTCTCACTGGCTCCGTTGGCCAAATGTTCTTGCGCCATCCCCCACTGAGTCTCATGACATTTTATCTGTTCTAGAAATGACAGAAGATGGGTCCCTCTGGGATTCACGCTCCTCTGCTGGGAGTTTCACACCATTCGCCATGTCAACATGAAGCAACAGCTGGGTTGAAGAGAGCCGATAAAAATAGCAGCATCACACTGCAAGCAAGCTGCATAGAAAAGAAGGGGAGTCACGTACTTAATGCAGGGTGGCATTGATTTCTTGTCTTCCCAGTCCAGTGGTGTATTTCTCGGACCATCTACTTTTTCAGAAAGAGCAAAGTGAGCTGCTTGTCCATGTAAGTGTTGGCTAGGACAATGAGGAGAGGGCAGATAGCTCCTGCTCTCCTGCTCTCCCACTGCTCCCTTGTTGGCCCCTGGTACGCCTGATTGCTAACTGGCAGATCAGGCAACTAGACAGCGTAGCCCCTGAACCAGTGAGCCCAGCCAACTCTGGGAACTTGGTTTTCAAGATTGCTGTGAGTTGCTGCAGAAACTTCCTGCTGTTACCCTATCTTTCCATTCATTAAAGTGTAGCTTGCAATTGAACATTCTGACATAACATAGCTGAGATTTTTGGCAGCGATGTTAACCATATTCAAGAGTTTCCTTCAGACGACGTTAAGTTTTTATATCCTCATGAATGCTTGCCACCTTCCTTTAATAACTTGAAAAAACAAGCTTCTCTCAGGAACGTCATTGTTCCAATATTTCCCCAGCACACATTTACTCCTTTTAGACGTGCGTTAGGTGTGTGTATATTTATAAAGTCTGGGTGTACCTAGGTGGGTTAGAATTGGACATCTTATAAAAAGTCAGCAATCTGAATGGACCTTAGAGAAGAGGTATTAGAAGTCTAGTATTTTCTTCGTAAGATCTTATTTTTCTGCTTCTAAACTATTCGTTCGTTTCACCACAAAACTGTATTTTATCAAAAAGAGTATATTCACTAACCCTCACTCAGCCTTGGGGTGTGAAATAGCCTTTTACATTTCTAAAGCAAAAACTTACAGAAAAGTTAAAAAAGGGTAAAATGAGGGTTTCCTTCCCTTCCTCCATAGTGAAAAATGTAGCCTTATTGTGTACAGACATCACAGTAGAATTTTAAAGTAGAAAATTGATTGGTTTAAATTTCCAGCTACTGAGATAACTGAAAATCTTTAAAAACCCATTCTCATTAAAATGCAAAGTAATAGCGCAAAATGCAATGAAAAGCCAAACTGAATTTGTAATTTTTAAGTGCCCCCACAAATGGGAAGTTTGTAGTCTTCTTGGATGGCCAGTGGCTTTAGTAAGTTCTCCAAATCCACTGTGGTGCTTGTTTGCAGGCAGAATTATCACAGCAGAGTTACTGTTCCCTGAAACTTTAAACAGTGTTATGTAATGTCACACAATGTGGTTAACTGAGATTTTAACACAAATTATGGCATTATTGAACCCAACAGGCTCCACTTAGATTTGTCTTTTTTTTTTTTTTTGGTGGTTTTTTTTTTTTTTTTTTTTTGAGATGGAGTCTCGCTCTGTCACCCAGGCTAAATTACAGTGTGCAATCTCAGCTCACTGCCTCCGCCTCCTGGGTTCAAGTGATTCTCCTGCCTCACCTCCACAGTAGATGGGACTACAGGTGCGCACCACCACAGCCGGCTAATTTTTGTATTTTTAGTAGGGATGGAATTTCGGGGTTTCACCATGTTGGCCAGGCTTGGACTCCTGACCTCAAGTGATCTGTCCACCTCAGCCTCCTAGAGTGCTAGGATTACAGGTGTGAGCCACCGTGCCTGGCCTCCACTTAGATTTGGAAATTGACATACAGCTGTGGTACTGCATCCCTAATCTACTCCTTATGCAAATATACAAGGTGTAGGCTACTCTAGGGCCAGAGCAGCAGTGGTATTAGTGACTTACTTCATCTTGAATTCACAGAGAAAGTCTTAGTATCCTCTATTTTACAGATGAGGAAAGAGACGCTAAGAGAAATTGAGGAACTTTGCTGACCTGATGTAACTAGATGGGACTAGAAACCTTGGCTCGCGGACCACAGAGTTGACATTACAGCCATTCACATGAGTTTGCATTTGTCATCTGAACCTTCTGGATTTCTATCATGTCACTTGCTGCGGTCTCTTGTATTTGTGGGAATTAAAATTAAATTGTGATGGTTTTTATTGACTTCTTTTCCCAAACATGTGCAACACCAAACAGAAAATAAAAGATCACAGATGGGACTCTGGAATATGATTTCTTTAACAAACAATTTTATAAATGTATCAGGCCCAACTTGCTTGGTTGGCCAGATGCTAAAATTGTATCGCAGAAGTTTGGGCAACTTCTGAGGAAATGGGCTGCTTCCTGTGTGTATTTCTCAAGTCTGCTGTGGCTTTAGTCCCACCACCCTCCCACCCCCAGGCGCATCTGGCTAGAGTGTGTGGATGGGGCAGACCAGCCAGGTCCAGCCAGGCCAGCATCTCAAGAGCATAGAGCCAGGGAGCATGCGCAGAACCCCAAGAGCAGGGGCATGTGGGCACCTTGATTTCCCAGGGGAAAAAATATTACAGGAAGTGTGAACCAACAGCCAAAAGAAGGTAAGAGTCAGAGGCCTAGGTGGACAAAAGGACGCGGTGAAGAAGAAGATAATCTGGGGAGGTGCAGAAAAACTGAGAGGAACCGGCAGATGCAGACAGAGGAAGAAAGCCACGTCTGTGCAGCGAAAGGTCTGTGCGAACTAAGTGGCAATGAGAGACCGTGCCTCCGTGTCCAGGGATATTGTGGAATCCTCTCTCCCACGCCCCTTGTTTTAGTTAGGCCACTCTTGATTGGAGATGTGGGAGAGAACCTTAACTGGACAATATTTAGCTAAAATAAGAGAATGATACCTCCTGAAGCCAAACTGTGGGGTGGGGAGTTGGGTACCTGCCATGGGGTAAGTGGGGCGTCTTTGGCTGCTCTCTACCTCTCATCTCGGCCTTTCTTTCTGAGTGGGCTTCACTGTCTCAAACCACTCCTCCATGAGGCAGGAGACAGCATGCCTGGGCTTTAGGATCTCCCGCTCCCCTTTCCAGTTTCCAGACCAGAGATGAGAGACCACATTCCTCCACCCCTACCATAGGAAAAGTCCTTGTAGGGTTAGGCCACGTGCCCACCCCTGGGCCAATGACTGCACCAGGGGCAGGTGTGGTACTAGGATTGGCCCAGATCTGGTCATGTGCCCACCCTCTGAGCCAATTACTACATGAGGGGCAGGTGTGGTACTAGAATTGGCCCAGATTTGGTCGTGTGCCCATCCCCTGAGCCAATCACTGCATCAGAGGCAGGTGTGGTACTATGATTGGCCCAGATTTGGTCATGTGCCCACCTCCTGGGCCCATCACTGCATCCAGGGGTAGGTGAGGTACTATGATTGGCCCAGCTTTGTCTATGCCCCTATCTGTGGGGTAGGAGAGGCAAAATCTTTACCAGGGACAGGGCGATCAGAGTGCTGTTCAAATGCTATAGCGTTCCGTTTTGCTGTCCACGTGTTTTCGTCATGTTCCGGCAATGGCTTGATCTATAAGGACTCAACTGAGAGCAGCCAGGCTGTCCTTGCTGGATGGTCATATCAGGATCTTGCAGGGTGAGGACAGTTGCATAAAGTGTATTAAATTATATGATTCATTTCCTTTGCTTTGAATCACAATATTTATTTTTATTTGAAATTTCAAATAATATTGAAGAAGGGCACACAATGTTTACATTGATCAAAATGGGACATAGGTTTAAAATGTTGGAGAATCGGCATTATAAAGGAGAGTGTTCCAACTGCCTTGCCAGCGGCAGAATTCATTCCTGTTTGAACAAAGGCTGACTTCATCTCTTTAGTTCTTTGTGGGGTGAGTGGAGGAAATGGTCCACAGTGGTCAGCCACATTCAGAGGGAGTAGGGGACGGGGAAGGAACTGCCCACGTACTGAGCACCTACCGTGCATCAGGCACATCGTGTGCAGTTTCTCAAAGTGACCCCGTTTCATCCGTTTGGCACCTCGGCGAGGTGCAGCTGCTCAGGCTATTTGTCATAGAGGCACCCGGCCTTCAGACGGGCGTCTTGGCAACTTACTTAGACTCTCTTTCAAGGTGCTTCCAAGTTTGCCACGTGGATAACAGTCCATCGTGTCTGCGTCAAAGTACAGAGAAGATTGATGGGATGGGGCTGGCAAAGACAAGAGTGATGAAGACACTCCTTTCTGTTCTGAAACCTTATTAGGATACCGAGAGTTCTTTCCATGCAGAATCCACTAGGGCTTTGGTTATGCCGCAGCCTTGAAAAAGACCAGCCTGTTTCCATTTCCTGCCTAAAGCCAGCTCTCAGCAGAAAGTGGTGGGGCTTAGAGGAGGGCTGGGTGACCACAAGCAGAACACCACTGGAGCCACATGGCCCTCACTGTGAGATGGGGTGACAACGCTAACCTTTGGGGATTTCAGTGCGAGACAGAGAACAACGATGCCTTTTCTGGAGCTGCTACAAGGCACATAGGATGTACCAGATACATGCTAGCTAGTGTTACGAAGCGAGCATAAACATCTGCCTACTTATTTTTATTTATTTATTTTTACCCTGAGCTTGGAGGCCTAGCTTTGCTCAGCTTTCTGGATGCCAGCCAAGCTAAATTAACACTCTTATCTTCTGGCCCCTGCAGCTGGCGGCCTCCACGTAGTCTTTGCGGCATTCTTTTTAGGCTCAGCCGTGTGCACTGGGAAGTCGTCCCGGGCCATCCCAGACTGTCCTATGCTCTGGGCTTTTTTGCCTACTCTACGGCCAGCTGAGCCCATGTTTCTGTGCAAGCAAAGCAAGGTCACTGAGGCGGCCCGGAGTCGCACACAGTGGGAAAAAAACATCTTGCTGTGAGAGTGAAGGAGGGGCCACAGATATTCAAAATAATTGTGTCTGCTGGCCAAAACTTCACCCAATTGTGCCAGAGGGGATTCAGCTAGATGTATTTGATGTACCTAGCAATGTCAGCAGTACCACGGGACGCTGCTCCCCAGGTTTTCTTAGGCTACTCTTCTCAAACTCTAAAATGCATGCTTAATCCCCTAGGGACCTGCCTAAAATCCAGATGCTGACTGAGAAAGTCTGGGGCGGGGCTGGAAATTCCAAAATCATAACAAGCTCTCAGGTAATGTCCCTGATCTCTCTGATGACCACTTTCCAAGAAGCTAGGCTTATGGTGTTATTTAGAAAACTTCAGTCATGATTTTTGCCACATGTCATCTTTTTTTAATTATTAAGCTTTTATTTTTCAAAAAAATTTATTTGTAAAATGTATGGGGTATACATGTAATTTTGTTATAGGTTGATGCAAGAGTAATTGAGGTTTTCTCATTACTTTTAACCACAATTACTTTTGCACCAACCTAATACCTGGATAATTACAGAGTGGTAAACTCAGGGCTTTTGGAGTATCCATTGCCTGAATAACGTAGACTGTATCCATTAGGCAATTTCTCATTATCCACCCCCTTCACACCAAACCCCCTCTTCCAAATATTCATTGTCTATCATTCCATACCATACGTCTGTGTGTACACATGATTTAGCTCCTACTCATAAGTGAGAACATGTGGTGTTTGTCTTTCTTTATCTGAGTGTTTCATTTAAGACAGGCCTCCAGTTCCATTCATGTTATTTCAAAAGACATGATTTCCTTCTTTTTCATGGCTGAATAGTATTCCATTGTATATATATGCCACATTTTCGTTATCCAATCATCTGTTGATGGACACTTAGGTTGATTCTATACAGTGCTGCAATGAACATACAAATACAGGTAATTTTTTTTTTTTTTGAGATGAAGTCCCTCTCTGTTGCCCAGACTGGAGTGCAGTGGTGCAATCTCGGCTCACTGCAACCTCCACCTCCCAGGTGCAAGCAATTCTCCTGCCTCAGCCTCTCAAGTAGCTGGGATTACTGGCACCTACCACCATAGCCGGCTCATTTTTGTATTTTTAGTACAGATGAGGTTTCACCATGTTGGCCAGGCTGGCCTTGAACTCCTGACCTCAAGCAATCTGCCCGCCTAAGCCTCCCAAAGTGCTGGGATTACAGGCATGAGCTACCATGCCTGGCCACTTTTTGATATAATGATTTATTTTCCTTTGGATAGTGTTTGTATTAATTTACATTTCCACCAATGGTACATACACATTCCCTTTTTTCTGCGTCCTCACCAACATCTGTGTTTTTTTGTCTTTTTACAGCCATTCTGACTGGTGTAAGATGATATCTCCTGGTTTTAAGTTGCATATAATTTACTTTTTAATTTTTTTTAATTTTAAATTACTCTTCTTCATATTGACCTACCTTTTTTTTTTTTTTTTTTTTCCTTTTTGAGACAGGGTGTCCTCTGTCACCCAGGCTGGCGTGCAGTGACACAATCACAGTTCACTGCAGTTTCCACTTCCCAGACTCAGATGATTCTCCTGCCTCAGCTTCCCAAGTAGCTGGGAGGCATGCACTACCATGCACAGCTAATTTTTGTATTTTTTGTAAAGACAGGGTTTTGCCGTGTTGACCAGGCTGATCTCAAATTCCTGGGCTCAAGCAATTGCCTACTTCAGTCTCCCGAAGTGCTGGGATTACAGGCATGAGCCACTGTCCCTGGCTGACCTGCCTTTTAATGTAAACTTATGTGTATTGCCATGAAATCACAGTTTTGAGGAATGATTTTTGTTTTAATACATCTTAAAATGAACATGTAACCATTAACATGAGAACTATATGTTGATAATAACTGTATGTTCCAACGGTGGTGTGGCATCATGTTCTAAGAAACACTGGCTTCAGGGCTTCTGAAGGAAACCATAGCCTGGACTGCCCAGACCCTGTTTTTTGGACTCTTTAATATGAGCAGCACTGATGCTTCTGCAGGAGCACTGGGGATTCTGGAATGGAGTCAGGGTGATTTTTGGACAATGTATTGACTGCAGCAAAGAGCACCTTCCTGTGCCCAGCAGGCTGCGTGAAAGCAGACTGCTCCTACCCAGTGCCAGGGCACCTAAGAGGGTGACGAATGGCAGTGGGCTGTCCCTCCAAAGCCGTGTCCAAAATGCTTTTTATGCTTGGCCACAAATTTTGTAAAAACCTATGCAGCGACTAGAGAGTAGGAAAAAAAATACCCAAATTCCCTGCTGACTCTGAGGTGCTTGTTTACAAAGTGAAACGTCCCTGGTGAATTGTTTCATTTACAATTAAATCTAACAATAAGCTATTGTGGCTAAATTAATTTCAAGCTAATTTCACAGGAACCCCATGTCCTGTATCAATTCTAAACAAAAGAGTGTGGTGTCGGGCAATATGACTCATTCTGAAGCCAGGCCTCCAGGAGGAGCTCCAGGAGGTTGATGAATAAATGCTAGGTTAAGAGAGCAATGCTCAGGTACCCTGCAGGCCAGGCACACTGCTGTGACGGGTTCTGGAAGCCCCTGTAGGTTGTGCCAGTCACGTACCAGAGACTGGCTTTCTACTGAGAGCACCAACCCCTGAGCAGCCCTTGACTGAGGCAGAGTTTTCCACTAGAACCTGGCCCGCTCTGACCACAGCCTGGAGGAGCCCGGTCCTGGCCACGAGTGTTTCTGCGTAGGGTCTTTAGTCCTATGGACACCTTGATGGGCCAAACACCTTCACAAATAGCATCCCACTTCATCCTCGCCCTGAGAAGTCCGCATGGGTCTCTCCTTTTTATGATGCAATAAGTAAGCTCAGAACCACCCCGAGTAATCATCTCAAAGCCATGTAAGAAGGAACTTTCAGAGCTAGGGTTTCCACCCAGACCTAGTGAGCCTGGTCCTTCTGTCCCTTCAGAGAAACAGTGGCCATAAAGATCCCCTACTCCATCTAGTTGGTCCCCCCCATCTCCCCACAGTGAAGATCTCTGAAGTTTATCTGGAAGCTTTTTCCTTTGAGTTTCAGATTTGACTCTGGTTCCCAATTTGGCTGATGTCAGTTACTCACATTTGAATGTGAGTGATTTTGAGAACAGACTTTGGGCCTCTCTGCTCTATGGTGGTGGGGGTGAGGAGGCCAAGGAAACCTCATCTCAGCCTCAGAAAGGGGAAGCTGAGGATGCCAGTGAGAAGCTTGGCAGGATACCTTTATTTTTAGGGGCAATGGCCACAGAGTCTTTTTCCTCATGCTGCTTTGTCAAAAGAACAGATCCGTGCACATCCCACCTTCTCTGGAACTAAGGCTCCAATGATGCATGAGTCTTCATTTTCACAAGCAATAAGCACCTGCCTGTGGGTGTTTTCAATTATGTTAGAGAATAATTCTTTCCTGGTTGGGCAACTGGTTTGGATTATTAAGATGACCTTCGAAAGAATTCACAGAGCGGGTCCTTCATAGGGTTTCTGAAGTGATGCATTTTAATTGAGATTGTTTCTGCAAAGGAAAAGATTAGGTCAGTGATACCACTCTCATGTTTCCTGTTTGCTCCCTGCCACTGTGGTCTCCTGTCTTGGCCTTCCCAAACGGGACAGGTTGTGTCTGAAGGCAAGAAGAGAACCATCGGTTGGAAAATCTGGAGTCCTGGGGAAGGAAGGCTGTGAGACGGTTTGCCTGTGTCAGGGCTTGGGGAGCATGACATTTGTGTACCTGAGCAGGATGTCATTTCCCGCTGAATAACCCGGGCACCTACCCAGCCTTTATTTTGGCCCCGACTGTGTGTTAAATGCAACCAATATCTCCTCTGAAAGCTCCTAAGAACAATCTGAATTGATGGGGCTGTTTTGTTTCCAGCCAAAGGATGCTGGTGGCATCAGCGAGGAAGGCAAACCCCGTGACCGTAAGAGCTGAACAAGGAGGCGGGAGCCATCTCTGCTGGCCAGGGTGATCGGTGCATTCAGGGGTGAGGAATGACAAGAGCAGTGCCCTGAAATATTTGTTTCTCTTCTTGTCGTGTTTTTTCTTTGTTATCTGATGGCTTACATCTGACTTTCCCAACAGGCTGCAAAACAGTAATGATTGCTGCCTGGGGGAGGTGACCTTTAAGTGGAAATACTGTCCTTGTGGGCAAAAGGCCACAAACAAAAGGTCAACATGTGGACCAATGGGGAGCTGCCTTATTTGCCCACCTGGGGCCTTTACCCCGATTCGGCCTTGCCCTTCCCACCCCTCCTCCCCCCAAGCAGATGGATGGGAGGGGGGCTCCGACATCCACATCCAAGCGTTGAGTTCTTCCCTCTCCTCCTGGCCCTGACCGATTTTCCACAGAATCTGGTTTCATCCCAGTGTTGCACTCCTAGCAATGGGAGGGAGGGCTGGTGCCGCCCACAGTGAGTAGCTTTACTGTTGACGGCTCAAGTACTTCTAGCCACGGTGGGCTTTCCTTCAGCTCAGTCCCATCTTCAAGCTGGATAAACGCAGTCCTCAGGGGAGGGGCTCCCCTCCTTGGTGCCTCACCCCAGGCTCCTCCACAGTGGAGGGGCTTTCCTTGTGGTTCTCGGCCCTCTCATGAGTTCTCTCCCAGCTCCTTGGTCTTTGTCAGGCCTCTGCTCCTCTTCCTGGAGGCAGAATCTCTGTGTCCCTCAGCCTCTCCATGCTGCTTGGTTTGTGTCCTTGGGTGGAGCACCTTGGAGGCTCTCAGAGAACCTTCTCAGGCCAGCCCCAGTGTGTTTCTTGTGTGAAAGGAGGCCCTTGTTATGAGCTTTGGTTTCCCAGCACCTGAAGCATGATCTTGATATTTATGTGGAGAATTGCGTCTCTCACTCTTTTTTTTTTTATTTTTTGAGTCTTTGTGAAGAGCAAAACCACCTCTCTGAAAGGTAAGTGATGGTCAGATACTTCCTTTTTCCAGCCTGCCTTGCAGCTGGGGCTCAAAGAGTGGGGCTTCCCAGCCAGGTGAAGGTGCCAACACCAGACTCAGAGCTGGTGACTCAGGAGGGAAGGGACAGTGGTGGCCGCAGGAGCAGTGGCAGCCAGGCACAGCTCCTGGGGTGGGCGAGGTGTGGGTGCTCAGAGGTGGTGGCAGGGTTTCCCCATCAGCCCTGTTCTGTGGTGTGATTTGACTCATGGTTCCTCAAAGATCAGCTCTGTGCCTGTGTGTCCTCTAAAATGATTCGGAGCTGCCCCATAGCCTTTCACGAGACTCCCTTTCACTGAAATTAGCCAAAATAGGTGTCTGTTGCTTGCTACTAAGAACTTGTTGCAAACGGCATTTCCCTCTACTTGAAGCCCATTCTCAAGGTTTCTGTATCTTATTTTCCTTGTTGGCCGGCAGCCTCTACCCAAAGAAAGGGAGGGAAAGCCATCTGAATTTCCGAATGGATTTCTTTAAACACATGGCAGTGACAATACTCTTTACAAAGCCCAGGCTTTGGTTTCTTCAAGTAAATTGAAGGTGAAGGGGAGGGACAAAGGGGCAGCAAGTCTCTTGAGAAGCCCACGTGTGCCGTGGCACCAGAAGCATGGAGGGGCCCCAGCGGATGGGCCACACGTGGTTTCCCAGAGCCCCCAGTTTCCCAGGGTGGCGCAGCCAACGTTTCCATGCCATGTAGAGAGGACAGGTGTGCCTGAGAGCAGGCTGCAGAGCCTTGGTAGTGGGATAAAGAGAACACGGGGCACCTGCTTAGGTCTGGCAACTGGAGAGTGGAGAGGCCACAGATACAGGGGGTAGCTGGGTAGGTGTCAATGTCCTGGGGCCAATGAACATTGACTGTCTGGGTTGCAGACACACGGTGCCTCCCAACCCGGAATACACCTCACTCAAGTTTAACACCTGGTGAGAAAGAGAGGAAAGAGGAATAAAAAAAATCCATAACTGATTCCATTTTTACTTAAAGGACAGTGAGAAAATTTTGATAGTGACTGAATGTAAATAAGGGGTTAGGAGCTGCACTAAATTCAATCAAAAAAATTAAGTAAGTTATTTGCCTGTATAAGCCTGAAAAATTTCAACCTTCCTCACCTCTTGGGGTTACCATAGGTTTTGGAACAAGGTGGAGATTGGGGCTAGAAAACCCACCGTCTTCCAACTCGGCTTTATCCTTCTCTTTAAGAACCAGGCTTTCTGCACTTGATGTGGTTACATCTTTGAACTTACTGGCAAGAAACATATGTCTGTAAATTGGCCTTGAAAAGTGATACCCATATGCAGGTTATAGAGAAGGGCTAGGATCCTTATTCCAGGAAATCCTCTGCTTTCCTGGGAAGAAGATTACTGCAGTGAATGAAAACAAGATGAAACAAAACCAAAGGAATCAATACATTCCATCTGCCTTTGCTGCTTCAGCCTGTTTTGGGAAGCTCAGGTGCAGAGGTTGTTGAGAGCCTGCTGAGAAAGTTTGCCGAAAAGGTCAGCATTCTTGGTCATCAGGGCTAGCCCCAGATCTGCTATTGCAGGGACTCTCTTCTGCACCCTCCAGCTTTATATTTTCTGGAAACATCTCCCCTGATCAAGCATGAATGGGACTGACCAAACCCTGCCTGCTTTGACGGCATGTTACCTTGCACAATACTCAGGCTAATAACACACACCCTCCCATGGGTGTTTGTTGTTTGGGGCCCTCCACCTTCGAGGACAGACACTGTCCTGTTTTGAACTCGAGGCAGGAACTTTGACACCTGCCCTTGGCTGTCTCAGGAGCTCCAGGAAGTGTCACTTTATGCCATAGTGAAGGTGCTCTTCTGTATGGCCCCTGCCTTCCTTTGCAGTAGACAACTCACCCCTCTCCAAAAATGCCACCCATGTTCACACTGCTGTGTCTTTAGACACATTATCTCAGCCCAGGATGCCCATCAGCCTGCCCTACCCCACTCCAGCTCCCTGCCTACTGCAATAGGATGTCCTAGACTCTGCTAATGACCAGGCGCCACAGGATGGAGAAGCCAGCGCACAGGAAACACGAATGGTGAAATCCAAGAAGCCACCCTCCCTTTTTTTTTTTTTTTTTTTTTTTTTGATCTGTCTCAACAGATCCTCACTCCGTTGCCCAGGCTGGAGTGCAGTGGTGCGATCTTGGCTCACTGCAACCTCTGCTTCCCAGGTTCAAGCAATTCTTGTGCCTCTGCCTCCTGAGTAGCTGGGACCACAGGCATGTGCCACCACACCCAGTTAATTTTTCTATTTTTAGTAGATATGGGGTTTCACCATGTTGGCTAGGCTGGTCTCAAACTCCTGACCTCAAGTTATCCGCCTGCCTAGGCCTCCCAATATGCTGGGATTATAGGCGTGAGCCACCACACCCATCGCAAGAAGCTACTCTGAGCTGAAGATCAATCAGTTTATCTAAAATGGGACTGGAAGGCAAGGTGTGGCTTGGACATTGACCAGATGTGTGGTGGTGATGGATCATTTGACCTCTCTAGGCCTCTACTTGCTCAGCTCTGAGCTGATGGGGCTAGATGGATGAGTCCTGTCTGCCACATTAGCCTGCGACTGTAAGTCTGGGTTTGCTCCAAGATGGTTCACCCACATGGCTTGTGGCAGGAGGCCTCAGCTCCTTGCTGCATAGACCTCTCCATGGGGCTGCCTGAGTGTCCTCACAACATGGCAGCCAGCTTCTCCAGTGCTAGTGATTTGAGAGCGACAAGGGCAGAAGCCACAATGTCTTTTATAGCCGTACCATCACTCGACCTTACTCCATCGGTCACGTGGGCCAACCCTGATCCGATGTAGAAGGGGACCACACAAAGCATTGATACTAGGAGGTGGGACTACAGATGGCCATATTGGAGGTGGCTGTCACCAAGCTCAAAATCCAAACTTAGTTAGGCTCATCTGAATTATCAAGAAATCGATCTGGAGGATTTCCTAGGAGTTCCTGCCCGCAGGGTTTGTATCCTGCCCCTTCCGTGCCCAGGAGTGATAGGTCCTGTGGAGCTGGATACCAGAGAAAATCTTTTCATGACACCAGGCAATGCCAGACATAGAGTTGACAGTCAAGCAGGCGCCACAAAAGGGATCTGAGAGCCTAAGGCTTGGAAAGTCCAGAGGCTCAGCAAATGTAGGAGGGCCAAGTAGGAGCCAAGTTGGAGCTGAGTGCAGGAATACACGATTTCTTTCTTCTTCTTTTTTTTTTATTTTTGGAGGAGGGAATAAGTCATTCATAGTTAACATCAAAGTAAATGTGTTCAGATTAATACCTTGAATTATATTAATGTGCTTTCTTTTTTCACTCCTTATTTGTGATTTCCACCTACTTAGCCACAGTTTCCATTATCTTCATGAGCAGTAGCTGGAATGAAGGAGAAATGGAAAGTGGGAATGAAGACAGGATGCTGAGCTTCAGATACTTAAATAAACTCAAGAACAGGAGGACTGAAAGCCAAGATTTCAACTGCAAGAGCCGGGCCATTAAGAGAGGAAAGGGTTTCCTAAATTCGCATACATTTCTTTTAAATACAATAATCTTAGAGGACAAGCATGGGGTTTTCACCACACACCATAGTGTAGAGAAGGATTCACAAATGACCCAAGAGCAGTTCCCTGTCCCCCAGCAAGGTGAACAGCCCTTCTTGGGCTGGGATGTGGGGGGCAGAGATGAGAGACATTTTCAGTTAATGAGATTATTAGATTAAGACACTATACCTAGAGTGCAGGAGAGATTATGGACATTTCAGATGGTCCAAAGAAGAATCTGAAAGCTTGTGCTCCACTTTCTGTTTAGAATTCCAGGCAGAGACTGCCTTGCAAGGTGATCTACACCCATGCTGGGGGGCTTCAGTAGAGGAGAAATGATGGTGTGAAACGTTTAGATATGGAGGGAATCTGAGATGCCATAGAGGAGGTTCCCTGGGTTTCTGTGTGGCTTGGGTGAGATCTAGAACTTTCTGTGTGGGATGGGAGTGGGGAGCAGTAGTACTAAAAGGGTCGCGGGAGAGGAAGAGGTTGGTGCCTGGTAGGAGACAAACCCCTGCAGCTGGAGGCCAAGAGAGGATCACGGTGGGCAGAGCACATGGCCCAGGGGTGGAGCCGACCTCCAGACACCAGAAGAACAACCTAAGTTCCTCCCACACAGTCAGACTTGAAACTAGAGGACAGACAGAGAACCAGGAATGTCTACTTTGCCCCCATGAGGAATAGAAACAACTTCCTGACTATCCCTTGGTGGGACAGGAGGACTTTCAAGAGGATGAAACTCTGAAAAAGAGTTTACCCTGTGATTAATTAAATGAAATCCTCAATGGCCAGAGTAATTATACAAAGATTAAGTGTCAAATGGGAGAGAGTTTACCTGGAAGCAGTAAGATTCGTTGCTTTTATTGGTTCATTTGTTTTGTTTTCTGCTTTCGGTAGAAATGGATCTTCACGAGTCAGTTGAATTTGATTAAACAGAATTTAGCATTTCAGCCATTTGGGTGACAGTGGGTGCATTCTAAAGTCAGCACACCACCCAAAGTGATATATGAGGTGGAATGGGAGGGGTGGCAGGTATTCAGCTTAAAGGACCGGGATATCATGATCAGTGGCTACTGTTTTACTTTTAAAAACCTTCCTTTTCTGGGTCTAGAATATATAAAGAATGTCTACAAATCAACAACAAAAAACATGAACAGCCTAATTTTTTAAACAGGCAAATGAATTCAGTAGGTATCTCACAGGACAAATGAATGATCAGTAAGCACTGAAAAGGTGTTCAATGTCCCCAGTCATCAGGACAACACAAATTAAAATTGCAATAAGATAACATTTCACGTCCACTAAAATTGCTAAGGTGAAATACGATGAACATTGACAAGTGTGTGGAGACACTGGAACTCTTTATCATTGTGGATGAAGATGTGTCTAGCAGTTTCTTATGGCAGTAAATAAACATGCTTCTACCCCATGACCCAGCAGTCAGTTCCACTCTTAGTTATTAACCCAAAAGAAATGAAAACAAATGTCTACACACAGACTTATACAAGAATGTTTACAGTAGCCATACTCATAAGAGTCAAACACTGCAAACAATCCCAAGGCATGTCAACAGAAAGGATCAACAAAATGCAGCATCTCCGTTTAATGGAACATCACTCAGCAATACAATGAACCATCTTATTTTTTATCTTTTGAGATGGAGTCTCACTCTGTCCCCCAGGCTGGAGTGCAATGGCACGATCTTGGCTCACTGCAACCTCCCTCTCCTGGGTTCAAGCGATTCGCCTGCCTCAGCCTCTCGAGTAGTTGGGACTATAGATGCATGCCACCACACCTGGCTAATTTTTGTATTTTCATTAGAGACGGGGTTTCACCGTGTTGGCCAGGCTAGTCTCGAACTCCTGACCTCAAGTGATCCTCTCCTCTCAGCCTCCCAAAGTGCTGGGATTGCAGGCATGAACCACCAGGCCTCGTCAACAATCCATCTTCTGTTAGACCCACAACAAGGATGAACCTCAAAAAAAATTGTGCTGAGTGAAATAAGCCAGACACAAAAAAAGTATATACAGTATGATTTCATTTATATGAATCTCTAGAACAAACACAATTGATCTATGTTGGTACAAGTCAAAAGGTGGCCAGGAACATGAGGGAACTTTCTGGGCTGATGGTTATGTTCTATATCTTGTGTTTGATGGTGATTACATAAGCATATGCAATTGTCAAACCTGAACACTGAAGAGATGTGCATTTTATTCTACATAAATTATACCTTAAATTTAAAAAAAAAATTGAAGAAACCCCTCTTCTTAAAGTTTTGGCTCAAGTTCTTATGAAGATTAGGCTGGCAAGCACACAAGCCCCAGAAGGCTCTTTATCTTTAGTGGGGGCACCCTCCCTCTGTCCCTTCGTCTGTTCCAAGTGCCTACACGCCCTCTTACACACACACTGCACACTTGGGGAATGTGAGCGTGCGAGCGTGCACATGTATAGACACTGCTTCATCCCCAGGGGCAGCCCCCTCCCCACATGCCCCTCTCTCACTGGGGCCTGCGGGAACACCCTGCCCCTGCCCCTCTGTCCTTCTGCCCTCCCTGCCCACACCCTCGTCCTCCCCCCGTGGTCTTAACTGCACTAGAGTCACCTCCGGTTCTAAACCTCAGCACACTCTAAATCATAGTTTGTGTGTGTTTTTTTTCAGTGAAATACGGATGCTTTTGAAACCACTTTCCCCTCTAAAGGCCTCCTCCTTCCTTGTTAACTCTGGGCTCAGCCGTTCATAAATAATGCAGCTCCTTCTCTCATCTCAATTACAAATGTGGACTCTTTCTCTGTGTTTTGCATCAGACCGGCCTCTTCCGGGTTGCTTCCTTGTTTCTCAAGTCTGGCCAGCAGTGACCCCTACCCTGCCACTGGGATGGAGGGGTGGCACTGATTCTCTTGAAGTCACCCTTATCTTGGGGCTCAGTCACTTTGTTACAAGCGCATTACTTCCCCTCCCGCTTGCTTTTGCCCAAAGCAGCTCAGCAATCTCCTTGCGCCTGTGGGTCTGCATGGGAGGCCCTTTTGTGCATGCAGTTCCAGAGGAGCAGCCCTTTCCACAGGATCTCTGCACAGGCCATGTTATCAGCCCCAAGGGACAAACGCATTCACCGTCAGTATCCACATCTCCATAGTTCTGAGCCCCTGCCTACTTTAGGAGAAATTCTGAAGCTCACAGTGTCCAAATATTTACCAATCCAACAGCAGCCAGAACTGAGGGCTGCTCCCCAGCTAGCAAAGCTCCAAGTCCATAAGGCTAGGTCCTGCCCCCTCTCCATCTCTGTCCCTGTCCCCCAGCTAGTGGTCTTGGTGAGGCTGGGCCTGCCTGGGCCAGAGCCTGGGTGCTTCCCACCCTTCCTGTGGATGCTCCCCTGGGCCTCACTTGGGCAGTGAAAAGCATTCTTCGTTCATCAACCGAGCATGGGGCTCAGGCTCTGTCCCCTGCTGGTAAGGGAGGCCGTCCGGGAGTCCAGCCTGTGTCCTTGGAATTACTAACCCTGTGCTGTTCCTGGGTCCTTGGTGAGGGAGCATCCCACCTGGGCTAGTTTCATCTGCTGATATCAGCAGCGAGGCCTCTCCCCTGGGAAGACGTTGGCCTGAGGGAGGCCAGAGGCTGAAGCCCCCACTGAGTTCACAGCTCCTGAGACCAGACCAGAGGACCGGCGCTCGAGAAATCAGCCTTGAGAGATGAGGACCTTTCAGTGCCCTGACTTGCAGTGCTCCTGGCCGCAAAGGGTGACAGGCATGAGATGGTGAGAGGTGACAGCGTGCTGGCAGCCCTCGCAGCCCTCGCTCGTGGTGCCTCCTGGGCCTCGGCGCCCACTCTGGCCACACTTGAGGAGCCCTTCAGCCCGCCACTGCACTGTGGGAGCCCCTTTCTGGGCTGGCCGAGGCCGGAGCCGGCTCCCTCAGCTTGCCGGGAGGTGTGGAGGGAGAGGCACGGGCGGGAACTGGGGCTGCGCGAGGTGCTTGCGGGCCAGATAGAGTGCCGGGTGTGTGTGGGCTTGGCGGCGCCCCCGGCCCCGGGCAGTGAGGGGCTTAGCACCTGGGCCAGCAGCTGCTGTGCTCGATTTCTCGCCGGGCCTTAGCTGCCTACCTGCGGGGCAGGGCTCGAGACCCGCAGCCCACCATGCCTGAGCCTCCTCCACCCGCCATGGGCTCCTGGGCAGCCCAAGCCTCCCTGACGAGTGCCGCCCCCTGCTCCACGGCGCCCGGTCCCATTGGCCGCCCAAGGGCTGGGGAGTGCAGGCGCACGCGCATGACTGGCAGGCAGCTCCACCTGCGCCACACTGGGGGACCCACTGGGTGAAGCCAGCGGTGCTCCTGAGTCTAGTGGGGACTTGGAGAACCTTTATGTCTAGCTAAGGGATTGTAAATACACCAATCTAGCTCAAGGTTTGTAAACACACCAATCAGCACTCTGTGTCTAGCTCAGGGTTTGTGAATGCACCAATCGGCACTCTGTATCTAGTTAATCTGGTGGGGAGTTGGAGAATCTTTATGTCTAGCTAAGGGATTGTGAATGCACCAATAGGCACTCTGTATCTAGCTCAAGGTTTGTAAATGCACCAATCAGCACTCTGTGTCTAGCTCAGGGTTTGTAAATACACCAATTGACACTCTGTATCTAGCTAATCTACTGGGGAGGTGGAGAACTTTTGTGTCTAGCTCAGGGATTGTAAATGCACTAATCAGCACCCTGTCAAAACAGACCAATCAGCTCTCTGTAAAACAGACCAATCGGCTCTCCGTAAAATGGACCAATCAGCAGGATGTGGGTGGAGCCAGATAAAAGAATAAACGCAGGCTGTCCAAGCTAGCAGGGGCAACCCACTCAGGTCCTCTTGCACACTGTGGAAGCTTTGTTCTTTTACTCTTTGCAGTAAATCTTGCTGCTGCTCACTCTTTGGGTCCACATTGCCTTTATGAGCTGTAACACTCACTGCGAAGGTCTGCAGCTTCACTTCTGAAGCCAGCGAGACCACAAACTCACTGGGAGGAACGAACAACTCCAGACGTGCCACCTTAAGAGCTCTAACACTCACCTCCAAGGTCTGCAGCTTCACTCCTGAAGCCAGCGAGACCATAAACCCACCAGAAGGAAGAAACTCCGAACACATCAGAACATCAGAAGGAGCAAACTCCAGACATGCCCCCTTTAAAAATTGTAACACTCACCGCGAGGGTCCGTGGCTTTATTCTTGAAGTCAGTGAGACCAAGAACCCACCAATTCCGGACCCAATGGGACGGCCAGGGTGTGCAGAGGAGGGATGCTCTTGGGCACCGTGGTGTCCCTGGTGGGCTGACGGCAGGTGAGGGGCCAGCATAGCAGCTTCCCGGCTCCTGAGGAGGAGGTGGGGATATCTTTCCACTGAGGCACGTGGGCCTGAGCTAGCAGTGCTGTCTCCCCAGGTGCAGCCAAGAACCCAGGTGATTGCAATTGCTCTGGGGAAGCTAATAATCTGATGTTGCAAACATCATTAAAATCTACCCTGCCTTAGGGCCGGGCGCGGTGGCTCACACCTGTAATCCCAGCACCTTGGGAGGCTGAGGTGGGCAGATCACGAGGTCAGGACATCAAGACCATCCTGGCTAACACGGCAAAACCCCATCTCTACTAAAAATACAAAAAATTACCCAGGCGTGGTGGGGGGTGCCTGCAGTCCCCTACTCGGCAGGCTGAGACGGGAGAATGGTATGAACCCGGGAGGTGGAGCTTGCAGTGAGCTGAGATCGCGCCACTGCACTCCAGCCCGGGCGACACAGCTAGACTCTGTCTCACCAAATAAAAAAAAAATCAACCCTGCCTTTAGATATATTTTATTGTTGAATTCAAAAAAAATATTTATTTCCCAGTTCTCTTGCACCTTGGGTGCAGGCTGCGGGACGCTGGATCCACCCCATGCTCCCAGAGATGGGGAGCACACAGCCTCAGCTACAGGCCACGGGAGGTGCCTGCCGAGTGCTGCGGCGATACCAGGTCCCAGCAGGCCTCTGAGGATGAGGGCCCACTGAGCGCAGGAAGGGCACTGCACCGGGCCACACAAGCACAGTGAAGGCAAAATGACATCAGGGGTATGGAGGCCTGCGGTGGTCATAGCTGGGGTCCAGCATAGGGTGGTCAGCCTTGTCGAAAAGGGATGCTGTGTCAGGGTCATTCCTGGGCTCATGGCCTCCCAACCCAGCCCTCCCATGCTCTGTCTGTTCCCCTCCAACTTTGTCTTTGAGCTCAAAGCTTGTGTCCTCCCTTCTAAATACTGCTTAGAATATGGACTGGCCTGGCCTCAGGACCGCCCCCTGAATGGGCTTCCCTGGCAGGCCTGACCTTCCAGGAGCTGCCCACCTTGGCCTTCCCATTCCTCCTCAGTCCTGGAGGATCCGCGGCTCAGAGGAGAGTCTTGCAGTGAAGCCAAAGTCAGGAGGGGGACAAGGCAGAGCGATGGGAGACGAGGTTGGGAAGACAAGTAGGGTTACAGAGGGGGCTCGGGAAGTCATGCCAAGGGCATCATCCTTTTCCTTGGAGTTGCTGAAGACATGCCCAAGGTCATTGACTGGGGACTGGGTCAGCTCTGAGTTTCCAAAAGATAGCTGGGGGCCAAGGCCATTGGGCATGAGGACTGAAAACTCAGGACCCACTTTCCCAGCACGGAGGCTGCCTTCCAGCTCCCCTCCTGCCCCAACCAAAGGCTGACAGCCACCACAGCCCCGTGCTGAGCCCTGAGAGCTCCTCCAGGCTCCACCATCTCTTTCCCTTCCCCGTGGCTTGTCCTCCTCTACCTCCCTTTCTGTCTGTCCTGCTGGAGACCTCACACCTGCAGCAGCTCATCCCCAAATCCCTCCATATTCCCCTCAGTGGAACCCCCCTCCTGGCTTTGTATTTGTCTGTTCATCTTCTTGCTGGCTTCTCCTGGGGACTGTCTGTCTCCCTTGTACCCCTGGGATCTCTTTTGATCAGCTGGTTTGGAAGTGGCAATGACCCACACCACTCACGCCCTTCCTTGTGTCTCTGGAGGAGGCTGCCTGATGAATGCACATTGTCTCGATTGCTGTCTCTCTGGGCTGCCTTAGCTACACTTGCTAATTCTGGCATTAAGTGTTAGTTTAAAATTTAGCGCCAGTATTATGAAGGCCCACAGATAAATGCCATGTCTCCTAACATAGCCTGTGTATGGACTGAATGTTTGTGTCTCCTCCAGATTTACATGTTGAAATCCTAACTCCCAGTGTGATGGGATTAGGAGGTGGGACTTTGGGAGGTGATTAGGTCATGAGGGTGAAGGCCTCTTAAATGGGATTCACGCCCTTATAAAAGGGACCCTAGAGACCTCTCTTGTCCTCTTGTCCTCATGTGAAGACAGAGGAAAGGTGGCCGTCTGCAATCCGGAGGAGGTCCTGCATCGGAACTCAGCCAGGCTGGTGCCTTGATCTCCAATTTCTAGTTTCCAGGCCTATGAGAAAGAAAATCTTGCTGTTTATAAGACACCTGGTCTTATGGTACCTTGTTATAGCAGCCCAAACTAAGACATCGTGTCAGTAATAAAGGTGATATTTTGGGTTATATCTCTCTTACTACTTATTTCTCACTCGCTTCAGATGTTGGGTGGGGAAGAAGGGTGCTATTTGTTGAGCCCCCCGAAAGACCTCCTAATAGAGGGTCTCCACTTCTCCAGAGAGATTGCCACCCATTTCCTCACTTACTTGTTGCCTCCTTTGATACCTTGTTGTTCTATAGGTCTTTTCGCCTGTTGGTGTTTTGAAATGTAGAGGGAAGGACTTTCACTTCCAAGAAAGAGTAGAAGACAGCATCACGCAATGCAACGCTGCAACAAATAGAGAAAAGACAAACACATCAGGAACACATTGTGAAGATCTTAGGGAGCTGTGGATGCAATGAAGCCTAGATAAACTGAGATATGAGAGATAAAGCGATAAAGAGGCAGAGACCCACCAGGCATTCAGTAAAACATCTAGGAGAAACTCGGCTGAGGAACAAGAATAGTAAACCGTGAATGAGTCAAACTAACGAAACCTGCAGTCCACCCAGCTCAGTTCCTCATGGGTTGAGGTGACCGGCCCTCTCCCACCAACTGGACAGAGGAAAGGGTGAACCTTCTTTGACATCCTCCAGGGTTCTTTCACACACCATCCAGCATACATTAAAAATTTAAGGCCAGGCGCAGTGGCTCACGCCTATAATCCCAGCACTTTGGGAGGTAGAGGCAGGCGGATCTCTTGAGGTCAGAAGTTCAAGACCAGCCTGGCCAACATGGTGAAACCCTGTCTCTACTGAAAATACAAGGCTAGCTGGGTGTGGTGGTGCACACCTGAAGTCCCAGCTACTTGGGAGGCTGAGGTACGAGAATCACTTAAACCCAGAAGGCAGAGGTTGCCGTGAGCCAAGATCATGCCACTGCACTCCAGCCTGGGCGACAGAGCTCTGTCTCCAAAAAAAAAAAAAAGAAAAGAAAAAGAAAAAAAAATTAAGACATATGAAGAGGCAGGAAAACATGACCAAAATTTTTTTAAATCCAAACTACAGAAGTGGTCAAGGACTTTAGAGTTAGTAGGTAAGGACTTTAAAATAACTATAAAAAATATGTTAAATGAAATACAGGAAAAGATGACCAAATGGATGAAAGATAGAGAATTTAACAGAATATTAGACTCTATAGAATAATTAATTGAACATTCTAGAATTTTTAAATGCAGTATCAAATCAAGGACTCTGGGGTGAATTTAACAGCAGTGGGACATAACAAAAGATGGCATGAGTGAACTCCAAAACCAATAGGAAATTTTCAGAAAGAAGCACAGAGAGAAGAGCATGAAAAGAGCAAAAGAGAGTGTGGAAGATGCATGGGGAACCATCAGGTGTCTAATGTAGTTGGGGGCCTACAGAAGAGAGGAGAGAATGACATAGAAGCAGTATTTGAAGAGAAAGTGGCTGAGAATTTTCCAAAACCAATAGAAAGCATCAGCTGAGTTGGTGTTCATTGAAGAACTCAGCAAACCCCAAGCAGGATCAACACAAGGAAAACCACTCTTCGGCACATCGTGGTCAAACTGCCGAAAACCATGTATTAGAAAAAGGCAGATGCCCTGCAAAAGAGCAACTATAAGGTGTACAGCTGGCTTTTCAACTCATGGTGAGCAGAATAATGATCCTTAAAGATGTCCAGATCCTAATCCCCAGAACCTGTGAATATGTTACCCCACATGGCAAAAGGGACATTGTAGATAGGATTAAGGTAAAGACCTTTGCATAGGGTAAGCATCCTGGACTGTCCAGGTGGGATCCACGTAATCACTAGGGTCCTTATGAGAGGGAGGCAGGAGGCTCAGAGTCAGAGAAGGAGATATGAGGATGGAGGCAGAGGTCGGGTTGATGCCATGGCTGGGGAAGATGCCATGAGCCAGAGAATGAGGGCAGCCTCCAGGAGCTGGAAAAGGCAGGACACAGATTCTTCCCAGAATCCCCAGAAGGCACACAGCCCTGCGGACACCTTGATGTCTTTTTTTTTGTTTGGAGTCTTGCTGTGTTGCCCAGGTTGGAGTGCAGTGGCATGATTTCGGCTCACTGAAACTTCCGCCTCCTGGGTTCAAGTGATTCTCCTGCCTCAGCCTCCTGAACAGCTGGGATGACAGGTGTGCACCACCATGTCCGGCTAATTTTTGTATTTTTAGTAGAGATGGGGTTTCGCCATGTCGATCAGGTCGGTCTCGAACTCCTAACCTCAAGTGATCCACCCGCCTCAGCCTCCCAAAGTGCTGGGATTACAGGCGTGAGCCACCGTGCCCAGCCCCATTTCAGATTTCTGACCTCCAGAACAGTAGGAAAATAAATTTGTGTGTTTTTAAGCTTCTAGGTTTGTGGTCATTGGCTACAGCAGCAGAAGGGAATAAATACACACTAGAAGATAGCAGGTGCCTTGCTGAGGTGCTGTAAGTACATAAATGAATAGATTTGCCGCCACTTTGCCCACCAGACCCCTTACCCCTCTCTGTATTCTTTTTGTTGCCTCCAAGTACCTATTTATTTATTTATTTATGTAATTTCAATAGGTTTTTGGGGAACAGATGGTGTTTGGTCACATGAGTAAGTTCTTCAGCGGTGATTTCTGAGATTTGGGTGCAGCCATCACCTGAGCAGTGCACACTGTACCCAATATGTAGCCTTTTATCCCTCACCCCCTCCCACCCTTTCACCCGAGTCCCCAAAGTCCATTGTGCCATTCTTATACCTTTGCATCCTCATAGCTTAGCTCCCACTTAGGAGTGAGAACGTCCTGAGTTACTTCACTTAGGATAATGGTCTCCAATTCCATCCAGGTTGCTGTGAAGGCCATTATTTCATTCCTTTTTTATGGCTGTCTCTCTGTATTCTTAAAACTAATCACAATGAGACCCTTAAATGTAAACTTCGATACCTCAAGCAGTCCTAGAAACAGATGAAACTCCAATCTCTTGACAAATCCAGCACTTCTAATGCATGGTTGTTGAAAATAGGAGATAACACTTAAGACTAATTAATTATTTTTCTTTTTTTCATGCTTCCTTGTCAGTGACCTTCCCCCCAGTTTTGCTAGGGGAGGATTGAGATTATTATAGCTGGATTACAAAGAGAAAGTGACAACATTCCTTCTTGACATCCCGGATAAGCTCCTGAAACCCATTTCAGAAACAAGAGTGAGTCTTTCAATTCTAAGAGCCAAGTACTTGAGAGGAAGAAGTCTTGTAAATTCCAGAAGCATTCTTTAACCTATCAGGCACCAAAGCCGAAGAGACTGGACATGAGCTTTGTTTTTTTGTAGTAAAATACACATAACATAAAATGTATCATTTCAACCTTTTTTTTTGACTCTTGCTCACTGCAACCTCCTCCTCCCTGGTTCAAGCAATTCTCCTGGCTCAGCTTCCCAAGTAGCTGGGATTACAGGCGCCCGCCACCACGCCCGGGTAATTTTTTGTATTTTTAGTAGACATGGGGTTTCACTGTGTTAGCCAGGCTGGTCTTGAACTACTGACCTCAGGCGATCCGTCCACCTCGGCCTCCCAAAGTGCTGGGATTACAGGCGTGAGCAACCACCCCCATTTTTTTTTTAATTAAAAAAAATTTTTTTTTAATTATTTTTTATGTTTATTTTATTTATTTATTTATTTTTTAAAGACAGGGTCTCGCTATGTTTCTCCCAGAGACACTGAACTCCACTGGCGTCTAGTGACTATTCACAGGTCTGATCATAGCTCACTGCAGCCTCCGACTCCACGCCTCAAGAGATCCTCCCACTTTAGCCACCTGGGTAGCCCAGACGACAGGCGCAAGCCATTTTGTAAGTGTACAATTCAAGGGCATTACATATATTCACATTGTTGTGCAACCATCACCACCATCCATCTCTAGAACTTCTTCATCTCCCAAACTGAAACTCTGTCCCCACTCAGCACTCACTCCCCTTTTCCCTCTCCCCTGCCCCTGGCCCCTGCCATTCATTCCCCTTTCTGCTGCTGTGAATTAGACTATTTCATGTTCTGCAGAAGAGTGGAGAGTTTTGCTTTTCAGCTCTAGAATGGGAAAGGAGCAGGATAGAATATGTGGGCAATTTCCTGCCACACAGGAATGCAGTACATCCCATTTTCCTGGGCTGGAAGAAGAGCATGAAGAGAGAGGGTGGAGTAAAAGAATTGAGGCCTGAGTGAGCGCCCTCCTCTGTCACCGGAGGAGGAAGGATGGGGACCCCAGCAGGTTAGGGGATCCCAGAATGGAGGGTGCTTACTTCCTGCCAGCCAGAGGGCCCAGCCCCCTCCTAAGATTGTACATGGAGCTCCCAAGCTCTCACATGCCTCCTGGGAAGACTGAGCCCTTCCCAGAGACTGAATTCACCCCCGGAATGGACTAAACGGCAAACTCGATGTGACTGCGTTCTCCAGGATGGACGAGGTTTGTATTTTTCCACTACTGAACAGAAATGGGGCTCTCCAACAAATGGAGTTCAATGGTAGAAAATAAAGTTAACATTTCTGAGCATCTGAATATTAATTATAAATTTTATACCTGCTACAAATACCCTGGCCCGAGAGATTCCTTCCTGTCCCCTGCAAGGTTCAAGGCATCCCTTGGCTCCCTAAGCTGTTTGGCTCTGAGCTGGGTGGGGCCCGCACGCAGGAGCAGCAGCTCCGTGTAGAAAGCTGTTTCGGATTTCTCCCCTGGGCAGGGTGCCACACGCACATGTTGCAGTCCCTGCCGACAGCCATGCCCAGCGCCCTGGCAAGCCACCCGCCCCCCAGGCTGCTTAGACCACTGGGTACCGCCCCCTGCTTCTCCCGCCCCCACCTCCTTCCTCCCCCGACTCCACCCCTCTCCTGCTCCAGGAAAAATATGTGGACGTCGCACGTCCCTCCTGTCACGAAACACACAAAGAGGACAGAGGGCGAAGGCGGGGTCCGTGGGAGCCCAGGCGACCTCAAGGCAGTTCACTCACGCAGCCAGCCCTCAGAGACGTGGGCTGCGTGTCTGCTGCCCGCCTGGGGAAACTGCAAGGGGCTGACTGGGTGGTGCCAGGGATTTGCACGCTCGGGGAATCTGTGGGATTCACATCTGTTTCTCCAACATTTCTCTCGCCTCTGCCAGACGTGAGCTCCTTGAAGGCAGGACCAGGCTTGGTTATTTTGAGTCTCTCCATCTCATCGGTCCTTGCTGGACAGATCCCTTTTTCATGGAGTGTCTCTGCCCTCACCCCTCACTCCACCCCAGCCCTCGGTAGTCCCATAGAAGCTGTGGGCTCCTGCAGCTCAGGCCTGGGGCAGTGCTGGATTCAAAATATCATAGCACAGTTCAGCAATCGGAAATGGATTCCACTCTTCACTGGCATTTCCCCTAAAGATCTTAGACGTGGCACCCGTCATAGTCTCTGCAAAACTTCTTCTCTTCTCTTCTCCTTCTCTTCCCTGCCATCCTTGAAATGGCAAGGACAAAAACGGCACCTCTCCTCCCAGCACTTCCTTCCTCTCTGGTCTTCCACCCCTGCCCCCGCTCCACCTTTTATCTTGCTTGTTGACTTAACTGCTTCCTCTCACCTCAGGGTCCCAGCCTTCCCCTCCATTCCTGCTCAGAGGTGGCTTTGGAGCCTATAGAACATGCTCCAAGGTCTTTGGGGCGCTGGTAGATCTACACTCACACCCTCTCACCCTGGCAAGACCTGCAAAGCAGAAGCTGGCACAGCTGGAGGAACAAGAGGCTGAATCGGAAGAACTCATTCAGCTGAATCTTGACGGATGGCCTTTTCCTGTAAAATACAGAGGAGACAGTGCATGCAGTTCAAACGCAGGCTGGGCTCCGTCTCTCTAGGGTGGGGAGATTTGTTCCTGCCCCCAAAACACCCCTTTCTTTTCACGACCCTTGTGCTCCTCTGGCTGCCTGCTTAATGTGCCACCCACACTGCACAGACCCCTCCCTAGGAATGTCCCCACCAACAATCTCAGCTGTGGCCTCAGGTCCACCATGGACACTCTGAGTCCCCAGGGATGCAGGCAGCCCCTAGAGGCTGTGGGATATTCCCAGGATGAGGGGTGGTCAGACACAAGAGTCTTTCATGAAGGTCAGAAGGCTCCAGGTGCTCTGTGTGCAGGTCAGTCGCCTGTACTCAGAAGGCAGGAAGAAGCTGCCTCGTGAGCTGAGGAGGGCAGGAAGGGATGCCATTTGCCTTTCAGGCTTCGTGCCTCCCTGCTGGAGGCTTTTTTGTGTTTATTTTTGCCTTATTTTGGGGTCCATTTAAAAAATCCTCACGCCATTAAAGTATGTCATTAGGGAAGCCCTGGGCCCTTCTTACGAGGCTTTGAGTATGAATGTCAGCCAACATCTCTACTTTAGTTAGCTTCATCTTTTAACTCTTTGAAAAGTGAGGACAAAGAATAAATATTCATTCCATTTCTTTTTTCTTTTTCTTTTCTTTCTTTTTTTTTTTTTGAGACAGAGTCTCACTGTGTCACCTAGGCTGGAGTGCGGTGGCGCTATCTTGTCTCACTGCAACCTCTGCCTCCTGGGCTTAAGTAGTTCTCCTGCCTCAGCCTCCCCAGTAGCTGAGACTACAGGTGCCTGTCACCACACCTGGCTAAATTTTTTTTTATTTTTTAATTTTATTTTTATTTTTAGTAGAGACGGGGTTTCACCATTTTGGCCAGGTTGGTCTCAAACCCCTGACCTCAAATGATCCACCAGCCTTGGCCTCCCAAAGTGCAGGGATTACAAGCATGAGCCACTGCGCCTGGCCTCTTTCCATTTCTTGAGTTCAAATCTATACCCTTGCGTGTGTGCCCCAGTGCTGCAGCTACGGAAATCCACTTCCAAGGCCTAGGGTGGACCACAGAGACCCTCCCTCACCCAGCAAGGACCCCCCAGGTAGCTGGGCTCATCTGTGCCCCTAGAGACACTCTGTGGCCCGTGAGGCAGGAATTATGGTGCCATTCTAGACAGACACTTGAGTGTTTATGGAAACGTCAAGCAATGAGAGCTAAGCTTATTTTAGTGATTCTTGTGTGCCAGGCACTGTTCTAATTAATTTAATCTTCACAGCTCTTATTTCTTGAGGTAAATACTGCTATTACCCCCCATTACAAATGAGAAAGTTAGGGCCCCATGAGGATGAGGGATTTGTCCAACGTCACATGACTCATACGTGGCAGAGGTGAGGCTGGAACTCGGGCCATCTTCAGAGTCTACTTTTGTGTGTGCTCAGCTGGCCTCAGCTGAGAGGCAGGTATGGAAGCCAATCCAAAATGCCTGCAGGGACCCCCGGACTAGACAGCCCTCAGCCTTCATGGGGCCGGGGGGCAGTGGGCAGCTGCTCTTGAACAACAGGCAATTGTTACCTTGCAGGAAAGCAGGCTCAGTGTGTCAGACACTCCTGCTTTTCAAGAGAAGCTGGAAGTTCAGGACCAGCCTGGCCAACATGGTGAAACTCGATCTCTACTAAAAATACAAAAATTAGCGGGGCGTGGTGGCGCATGCCTGTAATCCCAGCTACTTGGGAGGCTGAGGCAGGAGAATCGCTTGAACCTGGGAGGCAGAAGTTGCAGTGAGCCGAGATTGTGCCACAGTACTCCAGCCTGGGTGACAGAGCAAGACCCTGACAAAAAAAAAGAGCAGCTGGAAATCTGGATATTTATGTGAAATTCTTAGTATAAAAATGTAATCAGGTTGGGCACAATGGCTCATGCCTGTAATTCCAGCACTTTGGGAGGCTGAGGCGGGTGGATCATGATGTCAGGAGATCGAGACCATCCTGGCTAATATGGTGAAACCCAGTCTCTACTAAAAATACGAAAAAATTACCCAGGTGTGGTGGTGCACACCTGTAATCCCAGCTACTCGGGAGGCTGAGGTAGGAGAATCGCTTGAACCAGGGTGGAGGTTGCAGTGAGCCGAGATCACTCACTGCACTCCAGCCTGGGTGACAAAGCGAGACTCTGTCTCAAAAAAAAAAAAAAAGAGCCAAACAAAACAAACAAGCAAACAAAAAAAACTTGTTCAAAACCTTACGTAAGGAAGACAAAAAACAAAACAGTCTACATCCAGCTCATGGGTTGCCGGCCTATGGCCTCTGGCTCAGGCTAAGGAAGGCAGATTGGTTTAATCTCCCATCAACTCTATCCCATTAATAGTGGCTACCTGGAGACCAATGTGGAGAGGGATTCTGAGTGTAAGTCTGGCCTCAATGAGAAAGAGTGCTGCAATCCATTGGTCATGTCTGCCACAGGCACAGCCTGGAAGAATGACAGCATCTATATCTTGAGCTCTCCTGACTGGTTATATACTATACAGAATGAACTAGCATTCAGTCCCCATTCCTCCAGAATCTTATTGGTTAAATCCGCCCACCTTACCCCAGCCCACTCCAACCCAGAGCACCTGTAGAGTCAATAAGGTTTCCGTGTCCAATACTTCCCAGGTACTAAGTACTTAGATTAGCAACCCTCACACGAATCTTGTGAGAAAAGTGTGGGCGCATGCATTTGATTTTGTTTCAGCTCCTCTCCAGTCAGGAACTAGAAGTCCCTCTTGCCATAAGAAAGCCAATCAACCTATCAGGCATATTGCGATCTCATTGAGACTTCACTGGTGCTTGGTGAAGGGACATGATACAATGCACATTATTTTTACTTGGAAAAGCCTCTTCTTCAAATCGCCTTCTTTATCATCCCACTGTGGGGCTTCTGTCTCTGACATGCGTACCCCATCTTGCTATGGTTTGAATGCTTGTCCTCTCCAAACTCATGTGGTATTTAATTGCCATTGTGATGGTATTGGGAGGTAGGGCCTTTAAGAGATATTTAGGTCATGAGGGCTCCACCTTCATGAATGGACTAATGCCATTATTATGGAAGTGGGTTTTTTATAAAGAGTGGGTTTTCCCCTTTTATGCTCTCTCTTGTGCTCTCTCTCTGCCCTTCTGCCATGTTAAGGTGCAGCAGGAAGGTCCTTCCCAGATGCCAGCTCCTCAATCTTAGACTTCCCAGCCCCCAGAGCTGTGGGTCAATAAATTTCTGTTCACTGTACATTACCCAATCTGTGATATTCTGCTATAACAGTACAAAATAGACAAAGACATGTCTTTTTCAGGATCTGACCCTACTGTTCTTACCCCATGAAGGTTTCCTTTTGGAAATTTCCAATCCCTGTCCCTCCCTGAAGCAGCCATCTTCTGTGGATTTAGTGCACCCTTTAGAGTCCTTCTTTATCCTAATCTGCTTAAAAACATATTTTCCCTGATAAAGTAAGTCTCCCCTTGAGAGAAGTTCCCATATCAACCACTAACAGGAAATGGAGCTCCCAGTACATCGTGACTTATATAAAGCCATTCAGAGTCAACCCTCGAGCATCTCAGATGTGTGACCCAGAGGTGTGACATTTATATCATGTGTGACATATATGACACTGTGTGTGACACATTTATGACAGATTGTGATCTGTGGGTGGCCTCACCCACAGACTGATTTTTTATTCTTTATTGCATCTACGTTTGCTTATAGTTAATTTCGCCTGGTTTAGCACTTAATCTGCTCTCTAATTTTCCTTCTTTCGGAAATTGGCTTTCTCAGCCAAATGATGAGGTGCCTGAGAGCCGATCCTTTTCCTCTTACTTCATTCACTCATTTGACTAATATCATTTGAGCTCTTGCTGTGGGCCAGACACTGTTCTAGAACCCAAGGATACAGCGCTGACCAGAACAGCTTCTACTCTCTTGGAGCTTACATTTCTTTTTTGAATTGTATGGCAGTCCATGACTGTCAACATTCTGGTCCTGAGGATTCTTGTGGTTTTGCTGGGCACAGTCACACGCTGGGAGCTTTCACTGGCTCCATGCATTTGGCTCTGGCTTCTCCTGGTGGGGGCTTCTTTTCTAGCTGTGTTGACACGTGCCCTAGAAAAAGACCACTCTCCCCAGGTTTAGGCATTGCCATTTGATCCTGGGCAAGGCACTTGAACTTCCTAAGCCCCTTTCCCAACCTGTAAAAGACAGGTAATTCTACACAGCAGGGCTGTCGTGAATTGTAAGTGGTTAAAGTGCACTGGCACCATGCAAATGTCCCTCATGATTGCAGCACAATCATATGCAGAGATGCATATTCAGAATCCAGCTCCCACCCCTCCCAGCATGTCCTTGTTGCTCTGATTCTTCCAGAGGTCTCCTTTCCCTGGGAAAGAAAAGAACCAGCAGAATACAAATACCAAAGAATCCAGTTCTTGACTTGGGAGTTTCAAAATGGGCTTTAAAAATGTATAGAAGAAAAAGTAATCTTGTGAATCAAGACTTTTGGCTATGCAAGAGGGAAGCTTTTTGAAAGAGAAATGGTTTACTGAGTTTCAAAGAGAAACTAAAAACTCTTAAAAAATTGGAGCATAAAGTGTATTTCCCAAAGAGTGGAAAGGAAAGAGGACAGGAGAAGAGACCACATGAGCAACGTGACGTGCAGACCAGAGCCAGGTTGCCAAGGCCAAGGGAGAAGGGGCTGCTGGAAGGGAGAAGTCTGTGAGCCCTCCTGTCCTACCAGATGGCTCAGGCTCAGGGGAAGACAAAGCAACCCCTATATGAATTTTGGGGAAAGCAAAGGGTAGGAGAACCTTACACCAGCTTGCTGGGCAGGAGAGCTGTTGAGAAGAGATGGGCGTGGGGACAGCAGAGTGACAATGGGGTCTCCTGCAGTCTTACTGGGCCTGTAGATTGGGAGAGTAGCCCAAATTGCCTATGCTCCTGAGATGGATGTGGTAGTGAGCAGAGAATGGAAGCCAGAGGCCCAGGCTGGCGGCTAATTCTCACGTGACAAGCAGACACAGTCATCAGTGGCAGAGAGGGCTGGGCAAGCCAGGGGCCAGATGGAGATATGTTCAGTCCCGTAGACACTGACATGTGGGAATGCTGGTCGCTTCAGCAGATACCAGTGGAAATCAATGTTGACGTTAGGAGCCAGCACAGGATGACTCGTTATAATCAGCATAGGATAGGATAGGCTCTGCTGTAGTAACAAACATACCCCAGAACTTAGTAGCTTGACACATGAACATGTGTTTCTCTTTCACTGTGGTCTAATCCATTGCATGTCGTGAGGGTCTCCTAAGTAGCTCCCTTCCAAGCCATGACTCAGGAGTCCAGTTTGCTCCATTTTAGTTTTGACTTCCAGGATGGCCTCAGCAGAAAGGGAGGACTGGAAGGCTGCACAGGGGGTTTCCCACTGCCTTAGCAAGGAAATGACATACAGTATATCCCCTTACAGCCCCTTGGCCAGAACTAACACCATGACCCCAACCTAACTGCAAAAGAGGCTGGGAAATGCAGTCGTCCATGTGCCCAGGATGAGGGAAATTAAACGGGGCTTGGGAAAACCTAATATCATCTCTATCACCACCACAAACCAGGCATGTCTTAGACACAATGATCTGTACATTCCCTGTGAAATTGAGATGTCATTTCAGGGAGAAAAATCCTAAATTTCAACAAGCTTTAACCTAACTTGAGAAATCACCGAATTCAATTGGTTTTCCATGGAAATGACTAGGTTACCTTTTGTTTTTTTGTCATTAGGGAGAAATGGGGACTAAAGATAGGAAGCAGTTTCTCATGGAAAGGCAAATAAAGTTGAATCTTTGCACACATGAGAGCATGGGCCATGGCATTTGTGCCTGCTCCATTATTATGGGTAATATATTGTTATTGCTGGGGAAAAAAAGCTTACAGATTGTTTGTCAGAAGTGGGATAGCATAGAGATGAAGTGCATTGGCTCATGGGTTCAAATATGAGTTCTGGCCTTTGCTAGCTGGTGTACAGGTTAAATAGGATCAAATGTGGAAATGATCAGCTCTGTGCTGGACACACCATACATTCACAATAAGGTTAGCAGCTGTAAACATCCACAGCTCAAATGAAGATCCAAGGAGTTTAACCTCCCATCTGGTGCTTTTTCATTACCCTACCCTGCAAAGCTCTTGTCATCGTGTTTCCACTTTTAAGATTAATGATGATAATAATAATAATGATGCTAGGAGAAGAAGAAAAAGGAGGAGGAGGAGAGGAATTATCATTAATTGAGCTCCTCTAATGTGCTGGGCATTTTACATAACTCACCTCATTCAATACTTAAAACAACTCTGTGAATTGGGTATCATTATCACCATTTCACAGATGAGGCAATCAAGGCTTACTGAGGTTACATAACTTGCACCAGGTCATAGGAAGTTTGAAAGCACATCCATATTGAGATCCAGCGCTGGCCCTGTCATCCACTAACTGTCAGACCCCGGGTGAGTTGCCTGACCATGCTAGGATTTGCTTTCTCTGCCTATAAAAGAGAAATAAAAATAGTACCTATCTCAAAAAGAAAAAAAAAGTTCATAAATTATTTGACCTTCTTCCAACCAAGAGGTGGGATCTCTGTCCCTCCCCCTTGAATCTGGGCTGACCTTAGTGACTTACTTATAACCAAATAGAATGGAGCTCAACTTCTAAGGCTGCTCAGAAAAGGCCATGTGGTTTCTGCTGGTTCTCTTGGAACAGTTGCCTTTGGAGCCCGGAGTGACACATAAGTTAAATTGTGTTATCCCCCCAAGTTTTTATGTCTAAGAATGTGAAATTATTTGGACATAGGATCTTCATAGAGGTAATCAAGTTAAGATGAGGTCATTAAGGTGGGCCCTGATCCAATATGACTTATTGGATTATGAATTTCCCCCTTATAAAAGGGGGAAATTTGAGTAGAGAGACCCACATAGAAGGAAGATGATGTGCAGACACGGGGAGAAGATGGCTATCTACAAGCCAAGGAGGAAGGCCTGGAGCAGATCCCTCCCTGACAGCCTCAGAAGGAACCCACCCTGCTGACAGCTTGATCTCGGATTTCCAGCCTCCAGAACTGTAAGGTGATAACTTTCTGTTGTTCTAAGCCACCCGGTTTGTGGTACTTTCCTATGGCACCCCTAGAAAATGAATATAATTGTTACACAAGAAGTCTGACTACCCTGAGGCCCATGAGGAAGCCCAGGCCACATGGGGAGGACGCTTCTGTGTATTCTGGTGACAGCTCCAGCTGTGGTCCCAGCTGACAGCCAGCATCAACCACCAGACACGTGGGCAAAAATGTCTCCAGATTGTTCCAGCCCCCAGCTGTCAAGTCACATCCCCCAACCCTTGTTTTCAAGCGTCCCCAGATGAAGCCCTAGACACCATGAAGCAAGTAGACGCTGTTGCACCTTGTCCGAATTCCCGAAGCACAGCATCTGTGAATACAATAAATGGCGGCGTTATGCCACCAAGTTTGGGACTTTATGCAGCAACACTAACAGGAGTAGCCTCACACCTAATGAGGGCCCCAGCCAGGCTCTGAGCCAGGGCTCTGGCCGTGGACTGCAGGCCTTTGCTCTGCTCTCTCATGCAAGCTCAGCAGCATTGCTTTCTCAGAGGGTGCCCAGGTAGGAAGATCTTTGCTGAGTCTTCTCTCCAGGGAAGCAGGGCTGGCCCACGTGGGCTTAGACTCTGGTTCACCTGTGGTTAACCTCCTTTCAGGAAGCCATCTCCCCAGCTTCGTTCTCCAAGCTTGGAGAGCGGGCCAGGCTCCTGAAGGCAGCCATCAAGTGTGACCTCATCGAAGTATGGCTTGAACCTGTTCTCAGGGTCATTTGGCTGATGAGTTTGTGCAACATCAGGGCTGTCGGGAGGCAGAATATGAGCTGGATGTCTGACCACCTGGGTTTAAATTTTGGCTGTGCAACACTAGCTGTGTGGCCTTGGGAAGTTATAATAACCTCCCTGAGCCTGTTTCTTCAACTGCAAAATGGGGACATAATAGCACCCACCTCATAGGGGTTCTAGTGAAGCTCAGACAAGCCATTTTCTTGTGAATCATGGAGCAGGGGTCTGCCTAGCACAGGGTCAGTCCACAGCCCATGTTAGCTACTGTTGCTAGTCATCAATATCAACTGTTTACTTGTAGGGATTTGTTTGTTCTCTCCAATGCAGACTATTTTAGTGCCTGGAAGCATCCTTGCGAAGGAGAAAAGTAGCTTAAAATAAACCCAAGAATGTTGAGTTCTTTCAAAAGTTAATTTACAAAATAAAAAGGTTCCAGACAAATCTAAGGTAGCATTGTTATTACGGGTTTTATTGTTCCAAACAACCTTGAAAAACTAACTCTGGAGCTCCAAAGGGTAGCAATTAGGCCTCTGGTGAGAGCCCTCAAAGTATTTAAAGCCTTGCCAAGGCACTCATGGCTTCACTTCCTTCCCCATTTTGTGGTCGCCGTGTCTGCCTGCATCCCCCACCAGGGCCCAGGCGGGAGCGTGGGGAGGGCCGCGCGGTCTCCCCGCTGCTGCAGGAAACGCTGCCTGCTGTCTGAAGACTCCCAGAAAGAGAAGGCTGAGAGGGTGACTCAAAGTGAACCATCTCCTCCCCCAACCCACGTCCCCCACCCTGCACGCTGCACCGTGACAAGACCCCTCTTCTGAGCCCAAGACTGAATCACGGCTCAGGGCCCTGGGATGCTCACACACCCCTTTGCCCAGCGCTGGCCAAGAGATCCAACTGCACGGTGGCTTCATGGGTCTGAGCTAATTCCCTCCTGAGCTGCAGCTTACCCCACGGCAGCACTTCGTCAGAAACAGTCTCTGGGCTTGCTGCTGGCAGGCTGCTTGCTGGCTGTGAAGTCTTCATCCTGCTCTATGCGAGGCAAGGCTTGTCCAAATATTTGGCTTGATCCTGCTTTCTGATTCATCATGTGCAGGAACCTCCGTAATTTCATCTACTGCGTGACTCAGACAAGAGCTGAACACAAGTGCCGTGCACCGGAGCCCCGGAGCCTGCACAGAGGCCAGGCCTGCATCTTCCCGGGCAAGCCTCCTGGGCTTGGGGAGAGATGCTGGCACTCTCAGGATCAGCTAGCCTGAGATTAAATCTCTTTTGTCTGAGATGATTAACAGAGCCCCAAACACGCCTCGACACAGGGTGTGAGGTGCACTTTGTACCTTTTCCAAGATTTTTTTTTTCTTTTTTAGTGCTAAATCCATTTGCATCTCATAAATTATACTGGCTTCCAAAATGAAGTGTTCCTGACAGCCGCAGGCAGGGTGTGGGTTCCATTGAAACGCTTTTCCCTGTCGTCCCCTCTCTCACTCTGAGACCCTAGAAGATATCCTGCTGATCTTCTAAAGGAGGAGGGGAGGCAGTGAGTGACCTAGATTTCAAATCAGAAAGACAGGTAGAGCCAGCTCGCCTGTCTTCAAAAGGCTGCCCGTGCACTGGGTTCTGGGGTTTTGGAAGGAGCCAGAAGGAAGATGTTCCCCGGGCTCCTACCCAGATGCTCCTGCTTATAGGTAACGTGGTCATTTTCTCCTTCAGCAGGTTTTTCAGCTTAAGAAAGGCCACAGGTTGGGCCAGTGGGGCCCGCGAACCCCCTCGGTGCCCCTAGGTAATGCTATCTGGGGTGGGGAGGGAGGGGAAGTAGAGAGTGATTGACAGTAGAGGTGAGGCACTCCTTGTGGAGGTGGTGGGGCAAGGGAAGGGGACCTCCGGACAGGGGGTCTGAACCCTCCTTCCACCACTCTCCAGCTCTGTGGCTTTGGACAAGTGACTCGCCCTCTCTGAGCCTCTGTTTCTTCATGCACTCATTCATTTCCTGGGTATCGCGTCTGTGCCAGGGCTAGGCCACCCCATTGGCGCTTAGGTTCTAGACATTACACAGTCAACACAGCCCTGTGCCTCTAGAGCACGTCCAGTGGTGGGTGAAAACCAAGCAGAGGACAGAGTTTGGTTCAGGCCAGAACCACACGGCCGTCAGTGAGCTAGGCCAGGGCTGGGCAGACGAGGGGTCCAGCACAGAAGACTGAAGAGGTGCAGCCAGGGAGGCAGGAGGGACCCAGGGAGAGTGACAAGAAAGGGGAGAATGCACACCCCACACAGTGGGAGCTCAGGACATGTCGCTGCTGCTGTTATTATTTGATCGCTGTCAGTGGGCGTGGCAGTATGCTTGGGGCGAGGATGCTGAAGGGAAGGGAAAAGAAGAGCTGGAGGAGGGTGGCTTCGCAGCCAGGGTAAATAGCACAGCCAGATGGCTGCCATCATTTCCCGCCACTCCAGTCGCCCTCCTGCCTCCAAGTCACAGGCAGGCTTCACTTTGCGCCATGACCCGAAGGTCAGCAGGCTGGGGTTTCACAAGTGGGCGTTCCAGGTCCGGGGCCCGCACAGGGAGCACTCCGTCCATGGTCAGGCCTCCAAGTTCCCATCCAGGAGCAGCTGCCGGAGCTCTGGCCCATCCCAGGGGGCCCCAGCTGCTGTCAGCCTGGAGTGGGTCAGAGTGTGGGGGTGAGAGAGGCAGGCCCACCGGGGACAGGGGCAGCTGTCCTTGCCCTAAGGATCTGAGTCACACTCGGGCCAGGGAGCCACGGCCAGGGGCACTCCAGGCTCTGCGGGGGGGGCGTGCAGAAGGTGTGGTGTGTATAGTCACACATGCATATGTCAATGTAGTGTATGCGTATACTGTACGTATATGTGATTCTTTTATCGGTATATTCATAGGTTTATTGAATTTCCATATCCTAGATAGTGGCTATCGTTTATCACCTTTTTCTAAGCAGGGAGAAACAAGACTCAGAGAAGTCCAAAGAAACTAAGCCGAGAAGCAGACAGCAGAACAAAATTTCAAGCCCCACGTTCTGCGCCTTCGGGCAACGGCCATGAAACAAGAGGTCACAGCCGCGGAATGGCTTGAGCCCCAGCTCTCATCACAGATTTCGTTATGCTCCAATGGTAGAAACAAAGGGAAGGTTTTGTGTCTCCTGTTTTTAAGGTTGAGAGAGAGCCATAGAAGGGGACAGAGCTTAAACAAGGCCCCCTCCTGCCTTTCTCCTGCGTAGGCAATGCTGGCCCAGTGGCCCCATCCACTGGGTGTCCCTGTGCCCTGGGCTCCTGGAGGAACCCTGCTGACCAGAGGAGCTCCCCGAAAAGCCCACACTCAGCACTTTTCACCCCCTTCCCTTCCCCTTTCACTTCCTGACACTATTTGGGGCTGTGTCTGCCTCCTCCAAGGGCACAGCGTTCCTCACTCATCTGGGCGTCCCAGGGTGCCAGGCACGATGGCCTGCGATGGGGGCTCACTCTGGTCACTCACCTTTGTATCCACAGGGAAATGGGGAAGCTCTGCAAACCCGGGCCAGGGCACAGCTTGGACAATCTGTCACCAGTGTGCAGAGTCAGCTGAGAAACACAATCCTGCCCAGGCTTTCTGTGGCTGCGGCCAAGAGGGTAGGGCTGCTGGGCTGAAGGCTGTCAAGTGACTGGGCAAAAAAAGCCAGCCTCAGCCTGCATGGCCGCAGCAGTCCATCCTGCAACAGAATAATTCCTCTTAGTGGGAACAGGCCTCCCACGCTTATCACAAAGCGCGGGCTGCCTTTCCAATGCGGCTGGAGGAGATTTACAAAAAGAAAAGGAAGTCGCCCTTACATCTTGGGGAAGTTTAAAGACACCTGGAGAATGAAATCTTGGATTTTACTTTCCTGAAAGGCTGAGGCTAGGCATAATTCTCTGCCTTTGTTCCCCTCCTTTGTCTTGGTTAAATGTTCCTGGCCATACTGTACCTGTGGTTTTATTGTCGTCCTTTTTGGGAACAAGCAGGATATAAATCAGTCAGTGAAATTTTAGAATGTAGCTCTTTGGTCTAGCATCTAAGTAGATAAAGAAGAAACGGGCACTTAATAAGTGCCTCTGGAGGCTTGTGATTTGCATGGGGCTCCCAATGAAAGGTAAAGTCTTTGCTTAGAGGTTACACACACCGAATGCAGGGTGGTCCTCAGGCCTCTGGTCACAGCATGCACAGTGCTGGTGCCTCGATCTGCAAACCTGGTGCGCGCAGCCGCTGGGGACCATCTGCCCCAAGGCCACCCCAGGACTTATCAGAAAGGAGAAGAGTTGGCCGGGCGCGGTGGCCTGGTGATCACACCTGTAATCCCAGCACTTTGGGAGGCCGAGGCCGGTGGATCACGAGGTCAGGAGTTCAAGACCAGCCTGGCCAAGAGGGTGAAACCCCGTCGCTATGAAAAACACAAAAATTAGCTGGGTGTGGTGGTGGGTGCCTGTAATCCCAGCTGCTCAGAAGGCTGAGGCAGAGAATTTCTTGAACCTGGGAGGCGGAGGTTGCAGTGAGCTGAGATCACGCCACTGCACTCCAGCCTGGGTGACAGAGAGAGACTCTGTCTCAAAAAAAAAAAAAAAAGAAAAAGAAAGAAAGAAAAAAAAAGAAAAAGAAAGGGGAAGAGTCAAGTTTCCTGCTCCTTGCTGCAGCCGGCTTGATCAGTGCTCTAGAAAAGGGGGGTGGGTGTCTCCAAACAGCCCCTACCCCAACTTCTTGCCACTGTTGGCTTCCCCGGGTCTTTCTCAGTGCCAGGCAGGGGTCTGACAACAGCAGGGAGTCCAGGCCTTGGAAGGGTCCCCCCAGGCAAAAGCTGATTTGCCTGTCCCCATGCGGGGCACAGGGTGCTTGGAAGTGGTTGGGCCTTTGCAGGGGGGTGACCGCAAAAAGAAAGTGAGATGTGTTGCCGCCACAGCGGAGGGCTTGCCAGAGCCAGCATCAGAGTTGGTGGGTTCCCTGACGTATGGAAAAGATCCAGGGAAAAGTTGTAAAATACTGGGCAAAGGATTATATGGAATACTTTAAACACCTGAGCCAGGTTGTGGAGGGAAATAAGTGTTATGACAAGCCACACATCTGCAATCCCTGCCCTTTATCTGGGAGGGCAGGCGTGTTGAAAACCTTGAAGTGAAGTCAAGGTCAACATGCCGTCCTGAGTCATTAGCCATACACAGATTAGTAGGTTAATACAGAACAGTCTCCACAGATGAATTACACCCAGAAGCCCCGTCCTTGGTGTTGACACCGAAAGTTTCAGTTATCACAGGGAGAGCGATGTCTGCTTAATTTTGATAGGGCTTAATTATTATGATAAATGCCTTTGGAATTTAACCCTTTCATTCCACCTAGTGTTATGGCCTGTATGTCTGTGTTCCTCTGAAACTCATACGTTGAAACCTTAACCCCCAGTGGGATGGTATTAGGAGGTGGGCCTTTTGGGAGGTGATCAGGTTTAGGCAAGGTCTTGAGGGTGGTGCTCCCATGATGAGAGTAGTGTCCTTAGAAGAGAAAGACACTAGAAGTCTCTCTTCACCTGTGAGGATACAGTGAGAAGGCAGCTATCTATAAACCAGGAAGCTGGACCTCATCAGATCCTGGATCTGCTGGTGCCTCCAGAACTGGGAGAAATACATGTTTGTCATTTAAGCCACCCAGACTGCAGTATCTTGCTATAGCATCTCTAACTGACTGAGATACCTTATTAGAGCTCTCCAAAGAAACAGATCGAATAGGAGATAGAGAGATGGTAGATAGATAGATGATAGATAGATAGATAGATGATAGATAGATGATAGATAGATAGATGATAGATAGATAGATAGATGATAGATAGATAGATGATAGAGAGATAGCAGGTGGATAGACAGAAAAATAGCTACATAGCTAGCTAGCTAGACAGACAGACAGATAGATAGATAGATAGATAGATAGATAGATAGATAGATAGATAGATAGATTTATTATGGAAATTGACTCACAAGATTATGAAGGACAAGAAGTTCCACAATCTGCCATCTGCAAGCTGAAGACCCAGGAAAGCTGGTGGTGGAATTCAGTCCAAGTCCAAAGTCCTGGGAATGAGGGCATAGGGAGGACACTGGTTTAAGTCCTGATATCCAAAAGCCCAAGAACCGAGAGCCCCAATATCCAAGGACAGGAGAAGATAGATGTCCCAGGTTAAAGAGACAGAAAATTTACCCTTCCTTCACCTTTCTATTCTAAGCAGATCCTCAATAGATTAGATAATGCCCTTCTACATTGGGGAGGGTGGATCTTCTTCACTCTGTCAACTGATCCAAATGCTCCTCTCTCCCAGAAACACCCTCACAGATGCACCCAGAAATAATGCTCTACCAAGTATCTGGGCATCCCTTATCTCAGGCAAGTTGACACACAAAATTACCCATCATAGACACTTAATGTGAGAATGAAGATCTTAACTTCAACTGCATACAAGAGAGTTGGCCTTTTCTCTCCCCAGCTTCTCTGGGATCCTTGGGAAGGATCTTTGAGGAGTAAAATTCTACTGTTTCAAAAAGATACACATCCCTGTCGTTTGGGGTTGTTAGGACACTTTAGGTCAAAAGTTGCAGAAGCCCACTTCAAACGAGCTCATGGAATTTGCTGGGGGGAAATTAGGCGCTCTTTTGGAACCAAGATGGAATTGAACCATTGGACCACAAGAGAGGTGAGAACCAGGCCTAGAAGCTGCCAGAAATGCAGGAAGCTACTTCCTATCTGTCCCTTGCAAAAGCCACATGTGTTCCTCCCTCTGCTTCTCTCCACCAACCCATCTTCTGTGTTGCCCTATGCATGTCATGTGGTGGGTGGAAGGTGGTCATAACACAGCTTCTGAGTTTACATCTCCTCCCTGTATAGAATCGAGCACTGATTGGTCCAGTCTGGGTTAGGTGTCCAGGCTTAATCCAGACATCTGGGATTAGGGGGACAGGGTTGTAATACATAGACACAGACACCAGAAGCCCTCCTCTGTATGTAGGTGGGTGGAGGGGATCAGCACTAAGAGAATAGTCATTGTGAGCAGGGTGGCACTCCAAAAGGAGACTTGTCCTGCTCCTGAGATCAAAACGGTGCACAGTGAAGGAAACAATCAAAACAGTGAAGAGATAATCCATGGAATGGGAGAAAAATATTTTCAAATCATACATCTGATTAGGTTAACATCCAAAATATACGAGAAACTCAAACAACTAAATAGTGAGAAAACATATAGCCTGACATTAAAATGTGCAACAGATTTGAACAGATATTTCTCAAAAGAAGACAAACAAATGGCCAACAGGTATATGAAGAGGTTCTCAACATCACTAATCATCAGGAAAATGCAAATCAAAACCACAATGAGCTGTCACCTCACAACTGTTAGAGTGGCTATTATCAAAAAGATGAGAGGGCCAGATGCGGTTGCTCATGCCTATAATCTCAGCACTTTGGGAGGCCAAGGCAGGCAGATCACTTGAGGTCAGGAGTTCAAGACCAGCCTGGCCAACATGGTGAAACCCCATCTCTACTAAAAATACAAAAACTAGCCGGGAGTAGTAGTGGGCGCCTGTAGTCCCAACTACTTGGGAGGCTGAGGCAGGAGAATCACTTGAACTCAGGAGGCGGAGTTTGCAGTGAGCCGAGATCACCCCACTGCACTCCAGCCTGGGAGACAGAGTGAAACTTCGTCTCAAAAAAAAAAAAAAAAAAAAAAAGAGGAGAGATAATTACACATGTTGGCAAGAATTTGGGGAAAGGGGAACCCTTGCATATTGTTGGTGGGAATATAAATTAGTACAGCCATTATGGAAAATAGTATGGAGTTTTCTCAAAAAATTAAAACTGGAACTACCCTGTGACCCAGAAATTCCACTACTGGGTATATATCCAAAGGAAATGGAATCAGTATGTTGAAGTGAGATCTGCACTCCCATGTTCATTGCAGTGTTATTCACACTGGCCAAAATATGGAATCAACATAAGTGCCCATCAGTGCATGAATGGATAAAGAAAATATGGCATATATATGAAATACCCTATTCAGCCTTAAAAAAGGAAATCTTGTTGTTTATGACAACATGGATGAACCCAGAGGATATTATATTAAGTGAAATAAACCAGGCACAGAAAGACACATACCGCATGATCTTACTTATTACTTGTGGTATCTAAAAAGCTCAAACTCATAGGAGTAGGAATAGAATGGTCATAACCAAGGGTTGGGGGGCAGGGGGATTAGAAAGATATTGGTCAGAGGACCCAACATTTCAGTTAGATAGAAGGAATACATTCAAGATCGATTGTACATCATGATGAATGACTATAGTTAATAATAATGTATTGTATACTCGAAAATTGCTAAGAGAGTAGATTTTAAGTGTTGTCATCCCCCAAAAATGGTGTTTGTGAAGTAATGAATATGTTAAATAGTTTTATTTAGCTATTCCACAATGAATACATATATCAAAACGTGTTGTACACCATCAATATATACTTTTTTGTCAATTAAAAAAATGAATTAAAAAGTGGTGCTCTCAGAGTTTCCTGATGCCACAAATAGCCACATAGAATCCTAGGAGGTAGAAGACCTGGATCCCACCTCCACCCTCTCAGGCTCTCTCTTTTTCTCTTTATTATACCCTGGCTTAGTAAAGGCTCTGGTAGGAGTCATCTTCAGCCTTATCAATTTGCCAAGCAGCAGGATTTTGGGTGCTGAGATCACCTTCTTTCTTCTGGAACCCTCCTTCCAATGAGGGTCAGTGTGGTGTGCTGGAAAATGCAGAATTCAATATCAGACACACCTGGAGTTCTACACACCCTCTGCCACTTGCTAACATCGGATCTTTCTACATTCTGATTTTCTGGTCTATCAGATGGAGATGGTAAGTAACATCTAACCCTCAGGGCTGTGTGAGAACATGTGATCCTCAGTTCAGCGCTTGGGACATAGAAGATGCTCAACATACCCCAGCGCCCTTAGGTCTCCTTGCCAACACACAAAATCCCCCAAGGGCAATAACGTTGTTCTTCCTGCCTCTTCCTCGAGAGGGCAACTTTTAACCAATGTCCTAATGAATGGAAATTAGTGCCATCCACAAGTAGACTTAGGCACCACCTAAGTGCTCGGGTACTTGGGGGAACTGGGTGTCATAAACATTTAAGTAGGACCAGGCATTTATATTCAGGCAGGACATCTTGACCCAGTGCCTCAGAGAGCAGAACCCATAGAACATTTCCTTGAAATCATCATCAGAGACAGATTCTGGGAAGTTGGGCCATGGGAACTCTTTTTGCTTTTGCTTTTTTTCTAGAGGTGGGGTCTTGCTCTGTTGCCCAGGCTAGAGTGCAGTGGCATGATTATAGCTCACTATAACCTCAGACTCCTGGGTTCAAGCTATCCTCCCATCTTGGCCTCCCAAAGTACTGGGACTGCAGGCAGGAGCCATCAGGCCCAGCCTCATTTTTGAATTATGCTCCTTGAATGAGTGAGTCAGCATTCATAGATGATTCAATTATAGTGGAAATCAGACCACATAGGGAGAATGAAGAAAAAAGCCCACAAGGCCCGGGAGAACTTCTAACATACCTGCTCAGAATGGTGAGGACAGAGAACCAAGGGGACTCCTCCCTGTCTCCAACACCACAGCCCACCCAGCGCCAAGGCCCTCTGGCTATGAGCTGCAGACAAGGGCTGCAGGGAAGGGAAGCCTGAAGACACCAGCTCAGGGCTCTGCAGCTGCTGGGGGGATTCCAGCCGCTCTACCATGTTTGTACACATGTGCTGTCTACGGTACTCCTCCTCTCAAGAGTCAAAGTCCCAGGGCAGAAAGTAAAGATGGTGGAGCCTGGGGTGTGGGCAGGGCTCCTTGGCTGGGAGTCCCTCCAAGATGTCCCCAGAGAAAATCAAGGCCCTGTGACCAGAGAGGGGGACATGGCTCAGCAAAGGTGCCCCACACCAAGTCCCGCTCATTCTGCCTACAAAATATTTCTCAGATACATTGCAAATCCATTTACCAAGCTATTTCTCCAATCCATTCCTGCCGCACGATTCCCAGGCTGCTGCCTTATCACGCGGTGCCTGAGCTGGGGGGCAGCAGCCCTCCCACTTTTCTCCACCTTTTCCCCTTCCCCTCACTTGGCTGCCAGAACTCCCTTCCAGAAAAACACACCCGTCTTGTGACTCTCTCCAGGGCTCACAACAGCCTGCAGAACAAGGGACACTCAGTCCGGGACCCCCGCTGGCAGCCTGGCTTTGCGCCATGCTTCCGGCCAGGCCTGCTGGTTTCAGCCCCAGGCGACCCTCTGCCCCCACACCTTTGTCCACGCTAATCCTTTCTCCTAGAAAACCACCTCTTCCCACTCTACCCAGCGCAGTCGTACCCATCCTTGTTCAGAGCCGAGGTCAAATGTGGCTTCTCTGGGGCTCCCCACAGGCCTCCAGCCAAGCTGGGGCTCCCTGAGCTGTGATTCCAGGATCACACTGCACCCTGGTGATTGACTGCGATCTGCCTCCTGCCTGGGAAGCGAGAACCCAGGAAGACAGGAAAGGTGGCCATCCAGTGCCCACTGCACAGCCTGTTAAGTAGCTGGGCATCTCCCCAGATCCAGACTCCCTGGCCCTGTCTGCCCCTCTGCCCTGCTGAGGTCCCGGCACTGTCTGCACCAGGAGGCAGGGAAGACCCCAGCAGGTACCATTTCCTGTCCTCTGCGTCCGCTCTGGTCTTATTTGTCCCAGGTTCTTCCTCTCTGGAGCGCTCCTCATCTGCAGGCCCTCGAGTGCACAGCGGCAGCAGGCCTGGAGGAGACCCACGCAACTGGTTTCCTGCTCCCACCCGTCTGATCTGAGTCAGAAGCTCTGGGTTTGGAGCCAAGCTCTGAACCTCTTCCCCACTCGGTGACCTCGACCGTTGTTTTCATCACTGCTAAGCCTCGGTTGCTTAATCGGTAAAATGAAGTGGGTTTTGTTGTTGTTTGTTTGTTTAGCACAAGTTCGTTGTTAAAAGTAGAGGTGTGCCTCCCAGCCAATTCCCTTACCCCGAGAAACCAACGTGAAGCGCTCAGTGTGCCTGCCCAGATGTTTTTCTACGTGAGTTTACAGACATTCTTAAAATTGGTCTTGTTTTGTGGACAAAGAATGACATCTATATCCTCTTCTATTCTTGCTATTTTCACTCACCTCTGATTCCATGCCCTTCAGGTTGGCTTCTCTTCTTCTTTGTCACACTTGCTTGTCTTGCAGAGTATGAATGACCCATAGTTTATTTTGTTGGCCTCCTAACTACAGACATTTAGAGTGTTTTTCTTAAAGATGTCTTTTCTTAAGTTACATATTTGATTTTGTGATAATTGTAGATTCACATGCAGTTGTAAGAAATAATACAGAGAAATACCATGTACCCTTTACCCAGTTTCCCCCAGTGGTAACACCACTCAAAACTATAGTACAGTATCATAACCCGGATACAGTGATACAGTGATCCATCCCTACAAGAATCCTTTCTGTTGCCATTTTTATTATTTATTTTATTTTATTTTTTTAGAGACAGGGTCTTGCTATGCCCAGGCTGGTCTCAAACTCCTAGGTGGCCTCAAATGATCCTCCCACCTTGGCCTCCCAAAGCACTGGGATTACAGGCATGAGCACCTGTTGCCTTTTTTAGCCACGCCCATGTTCCTCACATCCTCGCTACCCATTCCCTGCACCTGGTCTTTTACTCCGGGCAATCACTAATCTTTCTCTATTTCTATAATGTTGTCATTTCAAGAATGTTATGTAAATGGAAACATATAGAATGTAACCTTAAAGAATTGGTTTTTATCACGTAGCATAATTCCCTGCAGATTCATCCAGGTTGTTGCACATATCAGAGTTTGTTCCTTTTTACTACTGAGTAGTATTCCTCAGAAGGGATGTACCACAGTTTGTTTAATCACTCACTCTTGAAGGACATCTGGGTTGTTTACAGTTTGGGGATATTACCAATAAAGCTGCTATAAACATTTGTGTACAGGTTTTTACGGGAGTATAAATGTCATCTCACTAGGATAAATGTCCGGGAGTACAGATGCTTGGCCATATGGCAGCTGCATGTTAGTTTCCTAAGAAGCTACCAAACTGCACCCCAGAGCAGCTGAGCCATTTTACATTCCCACCAGCAATCTATGAGTGATCCAGTTTCTCCACTAACATTTGGTGTTGTCCCTGTTTTGTATTTCAGCCATTCTGATGGATACATATTGATATTTCATTGTGTTTTAATTTGTTTTTCCCTAATGCCTAATGATGCTGGACATCTTTGGTGAAGCGTCTGTTTATGCCATTTTCTAATTGGCTTTTTTGGGTTTGTTTTTGGTTTTTTTTCCTATTAAGTTTTGAGAGTTCTTTATATATTCTAGATACCAGTCCTTTGTCGGGTATGTGTTTCGCAAATATTTTCTCATAGTCTGTGGCTTGTCTTTCCATCCCTTTAACAGGGTCTTTTCTAGAACAAAATTTGAAACTTTGATGAAGTCCTATCTATCAGTTTTTTTCATTATGGATTGTGCCATTGGTGTCAAGTTTAGCAATTCTTGGCTTAACCATAAAGCCCAAAGATTTCCTCCAATTTTTTTCTAAAAGATTTATAGTTTTATATTTTACATTTAAGTCCATGTTCCATTTTGAATTAGGTGTGAGGCTGAGGATGAAGTTCACTTTTTGCCTATAGATGTCCAATTGTTATAGCACCGTTCATTGAAAAAGCTGTACTTAACCCATCAAATTGATTGTGCACCTTTGTCAAAAATCTGTTGGTCATTTTTCTGTGGGTCTATTTCTGGGTTCTCCGTTCTATTGATCTGTGTGTCGATCCCTCTGCCAGTACTGCAGCCTTGATTACTAGAGCTAGATAATATGTCTTGAAATTGGTGGACTAATTTCACTTTGCTCTTCTTTTTTGAATTTTTTGAAGCTATTTTAGTAATTTGTGTTTTTATATAAATTTTAGGATAATTTTGTCAACATCTTCAAAAGACTCTTGGTGGAGTTTTGATAGAAATTGTGTTAAACTTGTATATAAAATTGGAGATAATTGATATCTCTGCTATGTTGAGTCTTCCAATCTACAGAGTCCATCTCTTCATTTGTTAGATCTTTGATTTCTTTCAACAGTTTTGTAATTTTTAGCATATGGTTCTTATGTCTTGTTAAATTTGCATGTATTTTGCTTTTTAAAAAACAATTATAAATTGTATGCTAAGTCTCCCAATCATTGTTAGTATGTAGGTGTACAATTGATTTTTGTATAGTTATCTTAGATCCTGCAACCGTGTCCTGCAACCTTGTTGAATGCACTTTTTAGTTCTAGTAAGTTTTTTGTTTTGCATAGATTCCTTGGGGTTTTCTATGTAGAAAGTGATGTCATTTGCAAATAGGAACACTTGTTTTTTTCCTCTCCAATATGTATGCCTTTTATTTCCTTTTCTTGTCTTATTGCAGTGGCTAGAACTTCCAATACTATGCTAAATAAGACTGATGATAGTGGACATCCTTGCTTTGTCCCCCGTTTTAAAGGAAAATCATTCAGTCTTTTGTGATTAAATATAATGTTAGCTGCAGGTTTTCTGTAGATGCTTTTCATCAAGCTGAGGAAGTTTCCATTTATTCTAAATTTGCTGAGAGTTTTTATCATAAATTGGTGTTGTATTTTGTCAAATTTTTTTTCTGAGTCCATTTATACTATCATGTAATTATTATTCTTTAGCCTGATGATATGGTAGATTATATTGATTGATATTTAAATGACAAACCATTGTTGCATAGCTGGAATAAATCCTGTCCAGTTTTGATGCATAATTAATTCTTTTTCTATATTGCTGAACTCTGTGTGCTCATTTTTTGTTAAGAATTTTTGCATCTATACTCATACGTGATATTGGTCTGTAGTTTTCGTTTTTACAACTATCTTTGTCTGCTTTCAGGGTCAGAATAAGACTAGCTTTATAAAATGAATTGGGAGCTATTGCCTCCTTTTCTATTTCCTGGAAGAGAATGTCTAGAATTGATGTTAATTCTTCTTTAAATACAATTTAGTATTGAAATCATCTAGGCCTGGAGATTTCTTTTTGGAGAATTTTTAAATTATAAGTTTGTTTTTCTTTGTAGATACAGGGCTATTAAAATTATCTATTTCACAGCAGGTGAGTTGTAGTAATTTATGCTTTTCAAGAAATTGGTCCATTTCACTCAAGTTGTCTAATTTATGTCTATAGAGCTCTTCATGGTATTCCTTTATTACCCTTTTGATAACTGTAGGGTCTGTAGTGATATTTTCTGTTTTGTTCTTGATAATGTTAGTTTGTCTTCTCTCTTTTTTCTTTGTCAGTCTTGCTAGAAATTTGTCAATCTTATTGATCTTTACATTTCATAGAATTTTCTTTTTTGTTTTCCTGTTTTTAATGCCACTGGTTTATGCTCTTACCTTAGTTATTCCCTTTCTTCCACTTGCTTTGGGTTTAATTATATATTCTTTCCATATGCTTTAGCTATATCCCACAAATTTTGACATATTTTCCTTTTAATTTACTTCAATATATTTTTTATTTTCCTTGGGACTCCCTCTTTGATTCATGGATTATTTAGAAGTGTGTGTGTGTTATATTTTCAAACATTTGGAGGTTTTTCTGTATCTTTCTGTTATTGATTACTAGTTTGATTTTGCTCTGGTCAAAGTACACACTCTACATGAATTCCATTTTTTTAAACTTTTTTGTTAAGATTTATTTTATGGCCCAGGATATAGTCTATCTTGATATATGTTTCATAGGCTATTATAAAGAATGTGTGTTCTGCTACTGTGGAATCACATGCTTCATAAATGTCAATGAGCTCCTGTTGGTTGATATTGTTGTTCTTTTTATCCTTGCTAAGTTTCTGTCTAGTTGTTCTATAAATTGTTGAGAAAGTAATATTCAAGCCCCAACTATAATTATGGATTAGTCTATTTCTCCATTCAGTTCTATGAGTTTTTGCTTCATGTTTTTTGTAGCTCTGTTGTTAGGTACATACATGTTTCTGATTGTTAAATCTTCTTGGTTGATTGATTCTTTTGTCATTATGTAATGCTTCTCTCTGTCTCTGGTAATTTTCTTTGTTCTGAAGTGTTCTTCATCTAATATTTATATAGCCACTCCTGCTTTCTTTTCTAAGTAAACTTTTTTATTTTAGGATAGACTTAGAGTTATGGAAATGTTGTGAAGAGTTTCCCTACGTCTCATGCCCAGTTTTCCTCATGAACACCTTACATTAGTATGATACACTTGTCACAAGTAATGTGCCCATATTGATCCATTATTAATAACTAAGGTCTATACTTTATTCAGATTTCCTTAGTTTTCACCTAATGTCCTTCTTCTGCCCAGGATTCCATTCAGGTTACTACATTACATTTAGTCATCATTGTCTCCTTAGGATTCTCTTGGATGGGACAATTTCTTAGACCTTCCTTGTTTTCGATGACCTTTGGAGGAGCACTGGCAAGATATTTTATAAAATGTCCCTTGATTGGGATTTGTCTGATGTTTTTTTCTCATAATTAGAATGGGGTTATGGGTTTTGGGGAGGAAGACCACAAACACAAAGCGCCCTTCTTATCACATCGTATTAATAACATATACCATCAACATGATTTGTCACTGGTAATGTTAACCTTGGTCATCTGGATGACAGAGTGTTTGTCAGTTTTCTCTACCAAAAATTTACTCTTCACCCTACCCCTACCTCCAACTCCCCACCCCCTGCTTTCTTACTGTACTTTTTGGAAAGAAATTCATTAGGCACAGTCCATACTTAAGGAATGAAGAGTTATGTGCTATCTCCTTGAAGGGAGAATATTTGTCTATTTTTTCCATTTATCTATGTATTGAATAATTTATTTATGACAATATGGACTCGGATATTTATTTTAGGTTATGATCTAACACTACTTTATTTGTTGTTTAAATTGTCCCAGTCTTTGTCTCTGGGAGCTCTTTGGGTTGGCTTCTGCGTTCCTTTGATAGACTCCCATCATCATGTTTTGTGGATTTTGGCTTAGTTTTGAGGACTTTCTTGCTTTCTGACATTAAAAGATGATCCAGGATCATCTCAGATAGTCTGTGCCCCAGATGTAGTGCCAGCCATTTCCCCAGAGAACTCTGATTTCTTTTGTTGAAGAATGATGTTAGAAATCAAGATCTGGGCACCAGGTGTGCTCCTGGGGTGACATTGCTTCTTGGCTCTCTCAGCAGAGAGAGCAGAAAACTCTATGTGTGTGTACTAACCTGTGTATACACACATATCTATAAATATTTCAATATGTATCCATCTGTATCTATATTAGTCTAGACATGAGTTTATATCCATATCTCCAGCTCTAATCAATCACCCCACCCCATTATAGCCTTCTCCTGTTGCTTGTCTCTAACTTCCTATTCCAATAGTGAGAAACTTGACTTCAAAATTCACCATTTACTTAAGTTTTCAAAACTATATATATATATATGTACAATTTTCTTCTTCTTTTTTTTTTTTTTTTTTTTTGAGACAGAGTCTCGCTCTGTCGCCCAGGCTGGAGTGCAGTGGTGCAATCTTGGCTCACTGCAAGCTCTGCCTCCCGGGTTCACTGCTTATACAAGCCTGCACAAGCCCTCTTGCCCATCCCTTTCACAGCTCCCTTGGCTCAGCCTTTCCCTTCTCACAGGAACTGCAGCAAAGTGGGTGTGGAACAGCCACTACCACGTCCATTGAATGACAGGAAGGGAGAGGCTCTGACCTTGGGCCTTGAGGCGTGACAGTTCTTCCTTCCACATCTGTTCCCATGAGGCCTGGAGGTGCATGGATGAGGTTGGTCCATGCCACCATGGCTCTCAGGCCACCACCAAGACCAGAGTGAAATGGTGTGAATATCCCACACTACAGATGCTCCTTCCCCTCATAGACTTCCCCCAGCCCCCCAACCCTAATTCTATCCCTCTACTGAGATGAGGCCCAGCTTTTGTCAGAAGCGCCAGGGACTATGGGCTGTAGAACTTGAGGCTTCTGTCCATGCCTGTTGGGGCAATGAATTTCTTGTGATGCCGGAAGGCCAACTCCATCCATGTTTCTGCAAAGGACATAATCTTGTTCCTTTTTATGGGTGCATAGTATTCCCTCATGTGTATGTACCACATTTTTTTTTATCCGGGAACCACCGATGGGCATTTAAATTGACTCCATATCTTTGCTATATAGGCTCTTGTAAAGAATGTGTGTTCTGCTACTGTGAGTCCATGTTTTTTATATATATATCATGGCAAAACATAGCATATATATATGCTAGAATTGAAAAGTTTAAAAGTCAAAAAATAACAGATGTTGGTAAGGTTGCAGATAAGAGGGAGCACTTATACACTACTGCTGGGAATGCAAATTAGTTCAGCCATTGTGGAAAGCAGTGTGGTGATTCCTCAAAGAATTAAAAGCAGAATTACCATTAGACCCAGCAATCCCGTTATTGGGTATACACCCAAAGGAAAATAAATCGTTCTACCGTGAAGACACATGCATGCATATGTTCATTGCAGCACTATTCCAACAGTAAAGACGTGGAATCAACCTAAATGCCCATCAACCTCAGACTGGATAAAGAAAATGTGGTACATATACTCCAGGGAATACTATGCAGCCATAAAAAAACAAGATTATGTCCTTTGCAGCAACATGGATGGAACTGGAGTCCATTATCCTAAATGAACTAATACAGGAACAGAAAACCAAATACTGCACGTTCTCACTTACAGTTAGGAGCTAAACACTGAGTACACACGGACACAAAGAAGAGAACAGCAGACACCAGGGCCTACTTCAGGGTGAAAGGTAGGAGGAGGAGGATCAAAAAGCTGATACTATGCTTATTACCTGGGTGAAAAAATAATCCGTACTCCAAACCTCTGTGACACACAATTTACCTATGAACAAAGTGCACATGTACCCCTGAACTTAAAATAAAGGTTAAAAAAATAATAAAATAAAATAAATTATGTATTTAGAACTTTTAAATTAATGTAATTATTGACCTATTAGGACTTAAGTCTGCCATTTTATTTTTTGTTTTCTGTTTGTTCTGTTTTTCATTTCTCTATTTCCTTTTTCCTGTATTCCTGTGGTTACTGGGACATTTTTTTTTGGATTCCATTTTGATTTATTGATAGTGTTTTGGAGTGTCTCTCTTTGTGTGGCATTTTAACTGGTTGCTCTAGGTATTACATTATATCTATATAACTTTTTTTTTTTTCAGACAGAGTCTCACTTTGTTGCCCAGACTGGAGTGCAATGGTGAGATCTCAGCTCACTGCAACTTCCACCTCCTGGGTTCAAGCAATTCTCCTGCCTCAGCCTCCCAAGTAGCTGCAATAACAGGCCCCCCCGCCACCACACCCAGCCAATTTTTGTATTTTTAGTAGAGACGGGGTTTCACCATGTTGGCCAGGCTGGTCTCAAACTCCTGACCTCAAGTGATCCAACTGCCTCGGCCTCCCAAAGTGCTGGGATTACAGGCATGAGCCACCACATCCAGCCCATTATATCTATATAACTTATCACAGTCTACTGGTGTTGACATTTTACCAGTGCAAGTGAAGTGTAGGAGCACACCTCCCTTTATATTCCTCTACCCTTTCTTATTTATAATATGTCTTAAATATTTCCTCTATATACATTTAGAAACTCATCAAACAGTGCTATAATTTTTGCTTCAATCATGAAACAATTCAGAAATCTCCAGAGGAGAAGGAAAATGTATTTGTCTATATTTTTGCCCTTTCCATTGTTCCTTCTTGTTCCTAATGCTCCAAGATGGCTTCTTTTATCATTGTCTTTCTGTTTAGAGAACTTCCATTCTTTTAGGTCTCTGGTGACAAATTATCTTAGTTTCCCTTCATCTGTGATGTCTTGATTTCCTCTTTCATTCCTGAAGGATATTTTCATGGCATATAGAATTCTGGGCTGAGATTTCTTTTCTTTTCTTTTCTTTCTTTTTTTTTTTTTTTTTTTTGAGACAGAGTCTCACTCTGTCATCCAGGCTGGAGTGCAGTGGCATGATCTCGGCTCACTGCAACTTCTGCCTCCTGGTTTCAAGCGATTCTCCTGCCTCAGCCTCCTGAGTAGCTGAAATTACCAGCACCCATCACCATGCCTGGCTAATTTTTGTATTTTTAGTAGAGATGGGGTTTCACCATGTTGGTCACACTGGCCTTGAACTCCTGACCTCAAGTGATCTGCCTACCTCAGCCTCCTCAAAGTGCTGGGATTACAGGGATGAGCCACCATACCCAGCCTGAGGTTTCTTTTCTTTCAGCTCTTAGGAAATGCAGTGACATTTCTTTTTGGCTCCCTTGGTTTTTAATGAGAAACCCAGTGTCATTTGAATTGTTTCTCCTCCAGGTAAGGTGTCATTTCTCTCTTGCTGCTTTCAATATTTTTCATTTGTCTTTGGTTTTCACTATAATGTGAAAGTTTCACATTAAATTTTACCATGATGTTTCTTGGGATAAATTTCTTTGAATTTATTTTGTTTGAGGGTCACTCAGTTTCTTGAATCAGTAAATTTATGTCTTTTGACAAATTTAGGAAGTTTTCAGCCATTATTTCTTTGAGTACTTTTTCAGCCCTCATTCTCCTCTTCTTCTGGAACTCTGATGACAATAAATGTTAGAATTTTTTAATCATCCCACATATCCCTGAAACTCTCTTGTTCTTCTACTACTACTCTTCTCCTTCTCCTCCTTCTTCTTACTCTTCTGTCTATGTTCTCTTTGTTCAAACTGGGTAATATCTGTCGTTCTATCTTCGAGTTTGTGGATACTTTTCTCAGTCCATTCTACTGTTAAGCCCATCATTGAGTTTTTAATTTCAGTTACTGTATTTTTCAGTTTTAAATTTCTCATTTGGTTCTTCTTTTTATCTTCTATTTCTTTGCCTAGATTTTCTATTTTTCACTTGTTTCAGGTGTGTTTGTAATTGCTTTTTGAAGCATATTTATCATATTTGCTTATCATATTCTAACATTTCATCATCTCAGTATTGGTATATATTGATTGTCTTTTTCATTCAAATCGAGGTTTTGCTGGTTCTCAATAAGACAAGTGATTTTTGACTGAAACCTGGACATTTGGGGTATTATGTTGTGAAATTCTGGATTCTATTTAAACCTTCTGTTCCAGTTGGTTTCTTCTGAGATTGCTCCAGCAGCAAAAGTGGAGACACTGTGCTGTCTTGTTACTGCCAGGTGGAAGTAGAAGTTCATGTTCTCTACTTGTCCTTTATTAATGCCTGGGGAGGGGGGCGGGGGTGGGAAGATCCTTGTTCCTACTAGCCCAGAGTGGCAATTCTACCTCCCCACTAGGCTCCACTGATTCCACCCCTGTGGGAGACAGGGAGGGATGCCTCGTTATTCCTAAGTCCGGGCTCTCCGTGTATTCTCCATTGACGGTGCAGTGGCAGGAGCTAAACTGTTTTCCTCTATAATACTTGCTGTCAAAAATGAAGCTGTGACGAACATCTGTGCTCCAGTGGGAGGATCTAGAGTCTTAGAGGTAGAACTGCTGATAAGAGAAAATGCTTATGACGCTTTGAGAGCAGTGCTTTTCAAATTGGGCATTCCAGTGGGTGCTGGGGACTTCATGAGGGAGCATAGGGAGCTACACGGGTGTCAGGCAGGTGGGGATTTGGGTTCTCCACACTAATTCAGCAGGAGAGGCCTCCCTCTCCCCTGTCCCATTCACTCAGCTCTGAGCCAGATTTCATTTGAAACATTAGTTCCATGGCTGAAAAAAGAGAAAGCATTTGGAAACCACGGTGAAAATATCTGAGTTTCTCTCTATTTGTGGATGTCTGTGATGATATGAATCATAATCCATCCCAGCGACGTTTCTGAGGCTGCTTGGGGAAGGAGCCATGAACCGGAGTATAACTGGCTATAAGAGCCTTTGAAAATAATGAATTTGCCATCAGATTATCTTAAAATGCAAACCATCTTGTTGCATTTAAAACAGCATTTAATTTATAACAAAGCTAATTAACACATCATTTTTCAGACACATATCAATTATGCGAAACGAGGTGCACCTGTACTAAAATTCCTTGGTTCACTGATTCGAAGAAGAACATCAGCAAGAACATCAGCTCGGATGGGCCCTTAGAGAGCAACAATAGATTTGAAATAAGGGACAAGCCAGGAGGTTGCCGGGGGGCGGGTAGGGGGATAGTTGCAAAAATGTTCTGAACTTTAAAATAACGGTCCCTTGCAAACAGAAGTTTTTTCTCCAAAGTGTCTCTCCTCCAGATCTCCCATCTACCATTTCCACCCTGCATGTGAATCTCACTTCTAGAGGCAGCTGCCTCACGTTCAGCTTACGACACCTTCAGAAGCTTTGCTAATAAATGCATATCGAAAAAGCGTTCTGCCCATGGGGACCAATTTCTTTTTCCATCACCCGTGGCTTCTCAACATGAAATTAAAGGCAGAAGCAAGTAATTGCAGCTGGTGGCAGCTCCCAAGGTTTAGCTACTGCCAAGGGATCTGGTCCATGCCTCGTCCCCTCTGTTTCTCCCTCCTCTCATCCAAGGACCAAGCAAAATATGGGGCATGACCTGCAAGAAGGTGATCCTCCCAGCTAGAGCACAGCTCTCTGAGTAGCAGTTCTCAGGAAGCCTGTGAGCTAGCCCAGCCAGGGGCTTTTCCAGGCTTTGTCTCAAGTGCAGGGCTTGGAGAAGAATATTGCCAGCCTTCAGTCCCAACTCAGGACCATCAGTGACCTCATGGGGACCTCACTTTGGTGGGAGAGGTTGGAGGATGATGCTCTCCTCCCAGGGAAGTAAGCCTAAGGGCAGATTCCTCTCTCTGCCCTGGGGGAGAAAGTAAAAGGGAGGGAGGGCTTCTCACAGTGCCCATCTGGCCCTGTGGAGAGTTGCTGGTGACATTTCAGTCAGTCATCCAGTCAAACTCATGTGTACCAAAAAAAAAAAAAAAAAAAAAAAAAAAAAGGCAAGTAGAATGTGCCGAAGGCTTGGAGTCAAGGATAGCATCATGATTTTTGGCTTGAGCTAAGAAACGATGGAGTTGCTGAGATGTTGGGAGGCGTACATAGCTTTTGGGGGTAGAAATCAGGAGTGCAGGCTTGTCAGGGAGGCAGTTGGATTTATGACCCCAGATTTCAGGGGAGAGGGCTGGTCTGGAGATAGAAATGAGGGAGGCACCAGCTGGTTTGGACATTCTTTCCCCAACGGTTTCATACCTGGCAAGGCCTCACTCCCCACTGGTGGGTTGGGTGTGTTCTCCCCCACGGGCCCTGCCCACCTGCCCTCTCTCCCTGCGGAGAGGGGCCTCCCCTGGGGGCCCTCCACTCCTGCCAGCCGAGCTCCTGGGCTGGCGAGTTCTCTCTGTGCTCAGGCCCCAGACGGAACACCTTCTGATAAGATTCCCCAGCCCGCTCACGGCTGCCCACCCACTCCAGCCAAGTGTCACGGAAGGAATGTGGTGGCAGCTGGGCCCGAATCACAAGACAGAAACTCCCAGGACACGTAGGTCAAGCCAGGAAGTGCCTCCTGAAAGGGAGAAGCCCGGACAGGCCGTGCATGGGCGGGGGCTCAGAGGAAACCAGCGCCAGTGAGTCAGCCTGCAGTTCTGTTGGACAGAGTGTGGGCTGCCAGAGAAAACAAATTCCTCCAGCAGGTTTATCTCCTTGTGGAGGAGGCCTAATCAGCAGCACGAAGTGGCAAAGGAGGGAGGCCATATGCTCCTGACCTGGCTGAGCTGCCCATGCCCGGATTAGCTGGGTCAGCCAGGCCGAGCGCCTGGTTCCAGGATGGAGGCTCGCTTCTGGTGGGTCCTGGGTAGGGCAGAGGCCCCCGTACCAAGCCAGCCAGATCCATCCCATCCTAAACCCTCCAGGGGGATGGAGCTCCAACAGAAATGAGGAGGGGCAGAAAGGAGACAAATGAAAGCAAATGTGGGTGCAGAATTTCTGAGGTGCCACAGGAAACTTTCCACAGCCACATGCTGTGCTTTCAGTGGGAAATGTGTTAGGCTTGGCAATGCCAGGGAGGGCCACAGTGCAGGGGAGGTGAATGGTGGCTTCCGGATTTGTGCAGCGCACACTCTGCCCTGCCATCCCCGGGGCCCTGGATGGAAGGTCACAATTCTTTATCTATATGGCTTCAGTGATGTTAGGAGAGGCACATTCCCATCCTCAGCAGGTGCATTTGGAGAATCCATAGCACCTAAGAAAACAGGACAGGTGGGCCCTGCTCAGTGGAGCAAGTCACCTGCCCCTTAACAAGGACCACATGTAACCACCCTCAGTTCTTCCTCCACTCCTGCTTCCTTCTCCAGGGGTTCTCAGAGTGTGGCTCCCAGTCCGGCAGCACCAGCACCACCTGGGAACTTGATAGAAGTGCAAATTCTTGGGCCCTCCCAAGACCTGCTGGATGGGAAACTCTGGGGTGGGGCCTAGTTGTGTGTTTAATAGCCTCACCCCACCACCTTCCCCCAGGAAGAAGCATCTTTCTCCCCTACGCAGCCTGGGGACAGGCAGCTCTGGCCTTGGAATCACTAGGGGAACTTTTAAAAGTGCCCGTGCCTGGGTCTCACCCCTACAGATTCAGATTTCTCTGGTCTAGGTTTTAGCCTGGGCATCAGGATTTTTGGCTGTTTTGCAGGCTGAAAGTGCTTCTGTGTTCTGGGGTGCTGGGCTCAGGGTCATCACCTGGAACCACGAACCATGAGATGGAGGCTTGCACTTGACACCTTGCAGGTCTGACCCTCATGCCTGGGGAGACAGCTCAGCTCAAGAGAGGTGCTTGTCTTCGGCGTGCACCGGAATCATGCCTGGGGAGAGAGCTCAGCTCAAGAGAGGTGCTTGGTCTTCGGTGTGCACCAGAATCATGCCTGGGCTGTGAGGGGGGTGCCCAACCATGCAGATTCCTGGGAATCTTCCCCAGACATCCCAGTTTGGTAGGCCTGGAGTGGGGCTGGGGAGTGTGCATCGTGAGCAATGTCCTGGGTGATTCTGATGTGTGCTCAGGGATCTTCCCTTTGAGAGCCACAGAACAGGGACATCTGAATGAGGTTCTGCTTCCATCTCTACCACTCACCAGCCACAGGCCCCCAGCAAGCCCCTTCACCTATGGTTGCTTTGTGCGTAACTTGGGGAAAACAGCAGCCTCCCTGGACCCCTCAGCACAGTCCTGAGACCACATGGATCTGGGCAAGACTGGCCGCTGTGGATGGCAGGACAGACAGAAGGAACTGCTCGACTGTCCTCCGGCCACCTACAGTTGGCCTGCGTGGAAGGAGTAATACTTACTGAGACTGCCCAGCAGAGGTGGCGAGTGTCGTGGCCGAAAGACCAGGCCCAGAGTGCGTGGGTGCCACTCGCAGCTCCCAGCAGCCGCAGGGAGGGGGCTGTGGGTCCCAGGCAGGCTTTGGGGTGCAAGGCAGGAGAAGGGGCAGGCCCTGAGGTCCCAGGAGCTGGATCTGAGACCAAGAGGCTGCAGGCGCCAGGGAGCTCCTGTTTTCTGATGGGCTTCATGACCTTTGAGACTTCAAGTTCTGTTCAGCTGCCCCTGACCACAGCCGACCACAGCCACTGAACCTGACAGGAGTTTCGTTTTCTTATAGAGCAAGTCCAGAAGCAGGCAGGGCTGGTGGAGCCACATGAGGAAGTGCTGGGGATCCAGGCTCCTTTGAGCATCCGGCTCTGCCATCCCAAGCATAGACTCTGTCCTCAGAGTCGCCAGATGGCCACCCCCAGCCGGACTCCGCTTCTGCATTCAGGCAGGAAGCAGCGAGGAGACAGGGCGGTGGCTGTGTCTGGAACACCACACTTCCCCAGGCGTCCCGGCACCCTGCCACGTGCAACTCACTGGTCAAACTGGATCCCCTCCAGGTCTCAGCTTGGGGGAAAGCTGAGAAATGTGGCTGCCTGGAACAAAAACCAGGTGGTGAGGTGGGAGGTGGAGGCGGGGCAGGAGCGGAGTGGGCTCCTGTCTGGTCTCAGTGGACTCGATGCTCCTTGCCACCTTGGCCACACACAGCAGGGTCACAGTGACCCCACTCCCAGATGGCCACCGGGCAGAACAGGGCCTCCTGCTTCTCGACACTGGACTCACAAAGCCTATAACATATCCCCTGGCTAGAAAGAGCTCACTGAAGTCATCACAGCCAAGCAGTGTGACCTGGGATGCGTCTCTGTGCCCAAGAGCCATGGTTCCCCTGACATTCCCGACTACCCGTGGTGCTTCTAGGAATCAAGTGAGGATACGATTGTGAGAACAACTGAAGGGTTAAAAGGCTGGTAGAAGTACAGAGGATGAAGCCCTGACTCAACCATTGCCCACCTCCCTTCTTCCTCATCATCCCTCAATTCAGACCTAGGTAGGATTTGCCTCTGACCAGGTAGGATTTGCACTCTCACCCTCTTCAATTCTGTTGCTACCACGGGGCGCTCGTGTCTCCCTCCAGCAGTCACTGGCTCTGGAACGAGGGTCCGATGTCTCTGTGTCCCGCACACCGCCAGGCCCTGCGATTAGGTGGCAGGGCCTCTGCCCTGCTCCAGGCCGCATGGGTGTCTGAACTTGGCCGTCTCGTGGCCTTTCTCAATTAGCATTTCTTCACCTGTACAGAGGAGATAATAATGTTGCCTCAACCCAGGTGGAGGCTAGGAGGAAAGGCAAACAAAAGACCTAGCAATGGCAAACCTAAACAGCCCTGGAAATGCTTCATAATCAAAATGTTTTCTCCCTCTTTTGAAAGCAGAAATGGAGGGAGCATGTGAAGGATGGACAGAGGGGAGATGGGTCACTGCTTCCCTGGGCAGAAGGAGAGAGGAGGAGGAAAGGGGGAGGTGGGTTGCTGGAGGCAGGTCGGGAGGGGGCTGGGAGCAGCCCCTCTGTGAGGCTGTGAGGTGCATGAGAAGGGACCGGGTGGCCAAGGGACACTGCCACTCCACTCAGCAGGTATGTGCTCCAAGGCATTGTGTTACTACATGATTTTCAGGACACTGAGGGTGAGATGTCCCTCTCTGGGCTCTGCATGGTGGCCACCAGCTTCATAGGGGTGCTGGATGGGAGAGGACCGTGGGCATGACTCAATTCCACTTATTTAGGGGCAAGGAGGGCAGAGAGTGTCTAGAACCTCTGAGCAGGGAATTTGGGTTGCCACAGTGATCAGAGCCCCACTGCTGGGGCCTCCTCCTGGGGTGACCTGGAGGTTGTCCCAAGACCCTGCCTTCACCTTCACAGCCAAGAGGTTCAAACGGGGTTCATGAGACAGAACCGGCCTTCTGAAGGAGGACTCCAACGTCCTCTCCTCCCAATGCACAGTTTCATTCTTGGTTTTATAATGGCAAGTCTCTGGGTGCACAGGCTCCTGCAAGTCGGGCTCTGAGCTTTCTGGCTCGTCACAGGGAAGTCATAACCTTTCCACAGACACAGGTGTCAGCGTTCCTTTTGCACATCCTCTAGCTTAGGGGGAAGGAGCGGGAAGCTGAGGCTGAGGCTTGTGATTATGCAACCAGGAAAGGGCTGCTCTAGTGCCGAAAATAAGGGTTTGGAGCTCTGCTCTTAGACAGAAGGCTCAAGGGGCGGGGGTCTGGTCATTGTCTTCCAGTGGGTGGGAGCTTTGTTCTAAGCGTGGCTTATCCTTCCTGTGAGTAGCTGACCTCACTGCGGAGAGGCGGTGGTTGGAACGAAGCCAGAGAGACGGGGCTTAGACACAGGGAGTGGTTTCCCGACCGACAAGGTGAAGACAACAAACCACTGGCGTGGGTGGAGAAGAGTCTGGCCCAGGGATCATTTTCATAAATTATTATTTAAAAAATACTATAAAACCGATACTTGCACATGGTGCCCAAATGTGAACACTACGGTAGGGCTTCTCAAAGTGGGGCTCCTGGAGCAGCAGCAGCGGCTGCAGCCTTGCCTGGGAACTTGCTGGAAATGCAGATTCTGCCTCCTCCCCACCTCACCACTCACCGCCAGACCTGCTGAATCAGACACCCTGGGGGTGGGCCCAGCAGACTGTGTTTGAACAAGACCTCCAGGGGACCCTGAGGCACCAGAGTCTGAGAACCCTACGATACAGAGTGGAGACCACAGAAGGCAAACTTCTTACTCCCAGGGCCGTTGCCTGGAGGTACCTTCCTTTATTCACGTTCTCACACAGATGGGATCACTCCCAGCACCACACTGCTCAGCGCTCCACACTTTCACCTAATAAATAGATCTTAGATCCACCCACCTTTTGCCAACTCCAGAACTTAGGTATCAACCTCATTCTGCTTTTTTTTGTTTTGCTTTGTTTTGTTTTGTTTTGTTTTGAGACGGAGTCTTGCTGTGTTGCCCAGGCTGGAGTGCAATGGTGCGATCTTGGCTCACTGCAACCTCCGCCTCCTAGGTTCAAGTGATTCTCCTGCCTCTGCCTCCCAGGTAGCTGGGACTACAGTTATGCACCACCACGCCCAGCTAATTTTTTTTTTGTATTTTTAGTAGAGATGGGGTTTCACTATGTTGGCCAGGCTGGTTTCAAATTCCTAACTTCAGATGATCCACTCGCCTCGGCCTCCCAAAGTGCTGGGATTACAGGCGTGAGCTGCCACGCATGGCCAACCTCATTCTTTTTTATACCTGTGTAGAATTCCTTTCCAGGGGAAGAGGGGCATAATTCATTCAGCCATTGCCCCATCCATGGCATTTAGGCTGTTTCTAGATGGTTACTCTCTCAAAGGCTGGTGCCGTAAGCATTCCTGTGAGTCTGTTTCTGGGGTAGATAACGCCTAGTAAACGCATTGCCGGGTGGAATGGTGTTTGCAGTGCCAATTTTGCCAGAACCTAGATAGCCCTAAAACAGGCTCCATCAATTTATATTTTCTCCCAAAATATAGAAAAAAATTCCCTTTTGCCGTTCTTTCATCAGTACTAGAATTGTGAGTCTCTTCCATTTTGCCAATCTGACAGGTGAAAATGGAGAGTCAGCATTTTGATTTGCATTTCTTTAACTATGAGTGTCCTTGGGTGACTTTGCACGTAGAAATGATTCATAGCCAATTCTATTTCTTCTGTGAACTGTCTGCTCACAGCTTTTCTCCCTGCCTCCCACCCCATTTTTCCTTTGGGTTGTTGTACTTTTTCTTATTGATTGGAAGAGCTCGTTGTATATTAAAGAAAATGGAAATTATTGTATATTACAAGTGGTTTTCCCTGGCACTTCTTTTGTCTTTTGTCTGAGTTGTGGCGGTGGCCATTATTATTGTTATTATAGGACATGAAGCGGTTTCTGTGAATGATGTTAAATGTATCTGGTTTGATGCTTCTGGTTGCGTGTTATGTTTTAAAAAGCTTTTTCCACTTTGATATATATTTTTTTAAATTCACGTTTTCTTCAAGTTCTTCAAGTCCAAGCCTGAGCTCCAGGACTAGACAATTTGGGTTCAAATCCTGGCTCTCCTGATTCTTGGGTGACTCCATGCCTCACTTTTCTATTCTGTAAAGTGGGGATAAGGAAACCTGCCTCATAGCATCAGGTTGGGTGTGTGCTTCTCTAGGGGAGGCCTCCTCAAATGCTCAACTGAAGAAGGTTAATCACGCCTGTAATCCCAGCACTCTGGGAGGCCGAGGCGGGTGGATCACCTGAAGTCAGGAATTCGAGACCAGCCTGGCTAACAAAGTGAAACCCTATCTCTACTAAAAATACAAAAAAAGAATTAGCTGGGCGTGGTGCTGCACACAGCTACTTGGGAGGCAGAGGCAGAAGAATCACTTGAACCTGAGAGGCGGAGGTTGCAGTGAGCCGAGATCGCACCATTGCCCTCCAGCCTGGGCGACAGAGCAAGACTCTGTCTCAAAAAACAAAAAAACAGGTTAACTTGAAAGATTCCCTGATGCCCCACTGGAACCGGCACCTGGATCAGACGGCCTTTCACAATTATTTCCAGGATCTCCCGGCTCGGAGAACAAGAGGCTTTCCCTGCACCTGGACACATGACTGCCTCCTTCACTGCTGCTTCTCCACCTAGACGGGGGAACTCCCCAGGAAAGGGGTTCAGGTTCTGCCTTGGAGGTTGGCAAACCCTGGAGGAATTGTGGGGTCCCTGGGAGACTGTTATGGGCTGAACTGCGTCCTTTTTCAAAGTTCTTGTTGAAGTCATAACTCCCTGTACTTCCAAATGTCACCATATTTGGAGACAGGTAATTAAATTAAAATGAGGTCATTGGGGGTTACGAATCCAGCCTGACTTGGTGTGCTTAGAAGAAGAGGACATTTGGACACAAAGGAAAGATAATGTGAGGACACAGGAAGAAGGTGGCGGTCTACAGAGCAAAGTGAGGGGCCTCAGAAGAAACCAAGCCTGCCAACATCTCTATCTCAAACTTCCAGCTGCCAGAATCCTAAGAAAACATGCTTCTGTTGTTTAAGCGACCGGGTCTGTGGTGTGTTGTGGTGTGTTGTGGCGTGTTGTTAGGGCAGCCAGAGGAGACTAGCAGAGACACCGTCCATGAGGCCTCCCTGCCTCTGCTTCTCTAGGCCCCAAGCTGGGTGGGGAGTGTGGATTATCTGGGTGTCTTTTACCCCTTATCTGATGCTGCAGACCATGACCCAGGTGCAGACAACTGTTCTCTCCGTTCTCTCTTTCTCCCCTCCCACAGTCACCCCTCTCCCCCCACCGAATAATATGAAAGACAATATGTGGGGCTTTGGGTCTGGACGAAGATCAAAGCCAAAGGACAGGTGCTCAGGCAGAGTGTGAGGAGGCTTCCTTCACTGGGCGAGGATAGAGACATCCACGTGGACCTCCCGAAAGCCCTGGCAGACCCCCAGAGGCCTGCACGCAGCTGCAGCAAAAACAGGTGTGGGGGCCGCAGGAAGCTGGCAGCCTCCATAGGCCCCGCGCTGGGGAGTGCAGCACAGCGGGTGGACGGAGGTTAACGTGGGGGAAGAGTGATGGGGAAAGCGCGTGGCACCTGGCTCTAAGATTGCGGGTCCTCCCTGCAGGCTGGCCCGGAGATTGTGGGCGGGGCCTCCTCGGGGCAGTGGGCGTGTCCAGGCACTGCGCTAACCCCGCCCCCCGCCCCCGTGCCTCCCCTTCCTCTGTCTCTGCAAGCATGCCAGCTTGACCCCAGAGCAATGGGATGTACAGGGAGGGGCAGGAAAATCCATCTCTGGGGGAGATGGATTGCAATTTAGAGGCTTCTCCTGAGCTTCAGGGACGAGGAGCCGCAGGTCAGAGTGGAGGGTAAACCTGCTTGGAGACCTGATGCCTCCCTTCACTGTCCCGCGGGCCCAGAGGAAGGGTTTTCATTTAGGGCCAGGGAGGGCAAGGGCCTCAGAGCCTTCCACAAAAAATGAGGACCCTGCCTCTCTAAGACGCCCGGACCCCTGCATGGTAGGGAATCCCCGGCCCCAATTCCAGGGCTGAGCTGGGCTGGGGGCAGGGTGGTTGGGGTTGCAACTCTCCTCCTGCGATCTGGTCCTGAGGCCCAGACAGGCCCGAGTGCTGTCCCCCACTTGGCTCTGCCCGCTGGCGAGGCTGCGTCTGCTAATGAGCTGCCAGCTGCTGAGTGGCTCTCAGCAGCTGCCCTGTCCCCGCCCAGGTGTGTGCGCCCCAGGCGCGCAGGCAGCGGGGAAGGCCGAGCGCCACTTGTAAAAGGTAATAACCCATTGCCGCAGGATAATCGCCCCTCCAGACAGGCAGACTTGATCTCATTAGCGATCCTGCAGAAAGTCTGGAGAGGACTCCTGCCCCCGCTGGGTAAGGGCGGCACTCAGGACGGAGAAGGTGCACCATCTGCTTCAGGTGCGAATGGGACCAAGCTCCAAGTTTCCTGAGAATATGGAGGCAAAGGAGAGACAGGGCAAAGAGAGAGGAGGAGACTCACACTCCCAGTGCTCCCTGTGTGCGTGTCCCCGCCTGGCTGGTGCCTTGGCTATGCAAACCCCGCGTGAGCAAGCTGGACTGCCCTTCCTCTGTGGACCAGACGAACCCTCCTCTGCTGGGAAGAGCTCTCGTCCAGGCCATCGCTTCACCCTGGCTCTTTCCTCTGAGCTCCTGTAGTGCTGTTGCCTGCACCACTGGGGCTGAAGGAAAGAATCGCCAACACCGCACTGCACTGGGGATATCTCTAAACTTCAGGTTCCATGATTTGCCCTGGGTCATATGTGGCCAGTGTCTGCTGGTTTGCTGGATTCCCCTCTCCTAATCCCTTTCTGCTATTCTAGGGATATTAACCTTTTTCTGGAGCATGGACACTTTTTGAGAACCTGATGGAAGCTATGGACCTCTTTCTAGAAAAATGTACATAAAATATAAAATGTCTGCAATGTCAGGGCGTCTGTGGATTCGCTGAAGTCCATTCAGGGACTCTTCAAGCCAGTGGTTTCTAAACTTCAATGTGCATCAGAATCATCAGGGGCTTGTCAAAAATACAGATGTTCCAGCTTTACCAGCTGGTCTGGGGTGACAGGGAATCTGCATTTTGGCCTGAAGTTGTTTAGATGCTTGTTCTAGACCCGTACTTCAAGAAACACTGCTCCGTGGCCAAGCGCCACGGCTCACACCTGTAATCCTGGCACTTTGGGAGGCCGAGGTGGGGGGATCACCTGAGGTTCAAGACCAGCCTGGCCAACATGGCAAAAACCCATCTCTGGTAAAAAAATACAAAAAAAATAGCCAGGCTTGATGGTGCGCTCCCGTAATCCCAGCTACTTGGGAAGCTGAGGCAGGAGAATCACTTGAACCCAAGAGGCAGAGGTTGCAGTGAGCCGAGATGGTGCCACCGCACTCCAGCCTGCATGACGGAGCAAGACGCCATCACAAAACAAAACAAAACAACACAAAACAACAAGAGCAACAACCAGAAACACTGCTCCGGCCGTCTGTGGAGCCCAAGTGAAGACCTCGTTCAAAATCATCTCCAGATGTACAGGTCTTGATGTCCCAAAGGAAACTGCAAGCTCCCTTACAGAAGGGACCGAATCTTAAATCTCTGTACCCAGCCCCAGTGCCCCAAGACCTCATCCATAAGTACTCATTGTTTGCCAAAACTCCTTAACGTTCCCCAAAGAGGACTCTGGGGAAAATCACAAACCAATTGATGTGGGCAGACTCTTTCTTCTTGTAACCCCAATGGGGCCAAACAATGTTGCCTTGTTGTGATGTGATGTGATGAGATGAGATTCCATCCCCTACTCTCAATTTTTCCACCATTGGCGGCACTTAGAAGGGTCTTTGCAAAGGCAAAAAGAATTCCCAGGGCTCATGGCTTTCCTGCCCGGCTGCACTAGCTGTGTGTCAGCTACCAGTTCAGTCAGGGGGACGGTGTGTGCTGGCGTTATTATGCCTCGGTGTTTGCTAGTTTGAATCTGGAATTCTAATCTGATTGACTAAGTAACTTTTACTCTAATTAGAATAGTAGGGTTTGTTCTTAATCTGCAACCATTTAATCTTCCGTCTCATTAATTGCACAAAGGTCTTTATGAATATGTAGATTGGGAAGGAAATAAAAGATTATTTGACCTTGAAGAAACACATATAAAATAGGTATACACTCTCAACCTCCTGTTCCCTTTTATTATGCAGATGTGAAAACTGGTAAGGCTCCAAATCAGGCTACTGTCGGTTATCGACAATCTTGCAGCCAATTAGGATGCAGCATTCTGATGAGCCATACAAGTTTAATAATTAGTATAGTATTTACATGTGAGCTGCTTGCTGAGAATTTGCATGTAAATAAAAATGTGCCTATCAAAACCAGTCAGCAGCAGCCCACTGATGAAAAATGTCAAAAAGGTCCAAAGTAAAACAGAAAAATGCTGTGAAGGAAGGGGCCATATGTCTCCAGCCTCAAGTTGAGTCCTCATTTGAAGGGTAAATGGCCTTCTGAGTATACCTTGTGTCTTGCCTTTTAGAGATATGGGTGATTTGTTCTCTGAAAAGTTTGGAACATAATGTCAGACAAGCTGACTGGCTGGTTAAAATTCTGACCCTACCACCCACCAGTTGGGAACCTCTCTGAGTCTCAATTTCCTCATCCGTAAAACGGGGAAAACCGCTGGGCATGGTAGCTCATGCTTGTAATCCCAGCACTTGGGGAGGTCGAGGCAGGTGGGTCACTTGAGGTCAGCAGTTCGAGACCAGCCTGGCCAACATGGTGAAACCGTGTCTCTACTAAAAACACAAAAATTAGCCAGGCCTGGTGGCAGGTGCCTGTAATCCCAGCTACTTGGGAGGCTGAGGCAGGATAATCACTTGAACCTGGGAAGTGGTGGTTGCAGTGAGCCAAGACAGAGCCACTGTACTCCAGCCTGGATGACAGAGTGAGACTCTGTCTCAAAAAAAAAAAACAAAAAAAAACAAAAACGGCAGGGGGAAACCCCACCTTTCTTACAGACCTGTGTGGCTTAAGTTAAATAACATTGAACATGTTATTTCCTGGCACAAAAAGACTGCCCACAAAATGTGCATTTATTTATGTGCCTATTTCCTTTCTTCCTTCTGACTATATACATGGAAGACTAGAAAGTATTTTCTCTGCAGCTGAATTGACCCATAGGGAGAAACTTGTTCTTGTCTCCAAGGAGAATGCTTGGAGGGAATAATGGCTCTCTATTTAGCAAACCACTGGCTTTTCTTGTGCCAAGGAGGGTTTATAAGTCAGAGCGAGGGAGACAGAAGTTCGTGGTTTGCTAGGGTGGCACCTGGCGTGATTGTCAATCACCCTAATTTCACATTCAGACTGCCCAGTGTGAACCATGACCGAAACAGTCACGTGTGTCAGAGCTGAGCTGCCCAGGACCTCCAGCAAGGTCTTGAGAGGCCGCGTGGAGGAGAGGAGGGGTAGGCTGGGCAGCTGTTTGGGAAAGAGCGGGCACGGCTCCTGGCTGGGCGCAGTGGCTCACACCTGCAATCCCAGCACTTTGGGAGACCGAGCCGGGTGGATCACCTGAGGTCAGTAGTTCGAGACCAGCTTGACCAACATGGCAAAACCCCATCTCTATTAAAAATACAAAAAATAAAAATTAGCCAGGCATGGTGGTGGGTGCCTGTAATCCCAGCTACTCAGGAGGCTGAGGCAGGAGAATCATTTGAACCCAGGAGGCGGAGATTGCAGTGAGCTGAGATCGCACCACTGCACTCCAGCCTGGGCAACATAGTGAGACTCCGTTTCAGGAAAAGACAAAACAAAACAAACAAACAGAAAAAAATGGGCACAGCTCCTGAGGAATTGCTATGCTCCTGCCCTGTGCTGGACCACGTCTCTCCTGGCTCCCCAAACAGTACTCTACCCCTTTTATACTAACCTGTTGTGGAATTAGGTCTCTCTGCAGGATATAAGGATTGCTGAGGGCAGCCTCAGGGCAGGTGCATGGAAAGAAGGTGGAGCCACCCACGGGAGCCCCGCACTTCCCTCACTCCAGGCGCTAGTGTTTAGCCAGTACTCCCAGTGATGGCTGCGCTGGTTATGAGGACCCTGCCATCTTTCCAGACTATGGCCCAGTACCCACTGCTGTGCCCCCATGGTTGGCTGACCTAGCCTTTCTCCAGAGCCCCCAGGGGACCCAGCATCTCGAAGGTTAACAGCTTCACCCCACCCTGAAGTGGGCTCCAGGGTCCAGCACCAGCCCATCCATTGTCATGTTTTCTGATTGGGTGACTGCTCTCCAACACCAGTACATGTGGTGATATCACGTCTTTGGTTACCTATGTCTGCACCGAGCTCAAAATTCATCTTTGCCGTAACATTTGCAATGGCAATCCTGTCTTTAAGGAGACTCAGCCTCATCACCCTTCAAGGGGAAACCCCGTATGCTCTTTTCCAGCGTGGTCCCGTGAGTATTTCCGTGAATGCTGCGAAGGGGAGAGTTAGCCACCGAAGCACCCACTCTCGGCTCAATGATTTTGTACCAGGTGCCTGGGGTGTTGGGGCTGGCAGGGAGAGGGCACGGCTTGGGAGGGGAGGGTTTTCCTGGCTAGCGCGGGGCGTGATGTTTGGCTCCTGGCCTTTGACATAGTTGACTAATCCTTTCCACTGCCAGAAGCCTGCAAGGAATGGCATGTGTGGAGAAGATGGGGTGGGGGTGGAGTGTTCTGAAGCAGAAGAAGGCAATCACATGACTATTATTGCTTTTAATCTTTACATGTGGAGCAAATGAGAGCTGAGAAATTTTAAGAGTTAATCAGCAGTTTTCAGATGACATAGCTCACATTCTTTTTTGTATTCAAACGCCAGCCAGAGAACTCTGGCAAAAAGATCAAGTCCATAGATGCTTGAGTGGTGGAAAAAATAGTGACACAGTTTTTCCATTGCAAATCAAAAAGATATGATCTTATGTTAGTACAGGGAAGTGTTTATGAGCAGTGGCATTAAAGGGAGCAAAACAAAAGTCGGTGTATATATACCAATTAAAAGTGTGTACAAACAGCTCTAAGCACGTCAACAAAGCTCAGATGCGATCACAAAGCTTTGCCTCTGGTATAGCATTGGGCTCTCTTTTGAATGCAAAGTTGAGTTTTAAATTGTTCTGGTAAACATTAATCAGCAATCTGGACCAACTGTTCCAGGAGGAGGGTGGCATTCCCAGGGGCTATCCAAGTGTTTCATGGATGTCTGGTGCCAGGTCCTTTCTCTGAGCCCCAGCACAGGTGCTGAGACTACATCCCCCACTGCATGTGGTGACCCACCTAAAGGCAACTGCAGATGGGGTGGGTTTACAATGCTCTCCAGCATAGGAGAGTGAGGGGGAAGCAGGATGCCGAACCGTGCACATTGCACAGCTACTGCCTGTGCCCAAAACACACCCAACCAAAAGGGACGAATATGTCCCAGAGTGCACAATTTGCCTCTGTCGTCAAGTTGGTCTTCAGGGAGTAGAGAAAAAGCTTGGGGATGGGAAAGAATGAGGCTTCACTCAATGCCATTTTGTGCCATTTGAGTTAAAAAAAAAATACAAGCATTTCCTATTGCAAAAAGGAATTTACTAATTATTTAAAATATTTAAATGGGCCTCATCAATGCATACAGCTGGGCTCCAAACAAGATGCCCTTAGAACAGTTAAACCTCGTCCACACCCTTGAGTTCCCAGAGGGATTCCGTTCCCCACCCTCTGCCCCAGTAGTGGCAGCCTCCTCGGCTCCCTGCGCTTAGAGACAGCGTCTCGAAGGATCCATCCTTGAGCTCTTCCTTTCCCAAAGTCCTCACACCCACATTGCTTTCAGGAGAAGGAAAGTGATTGTGGGAATGAAAAAAAAGCAAAAAACAGGCACTGTGCTTAACAACAACAAAATCCAAGATAGCCTTTTGCAAATCAAAAAAGAAGCTGGAGATAAACGTAGTTTGTACTTAGTATAGACAGGAGACGGAACATCCTCTTCCCCCAACTGAGGAGGGGCATCGGAGCTGGGGCAGGCCGCAAGGTGAGCCAGACTTCAGGGAGGCTGGGAGGCTTTGGGTGGGAGAGCAAAGTGGAGCATGGAGTCAGGGGGTAGGGTTGACAGATAAAGTGGAAGACACTCAGTTAAAACCGAATATCAGATAAACAATGATTGTTTGTAAAGTATGTCCCATATATTGCATGGCGTTGCTGTAGAGGAGGAAGCCTCCACACAGGTTCCGGGTGGGGATGTACTGGGTGAGCCCCCCCACCCCGCTACAGTGACACTGCAGACCGTTGTTCTGCTGGAGTCGCTGTCGTCCCACCTGGCATGAAGCCAAGCATCCTTAGAAACCATGATTCCAATGTTCTCATGTTATACATGAAACACCTGAGACCCAGCGGGCTTAAGCAAATTGCCTAGTCGCTTTATAGTTATCCACCCAGTAGGTGGTAGATGAGATTCTCCCTGAGACCAAGGCCTCCTGCTTACACCAGGAAGGTGTGGTGGGTGGCAGGGGTTGCCGAAGGCTGTGAGTTGCCGCCGCGGCTGCCTGAGCCTGACTCACACTCAAGTGCTCAGGCTGGTCACCACCCAGATGAAGGGGTTCGGGCTTCACTGGGCATGTTCCCTGCCCTGCCCTGTGGGTCTCACAGTGTCAGGTTCATTTTCAGTCTTTCAGCTTTGGAAGAGCTTTGGAATGTCATTAAGACATTCGAACCCCTTGCTGGAACCCAGGTTGGCGTCAGTCTCCATGACCTATCAGTGTGACCACCACTAGTGGCATCTAAACCACTAACTCACCCACTGGGGAGTGTGAAGCCCCAAGGTAAAATGCCACCTGCCTGGAACAGATGCCTCCCCACCATGTTCGTTGTGGGCCTGCTTCCAAATTGGATCACAAGAAAGCAGAGAAATGGAGGAACAACCAAGTCTAGAAGTCGGGACCACCTTGACCTGTCCACCTTACTGGACAGGAAGAGGAGTAGGGAGGTTAAGTCCCTTGCCTAAGGTCACCCAGGTCTTGAGCGGAGGAGCCAAGAGTCGCACCTGGGGAGTCTGACCGCAGATCCAGAGTGCTGAGTAACTCTTGGCTAGTCCATCTTTCCAGATGATCTCCGTGGTCCCCGGGTGATATGGGGACTGCAGTCCGCTCAGTCCCCCCGCTGCTAAAAGGCTGTGCAGGATGAGATTCTCCAGCCGCAGCTCTATGGAGAAGCCCTTCACTCCTGTCTCCATGCTCAGCCACCCCAAGTGGCAAAGTTTGAGGAGAAAGCTGTGCACCCTTCCACCCTCTCAGGTCTGAAAGGAGCCTTTTGAATCAAGGGTATGTGGTGGCTTGGCAGGAAAGACGGGGAAATTCAGAGCAAGAGCAAGATACAAAGATGCATCCACAGACCCTGTGAGGGATGGAAAACCCAGTGCAAGCGGGCTTAGGCAAAAAAAAAAAGAAAAAAAAAGAAAATGTATATCCCTACTACATTTCTGTGAGGTGGGCTCTATTTGAAGCTCTATTTTGTAGATGAGAAAATGGAGGCGAATGCATTTAAAAAGCTTGCCCACGCTGACATAGTGGGTGACGGAGCTGGGATGGAACTCAGGCAGCTGGGCCAGCAGCCATGACACCGCCCGGGAGTTTGTCAGAAATGCAGAGCCCCAGGCCCCTCCTCAGACCCTGATCAGAGGCTGCTCCTCACAAGGCCCCAGATGATTTATGTGCTTGGTCCAGCTGGAGAAGGTGGCCCCGGAGAACCGTCACATGCTCCTTCTGGGTTTGTAGGACCACGCAGCCGAGATGTCCAGGGATCTTTGTCATTCTGTCGACTGCTGTGTCTCCAGCACTTAGAACAATGCCTGGCATATAGTAGGTGCTCAATAAATGTTTACTAAGTGCGTTAATTGAATCTGAGTATGGCTGCGTTTAGACTGAGCTCAGAACGACCTCAAAGACCTCGGCGAGGGTTTCTGCCTGGGCTGGTCCCCTTCTCCCCAGCCATCTTGATGGAAGGCCGGAGGGGGATAGGTCACTGGACGGATTAGTCATTGTTTGGGATTATCTGTTTCCCTCATTAGTGGAGCTAATCACCCAACGTTGGATCAAATCACAAAAATCTGTGAAACCCCTGGGAGCAGCGCCTCTTCCAGCCACGATCCTCATTTCTTCCGTTTGTTCATCAAACCTTTCCCTCCTCGGGTACCAGGGCTGCTGTTTGGCCACTCACATACCTCAGGCTCATTTCACATACCCGGGGGTTATTTCAGCCACATCTCTCCAAGGCTGCGAAGGTTTTATTTTTGTTCCGTGAAAAGCCTTCAAAGCCCTCACTCTGAGCTTTGAGTTTGGTGTGGGCAATTTGAAACATTTAATGGGAATTGTTATGTTTTTTTTTCAAGAAGGAATTATTCTCAGCAAAGTCTGGGACTGGCCGGAAGGAGACAGCCAGACATCTCCAGGTGGAATGAGCTTCCTGCTGTTCTCGGGGAAATGAAAGCAAAACGCACAGCCCTGCTTCCCACCCCCGTGCGGGGCCTGACCCCAGCCTTTCATGTGCGGCAGCCACAGGGAGGAGAGAAAGTACAAAACCAGAACAAACCCCCCAAAGTCAAGGCTTGAAATGAAACCGTTTCGTGATGACAATACTCTGTTCTTCTTTAAACTCTACCCAAGAACAAATGGAAGTCCTTTTTTCCGTGGAAAGACTGGGTTCGGGCTTTCATCCTCAGAGGCCTTTATTTTGGGTGCCTCCCCCCTTCCCTCCTTTCGCTCGTTATTTGCACCTTCTCGGAAGCCAGTGGGGGTATTGGGAGACAGGAGCCTCCCCCGACCCCCGTCCTGGCCGGAGGACCCACCGCCTGGGCCCGGTGACGCTGGGTCTTGGGCTGCCCTGGCCGGGGGATAATGAGGGGTCTGCTTTCATGCTGGTGTCAGGGAATAGGGGAGTCCAGGGAAAGGGTGGTGCCGCTGCCCTCTCCCCACCCCCAAAACAGGATGCTGCCTGCCATCTCCCTTTCAACCTGTGTGAACAGAGAGGGTCATAACACAGCTGGGGTAGCTGGCTGGAAATCTGGGTCTTAAAATAAAATATTGTCATCCAGCCCACTTGGCCAGTGTGACTTCAGTCCCCATGTGGACCAGCAGGAGGGCGGCATGAAAGGCTGTGTGAGCCACTCGGCCCTTCCAGCTGTCCTGAGGCCCAGGATGATTCAGGAAAAAGTGTCTAGGCTTCAGGGTTGGATACTGCTAATTATTCCGGCGGAAAAGCAATCGCACGTGGCTAAAGTCAAAGGTTGATGTTTCTCCAGGCACCAGACTTTAAAACCCGGGAAGGGCGGACAGGCTGGTGTGGCCCTTGCCTTGTTTCCTTCAGCCTGGCGCTGAGCCCTCCTGGTCCAGGCTTCGGGAACTTTCTGCATGGAAACAGAAAGCTGGAGGGAATAGGGAAGCCCTGCCGAGGGGCCCGCAGGAGCACAGCATAGCCCAGGAACCAGGGATCAGAAGGGGGTCCACAGGGGCGAGAGTGCCCAGGGGAACCTGCAGGCAGCCCAGCCAATCCCCCTGAGTCACCAGTGGCTGTCAGGTCTCTCGGGTGCCGACATCCTCCTGCCTCGTGTTACGGGCCTTTGCTCAGCGCTGACCTCATCTCCCTCCCTGGGTCCTGGGTCCTGGGTCCCTGGAGGGCTGAGACCCCCAGTGTGCTGGGCCCCAATCCTCCCAGGCTGGAGCAGGCGGCCTCCCCAGATAGGGTTGGAGCCGCTTTCCTCACCAGCTCTGCACCCCAGACAGACTCCTCTCCCCCAGCCTCGGTTCTTGCCCTGGCTGCCTGATGCCCAGGCTACACTGCAGCCTGATCCCTGGTGTGGTGCTGAATGCTCCAGGTAGGGAACATGGGAAAAGCCAACAGCTGCTGCTCTCCCTACCAGGCAGTCAGTCATCCTGGGCAGACACAGAGAGGAGGGATACAGGGAGAGGTCGGGCAGGGAGAGCTGGGTCACGGACAGCAAGGAGGGCCAGAGTGCCCCTGCCAAGAGCCAGTGCAGGCTACAGAGGCCCAGGGACGCGCCATCGTGGAGGGGCTGTGCTCTGTCTCTCACTTAGCACCACCCTTGCTTGCCTGTGGACCTTACTCTCCGGTGTTGGACAAGCTTTCCCAGGAGTAAGGGACATTCCATTTGACTTCCAGAGCCAACCCTCTCAGCCTAGTGCCAGGGAGGGAAGGGCTCTCTTCATATGCGCCCACGCTGCATGAGGCCGGGGGCAGCTGGGCCTGGCAGACCCCCAGAAGTACATGGGGGGCAGAAGACAGTCCCCAGAGGCAAGGGTGCTGGACAGAGGGGAGGAGGGATGCTGAGCCAACCCCAGGGCAGTGTCCCCACTTGGCATATGACTTGGCAACATCTACAAAGGTGGCCGTGGGACATGGCCCTGGCCCATGGGTCACTAGGCACAGCGCCCCACCCCACTCCCCCGCATCCAGTGCAGCAATGTCCGGTCGCTGAGAAATGCTGATGGAACCCTGGACAGCAGGGGTCACAGAAGTCAGGCTGGGGGTCACCTTTCTTCCAGCACCGTCTTCTGGTTTTACGTGTGAGGAAAGGGAGAACCAGAAAAGTTCCGTCACCTCGAGGTCACACTCAGATTAGCATCAGGGGCTCCTCCTACCCAGGTCCACACCCCACAGAGGGGCTGTCAGGGCCCCCCACGGGCGCAGGAGAGCGAATGTGGGGCTTGCGCAGGAGAATCTCTCTGCAGGCAGAACTGGGTCCTCTGTGGAGGGTCGGGGGGCACCTGCCCTGGCCGGGGAGGGGGAGTGAAAGAAGTCAGCATGCCTGGTGGCTGAGGGTTCGGGGGAGGCGCCTGGGATGCAGTGGGTCTCATCATGGAACATGAGGGGAGGATCAGATCTCACGGGCTTGAGATGGTGTAGGGGTCCCAGGGGCAGGGGGCAGGAGGGAGTGGCAGCTCTCAGGAGGTTTCAGCCCTTTCTGGCCCCAACTGGTTTCCCTTTCCTTTGAAGCCCTCCCATGGGTGAAATCAAATATGCTTTTGTGCCCAGTCTTGCTGGACTCTGGGGCCAAGGAGGGCAGCATTGGGGCTGCTGGGGGCTCCACCCCCTGCACGACGCCTGTCCCTGCAATGACTGATTGGCAGTGGACAAAGCGGAGCTGAGGATAGAGCAGAAGGGGCTGGCAGGGGTGGGGTGATGTCACCCTGGACTCCAAATGGTCCAATGCTCCCCACAAACCTGGGTGCCAAGCCCAGCTCCCTCTCAAACCTCTGTGTGTCTTCTAGGGAGCGAAGTATCCTGATTCTCAGCTTCCGCATCATTTTTCTAGGACAATAAAAATGCCCTGGAATCTGGGAATCTGCCCAAGGAGACAGAGTCCTCCCTAAATGTGCCATTTCCTTCTCTGGAGCCAGGAAGTAGAAGGAGAACGGAACTTGCCTCTTCTTACCCAAGTATCTCTGGGCACGCTGCTTCCCTCCTCATCTATAAAATGAGACAGCAGATGAATCAATTCCTTTCTTGCTCTCTTTTTTAAAGTAACGAGACCTCATTCCTGAAATGAAATCTCATTCAGAAATTTCAATATAAAACAGAAGCAGCGCTGCCTGGCTGAAGTCAGGGTGTGTGGGATGGAGGGGTCAGGCCAGGGGCAGGAAGCCCACCAGGTTGGCCTCCTCTTTGCCCTGCAAGCTGCCTCCACACCCTGCCATGAAGCCCCAGGGTGCCAGGGAGCCTCAGTGTGAAATTCACTCTGACGACTTAGAACTCTCTGGATCCAATTCAGATGCAGCAAACAGGGAAACAGCTTCCAGGAAGCCTCACCCTCCAGTGGCCAAGAAGCCTGGGGCAGCGTCCCTTGGGTGTCACCCAGCGAGGGTGGGGACAGTGAGGGAGGCTCCGCCTGCACACCTGGGCAGGCTGCGTTCAGGCTCGAGGTGGCTGGACTCACATCTCCCTCGCATCCTGTCACCCCGCTCCTCCCTTGCCGGCCCCTGTGGGCCCCCACCCGACGGGAGCTCACACATAGGTGGTTGCCTCCACGTCTTAATGCCCTCCCCCTGCGCGTCCCCAGGGCTGGCACACCCTGCAATTACAGCTGCCGTTCCCCGCCTTCCCATTGTGCCTGCCTCACCTCCCCACTCTCCCCGGCTAATTACCAGGTTTGCCCTTCACAGTTTCTGCGGTAATGCTAAGGCCCGCGCCCCTCAGCTGCCAGCGCTGCGTGTTTTAGTAGCTGCAGGGAGGAAGAATCGAGATGGCTTCAGCAAAGCCCTCCACTTTGCTTGGGAGAAGGGGGCGTTTGTGGGCAGGGCATTGCATGGGAAACTGCAATGTGCACTTGTTTGACCTGGATCCCTGGTTCAAATGCATCCCCTGGTCCCTGCAGGTCCGGGGTGGGGCTGGAGCTTTTGTGTGTCTCATCAGCTCCCAGGTGAGGCGTGAGGGCGCAGGGACGAGCACAGAGGAGGTCGGGAGCCCCGGGCTGGTGGGGGCGGCTTGCCCAGGTCTCGCTGGGCAGCTCGGAGCAGGTCCTGCCACCAATCTAGGGGTCCAGTCTCAAGATGTCCCAGGTTGTGGTAAGGACCCGAAAGGGAGGTGCACCGGCTTCTAGCCCAGGGCAGACCCTGTCAGGGGGGCTTCTAGGAGCGACGGGGATGCCAGCGTCCGCCCTTCCAGCCCTGCTGGGAAAGCGTCACCGTGTTCTGAAGAAAGCATCCTTTTTGTTCATTCCAGAAACATTTATCGAGTGCCTATGGCATGTCAGGCACAGTTCAAGTTCTGAGGATACAGAGTAAACAACAGGCAACATCACGCCTCCTCGAGCTTCTGTTCTACTGGGAGTCAGGGTAGGAAGAGACGACAACAAGGTAAATAAGTCAAATCCGGACTGTGTTACTGACAATGCAAGCTAGGAGAAAAAAGGAAGCAGGAGCAGAGAGGAGCCTGGGTGATGATGGAGATGGGGAGTTTACTTAAATAGGTGGCCATGAGGCTATCCAGCCTGTCCCAGGCGGACTTTTAGAAGACGGATTGTTTATAAGAGCCCAAAAGTATAAGTTCTTAAAAAAAATTAATTTCTGAATGTGTGATGAGAACACAAATTCCTCCACGACAGCCCTGTTTTTCCTGTGCTGCGTAGCTGAGCTCTGGGTCACGGCTGCCGAGTGCAGGCAACACTCGGGCAGTCCCAGGGCTGACCGACTGCGCATCTGGACACTGGCAATCACAGGGAAGGAGGCGAGAGCTCTGCCGGGTGCTTTGAGGCTGTCGCGTCATGTCTTCCTCCCCACAGCGTTCTGCGGGGCCTGTCCCCTTGGTGTTGTGGCACCTCCTGGTCCTCGGCTCTGCTCTTGGGGAAGAAAGAGGACACTGTCACAGGTTCCTGTCCCCTCCAGCCAACAGGAGCAGCCACACGTGGCATCTGCCCTCGAAGCTCTGTGGCATCCCTGCCGTAGGAGAAGTTACCAAGAAACCCCCAGAGCCCACAGGCTGGAGCCCCCCCAGGTTCTGCTCAGCGGGGAGAGGCAGATTGAGTCCAAATTTTCCATTTTAACTGGAATCCTAGGGGTTAAACCTGGCTGTGACTTGGCAATGGCCCCTTGTCCGTGCTGTTCCACAGGGGGTGTCCCCCTTCCCCAGGCCCTGCCCCAATGTGGCTCCAGGGCCTCTGCTCCCAGCAGGTCTCACCTGGGACAGAGGTGGGGGTGGGGCAAGAGGAACCAAGCCAGGAAGCTGCAGAAATAGCTCTGGGGGTGGGAGGGCGTGGTGCTGCCGAAGGCCGAACACCCACGCAGGGTGTTGTCTCTCCACCCTCCCAGGCCGAGGGGATTTCTCAAACGCAGGCCTCCTTCCCAGGAGGTAGGCCTGTGTCCAGTGAGGGCCCTGCCCATCCAGGCCTCTGTTTCCTGTCACTGTTCTCAAAAGCTGGGCCCAGCTGTGGCGGGGACAGCTATGTCCGGCTGCCCGTGGTCCCTTGAGAACCGGCCAGGCTGCCCCTGTGCCTGGCACATGCTCACCTGGACCCTCCAGCCAGCATCTGGGCTCCATCTGACCCCACCCCACAGGGCTCAAGCCAGCTCCAAGCATGAGTGTGGCCGAGGCCAGGTCTGTCTTCAGGGTCCCTTCCTCATCTCCACGGCCTTTTCCTGTCCCAGCTCACCCACAGGGGGCCATTTCTGCCCCACACAGGACTCCCTGTGAACCAAGGCTGCACATGCTTCTGGGTGCCCCTCTCTGGGCAGCTGGAGGGCAGAAGGAGCACCTGGCAGGTGGGTCCCAGGCCCGGCAGCAGGAGCTGCCTGCCAGACAGGACCAGAGGGGATGGCAGTCCGCTCGGGTGAGGGGTCCACAGGCAGAGGGCGTGGGGGGCTAGGAGGTCTGGGGGCCTCTGGGGAAAGGGGGCCCCAGAAACCAATGGGAATTATGGGATCTCCTCAAAGAACATGCTGGAGCAAGGCTCAGCTGCCCACTGCTGCCCCAAAAAGGCTCAGCTGCCCACTGCTGCCCCAACGGGAGTCACTGCTCACACAGAGACCGCTCCTTCCCCAGCCACTCCAGCCAGTGACTGGATACGGTGCAGGCACTAGTCCCTAGAACCAGGCCATTCCTGACCCACCAACTGCCCTGTATGCAGGCCTCTCTCTGGGGCTTCTCATCAGCCTAGCAGCACGGCTTTCTCAGGGCTTCCCTGGGTACGCACGTCCTCCTACCCAATCCCCCTTCCCTCTCTCCCTGTCCCAGGTTCAGACCTGCATCCTGGCTCGAGGCTGTCTCCCCATCTGCCACAGGTGCTTCCCCCAACGGATCTCTTGCCCCTCTCCTCCTGGCTTGGGGTCTGCTCACTGGAGGACCTGGATGGACATGACAGGGCTCAGACAGGACTTGGGAGGAGCTGTGAGCTCGCCATCAGGGCCAGCCTTGAAGGACGGGTGTGGGCGTGTCCCCCATCAGGATCCCGCTGTGGGTCTCCTTCCTGCTGTGGGGGCTGATGAAAGATGCAGGCCAGACACCTGCACATCTTTACCCTGTGCTCAGCAGCACCCCCTGACAGGGCACCCTCCCCACTACATCCCCATTCCATTCCAAAGGAAGAGACCCTGAGGGTCTGGAATGAAGAACCCCTTACCCCAGGTCAAACTGATGTTGCTGGAATCTTTGGTTGGGTCTCGACATTACCCCATATGGGCAACAGAGAAGGACTGCCGAGAGCTGGGCAAGGCCCCATGCCTGCTCCTCCTGCTTGTGCTCTCTAGATCAGAGACCCTCCCAACCTCTCCCGTAGGGGCCTGACTCCTCCCTGGTATGTCACCTTTGCTTGATCTAGGCCTCTGGAGGGGCGGCAGCCTGTCTCCCCGCACCAGCTGGGGTTCTGGCCCTGGTGGTTGCTCACCACACCTCCGGGGGCTGCCACGCGGGGTCATGTTGGTACCAAGGTTCTCTGTGGGGTGCAGGGATGACCACTGGAGAAAAGGCCAGCCCTGCCTTCCGCTGCTGCCTCAGGCTGGTCCCCGTGCCTCGCTCAGGCGGGCCAGTGACCCTCCTCACCAGCCATGGCTTCTCTTGTGACAGGCCCAACGGCAGGCCAGGTCCTGAACCCCGCAGGGAGGCCGGCCTATCAGGTCTTCACATGGCTGGGGGCACAGCCAGCCACCAGCATCCTTGTGCTGTCCCCATGGGGAAGAGAAGGGAACGATGTGTTCATAGACGCCAGGGCAAGTGGGCACGGGCAGCGCACGGAGGAAAAAGTGACTCCAATCAGAAGGGGAGTGGGTCTTGGCAATACACGTCTGGGTGGTCAGTCCCCAGAGGTGGGCACTGGGCTGAGCTCTCTCTCATCCGACGCCACCCCTGGGTGACCTCCGTTACATTTCCTAACCTCTTTGTGTGCCAATCGCCTCGTCTGGAAAAATGGGAATGGAGGAGAGTTGTACCTACCCAGGGTGGTTCTGTGGGCATTTAAAGAGCAACTTCATGTGAGACGTGGAGTCCATGTGTGGCCCATGGTGGGCTCCAGGAAATGTTGGTGATGACAGGGATGAGGGAGCAACTGAGAGCCGGCAGTGAGGTGACACACCCAAGGTCACGCCACCAGCAGAGGTAGCTGGTCACGCTGCTGAGAGCCGGCAGGAAATAGATGCGGACAAAGCAGGGTCGGTTTTCAGCTTCTCTCCACGGAAAGGCCGGCTGAAGTTTCCCTCACCACGCAGAAATCGATAAGCAGGAGGTTTTTAAAAACCACCTCCCCATTGAACCTGCCACTGCCGGAGCTGAAGGCTGTGCGTTTTGTGGTCCGCTCTGCCCCAGGGCCACTTAGGGTGCGTCCACGCTGGGTGTGCCAGGCATGCACGTGGGCTGCAGACGCCCAGGAGGCAGAGCCGAGCCTGCCAAGGTTATGCGTGCACCTCTCAGCTCCCTGCTTAACACTGCGTTCCCGGGAGAGAGATTTCTCCCTGGCTGCTTCACATCCAGAGGAGAACATCAGCTCTCAGCAGAACATAAGGCAAGTGTGAAAACAACTTTTTATCTTTTAAAATTTTTGTTTATATTTATGTATTTATTTTTTGAAATGGAGTTTCGCTCCTGCTGCCCAGGCGGGAGTGCAATGGCGCCATCTCAGCTCACCACAACCTCTGCCTCTCAGGTTCAAGCAATTCTCCTGCCTCAGCCTCCCGAGTAGCTGGGATTACAGGCATGCACCACCACACCCGGCTACTTTTGTAGCTTTAGTAGAGACAGGGTTTCTCCATGTTGAGGCTGGTCTCGAACTCCTGGCCTCAGGTGATCCGCCCGCCTCAGCCTCCCAAAGTGCTGGGATTACAGGTGTGAGCCACTGCACCCGGTGAAAACAGCTTTTTATGCCAACTGGGGCTCACTTCCAGGGGAGGCCTTTCCTGGAGGCCCCCATTCACTGCAATTCCTCAGCCTGGCTTGGAGTCATACCATCCCTCCTATCAAGAAACATTGCATCTGCAGCGATCCCCCAGAGTGAGTGGCTGGGGGGCTGCGGGAGGAGCAGGGGAGGTGCTGGAACACGTCAGGTCATCAGCAGTGTTGCTGAAAAGCTTGGCCAGGAAACCCAGATCAGCCACCAAGAACCTGAGGGCCAGCACATGGGAAGAAGAAAAATAAGGTGGTTTTTCTGGGATTTTTGGGAATATTTGGGCCTCGACCCTGCCAGGATAGGTTAGGTGGTGCAATGGTCACAAGCCCCAAGTCTTTGTGGCTGATAGCAACAGAAGCTTCTTTCTTGCCCACAGTAAGCATCCGTCGTGGTTGGCAGGAGACTGATCGTGGTCATCTATCCAGGACTGGGTTGACAGGAAGCCACCATCTTAGACTGTCAGCTTCCATTTCAGAGGGAAGGAGCCCTGTGGACGTTCTCACACCAGCATTCAGAAGCTCTTGCTGGGAAGTGTCACAAGTCACCTGTGCTCCCTGGCTAGGAGTAGTCCGTTGGCCACCCAAACACCTGGGGGCTGGCCAGGAAGGCAGTCACACAGGGGCCCACCATGGGTCTGCCCAGTTCTCAGGCACCAGACCACACCCAAGCAGGACCCCTCCTCCCCTGCTTCCCCCTCCTGTCCCCACCAAAGCCACATGGCAGGCAGATCACATGTCACAGAGCTCAGGGCCAGGCCTGCCCAGATCCTGAGGCTGGGCCACCCCTGAGAGCTTCCTATGTGAGATGTCCACTTTTTTACATTTAAATTTTACTTTTAAAATTCTAAATTGATAAATTACAGTTGTATGTATTTATGGGTACAAAGTGATGTGATGACTGATGAATACAACGTAGAAAATTAAATCAAGTAATTAACATATCCATCCCCTCACATACTCATCACTTGTTGTGGTAAGGACATTTGAAATTTACTCTCCTGGTGATTTTGGAATGTACAATACATTATTACTTACATATTTACCACACTGTGCAATGTATCTCAAAGAAAAGAAAACTTATGGTGCACACCTGTAATCCCAGCCTTACAGGAGGACAAGCGCAGGAGGATCCTTTGAGCCCAGGAGATTGAGACCAGCCCGCGCAACACAGCGAGACCCCATTTCCTAAAAACAAAAACAAAACATATATTGCTCCTGCCTAACTGAGACCCTGTGCCCTTTGACTGTCATCTCCTCACTCCCCTCACCAGCTCTCCCACAGCCTCTGGCACCATTCTGCTCTCTGCCTCTTTAAGTTTGATTGTTTTCCATCCCACATACAAGTGAGAACCTGCGGTATTTGTCTTTCTGTGCCTGGCTTATTTCACTCAGCATAATGTCCTCCAATTCCATCTATCTTGTCACAAATGACAGAACTTCTTTCTTTTTTACAGCTGAATAGTATACCACTGTGTGTATACACCATACTTTATCCATTCAACCGTTGTTGGATGATTAGGTTGATTCCGTAACTTTCGAATAGTGCTGCAGTGAGCATGGGCATGCAGACCACATGTCTGCTTTTGATCTTTTGAACAAGGACTCAGACCCCAGTGACTCACACATTTTCTTATTAAAAAAAAAGTATACGTATAAATTATATATGTGTACATATATGATATATACATATGTTATGTGACCATATCTATACACACATGTATATACACACATACAGCAAGGGTCTCCAAAGACTTCAAACTATATGTATGTATATATATAGATAGATGTGCACACCACTGCACCCGGCCAACTTTTGTGGTTTTTTTTTAGTACAGAGGGGGTTTCGCCATGTTGGCCAGGCTGGCCTCGAACTCCTGACCTCAGGTGATCTGCCCACCTCGGCCTCCCAAAGTGCTGGGATTACAGGCATGCACCACCACGCGCAGCCTAACTATCTATCTATATATATATATACGTATAGATAGATGGACAGATGTTCCTTGCAGCTTTCCTTTGGAGATGGCTTACAGCTCTGGAGAGAACCCGGGGTCCCAGCACCTTTGCCATTATAACCCATGAGACCTAAGGGTCAGCGAAGGGGCAAAGAGGTCCTGGAAACCATCTTGCATCAGTATAGTCCCTCATCAGAGGAATAAAGTGGAGCCTCAGGAGGTAAAGGACGGCTGGTGTCACCAGCTAGATCAGGGATGTGTTGACTCCCATTCCATCGGAGGGATCTGGGACCCTGCAAGTGACGCTGAGGCGTGGTCCTGCAGCATTCCCGGGTCCCCCTGGATTGCTGCACCGTGTCTCAGCCTGAACTGGACCACCTCTGCTCACACTGCATGCATGTTACTGCCTGTGACCGGAAGCACTCTAGTCGGGTTGCCCATCCCCTCACATACTCATCAGCTTTATTTCTTGCCACTTGCAAGAAAGTGAGAGCCCGAAGAGTAATGCCCAGGCAGTAAGAGAGGCGAAGCATCTGATAGAGCCTTCTTCCCACTTTTATCTAATCCGATCCATTTTCAGTAGCTTTTCTGCATAAGAGAGCCTCTTCACATGGACATCCATGCATCCACCCACGCGTCCACCCACGCGTCCACCCACGCGTCCACCCACGCGTCTACCCATGCGTCCACCCAGTCGTTCAAAACACATTTTCCTTTCCTTCTAGTTTACTGAGCACCTACTCTATGTCAGGTGCTATATTCACCAGCTTACAGTAGAATGATGACCAAGTGAAGATGTTGGCCCTAAGGAAAATAAGTGGCTGCTCTTTGATTCTTCCAGGGAGCAGATTTTGATTAGAGAAAGGAGTCCAAATAGTACAAGGCAGGAAAGACGGGAGGGGCACAGAACAGTGAGGTTGAGGCTGCAGAGAGTGGGGAGGTGGTTGCTAAAAGACTCTTCACTTACAATTCACGCAGCAAAACTGACCACCTGCCAAACTCCATCCGGGGAGA